>NC_000002.12:120614618-121239618 GCF_000001405.40 Homo sapiens | reverse complement strand
TGAACAGCGCCCCGTCCCCAAGCTACAATGGTTCTCCAAACAGCTTTGGCCTCGGCGAAGGGTACGTCCCACCTCTCTTTCTTCGGGTTCCCTGAAATGAAGGCAGGTGTACTTTCCTTTCTTAGTCTTCCTTTCTGGGTCTCCTCTCCTTTCTGTTTGGGTTTCAGGGTAGCTAACTCGTGTTGCAGTCACAACTGTCTTCAGCATTTACACAACTTTTAGTGCTCAGAAACACCCCTGTAAACGTTGTCGGGTGGGACAGCGGCCCAGAACTTACCTGGTGAAACCAGGACTGGCTTGAGGGTGCATGCGGTCAGCCACCCAAGACAGCCTCTGGTGCCCTCTGGGGCAGAATGGCCCTCCTGACAGTGGTGCCTTAGGGAGCAGCTGTCTGGGGGGCCTTTCCTGGTTCTTTGTCCAGCATGGTCACTGAGTGTGGGGGTGAGAGGGTCTGGCTAGGGTCCTCTCTGCCTTGGGTTTCAGGCCTTACAACACAGAAACTGGCTTCATTGCTGTCCCACACAGCTCTGCAGACACACAGGCCACATGGACCCTGAGGATGCTGTGACAGGACAGTCACTCTCCTGAGTGTTGTGGGCTGCACAGCACGGGGCCATGGGTCACCGTGATGGCTCTGCATGCCCTGTGCTGGCAGCAGGGGTGGAGGCAGGAGAGTGGGTGGGAGGCTGCCTGTTTTCTGCTTGCAGGTTCGTCAGAGCCCATGCTTGGCAGACAGAACTTTTCTAATAAGAAAGCGAGATTGTCTGTGAACTTGATTTTACCAAGGAGTCCCCAGGGAAGCGGGGGTAGACACAGAAATGGTGTCATGTTTAGATTCAGGCAGACCTAGTCTTCAATCTGTACCTTTTTGGGGGTAACTCCCTTAACCTCCCTGAGACTCAGTTTCTCTACTACAAAAGGGGGTTAAGAATTCTACACAGGGTCGGGAGGAACAAGTGTACGATGCTTGCACCCTGTAGACACTTGGCGAGAAGTGGCGGCTGTCTTCACTGATGACCGGTCTGGGGATCAGCCCTGCGAGGGTCTCTTTTTCCCATTATGGAGAAATATACATAACACAAAATTTACCATTTTTAAGTGTGCAGTCTGGTGGCATTAAGTACATTCACACTGTTGTGCAGCGTTCACCGCCGTCCACCTGGAGAGCGCTCAGGTCTGTGCCTCATCCCCAACCTGGCCCCCGAGGAAGCTTGTGCACCCCCTCTCGGGAGAGAACAGAACAGTGCTTTTCCTCGTGGATGGATGTCAAGCTGCGGGTGCTTGTTCACTGCAAAATAACTCCCCGTGGGATTCTTATGCCCTCTCCCCTCACCACCTGACAAAGGGTTTGGTGGAGGACCCTTGAGTTTGGTGGTAGCCTTCAGGTGCCAAGGCTCTGGGTGCCCTTGGTCAGCGTGCCTTTCCCTGGGGCTGGGGCTTTGAATCTCCAAGTTCAAGACCAGCAGGGGTCAGCCAGCAGGGGCCTGGGATGTGTTGCCGGTGACTCAGGGTAGAGGAGTGTCATTGACTGGGGCAGTGTAGCCTATCAGAACTTGCTGTCTACAATGAAGGCTCAGTTAGGGATTTTGAGGGATTGGACATTGGCTCCTGCTGTGTTTCTGTGACTCAGGAAATTCTTGAGGACTCATTTCACTTAGAACAAATCCTGCATCTGATAGGAAGTAAAAGTGCCAGGCTGGGTGCCGGGACCGTGGCCATTGCCCTGGGAGCCCCCTCTGTCCTCATCACTGGTTCCTTTTCCTTGCAGCAACGCCTCTCCGACCCACCCGGTGGAGGCCCTGCCCGTGGGCAGTGACGTAAGTGTCTGAGCAGGGCTTTCTGGCTGGTGGTCCCTCGTGGGCCCTGAGCCACCATCTCAAGGCCTCTCCCCTCTGCTCACAGCACCTGCTCCCATCAGCTTCGATCCAGGATGCCCAGCAGTGGCTTCACCGCAACAGGTTCTCGCAGTTCTGCCGGCTCTTTGCCAGCTTCTCAGGTGAGCATCTCCGAACTGTGTTTAAAGCCCATGAGTATCTTGGAGACACTTCAAGGCTGGCCACCTTCCAGGCCTTGCTGTCAACACTGGCAGCGCTGTCGTTTCAGCTGGGAGACCCGAGATAGTGTGGGTTCGCTCGCTCACGTGCCCCAACCCTGGGCCAAGTGCTGGACATAGGTGATGCTGCCCCCAGAAGGTCCCAAGTGAGTGTGACTTGAGGGGGACCATCTGGGTGACTTGGTCAAGATCTCCTCACCTGCGGGGGGTTGGTGGGCTCTGGTCTGTCCAGGAAGAGTCCCCTTAGCCCGGCAGGGTGATGCAGGGCCCCTTATGCTTTTCCTACCCAAATACTGCTCCTCACATTGGCTCCAGAGCCACGACCTGGGAGCTGGAGGTGAGGCCACAGGTGAGACAGAAAGGGGGCTCTTCCTTCTTTAGAAAGTGTCAGAGCCCTTCCTGATGGGCCCTCAGACAGAAGTCCCAAGCTAGGTATTGTGGAGTGCAAAGGTGAACTGAGCAGTGAGCCTTGTCACCAAGTAGAGTTCATCCACAGTGACAGAGTAAAGGCTTGGCCACAACTAGAGGAGCGGATGCCACAGACACCTGTGGCAGTGGAAGAGAAACGACGCCCGCACATCCTCAGCTCGGCATTGCTGAGAGCCTGTTGGGGGAGGGTCCCTGTCCTTGGGAGCTTGTAGCTGTAAGTCAGTACAGATGCATAAACCACTCATTTCGGTGCAGCGTGACTTGTGTGATTGGAGTGGGGGTTCAGAGAGGACCCTGCACTGGACTGGGTGGAGGTGGGGGAGGAGTGCCGGCTGTGTCTTAAGTAGGGCAGTCAGCCACCATGTGGGCACCTGCCTTATGTGGTCACAGAGCAGGGGACCCAGGTGGAGTGGAGTGGAGTGGCCCGGGGAGGAGAGGTCAGAGAGGCACCAAGGGACACGGACAGGATGGGGGCCCTGGAAGAACAGTGGAAGGACTTCGGCTTTTACTCCCAGTGGAAAGGAAGCCATTGTGTCTATAGAATTGTACCTAAAACCGTATCTTATTGTGATGAGAGGAGAGGAGTGGGAATTGTGGCCTTGGGCAGGCTTTCACCTGAGGCTGATATACTAGTACCTTGGAGAGTGTGTGGGACCAGGCTCTCGGGGACCCCTTGGGCTTTGAGGAAGGGGCAGCCCTCACGCTGTGCTCACTTCTGTCCCCATGAGACGGTCACCTTCCTATGTTCCTTTAACTGTGGGCCCGTCCTCACATGCTGCTGGTGGGACCATACATAGATGCAACACTCTGGGAAACTGCTGGCAGTATCTGCTAGAGCCAAACACACCCTGTGATCCCGCAGCCCTCTCCGGGGCTAGACCCGGCAGACACGCACCTTGTGTAATGAACAAAGACATGTATGAGAACGTTCAGAGAGCCTATTCATAACAGCCCAGACCTGAAGCCCCCCCAGCGCCCATCCACATAAAGTGGGTATGTGAATTGTGGTGTAGTCACACAATGATAGGTAATAACGGGCATGAACACTCTGACTACATTCCACACAAATGCACCGTGAAACATGACTTGCGGGGAGGGAAGCCAGACCAGGAAGAGTGCCTACCGTTCAATTCCATGTACAGAAACTTCAGAGAACATGCAAAACGTGTCTGCACTGTAGCAAGTCAGGATAGTGGCTCCCCTGGGTGGGAGTAGGGGTGGTGGCTGGTACGAGGGGCCTACAGGAGGCTGGCAATGTTTCACTGCTGGCTCTGAGTGCTGGGTCCTGGGGTGTATTCAGATTGTCAGCATCCAGCGAGCTGTATACTTCCACATACAGACAGATGCACACATGGCCAGTGCCCTGTGCTGATGACATCTATGCATACAGATTATATGTCAAAAAAAAAAGAGAAGAGGCCAGATGCAGTGACTCATGTCTGTAATCCCAGTACTTTGAGAGGCTGAGGTAGGTGGATTGCTTGAGCCCAGGAGTTCAAGACCAGCCAGGCTAGGCAATATATTGAGACCTTGTCTCTTAAAAAAAAAAAAAAAAAAAAAAAGAAAGAAAGAAAGCAAGCAGGGCAGGCAATGAGGCAGTGGGGACCTATTGGCTTCTGTTGTACTCACTGTTGTGAGCACTGGCACTTCCTGGGCTGCAATCTTTTGATGTTGTTGAGCATTTTGCCATTTTCTCTCTGTGAGATAGTGCAGCTGGCTCTTCCCCACCCCCCACCCCCAGTGCTATGGGGTCTGCAGCTGGTTGGGGACCGAGCCCTTTCTCTGGGTTCCATGTAACAGGCATCCCCGTTTTTTTCCTGCCTAGGTGCTGACTTGCTGAAGATGTCCCGAGATGATTTGGTCCAGATCTGTGGTCCCGCAGATGGGATCCGGCTCTTCAACGCCATCAAAGGCCGGTAGGTGTTGGTTTCTCTGTGAAGCCAGCCAGAGGCTCATGTCCCGTGGCATGTGGTGGGAAACCCCTACCTCAGCCTTTTGGATGGTGGGTGGTCTGGCTGGGGGGACAGGACTCCTGCAGTGTGGGGTCAAGTGTAGGAGGAAATGTGGCAAGAGGGGCACGGGCCACAGCAGGGGAGTGAGACACTGCAGTGGGAGATGTGGCCAGCTGCCGCAGACCCTGCCTGGAGGCCCCTCCCTCTTCTTGGTTGGACGAGAGCCTTGGCCTCTGGATCTCGGCCTCTGAGCCACTTGCCCATGTTCTCAGATGCTTGTGTGGTCCTGGGCTCGGAGCTGCTCCCCCGCTGAGGGGAGCTGTGGACTTGGGGCTGGTCAGATGGTATCATGCAGCAGTTTCAGGGGAGACTCCAGAGCAGCGCCGTCCTGCACACCTTCCTGCCATGGCAGAGACGTTCTGCAGCCGTGCTGGCCACATGTGGCTGTGGAGCACTTGGACCGAGGCTGATGTGATGGACGAAATTTTTATTTAACTTTAGTGAATTTAAGTTTTAATAGCCACACATGGACAGCATGGTTTTAGAGTGAGAGCCTGGGTTTGAGTCCCAGATCTGCCTCTTAGGTGCTGTGCAGTGAAGGGAAAGCCCTTTGCCCTCCGAGCCTCAGTTTGCTCAACTGTGGAATGAGAGCGATAGTCCTAGCTCCCTTGCAAGTTTTGTGAGGATGAAATGAGTTACGCATGTTCTGAGAACAATACCTGATACACAGCAAGCCACAGACAGTGTTTGCTCTAATTGTTGCCTGAAAACGTCTTGTATGTTGAGCTTCATGGTCTGGGGCAGAGTGCCCCTTGGCAGGCTGCGGGACCTGGGAGGGTCATCCACCACCCCATGACAGGCACTCCACGTCACCACCGCTGTCTTTCTTCCTCCCTGAGTTCTGCCCACTATTGTTTCCATCCTGGAATATTCTGAAACAACTGCGCCTGGTCCACCACACCTATTATTTATTTTCTCTTCTCCTGCCAGGAATGTGAGGCCAAAGATGACCATTTATGTCTGTCAGGAGCTGGAGCAGAATCGAGTGCCCCTGCAGCAGAAGCGGGACGGCAGTGGAGACAGCAACCTGTCTGGTGAGTTGTGGGGAGCAGAGCTGGGACCCACACATTGGGTCCCGCAGCCTGGCTTTCAAGCCCGCAGTCTGGCCTCTGTTCATTTCCAGTGAATGTGCAGGACAGTCCTGGGCTCCCACATGCCCACACGTGGAAAGGGCAGCCTAGTGCATGCTCCTTGCATGGTGCATGGTCTGACCTCGTGGCGGCCCCGCAGTGTGGGTGCTGCCTTAGTGCACACCCCGAGGCTTGGGAAGGTGTTGGGATTGTCCCAGATCTTGCTTCCAGTCAGTGGCAGTCAGGATTGGAGGCAGGAATGCCCACCCTGGAGCTTTTTGTTTCCTCAAACTGCTCCTGATGCAGCTCCTGATGAGAGGAGACTCTCGAGGACCTCAGAGGCGTGGCTGTCAGCCTTCCTGCTCCCACCGAGCACTCCCAGTGGCCATGGTGAAAGGCGTCAGCCTGGGATCCTGCTAATTCTTTTTGCTGGCAGCTTGGTTTGTTTTAGGAGCAAAATTGTGGCTGGGTGTGGTGGTTCATACCTGTAATTCCAGCACCTGGGGAGGTGGGAGGATTGCTTGTGCCCAGGAGTTCAAGGCCAGCCTGGGGAATATACCAAGACCAAATCTCTAAATATTGAAAAAGTAGGCTGGGCGCCGTGGCTCATGCCTGTAATCCCAGCACTTTGGGAGGCCAAGGCGGGCAGATCACTTGAGGTCAGGAGTAACCCCATCTCTACTAAAGAAAACATACAAAAATTAGCCATGCATGGTCACACCTGTAATCCCAGCTGAGGCAGGAGAATCATTTGAACCCGGGAGGCGGAGGGAGGTGGAGGTTGCAGTGAGCCGAGATCATGCCACTGCACTCCAGCCTGGGTGACAAAGTGAGACTCTGTCTCAGGAAAAAAAAAGAAAAGTGCACACCCCCACACCTGGCTAATTCTTGTATGTTTTTGTAGAGATGGAGTCTCATTCTGTTGCCCAGGCTGGTCTGAAACTCCTGGACTCCAGAAATCCGCCTGCCTTGGCCACGCAGAGTGCTGGGATTATAGGCATGAGCTGCCACACCCACCTGTGTGTGCTTTTAAAATATTGGGCCTCTGATGAGGTTTGTTGAACCAAGGGTTTCTCAGGTGAGGGAAAGGCTTAAGAATCTTGAATTTAATCCAATTGCATTTGCTTTTGAGGAACTTGAGGTCCCTTGAAGTTGAGTAACCCACCCTGGGTTGCCGGTGGCATTTGCTCCTGCCTGGCTGGTGCAGGCCGTCTCTGTGTCAGTGTCACTGTTTTCTTCCCACTTGCTGACACCATGGTGCCCTCCTGGTGCTCTCTTCTCTCCTTAGGGTTACTGTGTTGAGGCTGAGTATGGTTTGTGTTGCGGGCAGGGGAAAGACCAGGCCTTCTCCTTTCTGTTGTCAAGTAATAGTTCCTTTTAACTTTCACTCATTGCCCTCCAGCTATCCAAGAACCCTTTAAACAGCAAAAAGAGCTGAAAAGGGACAGAATTTGTTGCTTCCTTCTGATGTGGGTTCACATCTGGCTGCATGTCAGAATTGCCTGATACTCCCTTCAGCCCATCTGGGTGTCACTGGGCTGGGGATGGGTCTAGGGATCTCTGCATTTCACATAAGCACCCCAAGAGAGACCGAGAGGAATCAAGAGTGGCAGCCTGGCTGGGTGCAGTGGCTCATCCCTGTAATCCCAGCACTTTGGGAGGCTGAGGCGAGCGGATCACCTGAGGTCAGGAGTTTGAGACCAGCCTGGCCAACATGGTGAAACCCCATTTCTACTAAAAATACAAAAATTAGCCAGGTGTGGTGGTGCACACCTGTAATCCCAGCTACTGGGGAGGCTGAGGCAGGAGAATCACTTGAATCTAGGAGATGGAGGTTGCAGTGAGCCGAGATCACGCTGCTGCACTCCAGCTTAGGCGACAGAGCGAGACTCCATCACAAAACAAAACAAAACAAAACAAAACAAAACAAAACAAAACAAAACAAAAAGAGTGGCAGTGTGGTCCTGCCCCGCCGCCCTGGGTGTGGCATTTTGACAAAGGACTTACTGCTTTCTCAGGGCGGGTGGGAGGCTCACACTGACAGAATGGCCACTTGGAAAGCAGCACTTGCTCCTCCTTCCCCCAGTGTACCACGCCATCTTCCTGGAAGAGCTGACCACCTTGGAGCTGATTGAGAAGATCGCCAACCTGTACAGCATCTCCCCCCAGCACATCCACCGAGTCTACCGGCAGGGCCCCACGGGCATCCATGTGGTGGTGAGCAACGAGGTGAGGGCTGCTGCCTGGCCTGCCCCGACAACGGGCTCTGGGCCACGGGAGGAGTGTCAGAACCCCTGCCCCAGAAACACACTTGGGTTTGGGAGTGACAGACAGGTTCATCTGCACACCACCTGCAGCTGTGGCTGTCCGGGGCTGCGATGGAGAGTGCTGAGGCCCCGTCTGGGTCCAAATGGCTGCCATGCCAAGTAGGCACTCCTTACCCCTCCTGGGCTGGGTGCCCGGTGGGAGCCAGGAGGACAGACTCCACTCTGGCCCAAGGTGCTTATAGTCAGGGCTGTGGAGGTCAGGAGAGGGGCGTTCCCCCAGGGTGGGCGACAGTCCCCAGGGAGAGGTGAAGTGGACTCCGGGGCAGGTGTTGGCGAGGCTGTGGCTTGTGGGAGAGGAGAGCAGAGGCCTCTGCCAAGTGGTGAAGGTGCCACAGCCTTCCCAGGTGGCACAGGGCAGTGTAGAGCACAAGCAGCTACTGGCAGAGGGCTCAGGTACTGTGGTCTCCAGGGATCTGACCCGCTCATGGCTAAGAAGCGGGTGTTGAATATGCCTGCCAAAGGGTTAGGCATTCCTTGCATGATGTAGAACAGAGGCTTTTAAGTTTGTTCTATCCTGGACCCCTTCCACCTAATAACAGGAGTGTGTACTTGTTTTAAGTGTATGCATAGCGACTTATTTAATCCTGTCTGCCTCTATATGATGTGGGTGTTATTATTATCCCATTTCACAGATGCGGGCCTGAGGCACAGAGGCTGAGTAATTGCCCCAGGTTGAACAGTGGGTAAGGGGTGGAGCTATGGTGGGAACCCAGGGATTGGAGCTGCAGGGCCCAAGCTCTGAGCCTGTAAGGTACCCAGCCCCTGCTGAAGTGAAGCCTTTATTTATTTATTTTAAAATTTTTATATTAAAAAGAATTGAGACAGGGTCTCGCTGCATTGCCCAGGCTGGTCTTGAACTCTTGGGCTCAAGTGATCCTCCTGCCTCAGCCTCCCAAAGTGCTGAGATTATAGGTGTGAGCCACCATGCCCAGCCTTTTGTTGTTGTTGGTTGTTGTTGTTGTTGTGAGACAAGATCTTGCTCTATCACTCAGGCTGGTGTGATCTCAGCTTACTGCAACCTCCACCTCCCAGGCTCAGGCCATCCTCCCACCTCAGGCTCCTAAGTAGCTGGAACTACAGGCACTCACCACCACGCCTGCCTAATTTTTTGTAGAGACAGGGTTTTGCCATGTTGCCCAGGCTGGTCTGAAACTCCTGGGCTCAAGTGATCCACCCACCTTGGCCTTCCAAAGTGCTGGGATTACAGGCATGAGCCCCTGCACCAGCTGAAGTGAAGCCTTTAAACATAGAGCTGTGGCTGGGTGCGGTGGCTCACACCTGTAATCCCAGCACTTTGGGAGGCCGAGGTGGGCGGATCACCTGAGGTCAGAAGTTTGAGATCAGCCTGGCCAACATGGAGAAACCCCTGTCTCTACTAAAAATACAAAATTAGCCGGGCATGGTGGTGCATGCCTGTAATCCCAGGTACTCGGGAGGCTGAGGCAGGAGAATCGCTTGAACCTGGGAGGCAGAGGTTGCAGTGAGCTGAGATCATGCCATTGCACTCCAGCCTGGGCAACAAAAGCGAAACTCCATCTCAAAAACAAAACAAAGCAAACAAACAAACAAAAACATAGGACTGTGCTGGTGGGAGCGGGATGGGATCGTGTGCCCCCAGTTCAGCCCCCAGCAGACCCCGAGCCCTTCTGGGAATTCTGAAGGCCTCTGTATAGAGGATTATAGAGCCCCACCTGACCCTGGACTAGCAAAGGAGTGGTAGGACACAAGGCCAGTATTTGTGGATTAAGACTCCGATTTGTTTCTTCCCATCCCTGGTCCTTGCCTTTGCTGGTGATGCTGCCAAGAGTGTTCCTGACCTGGTGATACTGAGTACAGAAACAGTGGCTGGGAGAAGTAGAGAAAATGCAGGGTTTGGAATTGGACTGGTGTCCCCACCTGAAACTACCTCCTAGTTGCTGAATGACTTTGGGGGAAATTTACTGAACCTCTCTGTGCCACAGTTTCCACATCTGCAAAACAGGGATGCATATACCTGTCAGACTGTAGTACAGATAAGGTGGGAGAACAGTGGCAGGTGCCAGGAGACACTAAACAAGTCGTGGGTGGTGTCATTGACTGTGATTCTGCAGGGCACTTGTTATTTGGGGGAGCTAGTGGTGGAGAGATCTTTTTAGTTTTGGGGATGTATAAAAATGTCAGGCTTTTCAGGGTTTGTGTATTTCACAGGTTGACATTACTAGTAATAATCCTCTTGCCACTTGTCATTAAACTGCCAGAGCCCTTGAATGTTCACGAGCACTTCCTCTCAGTCCTGGAGGCCAGCAAGATGGATGTTCCCTGTCTTTCACATTAAAAAAGTAATTTGTAATTAGTATAAGAAGTTAAGCAACATAGAACAGCAGAAGGTAGATGTGAAAAAAGCTTACCTCCCCCTTCTTTTCTCCTGGAATAGTTTCTGTTAAGTTTGATGTGATTCTGCAAGGCAATTTTTTGTGCTCTTGTCTCTGTGTGTGCCCTAGTGTATGTAGGTGTGGGTTTTTAAAACATGCAGTCCGGGCATGGTGGCTCATGTCTGTAATCCCAGCACTTTGGGAGGCTGAGGCAGGTGGATCACCTGAGGTCAGGAGTTCGAGACCTGCCTGGCCAACATGACGAAACCCTGTCTCTACTAAAAACACAAAAATTAGTTGGGCATGGTGGGTGCCTGTAATCCCAGCTATTCGGGAGGCTGAGCCAGGAGAATTGCTTGAACCCTGGAGGCAGAGGTTTCAGTGAGCTGAGATTGTGCCACTGCACTCCAGCCGGGGCAACAGAGCGAGACTCCATCTCAAAAATATAAAAATAAAAAAAAATTAAAACATGCAGCAAACACGCAGCCATACATTTATCTTATCTGCAACTTGCTATTTTTGTCACCAGTTCACCAGTTAAGAATTACGTTTATATTATTACATTCAAATCTAAGCGAGCTTTTTTTTTTTTTTTTTTTTTTTTGTGAGTCACGGTTTCACTCTGTAACCCAGGCTGGAGTGCAGTGGCCCAGTCACAGCTAGACTTATTGCAGCCTCGACCTCCTGGGCTCAGGGGATCCTCCTACCTCAGCCTTCTGAGTAGCTGGGACCACAGGCATGTTCCACCATGCCTGGCTAATTTTTTTTTTTTAATTTTTTGTAGAGACAACATTTCGCCATGTTGCCCAGGCTGGTCTTGAACTCCTGGGCTCAAGCAGTTCACCTGCCTTGGCCTCTCAAGGTGCTGGGATTACAGGTGTGAGCCACTGTGCTCGGCCTAGCTATTTTTTTTTTTTTTTAACTCCTATTTTACGGAGGAGGAAAATGAAGCCTGAGGTTCCTAACCTGAGAGCTGACTTTAGAATAGCCAGGAAGGTGGACATGCTGTGAGCAGTGGACAGCTGTAGTGTCACCGAAGGCTTGTCACTTTGCATTCCAAAATGAATTTCCTTTTGTGAAGACAAAAGCCAAAAATGTGGGGAACGCTTGCAATATCACGGGTCCCTGAAGGCAGTTCCTTCCTCAGCTTGTCCTGTGTGCTCAAGAGTAGGCAGTGAAGCAAGTGAAGCAGAGAGCAGAACCCAAATGCCACCTCGCCTAAGTAGGCGATTCTCATTCCCCAAAGTCTCCTTGCCTCTTAACCCCGAATCTATTGGAAACCTTTGGTTCTTAATTGCCCAGAGTGCTGGAGGCAGCCTGGCCAGCCGCGGAGCCGGCCCCTGGGGTGCAAGGGCACTTCATTAAACAAGAGAGTTACTGATTAAGCCCATGTGGGCTCTGCGTAGGGCTTCGCATGCCCAAGTGGCTGGGCTGCCAAGAGTGCTAGATGGAGCAGGCCAGCAGAATAGAGTAAATGTACTTCACGCATCATTAGGCCCTGTGGGAGGGGCGGGGGCGACAGGTGGATGGATTTGCAAGATTCGAGGCAGTAATCCAGAGCAGGCCATAAAATGTGGATGGCATTTTTTCAATTTGAAAAGGGGTTTTGCTATTGTGTTAGCTAGTGTGTGTGTGTGTGTGTGTGTGTGTGTGTGTATTGTATGTTTATATATTTTATTTTATTTTATTTTATTTGGAGACAGAGTCTCACTCTGTCACCCAGGCTGAAGTGCAGTGATGTGATCTCAGCTCACTGCAACCTCCGCCTCCTGCATTCAAGCGATTCTCCTGCCTTAGCCTTCTGAGTAGCTGGGATTACAGGCACCTGCCACCGTGCCCGGCTAATTTTGTATTTTTAGTAGAGATGGGGTTTCACCATGTTGGCCAGGTTGTTCTGGAACTCCTGACCTCAGGTGATCCACCTGCCTTGGCCTCCCACAGTCCTGGGATTACAGGCGTGAGCCACCGCGCCCGGCCTGTTTATATATTTTAAAAATATTCTTTAAATGTAAATTGTGAAATGCAGTATAAATATGGAAAAAATTTGTAAAACTTACTTATACAGTTAAAGAACCATTGAAGTACCCATGTACCTGCACTCAGGTTACCAGAATGTTACATTAGAAGCCCCTTTGTGGACTGATTTCATAACAGCCAACTGGCTAGTATGAATTTTCTATTAAACATTCCCTTGTTCCTCCTCAATATATTGTTTAATTTTGCTATTTAAAAACTTTCCATGAGTGAAATCATAGTGTATTCTTCTGTGATTTCTTTCATTTCACATTTTGTTTGGAAGGTCATGCATGTTGAAGTATACAGCTGGCGCTCATTGGCACTGCCGAGGAGCATGATTCCATCACATCTGGTTCATGCTTCTGCTGTTGACTGACGGGGCTGGTAGGAGTTTGGTGTTACTGCAGACGGTGCTGCGCTAACCAGCCTCATGCCCGTCTTTGTGATGTAGAACTTTGTCCAGGGCTCATGACTTGTAGGAGAATGTAGGAAAATTTCCTTGTTGGAAATGCATGGTCATTCTTACTGGGTCCCATGAACAGTGTTAGGAAGATTTACATCCCCATCAGTAGTGGACACCAGTTCCTGTTGCTCTACATTCTGGTTATATTTTTATCATTAAATCAGCCCTGTTTTACAGATAGGGCCATGGAGACAGGAAGTTAAAAAGGTTGGCTTGTCCAAGGTCACTGGGTAGTTCATCGAAATTAGAACTCCAGAGAGGAGGCTCCTGAGCAGAGTTGTTAGTTTCCTGCCACATTTATAGACACAGGTAGTGGAACCCTCCTTTATATTTTGTCTTTGTAGGACGCTGATGTGCAGATCCTACTAAGTACCAAGGTTTCTATTTTTAAAAACATTTTATTTAGTTGTTTTTCTCTGTTGCCATTAGTCACATACACATTCCTGTAATGCATCCGTTATAGAGACTGGAAGAATCAGTAACTAGGAAAAAGCAAAAATAGTGCAAACAAACATAAATCAGTGGTCCAGTATTAAATGGTAACATCTTGATTCCCGTTTGGGCCTCTTTCCATCCTTCATATTCATACTAGATGGTTGGGGTTATGTTCAGGTTTCTGTTACTTAAATTGCAATCATGTCACACCTTGATTCTGTGTCCTTATTTTTCAGTGAATGTTGTAGCAGAACCATGTTCCTGCTGCATTCGTAGACACTGTGGCAGTGGTGTTTACCGCATTCCCGTGTGTGTAGACACCGTGGCAGTGGTGTTTACCGTGTTCCCGTGTGTGTAGACACCGTGGCAGTGGTGTTTACCGTGTTCCCGTGTGTGTAGACACCGTGGCAGTGGTGTTTACCACGTTCCCGTGTGTATGGACACCGTGGCAGTGGTGTTTACCGTGTTCCCGTGTGTGTGGGCACCGTGGCAGTGGTGTTTACCGTGTTCCCGTGTGTGTAGACACCGTGGCAGTGGTGTTTACCACGTTCCCGTGTGTGTGGACACCGTGGCAGTGGTGTTTACCGTGTTCCCTTGTGTGTGGGCACCGTGGCAGTGGTGTTTACCGTGTTCCCGTGTGTGTGGGCACCGTGGCAGTGGTGTTTACCGTGTTCCCGTGTGTGTGGGCACCGTGGCAGTGGTGTTTACCGCGTTCCTGTGTGTGTGGGCACCGTGGCAGTGGCTTGGCAGTGGTGTTTCTGCAGCTGCGCATGGCTAGGCTCTGCCACCGAGGCTTTCCAAATGATGAACTCGTGGTTGAAGGAACATGTTCTCTCTTTTGTCTCTCAGATGGTGCAGAACTTCCAAGATGAATCCTGTTTTGTCCTCAGCACAATTAAAGGTGAAGCCTCCCCCTCCCCCTAGGGTAGTTGTGGGGGCAGGTGAGAGGGTGGGGCCTGCCTGCAGGATGGGCCCTTCCAGAGAGTGCTGACCTGGGAAAAGCCTTTGAGAAAAAGAAAGCACAAACTCTCCGTGAAAGCTAGCCCTAGAAATGGCAGAACTAGTGAGATTGGCCCCCAGGGTCACTTCTGAAAGGGAAATCCTGGGCCAGGCAACTTGTTTTCTATGAACTCAGTGTTGAGTAGAAGCATTGTGGGTTTCCTGGGGTCCTCCGGGAAGATCAAGCCTGGAATACAGCCACTGAGTCTGCAGGTAGCGTGGGTCGGGATGGGGGATGAGGGGGCCCACCTGACAGTGTGCCTGTGCTCTGCCGAGGAAGAGCCTGTGGGCCAAGAACATGTATTTATTCATAAAAGGTAGAGAAAGATCTGCTGTGGCCTTCCTAAGGGTTGGGGTGCATGTATAGGATATGTCAGAACAAAAGCCCTCTGACCGACTCATAGACCCTGGACCATGATGAGGCCACTTCCCACCTTGTCCCGTGGATCTAGCCACCGAGTGTCTTTTTTTTTTTTTTTTTGATGGAGTCTTGCTCTGTCACCCAGGCTGGAGGGCAATGGCGCGATCTCAGCTCACTGCAAGCTCCGCCTCCCGGGTTCACACCATTCTCCTGCCTCAGCCTCCCGAGTAGCTGGGACTACAGGCGCCCGCCACCAGGCCCGGCTAATTTTTTTGTATTTTTTTAGTAGAGACGGGGTTTCACTGTGTTAGCCAGGATGGTCTTGATCTCCTGACCTCGAGATCCGCCTGCCTTGGCCTCCCAAAGTGCTGGGATTACAGGCGTGAGCCACCACGCCCAGCCACCACCAAGTGTCTTTGGGGCCTTGGGGGCCATAATATCCCTGAGAACCACAGTTGTCCAAATCCTCCTTGGAACGTAGGTTTTCATCCTTGGGCCTGGGGCTATGGTAGAAAGACCTATTGTTAAAAAGACACTAAACGAGGCAGATGTCAGGGCATGTGAGATCCCTGCTTCTGCCAGCACGCTTTGCTGTATGCAGCCCTATTTTGGTGGTCTTTGCTGATACCCTAACAGCGTGCCTTTTGGGACTCCCCAATACTGTGGCACTGCACCTTTTTTCCTGTGAAATACACCCAGTGTTTCTCTCTTGCAGCTGAGAGCAATGATGGCTACCACATCATCCTGAAATGTGGACTCTGAGCAGCAGTGGACCTCATACCTGTCTCCAGCTCCCAGCCCTGTGGATCCCCGTGGATGTAGACATTGCCCCACTGTAAGCTGTGGCCTCACCAGGCAAGCTGAGGCCAGGAGGGACCCTGCCCAGTCTGTGAAAGCTACAGAGCACCAACCAGCAGAAGCCTGTGGACACCAAGTACGGTGTACAGAAAGCCAGTGGCTCCTTTCTCCCTTCCTCTTGGCCTCCAGATTTTGAATGGTTCCTTGTTCTTTTCTATTGGTCCAACCCTGACGTTCTAAAAGGGCAAACAGTGGAGACGTCTGCTCTGAAATCCCTCATCCCTTAGTTGGAAGCTGATTGGGTATCTTGGTGCTGCCTGTATTGGTCCCTTCTGACCACTCTCCTGCCTCCAGAGAAAGCTCTGCTTCACCCTGGAAGCTGGTACCTTTACCTCCTCCTCTGGGAGTTGGCTGCATGGCCAGCACTGCCGACTTGATGGGAGCAGTTTGCCCTCATTCTCCTGTTTCAGGTTTGCTTCCCTTCTCAGTGACCCTGGTGAGCATCCGCCTTTCCTGTTCTTGGATGAATTGATGGGAGTGGGGCTATTCTGTGCCTTCTACCTCTTTCTTCTCTACGTTGTTTCTAAGGATCTGCTGCTGCGGAACCCAAAGATGTGCTCCTGTCTCTGCACTGGCGCATTGGCATGGTAGATGCCACAATGTATGTGCACGGCCTTTCTCAGAGACATTAGTTCTGAGGCCCTTTGTGGGGAGGTTAGGGGGATGGTAATAGAAAAAGACTATTTTATTTCCTGGCAATCACGGGTAAGGAGGATTAGGAATGAGTATTCCATTCCTAGGTGTCATCAGATGACCTTGACCACCACAATACCAGGCCCTCTTGGATGGACTTATAGAAAGTTAGAGAAGACCTTGTTGAACCGCTGCTAAACTTGCCACAGGAGCGATGTGTTTTCTCTGAGTGCCCCTCACTTACATGTTTATCTTTGTTTGTAGAGGCTATGTTTAGGATATTTTGCCTGCATCAGAATGGGTGCATCATCTTTCTTAATGGCCTAACTATCGGGAAATTTGAGTGTCAGTAACTGTGGTAGACTCAGAAATTCGTCTTTGTCTTGCCTCTGGTTCCTGGGATCCAGTGATCTCTACTGGCCCAGGGCTTCAGCTCTTGGTTAATTTAGGTTCATGGGGAACCCTCTGACCACCTGAATGGGATGTCATAGCTTCTAAATGGAGCTTCTGTGGAATGAAGTGCTAGACTGAAGGACTACCAGAATAAAACAGGGTCTACAATGGGGAGAACTTGTTTTATAGATGAGGAAACCAAGGCTCAGAGGGGCAAAGTCACCTGCATGGTAGCACATAGTGATAGGGTAGCGATATAAATTTATCATATAAACCAGGACATCTCGGAATAAAAGGGGCTCTGTTAGTCATTATGTTGGGTAATAGCCGTGGCATTCCTACAGAACAGAGTGAGGACAGGCTCCTGATTCCTCTTCCTTCTTTAGAGGAGAAGCGGGGAGTGGGTTAACTAACAGCTTTATTGAGATGTCATTCACATGCCATTCAGTTTACCCATTGCTAGTGTCCAATTGTATTCACAGAACCACCATCAATTCACAGAATTACAGTCAACGTTGGTACATTTTCATCACCCCCAGTAAAACCCCGTACCCTTGGTCTGTCACTCCTGCTTTCCTAACTCCTGCAGTCCAAGGCAGCCATGAATCTACTTTCTATGTAAGATTAACCTACTCTGGACATTTCATATATCTGGAATCATGTGATATCTCTTTTGTGACTGGCTTCTTCCACTGAATGTTTTCTAGGGCCGTCCAAGTTGAGGATGTATCAGTACTTCATTCTTTTGTATTGCTGAATAATACTTCATTGTATAGATAGACCACATTTGTTTATTGATTCATCAGTTGATGGACATTTGTGTGTTTTTACTTTTTGGCTACTCTGAATGATGCTGCTATGAACATATTTCTACAAGATTTTGTGTGGACATATGTTTTCATTTCTTTTAGCAATATACATAGGAGTGGAATTGCTAGGTCTTACAGTAACTCCGTGTTTTAACTTTTTGAGAAACTGCCAGACTGTTTTCTATAGCAGCTGTACCATTTTACATTCCCACCAGCAATGTATCCAGGTTTCAATTTGTCTACATCCTCATCAACACTTGCTATTATCTGTCTTTTTGCTTTTAGCATCCTAATGAGTATGAAATGCTATCTTGTGGTTTTGATTTGCATTCCCCTGATGGCAACTGATGCTGAGTGTCTTTTCCTGTGCTTACGGGCCATGCGTATTTCTTTGGAGAAAGGTCTATCCAGGTCCTTTGCCTATTTTTAATTGAGTTGTCTTTTTTTTTTTAAGTTTTCTGTTTTCCTAACCACTAGACTACCAGGGATGAGCCTTCTTTTTATTATTGAGTTGGGTGAGCTATTTGTATATTCTAGACGCCAGTCTTTTATCAGGTATATGACTGGTAAAAATGTTCTCCCCTTCTGTGGATTGTTTTCAGTTTCTTGTTGGTGTCCTTTGAGACACAAAACTTTTTAACTTTGATGATTTCCAAGATACGTATTTTTTTTCTATTGTCACTTGTGCTTTTGGTGCCATATCTAGAAAACCATTGCCTAATCCAAGGTCAAGAAGATTAATGCCTGTGTTTTCTTCTAAGAACTATACTTTTAGTTCTCACAATGGTCTTTGATCCATTTCGAGTATATTTTTATATATGATGTGATGTAGGGGTCCAGCTTCATTCTTTTGCTTGTGGATCTCCACTTGTCCCACTGCTGATTATTGAGAAAAATATCCTTTCTCCACGGAATTGTCTTGGCATCCTTGCTAAAGGCCTCTGCTTCTTACTGGATCTTCTTTCCTGGGACATGGTGTCGTTGGGAAGCTTACCTTTTTTTTTTTTTTACTTAGTCTGTGTTTGGTTCCACCAGTTTTATGCTGCCTTTCTACTCTGTTCTTGCTGTCTCCCTCTTTACCTGAGTCAACGGTACTGAGTCCTATCTCTCTCTGATGTTCCCCAGTCTTCCTTGGTGCATGTTCTAGCTCCACACACTAGTCCTTGGAGGAAGGTTGAGACCAATGATTTCCTGTTATGAGTCATGAGGAAACTGAATCACCTAGAAGTGGAATAATGTGCTCAGGGTCACCATAGCCCATTAGTGGAAGGACCAGGACTAGACCTTTAGTCTTCTGAGGTCCAGCCCCTTAGGCTGTCTGTCATCACTGTACCCAAGTGATGTCACTACCAAGGCCAAATGATGGTGGGCTAAATTTTAATTCTCAAAAGTGTAGGAGGCTAATATTGTCTTCTAAGTTCCAAAAGAAGATGTAATAAAAGTCTGTTACCTTAAGTGTGCTATTAGTAGAGTCTTCCATTTTTCTGGCATGCCCCTGGCATCTGCTCTTCTTACCTTCTCGTGGTTGTAGTTAAAGCTTATAGCTTATGAAAGAATAGAAAATAATAAATACCAAAAAAAAGTACACATGGTAATTTGGTACCAAAATATCTCAGCTGCCTAATTTAGCAGCTCATCCCTTCCACAGGGGTCAGATGAGCTAAAGCTCCAGGTTTTATTTTTCATTTGATTGACATACAGAAAAGCCATAGCCCTTCCCACAGCTGTCCAGGGTCTTTCCTGTGAGTCCGGAGGTGCTGGCCTATTGAGCAGGACAGCTCTTCCCAGGGCATTCCCACCAACCTGTGGCTTCTGAACTGTAGCTTCTTTTTACAGTGAACCCCAGAGGGAAATAAGACAGACACATGTGCTCAGGCCACCATCTTGAACTGGAAGCCCAAAGCTGAGTTCCTTACTCTTAGGTCGTCACGGTTTTTGCGGGGTATCTGCAAGGTTGAGATAAACCCTTTCCTGTTTACCAGGTTGTCCTTTCTGGATGAAGGGACAGAGGCTGTTGAATGGAGGAATAATAGGTTTGCTGGAGGAGGGGCATGGTATGCCTGTGGAAAGGACAGGATGGGGTGGGGAGGTCGAGGCTTTGACTTGGGGTCCTAAACAAAGGTCAGGTGTTGCCCTAGTGACCTCTTGCCCAGACAGCCCAGAGCCCCTTACACAGAGCTATTAACCTAGGGAAGGCTTTACCAGCAGTGGACTGGAGCCAGCCAGGGTCACAAGTTTCCAAGTCCAGCATTGCTTCAGGGGCTGGCCTGAGTAACTGAAGATCTGAAAATCATTAACAAGTCGATGAAATAAACGGAAAAGCCTCTTAGGCTGTTGTCAGTGGAGCAGAGGGAGAAAGTCCCTAGGCGCTCAGAGGGGGTGAGAAAGCAGTGGATGATTGGGCGGGGGTGGGGGATTAGATGTTGACACTGCCTGGGGTGTAGGAAGAGGAACAGAGAACCCAGAGTCAGGGTCCTAGATCCCAGACCCTCGCTCAGTATGAGTCTCTTTGCCTCTCTGGGTCTCTATCTCCTCCTCTTACAAATACAGGCTTGGTGATCTCTGAAGATGGCACCAACCTGCCATGAAATGAATCTGAGGGGTTTTCCCATTTTTCCCTCCATCAAAATCGTACAAAAAGCTGGACGTGGTGGCCCATGCCTCTAATCCTAGCATTTTGGGAGGCCGAGGTGGGAGAATCACTTGACGCCAAGAGTTCGAGACCAGCCTGGGCATCGTAGTGAGACTCCATCTCTGTCTTTTTGAAAATAAAAAATCTTTGAAAATTGCACAACAGGCAGGAGACCTTTACGTGTGCCCATCCTGGTTGTACACAGTGCCACCAGTGCTCCTGCAGTGCAAGGCGGCATGCTTCTTGACATGGGTCAGATTGTGTCCATCGTGTCTTTGGGAATCAGCCCTAGCTCCTAACTGGGCTGACTACTTCCTCCGCAAACTTATGGGGGCTCCCAGATATTCCTTGCCAGCCAGGGGCCAGACACAGTGCAGGCACAGTCTGTGTCATTGGTGCACATGTGCGTGTTTACATGTGTACCTGGGTTCCTTCCCTTGCCCATGAATTTGCCATGAGCACAGCCAGAAGCAGCCTCAGCTTGGCAAGGTGTGGAGATGACTGCTGTTCCCTTCGCATTTGGGGAAAACAGGCTCCCTCGGTAGCTCGATGATCCTCTTTTGATCTTGTGTGACCTCCTGGAGAGTGGATGAAGCTGGTGGCCTTAGCTTTTCTAGACAGTGTAAGTGGCACTGGGCAAGGCCCCCAGAGCAGGGCAAGGTCTCTAGAGCGGGTCTCCCACATGACTGGCTTCACACAGGCACTTCCGCTCGGGTTGCATGCTCTGTGTCATCTTACCGGTCCAGGGTTGCAGGTAGGAAATGTTTGTACCCTCTTCTGATTGCCACCTCCTTCCCATCGCCCCTTAGGGACAGGGCTTGAGGGCCAGTGAGGCGCTGGTCAGGCACCCCAGGCCTCCTTGGGACCTGCCCAGGGGCACCCTGAGAGCTCCTGAAACCCCCACTTAGCTTCCAGACCTTTCTGCAAAAGCTCCTCCTGGCTTTCCTCCCTCCCCCAATCTATGGGTCACAGCTAACAGATCTGAGGGCAACTGCTGTGCTAGTGGCCAGGGCTGCACCTGCCATCCCCGGCTCTGCCACTTTAGGGCCTTCTAGAGGCAGTGTCCTTAGGAAGTAGCTCTGAGGCATGGGTTTTCTGCTCCTGTGCAGGGCAGCTGATGGGATAAGGTGGGGAAGGACGGTCAGTGCTTGGGCCCCAGCTGGCCAGCCTGGCGATGGGGAAACCAAACCATGTCCCCCAGCGAAGGGCCAGAGTGGGAACCTGTCCTCATGCCCTTCGTCCTGAGGAGCCCTGAGGTGGGCAGCAGGGGCCAGGGGAAGTTTTCAGGCCTTCATCAAAGAGAACAACATCCTCAGCTCCGCACCCCTCATCCTGTATCAGCACTTACCGGTGTGTGACTGCCCTTGTCAGCTAGCATACGGTGGGCCCACCTGGCCCACTGGCTGTTTATGCCACTGATTTATGATAGGGAATATTATCTTTGAACCCAATGAAGTGTTTTCTCCCCCATCACAAAAAAAAAAATTCTTATTTTTAGTAGACATGTATTTACCAAAAATATGTACTCAATTATTGTATTTTGGATTTTATCAATTTAAAAATTGTGGAAATTTGTTTGCTCTTACGCCAACATAATATTGATTTTGCCTCTTGGCTCTGAAAGCCCAAAATATTTACCGTCTAGCCCGTTACAGAAAAAGTCTGCTGACTACTGAGCCAGACCTCCATTACCTCCATCCCTGTTGGATTATTTAAAGAAAGCCTCAGACAGTAAGGGCTTTTTTAAAAGAATAAAATGACTTGGTTTGCGCTTGGAAGCAGGGGAAGCATTCAGATGAGCGGTTTCTGCATTAACCCTGCCTATCACGCATCTCGTGTCCTGTGTGGCTGGCGAGCCCCCCTTGGAAGGTTCTGGTGCTTCAGCTGGCTCCTGCAGAGTCCACCCCGCCTCGTGGTGGGAATGCAGAGCCCTTTGCTTTCCTTCTTGCCGCCTGCTTCCTGTTCCTGGGGACCCGCTGGGCCTTTGGTCTGCATCCCCTGGCCAGGTCCCTCAGGGTTGATGCGTGGAGAAGGACTTTGAGCAGTGGTGGGCAGCAGTGGCCTCCTGGCCAGCTCACACTCTTGTCCTGGGAGGGGCAGCCTGATCTCACCTCCACCTAGTACCTTGGGGACTGAGGACCTTTTGGCTTCTCTGGAGCCTGCAAGCCTCTTCCCATGTGTCCAGCTGCTCTTCCTGCTACAAAGGGGACTGCTCACAGTGGCCTCAGCTTGGTGGTTTTGAGGGGCCGCCCCCCGGCCCTCCATAAGGGTATCCTGGGCCTGAGAATTCTGCATCTGCCATTGGAGGATGGACAGCCTCAAATGGAAGGAGTCCCACGGGAGATGGGTCCGAGGTCCGGCTGTGGCCATCCAGCCCCCTGTGGCTTGTCCAGCCTCTGTGCACCCCTGGTGTCTTCACTCCAGGGGCAGACAGCAGCCACTGCAGTTCCTTTCTTCGTGAGTAACAGTAGTGATAGCAGCTGGGGCTAACAGGCTAGGCTTTGTGTTCTGCGCATTTGGTCAGCTTCTCACTCGATCCTCCCTAAAGCAATGGGGAGGCCCCCACTAGCCCAGTTTTCAGGAAGTCAACTGGGAGGTTAGATGGGGGCCAGGGTCCCACAGCTACTGATGGCCCGAGCCAGGTTGAGCTTCCTGGTGTCCAGTCCGGATCCCACTTGCAGATCTCATGCTCTCAGATAGGTGGGACAAGTTCTTTTGTCACAGTGCTGGCTCTGTCCTGAGGCCTCATTGCTGGCTGGGTGTGCTCTGCTGGGAAAAGCTTTGCGGGGCTTGCTTGGTTAACCACAGAAGAGAAGGGGACTGTTTGGGGTGCCTCTCTGCAGCCTCCCCGTGCTGGGTGGAAGCACGGTTACTGTGTTCTCTAATGTTCATGTATTTAAAATGATTTCTTTCTAAAGATGTAACCTCCACACCTTTCTCCAGATTGGGTGACTCTTTTCTAAAGGTGGTGGGAGTATCTGTCGGGGTGGTGTGGCCCTTGGATGGGTCAGGTGGGTGTGAGAGGTCCTGGGGAGGTGGGCGTTGAGCTCAAAGTTGTCCTACTGCCATGTTTTTGTACCTGAAATAAAGCATATTTTGCACTTGTTACTGTACCATAGTGCGGACGAGAAGTCTGTATGTGGGATCTGTGCTTGGGTTAGAATGCAAATAAAACTCACATTTGTAAGAAACCTCTGTGGCTCAGGCCTTGAGTTGTTTTGCTTTTTTGTTTGTTAGATTCTGGTAAAATATACAAAACATAAAATTTACCGTCTTCACTATTTGAATTGTACATGTCAGCGGTATTAAGTACACTCACATTGTTGTGCAACCATCACACCATCCCTCTCCAGAATTCTTAATTTTTTGTTGAGACAGGGTCTTGCTCTGTCACCCAGGCTGGAGTGCAGTCGCATGATCACTGCTCACTGCAGCCTCGACCTCCCCAGGCTCAGGTGATTCTCCTAACTCAACCTCCCAAGTAGCTGGGACTACAGGCGCGTGCCACCATGCCCAGCTAATTTGTTTGTATTTTGTAGAGACGGGGTTTCACCATGTTGCCCAGGCTGATATTGAACTCTTGGCCTCAAGCAATCTGCCCACCTCAAGCACAGTGGCTGATGCCTATAAATGCTGAGATTACAGGTGTGAGCCACCACGCCCAGCCCAGAATTCTTTTCATCTTGCAAAACCGAACCTTTTTACCCATTAAACACTAACTTCCCGTCCCCCAGTGTTAGTCCATTTGCATTGCTACAAGGAATACCTGATACTGGGTAATTTATAAAGAGATTTGGCTCATGCTTCTGCAGGCTGTACATGGCCTCAGCATCTGCTTCTGGTAAGGGCCTCAGGAAGCTTACAGTCGTGGCGGAAGGTGAAGGAGAGAGCCAGCATGTCACAGGGTGAGAGAGGGAACAAGAAAGAGGGAGAAGGCGCTAGGCTCTTTTAATCAGATCTCGTGTGAACTCAGAGAGGACTCACTCATTATGAGGACAGCATTAAGCCATTCATGAGGGATTTGCCCCCGTGACCCAAACACCTCCTATGAGGCCCACCTACTACGTTGGAGGTCACATTTCAACTTGAGATTTGGAAGGGACACGTCCAAACCGTATCAACCCTAGTCCCAGCCCCTAGCAACGGCTTTTCTCATTTCTGACTCTATGAGGGACATCATAAAAGTGGAATCATATAGTATTTGGCCTGTGACCGGGGTGTCCTCAAGGTTCATCCATATTGTAGCATGTCTCAGAATTTACTTTTTTCTTTTTGGTTTTGAGACAGTCTTGCTCTGTTGCCCAGGCTGGAGTGAGATGGCATGATCTCTGCTCACTGCAATCTCCGCCTCCCAGATTCAAACGATTCTCCTGCCTCAGCCTCCCAAGTAGCTGGGATTACAGGTGCCTGCCACCATGCCCGGCTAACTTTTGTATTTTTGTAGCCATGCCCATTTTTGTATTTTTGTATTTTGTATTTTTGTAGCCATGCCCAGCTAGATTTTGTATTTTTAGTAGAAATTGTGTTTCGCCATGTTGGCCAGGTTGGTCTCGAAGTCCTGACCTCAGGTGATCTGCCCTCCTCGGCCTCCCAAAGTGTTGGGATTATGGACGTGAGACACCGGCCAGACTCTCCTTCCTTTTTAAGGATGAATAATACTGTTGTATGGATAGCCCACATTTTGTTTATCCACTCATCCTTCAGTGGACATTTTGGTTGCTTCCATGTTTAGCTATTGTGAATGATGCTGCTATGCACATAGGTGTGACCAAACAGCTCTTCATGTCCCTGCTTTCAGTTCTTTTGGGTAATGCTCAAAAGTGGGATTGCTGGGTCAATTCCATGTTTAATTTTTTGAGGAACTACCATCCTATTTTCCACAGGGGCTGCACCATTTTACATTCCCTCCAACAGTGCACAACGGTTCCAATTACTCCTTGCCAACACCTATTATTTTCCTGGGTTTTTTTTTTTTGTCTTTGTTTTTTAATAATAGCCATTGTAACTGGAGGCTTCAGGTGTTTGAAGTTTGATCAGTGGGTGGGCTGGCTGAATGCTGGTCAGCACGTTTGCAGCGCTGCCACCCCAGTCTCTTATCTCTTACCAGGACCAGGGCTGTAGCCCATGAGCCACCCACAGGCCTCCCTACCAGCCCCCTACCCTGCTCTGAAACCTTCCTACCCTGACCACAACTTTCCCAAGCTCTTCTGTCTCCAGCGTCCATTCTGATCATGTGTGCCCATGGCGCCCAGAGCTGTGGCTCCGCCATGCCTGCTGCCCGTGATCTCCCCAGACTTCCAAGCCCCACGGATGGCGCTCCTCCCACCCCGCACTGGTAAAGCCCCCCTCTCCTCTCAAGTTGCCTGCACGTCCCTGTGAGAGGAGCAGAGGGTGTGCACAGTGGGAGGGCCTTCAAGGCCTTGGGTTGGAATCCTGGGTCCGTATGATTTTGAGCAGGCTACTTAACCTCCCCGATTCCTATTCTCATCTGTGAAATAGAAATACCACCTGCCTTGCAAGTTTGTGGGGCTGAAATGAGACCATGTACACGAGACAGGGAGCAAAAGGCCGGGCACAGGACGAGGCTCCTGGGGAAATGTGGAACAGCACTGGCAGGGCCTCTGAGCTGGGAAACGGCTGGGTGTTCCAGGATCCTGAAGAAGGGCATTGTTGCTGAAGGAGGATGATGCCAGGGGAGGTCAGAGGAGGAGGGGATCGGGCCAGATAACGGAATGATCCTCAGAGTTTTCAGTGTTCCCAGTACACACGCGCATATTAATGAGTTTCACAAAACAATACTTGGACTAGTCCATGTCATTTTTTCTTGAGGAATGCAGATCTTGACCTGTGGAGCTGACCTTCTGGCCTGCTGGTGGGCTGTGCCCTATGCTTTGACTCTCCTGACACAGGGCGTTGCAGACCATATGGGAGCAGGAGGGTCCGGTCTGTGTTCTAAGTGCAGTGGGAAACAGCGTGGCAGGTCCTTAGGCTGAGAGGGTACGTGATGGCTGTCTTAGCCCATGCGAGCTGCTGTAACAGAATGCCATAAGTAAACTAGGTGGCTTATAAACAACAGAAAGGTATTTCTGTCCGTTCTGAAGGTGAGGTGTCCAAGGTCAAGGCGCTGGCAGATCCAGAGGCTGGAGAGGGCCTGCCTCCTAGGAAGGGGCAAACAAGCTCCCTAGGGCCTCTTTTACAAGGGCATTAACCCCATTCATGCGGGCTCCACCCTCATGGCCTCATACCTCCCAAAGGCCCCACCTGCATGTACCATCACCTTGGAGGTTAGGCTTCAACATCGGAAGCGGGGGAGGGAACACAAGCATTCAGTCAATAGCAACGGGATTGGGTTCAAGAGCTCAGAGTGGAACTAGGGAGCCTGGCAAGCTCAGGGCCCAAGAGTTCCCCTGTACCACCGTCTTTCCTTCTGGTATGGCTGCTGGCTGCCCCATCCGCCTGCACAGCCTCTGCCCCAACAGAGAAACTAGAGGTGAGCTAGGACACAAGAGTGGGATGGTGTGAACTCGGCAGCACCTCGCAGCAGCCGAGGCCCAGAGCAGCATGGGCCCACAGCAAAGGCTTCTTCCTTTCCATTCAAACTGCGAGAGCTCGGCAGGCCCCAGCGCAGGTGCGGCTCGGGTCGCTGTCCTCGGCCTCCCGGTGGGCAGGAGCCGGCAGCCGCCCTGCAACGTGGTCTATTTCCAGCAAACCACCCCCCTCCCCCCCAGCCATGATGCGGGCGTGAGGCTTTCCGGCTATTTCCCAGGATGTCTCTTCAGGCAGCGGGGTGCAGCACTGTGGTTCTGAAACTGGAGGGCTTGTTCTAAAGATGGCTGGGCCCTCGGCTCGGTGGGTCTGATCGGGGGCCTGGGAATTTGTATTTCTAAGAAGTCCCCAGGTGATGCTAACACCGTTTGTCCAGGGACCACACTTCGGGAGCCCCTGATGTAGCGGAGAACTGCCTAGCTTCTCATTCAGCCTCCGGCTGTGTGACCTTGCCCAAGGTCGCCTAACTTTTCTGTTTTGCTTGCCTCATCCGTAAAATTAGTCCACGAGGACTAATACTCGTGCCTGCCTCGCAGGACGATTATAACGAGTAAATGAGCTGAATTTACTTCAAGAGCTTGGAATGGCCCCGGCACATATTAAAGCGGTGAGAGGCAGGAGGCTTTTATTCATGGCTTGTAGTGGCTGGGTGGTGTCCCAGTGCATCGGAATCTTCAGGAGGGCCGGAAAGCCACCTGCACTGCACTGCGGGGGTTCCCCGCCCGCAGTCTCCCATTCAGTGGTGGGGTGCGGGTCTGAGAATGTGCATTCCTAACAGGTTCCCCCGGGGGCTGTTGCTGCTGGCCTGGAGGCACCTGCCCTCTCTTTCTGGGGAGGAACCTCCAAGAGGGATAGTGACTCACTCGGGTGGGGTGGGACAGAGGGGGACTAGAGAATGTTAGGGTCCAATGACACAAAGGTGACCCAGAGCCTGACAGCTGGCTGGTAGCTATGGGATCCTCTGCGCCTCCCTGTAGGGGAAGATGATTTGAGTAGTGAAACCTGTTGATGACCCTCCCACCCCCCAACAGACACACACACACACATGCACACAGACACACACACACACACGGAACCAGAGGGGCCTCCCGGGTACAGGTGTGGATGCCACTGGCTCTCGACCCCACTCTCTGCCCTGGGTCAGGTGAGTAGCCACACTCAGCGCTTCTGCTTCTGGAAGTCCTGGGCTGTGGCGGCTCCCACATCGCTGACTGGGGCTGTCCACATGGAAGACCCGTGAAAGTCACCAGTGGGAAGCAGGTGCATGCACTGTTTGGGCCTCTACCGGGTAGGCTGAAGATTCCACCTGGAGTGTGTCAGACAGGATAGGCCCTGGGAGGCTGACTCACGAGGACCAAACCCTGAGGAGCCTGAGGGAATCACTCCTGTGGGTGAGAGGAGGAAATCAGCCATATGGCTCTGGAGGATCCTGGCAGCCTGAGGACACTCTAAGGTGCAAAGCAGAATCCTCAAGGGAAGGGTGTCTGGGCAGGTTCTCCCAGCTGAGCCTCTGCTGGAACAAAGCTGGCTTTCCCCTGGTCCTCCAGCCAGGAAGCGCAGGCCCTTAGGCTTGGCTTGGACACTGTTCCTTGGACCCACCAGGGGCGGACCCAGGTCTAGACAGTCCCCTCCCGCCCCCCATTCCCAAACCCTCTGATAAACATGCTTTGGGGGAAGACTGCACGCCCTGCTTGCTCCAGCCCTGCTCAGCCCCAGGTTGCCTCGCCCAGGGAAGAATCTGGTGGCCAGGAGGCTTCCAGAGCTAGGTTGGGTTGAATATTAACCTGCCTTGATTGGGTGGAACAATATTTAAACTCAATTACAAGAGAAAGGGGTTATCTGGAGAGGGCTTATCAGGCCAGAGCAGCTATTGAAATATCTGATAAGCCCAGAGGTTGACATTGGAGTGGGGGAGGAGCTGGCCCCAAACACTAGTCCAGAGAGGAGAAAGGTGGATGAGGAAAATCGACCAACTTCCCTCCCTTCCTCCTGTCATCCCTTCTTTCTCCTCCTCTCCCTCCATTCCCTTTGTTCACATATGCTTTTTGAGTATCAGGGGCAGGCCCAGCTCTTTCCTGGCACCAACAGCTCACAGAACTTGCTGGGCCTTACTCTTCCTCTGGGCTCTTCCTCTGAGCTCCCATGGGCTCCTGTGCCTAGGCTGTAACTGTCCATCTTTCTGTCCGCCTCTCCCACTGGGAGGAGCTCCTAGAGACAGAGTTTGGTCTGCCTGATCGCTGCCACTCTGGAATCCAGCCCAGGGCCTGGCAGGGAGAAGCCTGCTAGGAGTGTTTGTTGAATGAGTAAGAGATAGCAAGAGGTGCTGGGCAAACGAGGGACTGGGACCTGAAAGCAGCGGTGAAGGGAGCCTGTGCCGGCAGGGGGCAAGCTGCTATATGGTGACGTGTCACCTTAGCACAGAGAGAATGGGGACAGAGGACAGTGAGTTCGGATGGGGCAGTAGGGATTGGGAAGAGGACAAACATGGGCACAGGGATGTGGTGTGGGCCGGCAGGAGGAGGCCTGTGAGGGGCTCCCCCAGCCAGGTATTGCCCGTGCCTTGTCTGAAGGGATCCAGGATGTACCACACTGAAGAGGGTTTTCTGGTTTATTTTTTTATTTTTTTATTTTTTTATTCCCCTTAATCTGCCTAAAAGCAGAGGCTCCCAAAAGAATTCAGCTGCCAGAAATCCTTTCCCTGGAACTTTCAAAACCAGAGAGATGGACTCCTATCACCAAATACAAGAATTCAAGAAGTCAGCACTGGCACCAAGATAAGAAATCACCAGAACAGACATAGTTGCAAAACTGTCCTAGCTGCCATCTGTTCTCCTAGGGGCCATTTATCTTTCCTAAAAGTAAAATGGTCCTTCTCTTCCCTCTTCCCCTATTAACATGGTATATAAGTCCCAAATTATAACCACCTCCTTGAGTTGCATTTTTCTTTTCTTTTCTTTTTTGAGACAGAGTCTCACTCTGTCACCCAGGCTGGAGTGCAGTGGCACCATCTCGGCTCACTGCAACCTCCATCTCAAGCAATTCTCCTGCCTCAGCCTCCCAAGTAGCTGGGATTACAGGCACCCGCCACTGCGTCCAGCTAATTTTTGTATTTTTAGTAGAGATGGGCTTTCGTCATATTGGCCAGGATGGTTGTGAACGCCTGGCCTCAGGTGATCTATCCACCTCGGCCTCTCAAAGTGCTGGGATTACAGGTGTGAGCCACCACGCCTGGCCACATTTTTCTTTTTATTTATACTTGTTTTATCCTTTTCTCCTTTTTTCTCTTTTCTTTTTTTTTATTTTTTATTTTTAACATTTCTTTCTTTTTTTTCTTTTTCCTTTATCTTCTTCTTCTTTTTCTTTTTTTTTTTTTTGAGACAGTTTCTCACTTTGTCACCCAGGCTGTAGTGCGGTGGATCATAGCTCGCTGCAGCCTTGAACTGAGTCACATTTTTCTGTGAAACTCCCTCATAGGTATGAGAATAAAAATCCATCTTTTTTCTCTAGCGAATCTATCTTTTGTCAGTTTAATTCGCAGGCCCCTAGTCACTGAACATAAGAGGACACAGGAAAAGTTTTTCCTCCCTATTATCTCATCTGCACTCACAGCACCTTTTCAGGCAGTTGTTAAAGTCTCTGCTTTGCCTGTGAGGAGACTGAGGCTCAGAGAATCTGGGCAGCTTCTTCAGGGACACACAGCTAGTCAGGGGGCAAAGTCAGGCTTCTGACCCAGGTCCGTCAGCTCCAAAGACTGTGCCACCGTCCCATGTGGCTGCGGGGAGGCTGATGCTGGGGAGCAAATGCATCCGGATAAGGTGCTGCTCCTGGCTGGGAAGGCGGATGCCAGGATATCTAGGTAGCTTGGGAGATGCCCCTCCCGGCAGTTCTTCCTGCCCATGGGGAAGCGTGCCTTTGAGACAAGCTACATACCATGCTTGTCCCCTCTCCACCTCAGCCCTGACCCAGCTGTGCCCTTGGGGCCTGTGGAAAGGGGTGAGCTAGAACCGCCTCCTCCTTCCCAGTGCTGCGCCCGCTTGCCTCTCTGGGACGGGGAGGGGTGGGATATGCGGCCAGGGGGCTGGCTTGGTTTAAGTCTTCAGCTCACAGCCCAGCCCCAGCCAGGGGATCCTGAGCCCCAACTCGTTTACAGTCCCTGCATGGGCATCTTCCCCACAGCTGCAACTGTCCCCTCTGCTGGCCCTGCTGCTGCCCTCTGGAATGTGGGCCCTAGGAAAGGAAGCCTGTCCCCGGGTACCTGCAGATGCAGCTCTTCCTCTGGGCTGCCGTGGGCTGCTGGGCTCCAGGGTTCTGCCCCAATACTCAGGCCACCTCCTCTCAGGTGAGGTGCTCACCCCTCTCCAGCACCTTCTGCTGACCGTCCCTGCCCCTCTATTGTGGATGGACTTGGGAGGCCAGTTCTGTGCTTCACCTCCTTCCACCTTCCTCCTTCATCTGTCCCTTTCATTCATTCTTTCCCTCTTGAAGAGAAAGTGGACTCAGAGTTCCAGCTGATCTAGCAGGGAGACCCTGGCTCTGACCCCCATAGGCTGTTTTCTTTTTTCTTTTTCTTTTTTTTTTTTTGAGACAGGGTCTCACTCTGTCACCCAGGCTAAAATGCAGTGATGTGATTTCAGCTCACTGCAGCCTCAACCTCCCTGGGCTCAGGTGATCTTCCTACCTCAGCCTCTCAAGTAGCTGGGACTACAAGTGTGTGCCACCACACCCGGCTATTTTTTTTTTTTTTTGTATTTTTGGTAGAGACAAAGTTTCACTATGTTGCCCAAGCTGGTCTCAAGCAATCCACCTGCCTTGGCCTCCCAAGGTGCTGGGATTACAGCTGTGAGCCACTGCATCTGGCCGACTGTTTGCCATTTAATCTCCCTAAAGTCTCTTTTTTTAAAAAAAATGGGGACTAGGACCAGCCTGACCAACATGGAGAAACTCCATCTCTACTAAAAATACAAAATTAGCCAGGTGTGGTGGCGCATGCCTCTAATCCCAGCTACTTGGGAGGCTGAGGCAGGAGAATCACTTGAACCCGGGAAGCGAAGGTTGCGGTGAGTCAAGATCGTGCCACTGCACTCCAGCCTGGGCAACAAGAGCTAAACTCCATCTCAAAAAAAAAAAAAAAAAGGTAGGGGGGACTAGTCATACCTACTTCAGACAAATGAAGATGAATAAATATATGTATATATTCTAAATGAACAGATATTGAAGGTGTATTGGTCAGGCTGCTTGGAGCTTTTCTGGCCTAGAAGTCCCCCTTATGGCTACTGTCATTCTGTGGAAAGCCACTGTCCGCAGGACTAGACTCCTGGAAATGACCTTCAGGGAGAACTCTGCTTTTTCCTTGGGGCTGTAAGAGCTCCCAGCTGAGGAGTAACGGAGGGAGTAGAGGCAAACCCTGTCCTCCCTGCTGTGAGGTGTTCTGCCAGCATCCCTTTGGCTTCAGCCTGACTCTTGAGCCGCCAGCTCTGGCTGACTTGTCTGTTTCAAAGCACGCTGCTCCTGCACGCCCCAGAAGGGAGGGGTGTCTCTGTTTTGAAATTAATCTGACTTTGACTTTAGGAAGGGGCCATGAGGGCCTTGGGCAGACCATGTGTTCTAAGTAGTGTTGTGGGTACTGTTTTATTTGTTGCTAGTGACTTAAGAGTTTGAACTGGGTCTGAAGACCGACTACACTGTCTGTAAAGTATTCAAAAGAAGATGACATTAAAAAGAAGACTCCCAAGAACATAGAATAACACCGCTAAGGTAAGCATTTTTAGAAACAGATATTAAGTTGGAAATATCCTGAGAAGATTGAATTAAAATACAATATTCTCATATCTTGGCCATATTAGGTAAGTAATATTGGCCACTGCAAAAACAAGCCCCAAACGCCCATGGCTTAACATAATAAAGGTTTATCTCCCCTTCACATCTCAGGCCCATGTGGGCGCCCAGGGCCGCCTCCCACATGGTCATTCAGGGACCCAGGTTCCTTCCATCTAGTGGTTCTGCCATTTTTGTGTGGTTTTTTTTTTTTTTTTGAGACGGAATTTTTCTCTGTCACCCTGGCTGGAGTGCAGTGGCGCCATCTCGGCTCACTGCAAGCTCCGCCTCCCGGGTTCATGCCATCTCCTGCCTCAGCCTCCCGAGTAGCTGGAACTACAGGCGCCTGCCACCATGCCCGGCTAATTTTTTGTATTTTTAGTAGAGATGGGGTTTCACCATGTTAGCCAGGATGGTCTCGATCTCCTGACCTCGTGATCCGCCCGCCTTGGCCTCCCAAAGTGCTGTGATTAAAGGCATAAGCCACCGCGCCTGGCCCGTTCTGCCATTTTCTAGGGCCTTAGAGCCTTTGCTCCTGCCAGAGGAAGGGACAATGGGGACCCTGGGAGGAGAGGTTTTGGGGACCAGCTTGGAAATGGCGCCCTCACTTCTGCTTGGATGACCTTGGGCAGCGCAGTCACAGGTCGTACCCAACAGCCTGGTTGGGTGGTTGGGAAATGCGGTCTAGCTATAGGTCCAGCCTTCTCTGCCACAATGACATTTAAGACATAAATAAATAAAAGCCAGCTGGAATAAGTGAAAAAAGAAATTGCCGACGCCTATGGTGTCCCCTCTGTGCCAGGCTTTGTCCTTAATCTGTAGATACCAATCCTCACTATAGCCCTGTTTAGACACCAGTATCAGCACTACTTTCAGAAGCAGGAAATTTAAACCAGGAGAGGTTCATTAAGTTGCTGAAGAAAGGAGTTTACCGGCCAGGCCCTGTGGCTCACGCCTGTAATTGTATCATTTTGGGAGGCTGAGGCAAGAGGATTGCTGGAAGGCCAGGAGTTCAAAACCAGCCTGGGCAACACAGCAAGACCTCATATCAATTCTTAAAAAAAAAAAAAAAAAAAGAGAAGGAAGAAAGAAAGGTTAAAGAAAGAAAAGGTCCAAAGTGGGCTGATTTTTAGGAGAAGAAAGGAAGGGAGGGAGGGAGGGAGGGAGGAAGGAAGGAAGGAAAAGAAAAGGTCAAAAGTGGGCTGATTTTTAGGGGTCCTGCATATTTATTCATTCTTTTTTTTTTTAAACCAATTGTCATTCTGAGCTCACACTGTGGTGTGCCAGGCGCTGCTGTGTGGGGTGGTGCAGGGTGATTGGCAGGGTGATTGGCTCCCCCAAGCCTAGCTGTTGGGTGTGACCCAGGAGTTAAGAGGGGGTGACTGTTGTCTCCCACCTCCTCCAGATTCTTCTTATGGCCTCTATTTGCCTCACAAACCTAAGAATGTGCATCGATGCCTTTAAGAAAAAAAGTGCATTGTTATTGGAAAGACAAAATTGGCCTGCAGGTTTCCTATGACCCACCATGGGTGTTTGTATATAAAACAGAGCCCGGGCCTGGGGGTGGCCAGGGGCTGCGCTGCACACAGAGGCCCACTGTCAGCCAGGGCTGAGGCTCCAGTTTCAGTCCTGAGTCTCTGGCACAGAGTGGATGGAGACTGGGCGAGAGGACATGGCTCCTATGTGACATAGCTGTGGCATCTTGGCTGAATTCCAGCCAGACTCCAAGTCACGCAGGCCTAGAGAATCAACGCTGCAGGGAACCCTGGAAATCCAGGCCTGTGGTCTTCAAACTTGCCATGCCAAACCTGCTTTGAAGGAAATAGAATGTAGCAGCACATTCAGAACCAAGAGCTGCTCTGAAGGGCCAGATTGGCATGGGCGGAACTGAGGACCCAGGGCTGTGTGGACCACGGTGGGAAAGCTCAGAGCTGCTCTAACCTCTTCTGCTGTAGCTGCTGGGGAAACTGAGGCCCGCAGAAAGGAAGCAACATGCTTAAGGGCATCCGGTGACTTGGTGGCCCATCAGGCTAAGAAGGAACCCATCAGATGTCAACTGGAAGTAGTGGGTCCCAGCTTACCCTTACTTCGCTTTGTTTGTTTGTTTGTTTCTTTTTGAGACAGAGTCTTACTCTGTCTGGAGTGCACAGTCTGGAGTGCAGTGGCACACTCTCGGCTCACTGCAACCTCTGCCTCCTGGGTTCAAGCAATTCTCTTGCCTCAGCCTCCTAAGTAGCCGGGACTATAGGCGCGCGCCACCATGCCCGGCTAATTTTTGTATTTTTAGTAGAGACAGGGTTTCACCATGTTGGCCAGGCTGGTCTCGTACTCTTGACCTTGTGATCTCCCCACCTCGGCCTCCCAAAGTGCTGGGATTATAGGCATGAGCCACCGTGCCCAGCCTTTTTTTTAAAAAAAAAAAAATTTTGAAGATAGAGTCTCACTCTGTCACTCAGGCTGCGGTGCTGTGGCACGACTTGGCTCACTGCAACCTTTACCTCCTGGGTTCAAGTGATTCTTCTGCCTCAGCTGCCCAAGCAGCTGGGACTGTAGGCATGTGCCACCATGCCTAGCACATTTTTGTATTTTTTGTAGAGATGGAGTTTCACCATTGTTGCCCAGGCTGCTCTTGAACTCCTGGACTCAAGTAATCTGCCCACCTCAGCCTTCCAAAGTGCTGAGATTATAGGTGTGAGCCACTGCGTCTGGCCCTTACCCATAGTTCTGTGTAACTTGGCCATAAAATGCGGGTTCCCACCATTCCATCCTCAAGTTCAATAATTTGCTATTATGGTTCACAGAACTCAGAGAAGCTTAGATTTACTAGTTTATCCTCTGATAAAGAGTATGATAATGGACACAGATCACAGCCAGATTTTTAAAAGTACATAGAGCAAGGCCCGGAATCGTCCCAAGGGCAGGAGCTTCTGTCCCCCTGGAGTTGGTGCTCACCAACCCAAAAGCTCTAACCCTCGTGCCTTAGGGATGTGTTTTTTTTGTTTGTTTTTTGTTGTTTTTCAAGATGGAGTCTCACTCTGTCGCCAGGCTGGAGTGCAATGGCGCGATCTCAGCTCGTGGCAACCTCCACCTCCCGAGTTCAAGCAATTCTCCTGCTTCAGCCTCCTGAGTAGCTGGGATTACAGGCATGCGCCACCACACTGGGCTAATTTTTGTATTTTTAGTAGAGATGGGGTTTCACCATGTTGGCCAGGCTGGTCTTGAACTCCTGACCACAGGTGATGCACCCGCTTCGGCCTCCCAAAGTGCTGGGATTACGGGTGTGAGCCACTGTGCCGGGCCCTCAGGGATGTTTATGGAGGCTTCATTGTGTAGGTGTGGTTGATTATTAACTCAATCTCAAGTTCCTCTTTCCTCCCTGGAGGATGGCCCTAGGGCTGAAAACGCCAAGCTTCTAATCAGGGCTTGGTCTTTCTGGTGACCAGCCCTGTCCAGAAGTCCCCCAAGAGTCACCTCGTTGGAACAAAAGATGCTCCCATCACCCAGGAAATTCTAAGGGCTTTAGGAGCTCTGTGTCAGGGAACACTGGGAGATCCTGGAGAGCAGCTGATGACCAACATTCCTCAAGGGTAGGAGGTTCAGGAACTTGCTCAGTGCCCTGCAGTGAGGACGTGCCAGGGCTGGGACTGGAGGCAGCCAGTGGGCTCCAGAAAAGCCTCACCAACACTCTGGATGTAAACATCAGTGAAGAAGTTCCAGTAACCAGCGCATGATAGCCCCACACAATATGGATGTGTATCTGACAGGAGAGCGATGGAAAGGAACCAGAGAGAACGCAAAATGTGATGGAACAGCCTCTGCAGCTGCTAAGGACGCCGAGGTGGTAGTCATATGGAAAGGCAAGCACGCGATTAGCATGAATGTCAGCGGAGTGGTTAGCTCTGGGGAAGGGAAGGCCAGCCAGGTTCTGGAAGACCAAAATGTGTTATTTCTGGAGCTGGGTGGTGACTTCTTGGGGCTTTGCTTTGTGATAAGTCATTGAGCTGTGTGCTTGTTTTGTGCCCTTTTCCATATGTGTATTACATTTCAAAATAGGACAGGCTTAAAAAAAGAGGCAGAAACGCTCAGGAAATGAAGTGTGTCACCCTTCAGAGGAAGGACCTGCCCTTGGAGTGCCACCAGCTGGAGCGGGCAGCGCCTTTGGATCCAGGGCACCTTCTGCCTTCTCTCTTTACCCACCGGCCTGTCTTCCAGGTTCACCAACAAACTGGTGTTGGTGACACTTAATTGTGAGTCCCTGTTCCTAGTGCCGGCACGAGCAGGTGATGCAGCATCCTCCCCTGGGAGCCCAACTCCACTGCAGAGCCAGGCAGTCACGCCAGGCAGGGGCCAGAATGGCCTCCCCATTGTCCTTCCCCATCAAAGCCACTCTGGCTGAGAGCTCAGAAAAATGAGGAGGCCTCACAATAGGTGGGAACAGAAGTGGACCTTTGCCTTTCTGGCCTCCTGCCACCTGATGCCCAGCCCTATGAGCCAGCCTTAGGAGGCAGCACTCAGCTGCCCAGCCATGAGGCCTTTCAGCTCACACCTGGGCCAGCTGGTGCAAGGAGGGACTCTGGTGGATCTCCCCTCAACCACTTCCCTGGGCCTCACTTCTGAGTCCATTGAGTAAGGATAATTATTCCTGCCTCCCCAGGATGGTTGCCTGGTTTCAGTGCACTGACTCATAAACAGCGCAAGGCACCGCACTGGCATGGGAAGGCTCGATCACATGGCTCTCCTGCTTGGGACTGCCTTCCCTCCTTGATCCCTCCCAGATGCATCCAATGCCACCTTGACTGTGCTGCCTTCTGGCTTTCATTCTTCAGTTCTCTCGTTCCTGCCTCAGGGTACCCTGCTGACCTCCTCCGAGCCCAAGTGGGGTAATGAACCCTTCCCTGGCCCTCATGGCCCTCATGGCCCCCAGCTTGCCCCAGCAGTGGTGCTTGACACTCCCCTGGGACTGCAAGCGTGCACCACCACACCCGGCTAATTTTTTTTTTTTTTTTTGTATTTTTAGTAGAGACGGGGTTTCACCATGTTGGCTAGGCTGGTCACAAACTCCTGACCTCAGGTGATCCACCTGCCCCAGCCTCCCAAAGTGCTGGGATTACAGACGTGAGCCACTGCGCCTGGCCTGCTAGGTGCTTTATATCCATTCTCCCAGAAAACCCTCATGATGGCTTTGCAAGGTGGGTGTTATTACACTCATTTTCAGATGAGGAAGCAGAGGAGAAGGAAGGTAAGTTATCAGGGGTGCGCCCAGCATGGTCCCACTTCCTGCTGCTGGGCTCCCTGCAGAACGTACTCCATCCTTGACACCTACTCCTGCTCCCTTGCTTTGGGACTGGCTGCAGATCTACAGGTTGTCCAGAGACTGTGTCCATGTAGGTGCCATGTACACACCTCCCGGCTGGTCAGCTCTGTGTCAGCACTCAGGCCACCTCCCAGGAAGGGGTGCTCACCCCTCTCCAGAGATGGCACCTTCTGGTGACCATCCCTGCCCCTCTATTGCAGATGCACTTGGGAGGCCAGTTCTGTGCTTCACCTACTTCTACCTTCCTCCTTCATCTGTCCCTTTCATTCATTCTTTCCCTCTTGAAGAGAAAGTGGACTCAAAGTTCAAGCTGATCTAGCAGGGAGACTCTGGCTCTGACTCCCATAGACTGTTTTCTTTTTTCTTTTTCAGCTCCTGCTGAATGGGAGGTAGAGCCTGGGGTGAAGCCTGGAGAAGTCATCCACAGGGATCCAGGGCCCAGCAAGGGGTCCAGGGCAGGGCAAAGCCAAGACTGTTCCCAGCCAGTTCCCAGGCAGGATCAGGCAGAGACCAGCAGAGTCAGGCTCCCCTAGAAATTGCCCCAATGCAGATCTGAAGGTGGGTGACACTCTGGCCTGTAAGGACACTCATGCACAGATACCAGGCACTTCCCATGTACCAGGAGCAGTGCTTAGCCCTGGAGCCCAGGCACAAGCAAGACACCATCCTTGGCTCAAGGGACTCCTGGCTGGTGAAGATAATTATGGAAAACAACCAACCTGGGAACACAACAAATCCTCTGAAAATGAGGAATGGCTGCCATCTGTCTGGAGGCTCCCTGTGCCGGGCACCAGGCCGGGCATCTGGGGTGCGTTAGGACTCATGCTCATGAGTGACTTTGCAGTGCAGATATCTTTATGTCCATTTCTGCCAAGGAGGTGATTGAATTCTAAGGCTCACTCAAGGTCAAAAATCATGGAGGGTCAGACTTGGAACACAGGTCTGTCTGACTCACCTTCCTTCCTCCCAGCTTTGGCTCCTAATCCTTGCATGAGGAGCCTCTGAAAGCGCCTTTTGCCAACAGCCAGCAGGGTGGGAGGCCCCAAGTGCACTGAGCAGAGCATCTTGCCTGTAGCTGATCTTGGCTATGACCGCAGGGAAGAAAAGAGATCCTGTGTTTTGGGGGTGAGGTGTGTGACTGGGGGAAGACAGTCCTGGCAGGGTGGAGGTGGTAGCAGGGGCCACCACTGAGTTCCATGGCTGAGCTCATTCTTGGCCTTTAATCATAGCCACTGGGTAGCTAGAATGTCACATCGTACTGGGGGCAGAGGGCCCAGGTAACTTCCCTCCAGACCAGGGGCATGGGTGTCTTTCAAAGGAAGCAGGGAGGGCCCTCCAGCCCCGGCTCTCTGGTAGCAACTCGAGAATAGATCCTGGCCCTGTGTCCCTGCTGGAGGCTGCCATTCTGCCATCTGCTCAGCCTCTTGGGTCTGAAACAGCATCTTCTGTTGATACCGGAGCTCACGAATCAGTCGTCTTCTCACTGTGGCCAGGGCACGCTGAGCATTTCTCCAGGACATCCTTCATCGATTGGGGAAGTCTTCTGCCTGGAATGTGCTCCATCTGCCTGCCTCTCCCTCCTCCTTCAAGGCTCAGCTGAAGTCTCCCTCTGCTGAAGCGTTCTTTGACAACTCGGTCTGGCCCCCCATTTCTTCACACTTTGCACCCTGTCTTAGGCAAGTTGCAAGGTCCTTCAAAGGCAGGGAGCAGAGACGCACACAGAGCCACTGGAGCAATGAGGGCAACTGTAAGCCTGCACAGCAGGGTCCCCACGGCACTGCTAGCTCTGAGTTCAGGACTCTACAGCAACACACAGCGGCTCAGGAGCTGCAGGAGCCCACAGCCGCAATGCTCATCCTGGCCAGCCTCCCTGGAGTGCCACACCCTGCCCCACCCCAAGGCCCACCGGCCAGAGCCTTGAGGCCTCAAAGCCATCCCTTCCCTGTCGCCTGGCCCACTGGCAGCTGGAAACATGCTGAGAGGGAAGGCCAGGGCTCAGGCGGGTCAGGGTCTCTGTGTCAGATGAAGTCACGGAGGGCACGTGTGAGGCAAGAGGCTGGGGGGGATGACAGCAAGCCACAAGTGGAGCCCTCGGCTATGTGGAGCCCCGGAAGGAGTGGGAAATGGCTGGACTGCAGTGTAGGAGACACCATGGGAAGGAGGCCTGCAGCCCCAGCTTTGACCTTCTTCCTGTCCCCAGCTCCAGGTTCTCCTGGAAGGTCAGCTGCACTAGGTGGGGGCTGGGTGAATCTCCATCACTGCATTCTCCAGGCCTAGAGTGGCACCTGGCACCCAGTGCTGCCTGGGTCCATGTCTTGCTGTAGAGAACTGAGCACAGAGCTAGAGGTGTCGTATCACCCAGATCACAGATCGGAAGGAGACACTGTCCCATCCTCCAGGGCACTCACTCCTAAAGTGGCAAGCAAACAGGACATGGAGACAAGGTGTGATGGGGGCATGCAGTGGTGAGGGGATGGGGCATGTCTGGAAGGGAACCGTGTGGAGAAAACTCTCTTCAACAATCATCAACACAGAATACTTCTGTGATCAGATGTGCGGGGGTTTTCCACACACCAAGCAGCGGACTCCAGCTGGGGGTCCTCGAATTCTGACTCCCTACCTGGAGATAGTGTGAGACCCCACAAGTGGAGGGCTCAGTCCCCAAGACTGCCCCTGCCCCCCACCTCCACCAGTCACAAGTCCAGGCCTCCGGAACTTCTGACATACTGACTTCAAGTTGGGGTTCCCATGACCCCCTCTTTGGGTTTGAGTAATTTGCTGGAGCGGCTCACAAAACTCAGGGAGACACTTACGTTTACTGTTTTATTATAAAGGATATTGCAAAGGATACAGGTGAAGAGACGCATAGGGCAGGGTATGGCGGAGGGGTGTGGGGGTTCCATGCCTGCCCTGGGGCACCACCCTCCAGCGTTCTCCATGTGTTCAACTGCCTGGAAGCTCCCTGAACCCTGTCCTCTTGGGTTTTTATGGAAGCCTCATGACATCAGCATTCCTTCCCCCAGGGTAAGACTGTGGTCTTAAGACCCACAGTCAGAAAGGCAGGGGACACAGGCGTGAAGGGAGGGCAGGAGAAGGTCAAGGGCCTGCCCCTGAGGCCTTAGACACCCAACACCATAACCCAAGCCTGTAACGATGGCTGTGGGGGTTATGAGCCAGGAACTGTGGGCGAAAACCAAGATAGTTGTCACAACACCATAGGACCCCTCATCCCAGCCTCAGGGGTCTGGGGCACTTCCTGGAGATGAGGCTTGAGGTTAGTGGGGTTTTAAAATTTATTTTCCTCCCAAGTTTTTGTAACTTAATTTTAATTTTATATTTTTTAGAGACGGGGTCTCGCTCTCTCACCCGGGCTGGAGTGCGGTCACAGGTCACTGTAACCTCCAGCTCCTGGGCTCAAGGGATCTCTCCCTCCTCAGCTTTCCAAAGCGGGGGCATGCATGAGCCACCACACCCAGCTGTAAATTTTAGAAATAATTTCAAACTTACAGAAAAGTTACCAAAATAGTACAAATTATTTCTGATACAATTCGAACTCCTTAAAATGTTCATGTTTTACCACAGTTGCTTTTTCTCCCCATCTCTCTCTCATTCTCTCTCTTTTTTTTTTTATTCAGAGTCTCACTCTGTCGCCCAGGCTGGAGTGCAGTGGCGCTATCTCGGCTCACTGCAAGCTCCGCCTGCCAGGTTCACGCCATTCTCCTGCCTCAGCCTCCCGAGTAGCTGGGACTATAGGCGTCCGCCACCACGCCCGGCTAATTTTTTGTATTTTTAGTAGAGACGGGGTTTCTCTGTGTTCCAGGATGGTCTCGATCTCCTGACCTTGTGATCCGCCCACCTTGGCCTCCCAAAGTGCTGGGATTACAGGCGTGAGCCACCGTACCCGGCCCTCTCTCTCATTCTCTTAATACATTTTTTTCTAAAATATTTCAGAGTAAGTTGCAGACAGGAAGCCCTTTTACCTCTGAATATTTCAGTGAGTGTTTCCTAAAAATGTGGACACCCTTTAACATAACCGCAGTACCATAATTCATGTTAGGAAATTGCAATAACACTATTAGCTAATTTGGATTTTATTTTGAGGAACTCCTCTGGTCAACACTGGTGAGGTGTGGCGTGGGCAGGCCGGGGGTGTGGGGTGGCCAGTGAGTATGCAGGGTTGGTCAGCACTTCCGTGCTGGTACCCGAGAGGGGTAGGGGACACGAGATTGCAGAGTAAGCTCATCTCAAAGGCCTGGGACTTAGTTGAGGGTTGAACTTGACCCCAAAGCACTGGGGAGCCGGCAGATTGGCAGGCTGGCCAGAACAGGCTGGTCCCTCTTGTGTCCTTCCTGATGCCCTGGCCTGGCACCCGTGATTCCAGTCGGCCAAGGGCCCTCAGTCCATGGGAGAAGAATCGAGTTGCCCTGTTCAGTGAGAAGTTCAGGAAGAACAGAATGTACTTACTGTGCCCAGGGAACAGGGAGTGGAAGGGCAGGGAAGGAATTAAAAGAAAAGTAACCGAGTGTGAGTGTCTGGCAGGAGCCTGGCCTGTTTTGTAACCACGAAGTGTCCCAGTGAGTCACCACTCTTCTCCAAGGCCTGCTCCTTCCGTGTCACCCCCGAGCTGGTCTCTTGTTCCAGCACTGTTCTCCTCTCAGCTTGGTGTTCCCGGGGCACGTGGACTCGGAGTTATTCACAGCTCGGTTTGAATTCAGCCGTGGCTGGCTTGTGAGCTCAGGCAAGATGCGGTCCTCTCTGAGCCTCCTGTCTTTTTTTTTTTTTTTTAGGTGACCGAATCTCACCCTGTCGCCCAGGCTGGAGTGCAGTGGCACGAGCTTGGCTCACTGCAACCTCCGCCTCCAGGGTTCAAGCGACTCTCCTGCTGCAGCCTCCCGAGTAGCTGGGATCACAGGTGCCTGACACCACGCCCAGCTAATTTTTGTATTTTTAGTAGAGACGGGGTTTCACCATGTTGGCCAGGGTGAAACTCCTGACCTCAGGTGATTCGCCTGCCTCGGCCTCCCAAAGTGCTGGGATTATAGGCATGAGCCACTGTGTCTGGCTGCCTCCTGTCTTGTAGATTGTGGCAGGAGCTCCAGGTGGGATGGGAGGTGTTTTGCCCAAAGCGGGCCCAACGCAAGCCTGGTTCCATCACTCACTGGCCCCTAAGTCTCTTTGTGGGTAAGGCCCATGGCTCCCGGGCACTATTTCCCCCAGCTGCGAGGAGGCCCGTGCTTACCAGTGAGTGCCTTGAGAGCAGGCCTGGGCCCGATTCACCTCAATGCTCCTGCCCAGGCCAACGGCACACAGGTGTGTTCAGTTGATGTTTGCCGAGGCTATGAGGAAGATAAGCCCCAAAGTCGGCACCTAGCGTGCAGCAGAGCCTTGGGAAGCGTTGTAGTCTTACGTGAGGTCTTTAAGCCCTCCAGAGTTATGCCCCAGAGCCCAGCGTGCCGCAGGTGATGGGTGTTCCCCTCCTGAGTGTACACCAGTTGGGAAGGAGACCCCTGCACGTGGAATTACTGGGGCTAAGGAGGTGAGAGGCGGGAGCTGCAGCTGGGGCTGCAGGAGGTCGTAGCTAGGACTGCCGGGCTACACTGGGTGTGGGGGTCTGAGCAATGCGTAAGGCAGGAGGGAATGTGGGTGTGTGGGCAGGGGACAGGGGTCTGGCTGCAGCCCTCATCTCCTGCCAAGGCTTTTCCTCTGCCCTTGGGGTAACCCGACACCCAGCCATACACCTGAGGTGCACGTAAGGGCTGCACCTCACCTGCCTCTCTTGGCTGCTCCAATTGCATTTGGAAGGTGTTGCAAATTGCTCTGTGATGTTCTGGAGCCAAACCATGTCCCTGGCCCATAGCCCAACCCCTGGGGCTTGGCGTCAGTGGCATTGTCCCTGGAAGACAAGCTGCCTTTGAGGGTTTGAGGGTTTGGAGGGTTTGAAGGCTTTGGTTTGGCGGGCCCCGTCCACAGGGCTCTACCTGGCTGGGTCAAGCAGAATCAGGGTGGTGAGAGGACACAGCCCTGGGCCACCCAAAGGTGCCCCTGTGATGAACAATGTAGAGGTTAGGAGTGTGTGCTCTGGTGTCAGACAGCCTGGGCTCCACTTACAAGCTGTGTGACCTTGGACAACTGACTGAGCCTCTCCGTGCCTCAGTGTTCTCATCTGTAAAATGGAACTGGTAAGAGTCCATACCTCCTAACAGTGTTGTTAAGGTTAAATGAGCTTATACAAGTAAGCCACTGAGAGCATCCCTAACTTGTGTGAGCGTCATACAAATGGAAGCCGGAAGCCACTAGGATAGAAGGCAGATTCCTCTGAGGGCAGAATGAGGCCAGCCTCCCCTCTCCTGACCCTCCAGCCCTCTGTGATCTGCCCCTGCCCATCATCCTGCCTCATCTCTTAAGCACCCCTCCCTCTCCACAGCAGCTACACTGAGTCGCTGGTGCTTCTCTTGAGCCTGCTCAGGCCTCTGGTCCCAACAGGTGTCCTCCTCTGCCTGGGGCAACTTTCCCCTCTTTGTGGGGTCAACACCTACCTTTCACTTCCTTTCATGACTCAGCTCAGGTGTCACCTCCTCCAGGAAGCCTTTCACTTAATGCTGTGACATGATTAACCTCACTAAAGCCTGCAAGGTTTGAGCAAATGGAGGCTCCTCTAAGAGGCAGAGCTGCTTGCCCAGGGGTAAGCTGGAGTGGGGAGTTGGGACTAGGCTCTAAAGCTTTAGAGAAAACCAGCTTTAGGGTTGCTATTCCCCCTAGCCAGACTGCCTCTTGCTGTCGGCATTTGTGGGGGACGCTGGAACAAGCCATCCCAGTCCTGCTTCAGGACTGAGGGACTTAGTCCACAGCTGCTGGGAGGCTGCCCATCAGCCTTTCCAGGAATTGCCTTGGCCGAGGGGAGCTTCATTGCCCAGGGCCATCTTCTTCCTCAGAGGATGCCCGTGCCTGTGTGGAAGAGCCTCATGCGCAGATATAAAGGCTTGGTCTCTTGCCCCAACCTGGGACAACTCAGGGCAATGCCAGCTCCAGAGCTGCCTGTGGCATCAACTGAGGCCTCCACTGAGGCTGCTTCACAACCCAACTTCTCCCTCCACTCAATCCCACCTTCATCCCCCACCCCAACATGGAGTCCCAGAGTGCTTCCCAGTGACAGTCCCGGATGCTAATCTAAAGCAGAGTCTGCTTCCAGGGAGCCCGGCCTGCAGCAGGTTCTTGCTTGGAGGCATCTGAATCTTGCTGGAAGGGATTACAGAGATGCCCAGAGCCTGCAGGCCAGGCTTGGGTGCTGTGCAGCAGGAAACGCTATCAGGTCCCTGGGATGACATGGGTCAATGCTCCCTCACTGCTGTGGCTGCTCCTAGGGCCGGATGCCAGACCCCCGCCACACTGTCCCCAGACCAGTGGAATACCTTCACAGCACATGAAGGGTTGAACTTGACCCCAAATTCAACCTGGTTTATGGTGTGAGGGATGGGCTAACCCAGGAATGAAAGGGGAAGGATGGCTTGTGTTTGCAAAGGGAGCTTCCTTTGCAAAAAACCAGGCCACTTATGCCTTACTCCAGAGAAACAGTCTCTTAGATTAGTTAATTAAAAATTCCTGAGGGCAGCAATCACAGCCGATTCAATTCTGTCTCCAGGGTCTGGCACTGGGTTGGGAACTTCGGAACACTCAATATTTATTGAGTGTGTAAATGAATGAAAGAAAGTGGCATTAAAAAAAACCAAACAGGCCCCGGTGTGTGATGTTCCCCTTCCTGTGTCCAAGTGTTCTCATTGTTCAATTCCTACCTATGAGTGAGAACATGCAGTGTTTGGTTTTTTGTCCTTGCGATAGTTTGCTGAGAATGATGGTTTCCAGCTTCATCCATGTCCCTACAAAGGACATGAACTCATCATTTTTTATAGCTGCATGGGGCCTGTTGTGGGGTGAGGAGAGAGGGGAGGAATAGCATTAGGAGATATACCTAATGTAAATGACGAGTTAATGGGTGCAGCACACCAACATGGCACATGTATACATATGTAACAAACCTGCACGTTGTGCACATGTACCCTAGGACTTAAAGTATAATAAAAAGAAAAAAAGAAAAACAAACAGGCTGTAATCCCAGCACTTTGGGGGGCGGAGACGGGCGGATCACGAGGCCAGGAGATCAAGACCATTCTGGCTAACACGGTGAAACCCCATCTCTACTAAAAATACAACAACAAAAAATTAGCCGGGCGTGGTGGCAGGTGCCTGTAGTCCCATCTACTCGGGAGGCTGAGGCAGGAGAATGGCATGAACCTGGGAGGTGGAGCTTGCAGTGAGCTGAGATAGCACCACTGCACTCCAGCCTGGGCGACAGAGCGAGACTCCGTCTCAAAAAAAAAAAAAAAAAAAAAAGAAAGAAAAGAAAAGAAAAGAAAAAACAAACAAAAAAACAAAAAAGGAAAGAAAGTGGCATTAGGTCTGTCCCCCCAGTGGAAGGTAAGCTCATGAGGGCAGGACAACATCTGCTTCAATTACTGCCCCACCCCAGTGCCCAGCACAGGGCCAAACACATATTTGTTGGATGAATACGTGAATGAATGAATAAGTGTATTACCTGTTTTAGAGTTTTCCAAACTGTGGTCTATGGATATTCTTTGTATTTCACAGTCAGTGTCCAAATAAGTTTGGGAAATGCTGTACATGGTAGTTTCCTGTCAGAGCCACTCCACACAGGAGCATACTGAAGGCTCTGAGAAGGTCTGCAGTGAAAAAGGTTGTTACATCCTATTTTATCCAACAGTTACCAAATGTATTCCCTCTGGCCCTCCATTAACTCAGGGACACCAGTGTGCCAAGGAAAACATTTTTGGGAATTGCTGCTTTAATTTGAGAATCTGAGTTTGAGGTCATTTAATCAGGGATGTCAAAGATTTGCTTGGGATGGGGCAAGGCGGGGGGCAATTAGATTGAGCACGGAGGCAGGAGAGGCTGCCCCTTGTACCAAGGACGTCACGATGTGTGCAGGGTGTGCCCAGCAGGAGTTCTGCAGGTGTGTGAGGGCAGAGTGACCACCCATTAGGAGAGGGACTTGTGGCAGGTTTTACAAAGGCTGTTAATCACAGGGCACTACTCCTCCCCGTCTTTCCTGAGACCCAGCTCCCCATGCTGACGCTGACCTCTGCTCTCCGTGCAACTTCACGGTGTCCCTCTGACCCCTTTGAATGCCTCTCCACTCTGCCTGGTGGGCTCTGGGCTAACACGCCTGTAAACAGGGTTTTCTCCTGGTCTGCTGGGGCTGCCCAGCAGGGGCTCGTTCTGGGTATCCGGCCAGAGGGATGGCTGGCCCTGCACTGTGGGTGTCTTACAGGGGGCCTCCCCAAACTTGAAGTGGAAGAGAAAGCACTAAAGACTCAGGCTGACGTGGACCTCACAGGCTACATGGGGGCAGGCACAGGGAGCTGGTCAGGGGCAGCCTTGGCCTGGTTCAGTCTGCGCCTTGGTAGACATTGAAGAAAATACCAGCTAATCAGGGCAAGTGACATGTGGGGCAGTGACAGTTTCTGCTGTGGGGCCTTGGGTTGTGTTCACAACTCATGCTCTATTTAGGAAGGCTTGTGAAGGTGAGACTTGGGGCAGAGGGGAGTGGGGGAGAGGAAGGTCTGGCTGCCTGACTCTTGAGGAGGGGCAGAGTTTTGAGGGGTTGCAAGAAGGGAGTTTAGAGAGTAGAGCCATCCTGGAGGGCTTCCTGGAGAAGGTGGGCCTAGGTGCATGGGAAGGGTGGGTGCCCATGCATAAGCAGAGTGGAGAGCAGGGCACTGCAGGCTGAGGCGTCAAACACTGGCACTAGGACCAGAAGCACCCATTCTTTTTTTTCTTTTCTTTTCTTTTTTTTTGAGATGGAGTCTCGCTCTGTCACCCAGGTTGGAGTGCAGTGGTGCTCGGCTCACTGCAACCTCCACCTCCCGGGTTTAAGCGATTCTCCTGCCTTAGCCTCTTGAGTAGCTGGGACTCCAGGCACGTGCCCAGTTAATTTTTGTATTTTTAGTAGAGACAGGGTTTCACCATGTTGGCCAGGCTGGTCTCGATCTTCTGACATCGTGATCCACCGGTCTCGGCCTCCCAAGGTGCTGGGAATACAGGCGTGAGCCACCACGCCCGGCCCAGAAGCACCCATTCTTGAAGAGCCCTGGGATTGGCTTGGAGAGGGCAGACTGCCATATGGTCAGCACGCTCTCCCAGACCAAGCAGGGCACTTGCACGGAGAAGGGGTCTTAAGTTTCCGGGTTCCCTAACAGGAACCCGTAACAAAGACTTATTAATGCCAGAAGCAGCCCAGATTCTGACCACTTACTACGAAGTCCCTTGGAGAAGACACAGCAGCTCCCAGCCCAGCAAGGCTCTGCTGTACCCTGGGTGAAAGTTATCACTTGTCTTATCTGTGACAGACACTGCTGGTTGTTTGCCCAGCCTCCCACCCACTGCCACTTCTCCTTGCCTTTCTCTACTACAGACCTAGAACACGAAATGACTCCACTGCCCAATCTCTCTTGAGGCTAGGAGTAGACACGTGATACAATTCTGGACACCAGGAGTTAGGCAAAAGCCCCCAGGGAAGAGCAAAGTTTTGACAAGAAATTTTTTGGCCCCTTTACTTCATTTCCTGCCTGGAATGTGTCTGTGAGTCCTGGAGGGGCAGCAGCCATCTTGTTACCATGCATCAATAAGCATCACGGAACAGGCTGTCCTAGTATCTGAAGCCAAACGTCTTCCTGCTTGCTGCAACATTAGATGAAGGAATGTCTCTGCTACTGTCACTCGGAAAGGGAGGGTCACAAAGGCAAACACTGGCAGTGCCCACGCCCGCAATGCCCATGGGGAGAGACTTTCCAGCCGGTGCATGTTCAGAACGCTGAACCCATTGGCAACATGGCTCTCGGTTTATCCAGCGCTTCTTTTAATCATTTATTTATTTATTTTTATTTATTTATTTTTTTGAGACAGAGTCTTGCTCTGTCGCCCAGGCTAGAGTGCAGTGGTGCCATCTTGGCTCACTGCAAGCTCCGCCTCCTGGGTTCACTCCATTCTCCTGCCTCAGCCTCCCGAGTAGCTGGGACTACAGGTGCCTGACACCATGCCCGGCTAATTTTTCATATTTTTAGTAGAGACGGGTTTTCACTGTGTTAGCCAGGATGGTCTCGATCTCCTGACCTCGTGATCCGCCCGACTTAGCCTCCCCAAATGCTGGGATTACAGGCGTGAGCTACCGCGCCCGGCCTATTTTTAATTTTTTTAAGAGATGGTCTCACTATGTCACCCAGGCTGGAGTGCAGTGGCCATTCTATTCACAGGTGCAATCCCCCTGCTGATCAGCCTGGCAGTTTTGAGATCCAGCTCTCTTTGCTCCATGTCCATGCTCACTAAGCAACCTATACAAATGGTTATTAGTTTTCTTATTTTATTTTTTTAGGGAGAGTCTCACTCTTGTGACCCAGGCTGGAGTGTAATGGCGCCATCTCAGCTCACTGCAACCTCCACCTCCCAGGTTCAGGCGATTCTCCTGCCTCAGCCTCCCGAGTAGGTGGGATTACAGGCACCTGCCACCACACCTGGCTAATTTTTTGTATTTTTAGTAGAGACAGGATTTCACCATATTGGCCAGACTGGTCTCGAACTCCTGACCTCAAGTGAACTACCTGCCTCGGCCTCCCAAGGTGCTGGGATTACAGGCATGAGCCACTGTGCCCAGCCCTGGTTATTAGTCCCCCAAATCAGGTTCCCAAACCTGTGGGCCAATAAATGCTGAGTGAATGAGGGAGCAGCCTTGCCTCCTCAACTGGAACTGGGGTCTTGAGGGTAGGAGCTGCATGTCTGCACTCCTTGCAGCCGGAGTGCCTGGTGCAGGGCCCGGCCCATGCACAAGGCTCTCGAGGGCAGGTTGAGGGTCAATGACTGGCGGAGGCTGGGCAGTGAGGTGTAAGGGGGGCACCCAGAGAACAGAAGTGCAGTTGTTCCTCTTTGCTGTCCACAGACACCTCGACTGGCCTCAGGGCCTGGGGAACCCTCAGCCCATTTCCGGAAGCACTGAAGATGCCTGTGTCTCTGGGACACCTGAGTCTTGGGCAAAGGACCTTGGGCTGTGTGCAGGGGCCATAGGTGGGTTTTCTACAATGGAGCCACTCTTTGAATCTGCTTTGTGTTTGCCAGAACCTTCCTGTCAGACAGTTTCTGAGTTCAGTTTGGCTCCTTGCCATCCAACTGTTTCTGGAGCCCTCTCGTGGGTAAAGATTAAAGTCTGGGTTCAGATTTGATCTCAGCTAGGGTTTAGGTCCAGGTTAGGGTCAGGATCAGATCTAGCCCCCAAGATAAAGTTCAGGTTTATTTTTATTTTTATTTTTATTTATTTGTACTTTTTTGAGACAGAGTATCTCTCTATCACCCAGGCTGGAGTGCAGTGACACAGTCTCAGCTCACTTCAACCTCTGCCTCCTGGGTTCGAGTGATTCTCCTGCCTCAGCCTCCCGAGTAGCTGGGACTACAGGCGTGCACCACCACACCAGCTAATTCTTTGATTTTTAGTCGAGATAGGGTTTTGCCATGATGCCCAGGCTGGTCTCGAACTCCTGAGCTCAGGCAATCTGCCCGCCTTAGCCTCCCAAAGTGCTGGGATTACAGGTGTGAGCCACCGCATGCAGCCTGGTTCAGGTTTACAATCAGGTCCACATGAGAGTCAGTGCTAGAGGGTCAGCTCCAGCTTTGGGTCATGTTCTTGTATATCTTGTGGGATGAAGAAGATGGGGTTGAGAAGGAGTCAGTTTTAAAGGGCTTGAGTGCTCACCACAGAGCAGCTCTGGGGCAACCCTGTCCAACTCTCTGACCTGCCCGTCCCCGTCTCTCAGCACCTGCTGCACTGCTCTGTGGAGGGCTGGTGGGCTCTTGTGAGTTTCTCCCAGATGTGTCTAGTCTGTTGAGTGATTGCACCACTTCCTGTGGGCAGGGCCTTCCCTTTACTTGGCTTTCTTTCTCCTTTGGGCCTCTGGGAGGCTCACAATAAGTGCTGACTGCATAAATAAAGTCAGTGTCCCAAGGACAAAACTCTCCCTCTGATTGAGACTTTTCGATTCAATTTAATTATGTTCAAAGATTTTAAGGAGGATGTAGGAAAATTTAGGACCTTTCTGCTACTTATGAGAGCTGTCCTTCATCTATCCATTCACTCATCCATCCATCCATCCACCCACCCACCCATTCATCCATCCATCCACCCATTTATCTGCCCATCCTTCCATCCATCTCAAATATTTTTTGAAATCTACCATGTTCTGAGACTTTGCCCAACCCACAGGGGATGAAAGAGACACGAGACTCTTCAAAAACGCGATCACTAGGTGGAATCAGAACAGCAAGCAGATTGTGGGTATAACAGGACAGAAAGGCATTCAAGTTCTGTAGGACCCAGAGGAAGACACCCAGCCTCACCTGGAGGCATCTTTATCATGCGAGTTTTTCTAAGGTTGAAGCCGAGTCTTGAAAGATGAGTAGGTGATCATTTATCAAAGAAGAGAAGAGCATCCCAGTGAGTAGAAACAGAATGTGCCAAGGCCCATGGCGAGAGTGTGGGACAGCCTTTGGGAAACAGATAGAGCGGGCATGGGGATGGCAAGGTGGCTGGTGAGGCTGGGCTGCCAGGCAGGCAAGAGGCTGGAGGACTCCATCCTGAAAGCCTGGGGAGCCACGGAAGGAATCTGATCAAAGGATCAGCCTGATACAAGTTGTGTTGTGCACCCATCATCCTGGAGACTTGTAGGGGTGGGCGAGCTTGGGTCTAGGATTGTGGTGGGAGGCCAGGCAGCAGGACAAGCATGCCCTGAGGATGTGATCGACACAGCTCTGACTCCAAAGTCCCCCACAGATGTGTGGCCTCTGAAGTCCTGGGCAGCCAAGGAGGGAGGTGGGGGAGGGCATCCTGGGGAGCCGCATGTGTGGGCTGAGCAGAATTTATAGCTGACTCAGGGACCCGCATGGGTCAATGGCTCTAGAGGGTTGTGTTGGGCAACCTGCAGCTTCAGCCAGAGGGCCAGGGACAGTGCTAGTGCATGGCAGGGGAGCAGGCTGTGGCCAGCCTCTCACCCTACTATGGATTCCCGCCCTGCCTGGGCCCCCAGAGCAGCTGGAGATGAATGAAGATGCTGTCAGTGGCCCTGCAGTCATAAAGGCCCTGGGGGCCATGTGACACCCAGAATGAAATGCCAGCCCTGGGTGTGGGGCGGAGGCGCCGCAGATCTTCAGGCTAAGGTGAAACCTGCTGCATCGATGAGTGCCTCTGAGCCACATGCGTTTGTTCAGGTGGATGGGATGAGGCAGCTCAGGGGGAAATTGAGGGCAGAGGGCTCGGGGTTGGGGGCAGTCAGGGTGTCAGAGAAGCTCGAGGGCGGTCCTCTGGGCTGCACCCTCGCCACTTCTGGAAAGAGGGAACATGTTGTACGTGCAGGACCTCAACCAGGAAACCCGAAGCTTGTTGATCTTGAGCGCCTCCCGGAATCTTGGCCCCAATTCTGGGCTCAGGACCCAGGGTGTGCATCACCCAGCCTGCAAAGGCTGGATCTCGGGGCTCGTGGAGGACAGACAGATTCTGGGTAAATGTGGCTCCATCCAGTGCCATCGCCAGCCGGGATGCCAGCGCCTCTTGAGGGACAGCTGCAAACTGCCAGGTGTTCTGATTCCAGCCACTGCCCCCCGCACCCCATTCAGGCCTCTGTGCTGGTTGTTAAAATTATTGAGCACCTTCTGGGTACCAGGCCTTGTGCAGAGCACATTATGGACTTACTCCATTCAATCCTTGGAGAAGTTCCTCAAGGGGTCAGCCTCATTTTACAGAGGACGGAATTAAGGGTTAGTTATCCAAGGAGTAAAGGAGGCAGAGATGCCAGCTGGGTGTGAGATGAAAATGGCCCAGGACTTCAATTTTTTTTTTTTTAAGAATGTCCTTCGTATTGCCAGGCACAGTGGCTCACCCCTGTAGTTCCAGCACCTTGGGAGGCCGAGGCAGACAGATCACTTGAGACCAGGAGCTTGAGACCAGCCTGGCCAACATGGTGAAAACCCTTCTCTACTAAAAATACAAAAATTAGTCTGGTGTGGTGGCACACACCCATAGTCCTAGCTACTTGGGAGGCTGAGGCAGGAGAATTGCTTGAACCCAGGAGGCAGAGGTTGCAGTGAGCTGAGATCACGCCACTGCACACCAGGCTGGGTGACAGAGACTCTATCTCTAAATAAATAAATAAATAAATAAATAAATAAATAAATAAATGCCCTTCATACCTTCATATGTCACAGAATAGAGGCCTGAGAAGTTCTCACATCCATTGTCTTTACCTGGGCTCACCCAAAATTCAGGGAGCCTGAGGCTTTTGGCTTCTGTATGGAAACTTAAGGGCGTGTGACCCCGGGGGATGGAGCGATGGACAGGAGAGTGAAGCTGGAGAAAGGAGGACTGATGGCAGATAGCACTGGTGGAGAGCCCTGGGCCCCAGTTCCCAGAAGCTGCACAAACTCATCCTGGGGGAGGTGGGAGGAGACTTTGTCCCGGTGCTCCTGCCTCCTGCCTCTCTGGTGGTGATGTGTGGTGCCCAGGCAGGGCGTGCTCCACGGGCACGCGCACAGAGCTGTCTGCAGACAGAGGCGCCTGGAGCAGGATGCAGGTGAGGCACAGAGGGCTTGCTGTGGAGCCGCATCTTGCAGCTGGGGGCACTGAGGCCTGAGAGGCTCTGACAGGCCATGCACTGGTGTCTGAACCAGGACCTGCTCGAGGTCACCTTCCTCCCAGGCCACTGAAGTGACTGTGGTGGTGAGAGGTAGGCAGCGGCCTGTCTGCCTATGTGTGTGTGTGTGTGTTGGAGAAACAGTATTTGGACTGATGTGCAGGTGGCCAGGAAATGGAGCACGGACACGGTCCTGTCTAGCAAGTTCTCAGGAGCATGTGTGCCCCATATAAAGAAGGTTGGCTGCAGGGCTGCCAGTCCAAGCCCAGAGTGTCCAGGCCCCCATCCCAGGATAGCCCAGCCCAAGCCAGGACATAGTGCCAGTCACTCTCAGGAAGAGCAGGGGACAGTGACACAGCACATGCCCTGGGCTGTTGAACTGTTCCCACTGAGTCCTCAGACAGCCCAGGGGCCCAGGGAGAGCAAGAATGATGAGTAACCAGGCTACGGCATCCAAATAAACACCACCCCAAACCCCAGACCAAACCACCTACAGAGCCTGCCAGCTGCAGCTGCCAGAGGAATCAATACCCATTGTTCTCCTAGACAAATGTTCCCTCTGCACTTTTGGCCACTGTGTTCCAAGGGATGGCTAGGTGTGGGTTTACATCATGTGGATGGACACAGCTTAATGGGATCTGTTCCTCAAATTGCTCCACCCCACAACCTCCCGCTGCAGGGTCATGAGTTGAAGACAGCTGCCTGGCTGGATCCGGGCGAAGAGCAGGCACCAGGCCTATGTGGACTCCAGTCCCTGAAAGCTGGGTGACCTTGGCCTTGGGTTCCTCGACTACTCAAGAGGGGTGAACATCTGCAGCTCTCGCTATCTCATAGGGTTGGCCTGAAGGTTACAAAGATTCCTGGGAAAAGCAGCCAGCAGGAGTAAAACACACAGTGTTACGGCTCCTTATCTAATTGCAACGGGAGGCATCCAGCTTAGGGCAAGGAGCGTGGGCTTCCCAGTCGGACAGGCCTGGGCTCACGCGCTGGCCTTTTCCATCAAGGCCTATCACCTCTCTCAGCTATGGGTCAGAGAAGTTAGCCTGCAGGACTGTTGGGAAAGTTGCAGCTGCATGCCTGGGTCTTAGCACGGTGCCATGGCCGTGAGAATTATAATGTGGCTGCCATGGTCCAGGCACTGAATGAGCTCAGAGGACCCCTTGCACAGTGCCTGACCAGGTCAGGCCAAGCATCGTGGACAGAGCCGGGGCCACATCCTCTCTGTGCTTAAAGGCCAAAGTCAGCACACCCACCTCTTCCATGGACCTCTCTTAAATTCTTCAAGTCCTCCTTGTGGCCCCTCCTCCAAGCTTCTAGATCCCATGTCACCTATTCCATTCTTTTTAGCTCTTAATCATGGCAGGGGACATTTGCTATTGGATGGAGAGGGGGCTACCCAGTATGTTTGCCCCCTTCTTATTTGAGAATAAGGCCCTATGATGTGAGTATTGGCAGGAGATAAGCCACCCACTGTGGAAGCTGAAGGGGCAGGCATTCTCTCACCTTGTTCCTGGGCAAATGGACCCAGATGTGGCTAAAAGGACACTTCCATCCAGGACTCAGACTTAGGTGGGTGACATTAAGTGGAGGGAAAATGAGATGCCATTTCCTGTGGCAGTGTCCACAGGTGGCAGCAGTGTCCACAGGTGGCAGCAGTGGCCCTGGTGTCCCTCTACGGCGGGAGCATGAGCTTCTGGTGGGCCTTCCCCACAGGCCTCCAGGTGGGACCATGGCCAAGCTTTTGCCCCTGGGCCTCCCTTGGTGGCTGCCCACTTCCTAAGCCCGTTCTCCCACCTTCCTGTCAATTCTCAGCTCCTCAGTCACCAGCGTTGGGTTTCTGTTGCTTGCACACCCAACATGCACGTTTGCCTTTGCATAACACCAGCTGTTCCAGGTGAGCAAATAATCTTCCCCACTGGACTTCACCCCCTGGGGGCAGAAATGCTGCCTTACACTGTGGTGTATCACCCAGTAAGTGCCTCCTGGTGCAGGCCATCTGGTGAGGGATGCTTGGACTCGGCTGCCAAACACATCTGCGATAGGATCCAGGTTCTATCATTTACTAAACTGGGGCTCTGAGTAGTTATTTACTCTCCATGAGCCTTGGTTTTCTCATCTATAAAATGGGCACCTACTTCCTAGGATCTTGACTTAAGAAAGTAGACATGAGTATTGTGATGGTGGTGGGGTTGGTGGGGAAGAGAGAACAGAATTTAGGCTGCTCGTAAACCAGCTCTCATGCTGGGACTGGTCTGGGAATGAGGACTGGGATGGGGGCAGGGGTGAGGCTCCAGGATGGGGGTCTGAGGGCCTATGGTGGGCAGAGGCAGGGTGCCTGGTAATTAATTCTATTTTTCTTATTGTTAGATTTGCACTTCGCCATCTTTGCTATTTAAATCTTAGTTGTTGATGGAAGTTTCCAAAGGCTTATATTGCCTCTCCTGAAACAAAACACGAGCTCTTTGAGGAACAAGACTTTGTATTTTCATCTTTGTACCCTCACAGCACCTAGTACGTTGTAGTTACTTAATACAGTTACTTAATACATATTTACTAATTAGATTCTAATTCTGCAGGGTCAGTAGGTTTCATGCTGCCTGGACTTTCCAAAAAGGATGTTTGCTGACGGGATGGCTTGTTGGAGGAGGAAGATTCTGTAGAAATTCAGTTCCCTTGTATGTTCCCAGCCTCTGGCAGGAGTTGGGGATAAAATTGAGCCCGTGGTACAATGGGGAGACAGGTAGGTATTTACTGTCATTACAGAGTCATCTGTGTTTAAATAATTATTTAGGAATGCATATACTCTGTTGTTCAGCCTATCCCTTAAGCCAGGTATCATACAAGTGCTCTAAATGTCTTCTCTCATTGAATTGTCACAAAGCTCTTCGAAGGTAGGTGTTATTATCAACCTGATTGTATAAAAGTAGAATTTGAGGCTTAGGGGCCTGCCCAAGTTCAAATAGCAAGTAAATAGTGGAGCCAAGGTTTGAACCCAGATGTGTCTGACCCCCAAATCCATTGCCCTAACCACTGCTTTGTGCTACCTTGATAGAGACAAACTCCTTGTTCAGGAAACCCAGAGGAGGGAATACCTGAATTGGCCAGGAAAGTCCAGGAAGCCTTCCTGGAAGAGGAGGTGCTTAGACTGAAATTTTAAAAAACCACACTTTTAAATGGACATGTTCAAACACCCGCAAAAGTAAAGAAGATATGAAATAAATCTTTAAGAAACGAGGCAGAGTTGGGGAACAGGTGCCTGCCAGAGTCCAGGATTGTTAAGCCTTGTGCATCCTGGGGACACTCAGAGACAGGTAGGAGGCCTTGCAGAGTGTAAGGTGTGACCAGAGGCAGTGTAGGGGTCAGATGGAGCTGCAGCGGTGGACACCCCTTTGGAGCTTGAGTTACTTAATTCAGAAGATGGCTGTTCCTTATGTTTGGACTTCCACCCATTTGTTTGGGGCAAAAAGAAAGCATCGGCACGTGGCACATGGCAGGTGAGGAAACGTGCTGTTTTTGGATTTCCCCAGCAGTGGGTAGGTAAATAATTTCTTGCAGTTTGGCACAGTTGGGTTCAAGGGTGAGGACTTCAATCTTTCAGCACTGATGGTTTGAGGCAAGTGATGGGAATCTGAGTCACTCTTGCAAAGCCTTAGTTCAGGGGAGGCTGAAGGACTTCATGGGAGCTGGGGCAGGCAACAGAACTGGGTAGAGCTGGGTGTGGCCCTGGGTTTTACAGCCATGGTCCCTGGGCAAAATCGTTTTCCCTCTTGGCATGTTTAGACAACAGAGATGGTTGTTGCTTGGATTAAAAAAGGTTTTATGGTTGGTTATAATTTTTGACATTGGAAATGTCCCCACGTGTGGTGGAGTGGTCAAACTTCCTGAAGAGCAGAGGAGGAGAAAATTTCCTGGGATGTCTACAGCAACAGAAATTGTCACTACGCCAGGATACAGCCAACATCACCATGTACCTGGCCTAGGGGCAATTTTGCAGTGTTCAGACTAATTTTTCCCCCTTTTTTCTTTTCTTTTATCTTTTAAGATTTATGTAGAGCCACTTTTGCTGTGTTGCCCAGGCTAGTCTCAAACTCCTGGCCTCAAGCAATCCTCCCTCCTCGGCCTCCCAAAGTGTTGGGATCATAGCCCAGCCCAGACTCATTGTTCATTCATTCTCTTACTCATCCACTTATTTCTTCTACTTGTTCACCCCTGATTTATGGCCTTGCCTTTGTTCTGGTAATTTTTCTGTTCTGATGTCCAGGTTTATACCTAGATGAAGAGAAAAGAGAAATAGCTAAGAAGGAATTCTCTGACATTCCTTCTTAATTTCCTCTGCCAGCCTGTCTTTCTCAGGTGAGGCTTTAAGTATTTTGGCAAGCAAAGAAACACAAAAGACAAAGCATAGCTGAACTTCACTAGCATGTGTGATAAAATCACTCAGTCTCCCTGTGGGCAAGGTGAAGGGAATATACTTTATTTACTTTAGCCGCATCCCACAAATTTTAATACTCTATGCTTTCATTCAGTTAAAAATACTTCCTAATTTGATCTGTGGTCTCTCCCTTTCCCATGAGTTATTTAGAAGTGTGTTGTTTGGTTTCCAAATGTTTGAGTATTTTCCAGAAAATTTTCTATTACAGATTCCTAATTTAATATCATTATGATCAGAAAACATACCTTGTGTGATTTGAAAACTTTTAAATGTATTGATACTTCTTTTATGGATTACAGTATTGTCTGTTTTGGTAAATGATTCTTGGGGACTTGAAAAAATTATATTTTCTTGTTGCCATTGTTGGGTGGAACGTTCAATTAGTGTAGTTGCTAGTGTTGTTCAAGTCACTGTATAGTTACTGATTTCCTGTCTACTTGTTCTATGAATTATTGAGAGAGAGATATTGAAATATCTAATGATAATTGTGAATTGGTCTATTCTTTAAGTTCTACCAGTTTTTCATTTATGTTTTTTTCAAGCTCTGTTATTAGGTGCATATTTAAAATGATAATGTAATCTGGAAGTAGTGGGCCCTTTATCATTTAAATAATGGCCTTCTTCATCCTTAGTAATATGATTTGCTTTGAAATCCATTTTTTTCTGATATTCATAGATCATTCTAGTATTCTTTTGATTGTGTTAGCATGGTATATCTTCTTTCATCCTTTTGCTTCTGACTTATTTGTGTCTTTATATTTAGAGTGCAATTCTGGTCAACAGGCTATAGTTGGGTCTTGCTTTTTTATGGCAAAATATACACAACACAAAATTCATCATTTTAACTATGTAAAGGGTACAATTCAGTGGTATTTAATACATTCACAGTGATGTACGACCATCATCATGTTCAAGAACATTTTCATCATACTACAAGAAAAAACTCTGTACCCATTGAGTGGTCACTCCCCATTTCCCACTCCCAGTCCCTGGTAACCACTATTCTACTTTATGTCCCTGTAGACAAGTTAAGCAATTTGAACTTTTAGTGGAGATGCCTAAAATAATTTTTTCATAAAGTCCAATAATTTTACTAGAATATATCTTGATATTGGCCATATATTTTACTTTTCCTAGGTATGTGATAATGCTGTTTCACTATGTAGTTATAAAATATTTTATTTCAGGAACATTTTCTTGAATTACAGATTTTAGTGTTTGCTGTCTTCCATTCCTCATGTTCTTCTTGAGAGCCTCTTATTACATATGTTAAATCTTCATTGCCAATCAGTTACTTTCTTTGAATCCTTTGTATCTCTTTTAAAATATTAAAAAACATTTTCCTCTCTACATTCTATTTATCTGAAGGCATCACTGTACTTGTTCTTTCTTGTTTTCTTCTAATGTAATCTTCATTTTTAAAAAAGTCTCTTTTTTCTAATTATATCCTGAGTTCTGCCCATCTCAAATCTTCCTATTCGCCAATCACCTCATTTATAAGGTTTTAAAGTTTTAATTTATATTGTTCTTTAATAATTTTTGTCATTTTCATAACATATTTTACTTGTTTTTAAAATTAGATAATTTTTATGTCTTTCATACATGTCTTTCATATGTGTTTCGTTGCCTTGTGTATTTCAATGTTGGGTATATTTATTGTCCTTCTTATTTTATTTTATTTTTTGAGATGGAGTCTCCCTCTGTTGCCCAGGCTGCAGTGCAGCGGTGCAATCTCAGCTCACTGCAACCTCTGCCTCCTGGGTTCAAGTGATTCTCCTGTCTCAGCCTCCCGAGTAGCTGGGATTACAGGCATGTGCTACCACGCTGGGCTAATTTTTGTATTTTAAGTAGAGAGTGGGTTTCACCATGTTGTCCAGGCTGGCCTCAAACTCCTGACCTCAAGTGACCTGCTCACTTCTGCCTCCTAAAGTGCTGGGATTACAGGTGTGAGCCACCGTGCCCAGCCTATTGTTTTATTCTTATATATTCCTATAGTACTCCCTATTCTTTTATTTCCTCAGGATAAACTTCCTATGGCGTTTGACTGTGATTATTTTCTGTTGCTCACTTTGCATATGCAATGAATTTTCTTTGTTTCTAGGATGGAAAGGCGTGCTAGGATAGCTTTTTAAGCTTCGTGCCAAAGCTCCCTCTTAGGTTTTTCTAACACATTTATTTATTTACTTACTTATTTATTTTTGAGACTGAGTCTCGCTCTCTAGCCCAGGCTGGAGTGCAGTGGCGCAATTTTGGCTCACTGCAACCTCCACTTTCCGGGTTCAAGTGTTCAGGACGGGGTTTCACCATGTTGATCAGGCTGGTCTTCAACTCCTGACCTCAGGTGATCCACCTGCCTCAGCCTCCCAAAGTTTTGTGATTACAGGCGTGAGCCACTGCGCCCGGCTTCACAAAGTAATTTAAAATGTGGCCTCCTATTTTCTGAGCTCTGCCTACTTTGCGCCCCTCCTCTACTTTAATCCAAACTTTCTTTTCTCATTGCTTCTATTGTCCCTGTCCTACTCAGTTTGGATTCTGTTCCCATCTGTTTCTTCTCAATGTGGATCTTTGTCTGGGGAAAGAGATTTGATTTGTTCATTTCATGGGGTTATAAGGCCCACGCTACTCCAGCACCATCAGATCCACCATATCATGGCCCCATTGCATTCACCCACGTACTGGATCTCTTAAAACCTTCCCAGTTTTTATTGTTCTTCTCAGATTGGCCCACGGTGCATTCCAGTTGGTTCATACTGGTGACTTTGGGGTTGTTCTATCCTTGGGATGTAGGAGTTAAGAAGCAATCACTTAGGCAGATAGAAAGGCATGAGAGTCCTCGGTAAGGCTTTTCTCTTTAATGAAAAGCAGCCCAAATCATTTTCTAACAAAGGGCAGCCTGCAAAGTCGAGCCGCAGACATAGACAAGCAAGCTGGGAGCTTGCACGGGTGAATGCTGGCAGGAACTCCGCACTAGACATGTTCAAGATGGCGGCTCCATCCTCCCTTCTCTGCCAGCCACTTGTACAGTAAGGAGCAGACAACATGGCGCTGGCCAAGAAGAGACAACATGTCGCTGGCCAATTGCTTATTAGGCAAATGCTGGCATGATCATTTGCCTAATAAGATCAGGGTGTGTGACTAGCCTTCCAGCGCTATATAAACATCATACCTGATCAAACGAATCTGTGAGTCCTGCATAAATCGGACACTGCCTCCTCAAGCTGGGCTATAAAATCCGGGCATCCACAATCAGCCGGTCTTTTCTTCTCAGAAGACCCCTCTCTCTCTAGAGAGAGGGCTGTTTTTCTTTCTCTTCTCTTCTGCCTATTAGACCTCCACTCCTAAACTCCTCTTGTGTCTGTGTCCTAAATTTTCCTGCCAGGAACAACGAACCCCAGGGTATATACCCCGGACACTATAGCCACTTCACTTGCAGTCATCAGAAGCCCAGGCACCTTCTGACTGCACAGACGTAAGACCACGCGGTCCTTTAGCTGCCAATGGTTTGTTCCCACCCACTTTTAGGAGAGTCTTGGGGAAACCGTATTACCTAGTTTTGTGGTAGATGTTGTCCATCGGTCTTTAGTTTTGCTATCTTAGTTACTCTGTTTGTTTATATGGGATAATCTGAGAATATTTAAAACTCCACCATCATCTTACCAGAAATCCAATGTACATTTACTTTTTTTTTTCATAATTCAGCTAGAGATATTTTCTACTGCTCACAAGTCAGAACTTGGACTGATACAGAGGTTTAATTGACTATCACAAAAGGAGTGGGGGCATGGCTGCCATATAAAGAGGTCACAAGACTGTCATTTCAGCCCACATCAAAGACAGCAGTGCATTTAAACCATGGCAGGTGATGATCCTACCCACTCTTCTCTCATCAGCCCTTGGGTGCTGCACAGCTCTGCATTTTGCTCTGAGCACCATGATTTTAACAGACACTCATTTGTGAAGTGTGTTTAGGAAGTCGAGGCCTTTTGAAATCTTGCTGCTTTAGTAAGAAACTACTAGGGAACTACTGGAACATCTCAGGGGGCAATATGATTGTCAGGCCTCTGAGCCCAAGCTAAGCCATCATATCCCCTGTGACCTGCATGTATACATCCAGATGGCCTGAAGCAACTGAAGATCCACAAAAGAAGTAAAAATAGCCTTAACTGATGACATTCCACCATTGCGATTTGTTCCCGCCCCACCCTAACTGATACGATAGTCTCCCCCACCCTTAAGAAGGTACATTGTAATATTCTCCCCTGCCCTTAAGAATGTATTTTGTACGCCTATCCCAAACCTATAAGAACTAATGATAATCCCACCACAGTTTGCTGACTCTCTTTTCTGACTCAGCCCGCCTGCACCCAGGTGAAATAAACAGTCTTGTTGCTCACACAAAGCCTGTTTGGTGGTCTCTTCACATGGACACGCGTGACAATGACCATCACCTTCGAATATTTGATAATGAGAAAAGCAAATAGCCTTGCCTGTGTGGCTCCAAAGAGTAGAGCCTCAACCATGGGTGGACACCACTGGGGGACACATATTCATTTTACTTGAAGAAGAAACTTTTCCTCCACTTAGAGGCTGTACATATGCTTGATGGGTACACCCTAAGGATGACACAACAGCAGTGGGGTTAGACTAATCACCTCTAAAGTCTCTGCAGCTCTAAGACAAGCTTTGGACTTTCCCCACCTTGGAGCCAGTAATGTTATTAAGCTTGAAAGAGATGCCTAGCATTGTACTAGGTGGTGTTGAGGCTTAAAGTTGGTTGTGGGATTATAGAAAACTAAATGACAGACTTCACTTTCTTTCCTTTTCTTTTCTTTCTTTTTTTTTTTGAGATGGAGTCTGGCTCTGTTGCTCAGGCTGGAGTGTAGTGGCATGATCTTGGCTCAGTATAACCTCTGCCTCCTGGATTCCAGAGATTATCCTGCCTCAGCCTCTCAAGTAGCTGTGACTACAGGCGAGTGCTACCATACCTGGCTAATTTTTGTATTTTTTAGTAGAGATGGGGTTTCACCACATTGGCCAGGCTGGTCTCGAACTCCTGACCTCAGGTGATCCACCCACCTCGGCCTCCCAAAGTGCTGGGATTACAGGCGTGAGCCATTGCTCCCAGCCACTTTCTTTTTTTTTCCTTTTCCTTCTTCTGAGGCAAGAGTGACAACTTTACTCTCAAGTAAGTCATGATTTACTTTATAAGATTTCACTGATGTATCCATGAAATAATAAGCAAATAAGAGTTAATAGCTATATTTTCTGAGTGCTGCTAGATGCTGTCTGTCTATATTATCTCGTGTAATCCTTGCAGCAACCCTGGGAAGTAGGTGCTGTTATTATTTCCACTTGATAGATGAGGCTTCAAGAGGTGAAGCAAGTTGTGCAAGGCTGTACAGCTATTAAGTAGCCAAACTGGGATTCAAACACAGCTTTGTCTCTAAATGTGTGCTCTTAAACATCTCAGTAGGAAAAATGTGAGATTTTTGGAAAAGCTGGTACCATAGGAGTCTAAGGGTATTCCAGAGGGAAGGCAAAGGATGAACACAAATTGAAGGCTTTGGACATGCCAGGTACCATACAATTTCATCCTCAGAAAACAGTAAGAAGCACATGTTGTTAGCCTGAAAGATCGGACAGGACCCAGTCAGGAGACAGAAAACACACCCATTATTTTTACAAAGAGCATTAATATAAATAGCATTAGCCAGGCATAAAGTTGGTAATTAGGTAACTGAAAAGGCAAAAAGAAAACTGAGTTGTTGGCCGGGCGCAGTGGCTCGAGCCTGTAATCCCAGCACTCCGGGAGGCCGAGGCGGGCGGATCACCTGAGGTCAGGAGTTCGAGACCAGCCTGGCCAATGTGGTGAAACCCTGTCTCTACTAAAAATACAAAAATTAGCCGGGTGTGGTGGCACATGCCTGTAATCCCAGCTGCTCAGGAGGCTGAGGCAGGAGAATCACTTGTACCCGGGAGGCGGAGGTTGCAGTGAGCCAAGGTCGCGCCATCGCACTCCAGCCTGGGGCGACAAGAGCGAGACTTCATCTCAAAAAAAGAAAGAAAAAAAAAAGAAAGGAAAAGAAAACTGAGTTGTTGTGGAGGTAATAACTGCTAGAAGCAGCTCCCACCCCCCAAGGCTGGGGGACTAGGGAAGAGATTAGAACTGTTAGAATTTAAGAGCTTGGAGGAGAAGCCCCCTTCGAGCCAAAACTCAGACCTCTGGGGGTAGGAGAAGGAGACTCTCCTGCTCCGCTGCTCTGGGGCTGGTGTCTCTGAGATGCAGCACCATGAGGCTGGTTCTGTGAAGGTTGGGAAACTGCAGACTAGATTCAGCTGCTGCTACGGGAGGGACCTGCTGCTGCCGAGGGGAAGGAGTGTGGCTGGAGCTACAATCACCTGAGCTGAAAGGAGACTGGCAGGACCAAACCCCGTCTTCCAGGCCCAGCACTGAGCTTCCCGTTAGCATCCCCTATTGGCTAAGACTACTATAGAGCCCGCTGGCAATGTAGGAACGTGGTTCGCAACATGGTTTTGGCATCAAAGAGACGGAGTCTCAGAGAGCTGAAGACATTTGCCTCAAGTTTCACACTCGCCACTCCACCACCCAGCCTTGTATAAGTGCTGTCTGCTTTTATGACCTCTTTGCTCATTTCTGGGGCTGCACTGGGGCCAACTTAGCCTCCTTCTGTCACTTCCCTGCCCTTGGTAGGAGCTCTTGCCTCAATGGGCAGCACAGCCTGACACTGGCAGACCCGGAGGCCGGGCAGGCTCCCCGGAGCCCTGAGAGTGCCCTCTTTGTGTTCCCCCGGCCCTGGAATCTCTCCTGACACATTCCCTGGCTGGGCCTCACCCCCTGTTCTGGCAGGCCCAGTCTGGCGGTGGTAACTGCCAAGCATCTGCTCAGCCTGCCTTGATGCTGGGAACAAAGAGACCAGCTTAGCCCAAGCCATTACCTGCCTCTCAGAGGCCTCAGGCACCGTGGCCGGGGCCAAGCCCCTGTGTCGGCTTCCCAGAAAGCGGGTCGGGTGGGGGTTAGGGCATGTCTGTCTCACGTGCTGAAGGAAGGAATACTTGTGCCAAGGGACAGGAGACCATTTTTGGGGTGGTGGGCTTATAGTGGGTGAGTCAGGGGAGCTCACCGCTGCTCATCCATCTTGTGTAGCCACCCCCGAAAATATTTACTGAGTGCATAGTATGTGTCAGACATGGTGCTTGTGGTGGAAATACAGTGCTTATAAAGGGAACAACTTTGCCACACTTAGTGAACTTAGGGTCAAGTGCAAGATACAGCCCATAGCTGAGTAAGAAAATGGGACAGGCATGGAGTTCATATCCTCAATCCCAGATTCGTAAAAAATAGAGCTTCAGGTTGGCCGGGCGTGGTGGCTCATGCCTGTAATCCCAACACTTTGGGAGGCCGAGGTGGGTGAATCACCTGAGGTCAGGAGTTCGTGACCAGCCTGGCCAACATGGCGAAACCTCATCTCTACTAAAAATACAAATATTAGCCGGGCATGGTGGTGCATGCCTGTAATCCCAGCTATTCAGGAGGCTGAGGTGGGAGAATCGCTTAAACCCGGGAGGCGGAGGTTGCAGTGAGCCGAGTTTGCGCCACTGCACTCCAGCCTGGGTGACAGAGCGAGACTCTGTCTCAAAAAAAAAAAAAGAACTTGAATTTTCTATAATTCACATTGATTTCTACTTTGAGACTCAATTCACTGGGAGACGAAAGGCGTAATGGATCACAGTTAGTTTAGGATAATTGTCTTTTTCTAGGGCTGTGTTTAGGTTCTAGGAGGCTTATGTAGCAACGTGGAATCTGAGGCATTAAATGAAGCAAAAAGTCTCTTGAGCCCTTTGATTCGTATCCTGTCGGCCTGGTTCCTCCGTGCACACATGTAATGTGCATGCATGCACACTTGCATACACAATCACAGTCATCCTCATTTCCCACTCAGCAGCCACCTCTATCTCCCTGCTCCCCTTTCGTGTCCCTCCCTTCACTAGCAGACGATTGGCTGAGTGGACCCAGTACATCAACACAAGTTCAGGATACATTCTGCAAAGGAAGACACAGCAAACAGACATCAGATAAGAGGCAGTCACACGGCAGACGTAGAGCCAGGCACTTGACATGCTTTTCTTCAGTCCTTACCATGACCCATTAAAGTAGATATGTTGTTATCCCCATTTTACAGATGAAAAAAACAGGTTCAGTGAGGTTAAGGGATACATCCCCCTCAGCACAGTGAGGATTCTATCAGAACCCCAAACCCTTCCCCCACTGCCATATCCTATGGCCTAAGTGTAGATCCTGGTGCCCCAGAGGGTCCAGATCAGGAAGGGAGTGGCAACAGGACTCCATGTGGTTCCTGGGACAGTCTATGAATGGTCTCTTCAGGCCTGGACTTGATCCATTCTTAACCCTTCACCTCCTGGACACAGGGTCAGGAATTTCTGCAGGAAGAGTCAGAGTATCAAGTGTGATGCATCCTGACAGCTTCCCAGGTGTTCGATGACAGCCTGGTGAAACGGAGAAAGCTGGGAGAATAGGCCCTTAGCCAAGGCACCCAAACCACCAGAAAATGGAAGAGACTCAAGTCTGTGGTTTTCCTGATGCATGAATGGACAGGGCTGAGGATGCAGCTGAACAACCTGGGGGTGGGGAGGGGACAGTGCCTGCATAGTCAGTCTGAGCCCCAGGGAAGGGATGGCAGCTCCCCACTTCTTACCCACCCCGTGCCCTTGTGTCTCACTCTGCCCCCATCCTAGAGGGCAAACCCAGGAGTGGCTGCACTCCCTCTTACTTCCCGTACTTCTGCTGCAGACATGATTAAATAAAACCAGACCTCGAATCCCAGAGCACCACTCAGGTCTGGAGCTCAGAAGATTCCAAATTTAAGTAGGTAAATCCCCACTAAGAACATCAACAAAATGTCAAGAGCCATGACAGCAGCTGGGCTCTTTGTACACGTGATTTGATAGAATCTATAATGAAATTTAAAAAAGCATGTATGTAATTATACTTTTAAACGTATTTGTACTTAAGTAGCATTCGACTACTTTGGTTGGAAAAAGATGGCAACAAGTAGATGTGTGTGATGTTATTTGTTCAGAGTAGAGACAATTGCTGGAGCAAATATGGATTCATAGGCCAATTGCAATTAGTCTCAGTTCCCCTGCCACAAGGAGAGCCTGGGTATGCACCCTACACTGCTACACCCCCAGGTCCATGGCCCATAGGCCGGGAGCCTGGAGCTGCAGATTGGAGGGTTCTAGTGACATCCCTTCCTGAACTTCCATGTGCCCCTTGGCAAGTGACTTGACTGCTGTGAGCTGTGGTTTTCTTATTCTTACCTGCTTGTTGGGGTGCTGGGACAGAATGAGACAGTGGCCACAAAACACATGGCTGGGAAGACACAAGCCTGTGGCCACAGAAGTTATTCCTCTCTTCTTGTTTCAGATGGGAACAAATCATATGTCCTTTTTTCTATCATTATTGAACCTTCAGGCTTGGAAGGGGAGGGGAAAGAAGAGAATCGACAGCCAGGATATTTCTGCCTCAACTTTTCCAGGAGGATCTTATCAGGGAGAAAGTCAGCTAGGACTCAGTCACCTTCCTGAAATTAGGGATTGTTTGGTTTTCCCTTCCACCTTAGGGGCTGGATCAGGTCCCAGGGGCTTGGTTAGATCAGTCAGGTAAGTTACCCTGAGCCACGGGAGTTGATGGAGCCAGAGGGTAGAGCAAAAGAGTTTTCAAGGAGACCCAGAGGCCAAGCTCCCTCGTTGATTTCTTCACCCATTCTTTTACGAAGCCATCCAGTAAATCCTTCCTGCTGCCTTTTCTGGGCTGGCTACATGCCAGGGGTGGAGGCCATGAAGCCCTGTTACCATTATCATAGAGTTCTGTGTCTGGGTGGTGACGCAGACGTGCTCACAGATAATGATCATACAATAATATGTGATAAGTGCCATGATCAAGTGAGACACAGGAACTGTGGGGGCAGAGAGGAGGGGCTCCTCATGCAGCTGTAGGTCACAGAGGGCTCCCTGGTGGAGGCAACAGTGGCGCTCACCACAAAGGATGAATATGGTCCAAGATGTGGGTGCAGGACTATGCTGCGTAGGGAGGTGGCAGAAGGGACTAAGCCTTCATTCACCAATAGGGTCCTTCTTTGGGGTATGGCCTCGTCATACATGGTGAGTTTTACCCGAGTGAAGGGCCCAGAGTCAGAGCAGACCGAAACCACAGAAACCACTTGCTTTTAGTAAGTGTGCCATGACTCCTCAGAAGCATAGGTGGGAGGACCCCAGAGGGAGCAGAATGACTTTAAAACATCAACAGTTTATGATTCTGAAGGTTCCCCTCTCTCCCTTTCTATTCTATGCTCCTTTTTTGGGTATCCTACACAGAGTCACCAGCTGAAATTTTTCAAAGATCGTATTTATCACACCATTCTTCTGCTCAAGAAGAAGATGTGGAGTTTCTTCTGTTTCTGACCAGGCAAAGTAACAGGGCCCAGACTTACCAAATTACCTAAAAAGGCAGTATTTGAAACAACAGTTTTAAAGACAATGAATATCAAGCAATGCAGTTTAGTGATCTCTGAGAAATGGGAAACAAATAAAGTCCTACAACTGCCCCAGCTTACAAGTTTCCAGGCCATGATGCAGAGAGGAGACCTAGAGAGACCCTGGGACTCCCTGAGTTGAGATGGGGCTGAGGGTACAGGGAGGTTAAGACCCCTAGAGTTCACAGGACTGAGTGTCAGAGAGATGAGAGCTGCACAGAAACAGAACCCCAGAGATCTGCAGAGGGTCCTCCTGGAGTATGAACCAGAGAAATGAATGATAGTGAAGAAACTATCCAAGGATAGAAAAGAGTTCGAGCTAACAGTGCCCAGCATGCATGCAAAGTCAGGAATCATGCGTGCACCTATTAGGCAGGTGGGAAAACATAATTCACAGCTCATTGGGTACACTCAGGAGGGACTTGCCTCAGTAGTGGGGAACAATTAGCTTTTAAATTAGACAGGACTCCATCTAAAACTCATGAAAGCAAGACCTTAAAGATTCAAACTGTTCCCAAGTAACTAAACTACATCTCAGAATACATCCCAAGAATCTTTACAGGAATACTAAAAATCCAGCACCCAACAAGGCAAAGTTAGCATTGTCTAGCAGTCAACCAAAGATTACTAGACATTCAAAGCAGCAGAAAAATACAACTCGTAATGAAGGGACATATTAATCAATTGAAATCAACCTAAAACTGACACAGATGTTAGAATTAGCAGTCAAAGACATTGAAACAGTTATTATATATTTTGGGAGGCTGAGGTGGGCAGATAGCTTAAGCCCAGGAGGTTGATCCCAGCCTGGACAACATGGCGAAACCCCATCTCTACAAAAAATAGAAAAATTAGCCAGGCATGGTGGTGTGTGCCTGTGGTCCCCAGCTACTCAGGAGGCTGAAGTGAGGGGATCACTTGGGCCTGGGAGGTGGAGGCTGTAGTCAGCCCTCATTGTGCTACTGCACTCCAGCCTGGCCAACGGAGTGAGACTCTATCTCAAAAAAAAAAAAAAAAAAGAAAGAAAAAAAACACCCTCACCACCTCCCCCAAAACAGTTATTATAACTGTTTTCAATATGTTTGAAAAGCTAAGTAGAGATATGGAAGATATAAAGAGACCTAAACTGAGCTTCTAGAAATGAAATTGCAATGTCTGAGATAAACAATACAGTGGATAGAACTGGCAACAGAGCAGACATTGCAGAAAAAAAGGATTAGTAAACTTGAAGACATAGCAATAGAAATTATGTAAAATGAAACACAGAGAAAAAAGAATAAAAAACTGAAAAGAGCGGCCGGGTGCAGTGGCTCATGCCTGTAATTCCAGCACTTTGGGAGGCCGAGGCAGATGGATCACTTGAGGTCAGAAGTTTGAGACCAACCTGGCCATCATGGTGAAACCCCGTCTCTACTAAAAATACAACAATTAGCCGGGCATGATGGCACGCGCCTGTACTCCCAGCTACTCGGGTGGTTGAGGTGGAAGAATTGCTTGAATGTGGGAGGCAGAGTCTGCAGTGAGCTGAGATCACACCACTGCACTCCAGCCTGGATAACAGAGTGAGACCCTGTCTGAAAAAAAAAAAAAAAAAAAAAAATTTTTTTTGAAAAGAACATCAGTGATTTGTGGGACAACTTCAAGTAGTCTAATATAAGTGTAACTGAAGTTTCCGAGAGGGGAGAAGAGAATGAAAAACATATTTGAACATATAATAGCCAGAGATTTTGAAATTTTGATTAAAGCTATAAACTCATCAAACTAAGAATCTCAATGAACCTCAAACACAAGAAATATGAATAAGGCCACACCAAAGTGCATCATAATCAAATTGTTCAAAACCATTAATAAAAAGAAAATCTTAAAAGTGACCAGGGAAATAAGTCATGCTACATATGAACAAGGGTAAGTGCTACAGCAGATTTCTTAAGAGAAAAAAAAGCCAACAAAAGGATATTTTTATTTTACTTTATTTTTGAGATGGAGTCTCACTCTGTCTCCTAGGCTGGAATACAGTGGTGCGATCCTGGCTCACTGCAACCTCTGTCTCCTGGGTTCAAACAATTCTCCTGCCTCAGCCTCCTGAGTAGCTGAGATTACCGGCACCCACCACCACACCCAGCTAATTTTTGTATTTTTAGTAGAGACAGAGTTTCACCATGTTGGCTAGGCTGGTCTTGAACTCCTGACCTCATGATCTGCCGACCTCGGCCTCCCAAAGTGCTGGGATTACAGGTGTGAGCCACCGTGCCCAGCTGTATTGTAGGGTTCATAACATATGTAGGAGTAAAATACATGCCAATAATAGCATAAAGTCTGGGAGGAGAGAAATAACTTTATCATAAGATTCTTATGCTATATGTGAAGTAGTATAATGTCCCTTGAAGCTAGATTTTTTTAAGTTAAAAATGCATGTTATAAGCCCTGAAACAACCACAAAAATAACAAATACAGATAATTATTGCTACTAAGCCAACAAAAGAGATAAAATGAAATCATTTTATTAATAATTAACATTAAAGAATCAGAAAAATAATCAAAAGGAACAAAAATATTATGACAAATAGAAATAATAAAATGTTACATGTAAGCAAAACACATTAATAATAGCATTAAACGTAAGTGGTTTAAACATTCCAATTAAAAGACAGACATGATCAGGTTGTGTAAAAAAGGAAGACAAATGTATGTTGCATATAAAAACATTTTAAACTTAAAAACACAAATAGGTTAAAAGTAAAAGGATGGAAAAAGGTATGCCATACTAACACTAGGTTAAAGAAACCTGGAGTGGCTATATGATAATATCAGGGATCATTAGATTATAATATCAGGGATCATAGATTTCAGAGCAAAGAACATTGCCATGGATAAAGAAGGTCACTTCATAATGATGAAGGTGTCAATTCAACATGAAGACATTACAGTCCAAATGTTTGAGCTTCTCGTAAGAGAACAAAACACATGAAGCAAAAACTGATAAACTGCAAGGAGAAATAGACAAATCCATAATTATTGTCAGAGTTTTTTTATTTTTTATTTTTTTATTTTTTTTTGAGACGGAGTCTCGCTCTGTCACCAGGCTATAGTGCAGTGGCGCGATCTCGGCTCACTGCAACCTCCGCCTCCTGAGTTCAAGCGATTCTCCTGCCTCAGCCTCCCGAGCAGCTGGGACTACAGGTGTACACCACCAAGCCTGGCTAATTTTTGTAGTTTTAGTAGAGATGGGATTTCACCATGTTGCTCTCTCAATAATGTATAGCAAAAGTAGACCAAAAAATCAGTAGGGTTATGAAATTCTAATGAACACTAACAACCAACTTGATACAACTTACAGACCATGTTTTTTGCCATTGGTCTCAATAAATTTAAAAGGATTCAAGTCATGTGTGGTAGGCAGAACAATGGCCTCCCAAAGATGTCATGTTCGAATCCCTGGAATCTTTGAACATATTAGGTTACATGAAAAAGGAGAATTATGGTTGCTAATCAACTAATCTTGAGATGGGGAGATTATCCTGGCCCAATGTAATTACGAGGGTACTCATAAGTGGAAGAAGGAGGGGATGGCAGAGAGCTGTAGCATGAGAAGAACTCAACCTGATATTTCTGGTTTTGAAGGTCGGGGAAAAGGGTCATGAGCCAAGAAATGCAGGCAGCCTCTAGAAGCTGGGAAGAGCAAGGATGTAGATTCTCCTCATCCTCCAGAAGGAGCACAGCCTTGCTGACACTTCAATTTTAGCCCAGTGACGTCCGTGTCTGACTGCTGAACTGTTACAGAACTGTGAGGTAAAACATCTGTGTTGTTTTAAGTCACTGCATTTGTGGTAATTTGTCATAGCAACCCTAGAAAGCTAATAGTATACGAGTATGTTAGAATTAAATTAGAAACCAAATAGACAATCCTCAAATGTTTGGAAACTAAATAATATAATTAATGGATCAAAGAAAAAATAAAAAGGAATTTTAGGAAGTATTTTTAATTGAATGAAAATGAAAACAAAATATCAAAGTTTGTGGGATTCCACTAAAGTAGTATGGAGAGGGAAATTTACAGCACTAAACACTCATGTTAGAAAAGAAGAAAGGTACCAAATCAATAACCTCAGCTCTTGTCTTAAAAAACTAGAAAAACTCGGGAGGCCGAGGCAGGAGAATGGCGTGAACCCGGGAGGCGGAGCTTGCAGTGAGCCGAGATCGCGCCACTGCACGCCAGCCTGGGAGACAGAGCGAGACTCCGTCTCAAAACAAAACAAAACAAAACAAAACAAACACAAACAAACAAAAAAACTAGACAAAGACGAACAAATTAAACCCAGAGAAAGAAAAAATAAAGGTAATAGTAAGGACCAAAACAAAAATCAATGAAATGAAAAGCAGATGAAGGAAACCAAAAGATGGTTTGTTGAGAAAATCAATAAAATTGATAAACTTCCAGCTGAACTGATCAGGAATAAAAGAATATACCTATTACCGATATCAGGAATGACAGAGGTGAGGTGCCATCATTGCAGTTTCCACAGATATTAAAAAGATAAAGGGGTATATTATCAGCAACTTTATGCCAATAAATTAAACAGCTTAGGTGAGCTGGATGAATTCCTTCAAAGACACACATGACCGCAGCTCACCCAAGAAGAAACAGATAACCAGAATAACCTTATATCTATAAAATAATTTGAATTTTTGGTTAAAAATCTACCCACAGGATACCCATTAGGTCCAAGTGGTTTCACTGGTGAGTTCTATCAAATATTTACGGAAGAAATAATACCAATTCATAAACTACTCCAAGAAACTGAAGAAGAGGGAATACCTACCAATGCTTTCTACAAGGCCAGCATTATCCTGATTAAAAAAACAATTAGCTGGGTGTGGTGGCACGTGCCTGTAGTCCCAGCTACTTGGGGGCTGATTTGAACCTGGGGGATCGAGGCTGCAGGAAGCTGACATTGCACCACTGCACTTCAGCTTGGGTGACAAAGTGAGATCCTGTCTCAAAAAATAAGTCAATAAAAGAAAACAAAAACAAAAACAAATAAATGAAATAATGTTACATTCCTTTTTTTCTTTTTCTTTTTTCTTTTTTTTGAGACTGAATTTTGCCCTTGTTGCCCAGGCTGGATTGCAATGGCACGATCTCGGCTCACTGCAACCTCCGCCTCCTGGGTTCAAGCGATTCTCCTGCATCAGCCTCCCAAATATCTGGGATTACAGGCATGTGCCATCATGCTCGGCTAATTTTGTATTTTTAGTGGAGATTGGGGTTTCACCGTGTTGGCCAGGCTGGTCTCGATCTCCTGACCTCAGGTGGTTGCCTGCCTCGGCCTCCCAAAGTGCTGAGATTACAGGCATGAGCCACTGCATCCGGCCCATTTTATTTTTCCTAATGAAAGAAAGTTACAGACCAGTATCTTTCATAAGTATATATACAAAAATTTTAAACAAAAAATTAGCAAAGTGAATCCAACAATATATAAAACAGATAATGCAAGTAGGGTTTGTCCTAGGAATTCAAGGTTGATTTAACATTCAGAATCAACCAGTGTAATCCATCATATTAACAAATTTAAAAAGAAAAACATGGTCATTTAAACAGATGCAGTGAAAGTATTGAAAAAAAAACTACCATTTTTTTCTGATAAAAAATTTTCAGCAAATTAGGAATACAAAAAAACTTCCTCAAACTGATAAAAGGCATCTACAAAAATCCCATAGCAAACACCATACTTCATCATGAAAGGCTGATGCTTTCACCGTAAAATCGGGAACAAGAAAGTGGTATCTACTCTCATCATATCTATTCAACTGGAGGTTCTAACCAGTGCAATAAGGCAAAAATAAAACAAAGCCATCCCTTTTGGAAAGGAAGAAGTAAAAGTGTCCATTTCTTTATTTGCCGTTGACATGATTGTTTATGTAGAAAATCTGATGAAATCTATGAAAAGTTACTAGAACTAATGAGCAAGGTTGCAGGGTGCAAGATCAATATACACAAATCAACTGCATTTCTATATGTCAGCAATAAACAATCAGAAACTGAAATGAAAAGACATGTAAAAATCTCTGCACTGAAGACTACAAAATATTGCCAAGAGAAATTAAAGACCTAAATAAATGATGTCATAACTCATTCATTGATTGGAAAGCTCTGTATTGTTATGATGCCAATTCTCCTGCAAATTGATTTATGAATTCAATGCAGTCCCAATCAAAACCTCAGCAGAGGCCAAGCACCATGGCTCATACCTGTAAACTCAATACTTTGGGAGGTTGAGGTGGGACAATTGCTTGAGGCTAGGAGTTCAAGACCAGCCTGGGCAACATAGTGAGACCCCACCTATTAAATAAAATTAGCTGGGTGAGGTGGTATGTGCCTGTAGTCCCAGCTATTTGAGAGGCTGAGGCAGGAGGATCACTTGAGCCCAGGACATTGAGGTTACAGTGACCTATGATGATACCCTGCACTCCAGCCTGAATGAGAGTGAGACCTTGCCTCTAAAAAAACTTTTTTAATTTAAAAAACAAAAACAAAAAACCCAGCAGACTATTTTTGTAGAAATTGGCAGGCTGGTTCTAAAATTCATACGAAAATGCTAAGGACCCAGAATAGCCAAAATAACTTTGGAAAATAAGAATAAATTTAGAGTACTAACACTATCAGATTTCAAGACTTATAAAGCCGTAGTAATCAAGACCAGGGATCAGCACACATTTTCTGAAAGGGCCAAATAGTAAATATCTTAGGATTGCAGGCCCTGTGGTTTCTGTCACAACCACTCGATTCCACCATTGTAGTGCACAAGCAGCCACAGACAGTATATAACTGAATAGGTGTGTCTCTGTTCAATAAAACTTTCTTTTTTGAGATGGGGTCTCACTCTGTTGCCCAGGATAGAGTGAACTGGTGCAATCACTGCTCACCGCAGCCACGACTTCTTAAGCTCAGGTGACCCTCCCACCTCAGGCATGCATCCTCATGCCTAAGTTTTGTATTTTTTGTAGAGACAGGATTTCCCCATGTTGCCAAGGCTGGTCTTGAACTCCTGAGCTCAAGCCATCCTTTCACCTCGGCCTCCCAATGTGCTGGGACTACAGGTATGAGCCACCATGCCTGGCTCAATAAAACTTTATTTACACAACTGGCAGTGGGCTTAAGGGCTGTCATTTGCAGACCTCTGATCAAGACAATGTGGTATTGTTATCAGGACAGACAAATAGATGAATGGAACAGCAAAGAAGGTACATAAATGTACCTACACATATGGAAAATGGATTTTTGACAATTATGTAAAGGCAATTCAGTGCAGAAAGGATAGTTTTTCATCAAATGGCACTAGATAGTTGTATGTCAAGAAATAAGCTTTGACCCATACCTTACACTATATAAGAAATTAACTTTGATAAGTGATATTCCTAAGCCATATTTAAAAGGAACTCATGGGCCGGGCGCGGTGGCTCACGCCTGTAATCCCAGCACTTTGGGAGGCCGAGACGGGCGGATCACGAGGTCAGGAGATCGAGACCATCCTGGCTAACACGGTGAAACCCCGTCTCTACTAAAAATACAAAAATTAGCCGGGCATGGTGGCACGCGCCTGTAGTCCCAGCTACACGGGAGGCTGAGGCAGGAGAATGGCGTGAACCCGGGAGGCGGAGCTTGCAGTGAGTCGAGATCGCGCCACTGCACTCCAGCCTGGGCGACAGAGCGAAACTCCGTCTCAAAAAAAAAAAAAAAAAAAAAAAAGGAACTCATGATGGATTATAGACCAAAATATGAAACTATTAAAACTATAGAAGTTCTAGAAGAAGCCACAAGAGAAAAATCTTTGTGACATTGGGTTAAACAATATTTTTTGATATCACACCAGAAGTATAATTCATTGAAAAAAAAATTAATATATTGGACTCAGCCCAAATTGAAAGCTGTGGTGAGATGGGCCCTGAGAGCTGGAAGTTCTGCTCTTCATAAGACACTGTTCAGAGAGTTAAAAGATAAGCCACAGAGTAGGAGAAAATCTTTGCAAAAACATGTATCTGTGAAGAACTTGTACCCAGAATATAAAAAGAACTGTTGAAACTCAGTAATAAGAAAACAGCCCAATTTTAAAAGATGAGCAAAAGATTTGAACAGAGACTTCATTCCAAAAAATATATAATGGCAGAAAAATCACATGAAAAGATTCTCATTAGTCATTAGGGAAATGGAGATTAAAACCACAATGAGATACCACTTCATACCTATTAGAATGACTAAACTTTAGAAAGACTGATCATACCAAGTGTTGGTGAGGATGTGGAGGAAAGGCAATTCTTACACATATCTAGGGGAGAATGACAAATCACAGATCCACTTCTGAAAACAGTTTGACAGTTGCCTAAAAACTTAAATATATACCTACCTTATGATCCAGCCATTCAACCCCTTAGGTGTTTAGGAGGAAAGAAAGGAATCATGTCTGGTAGGGCCCGGTGGCTCATGCCTGTAATCCCAGCACTTTGGGAGGCTGAGGTGGGAGGATAGCTTGAACTCAGGAGTTCAAGACTAGCCTGGGCAACATGGCAAAACTCCTACTCTACCAAAAATACAAAAAAATTAGCTGGGTGTGGTGTTGCCCACCTGTAGTCTCAGCTACTTGGGGAGCTGAGGCAGGAGGATTGCTTACACCTGGGAGGTTGAGGCTGCAGTGGGCTGAGATTGTGCCACTGCACTCCAGCCTAGGTGACAGAGTGAGACCCTGTCTCAAAAAAAAAAAAAAAAAAAAAGAGGGAACATATCCATACAAAGATTTGTACACAAACATTCATGGCGGTTTACTTTGTTCTTTTATTTTTTATTTTTTTGGAGACTGAGTCTTGCTCTATCGCCCATGCTGGAGTGCAGTGGCGTGATCTTAGCTTACTGCAACCTCCGTCTCCTAGGTTCAAGTAATTCTTGTGCCAAAGCCTCCTGAGTAGCTGGGATTGCAAGCGCCCACCACCACTCCTGGCTAATTTTTGTATTTTTAGTAGAGATGGGATTTCACCATGTTGGACAGGCTGGTCTCGAACTCCTGACCTCAAGTGATCCACCCACCTCAGCCTCCCAAAGTACTGGGATTACAGGCATGAACCACCATGCCCAGCCTATTTGTAAAAGCCAAAAACTGCAAACAAACTTCCAGCAAAAGGTGAATAGACAGATAAATTGTGATGTATTCATATAATGAAATACTACCCAGCAATAAAATATGAAATACTGATAGCATGCTACAACACAGATAAATCTCGAAGTAATTATATTGAATGAAAGGAGCCAGAAAAAATGGATACATACTGTATAATTCCATCCATGAAAAACTTTAGAAAATGCAAACTAATTTGTATTGATGGGGAGCAGATCCGTGGTTGCTGTGGGAGGGGAGGGGCAAAAAGAAAGGGTTACCGAGGGACAGAAGCCAACATCTGCGGGTGATGGATGTGTTTGTGCACTTGATTGGTGATGCTTTCTGAGGACATACAAGTAAAAACATAAGTATAATTATGTCTTGAATTGATTATCACAATTATCACTTTAAATATGTGAAGATTATTGTACATTGATTACATCTCAAGAAAGCTATTTTTAAAAAAATCCTTGTGGGCTCCCACTGCCCTTAGATACAGTTCAGTCTCCTCACCAAGTATACAAGGACCTCCACGGCTCAGTTCTACTTTCCAGAATTCACTTTAAAAAACTGGAAAGGCTTATTTATACTTCAACATGAAAATGCAAAAAAAGCTTCACCTACAATTTGTGGCAGAAATTTTGGGGGTGGGGGGGTAAATCATACTGCTTGGATGTAACTCACCCAGACATCTCTCTCTGTAGCTCAGAGTTTGAGCACAAATCAGGTTAAGGGTGAATAGGGAGCAGCTCAGAGAGGAAACAATGGGTTTGCTTTCTATCCAGTAATTTGCTCAGCTGAGAAATTATTTACATAAGATATAAATTACACAGTTATATAATTTTTATCATGGCTATTCAAAAATGAGAGCCATGGAGAATTATAAGTTGTGAGCTACCCCCAAACCATAGAGTCTTTTTTGCCGTGTTAATGATGAGGGGAAAGAAAACAGAAAGACAAGCCTCTCTTTGGAAGAACTCGATCTTTGAGTCAAATGGAGCTTTTCAAATGATGTCTCCTGTAGCAAATTGTTGCACACAAACATTCATGGCAGTTCCTTTGGCACAGGAAGTTTTAAGCAAGTTAGATGTCAAAGGAGATGTCAAGAGGCAGCCAGAAATCAGCCAGGGTCCACTGTGGAGGCCCAAAGCCAGAAGACTGAAAGAGTATGCAGTTGTTTTTTGTGTGTGTGCTTGTTTTTTGCATCAAAGGAAGAGAGACACAACATACATACACAGAGAAATGGGCTTACATGAATGGGATGGTATTGGTGTGTGAGGGCAACATTTCTTTCAGTCTTGCTCCGTGATTTTATCTGTTTCTTGCTGACATTGATTCCCTAATATTTATGTTATAAAAAGAGGAAGAAGAGGCGGAGGAGAAGGAAGAAGGTGATGTGATAGGGAAAGGATTTAGCTCATAAAGCCTAAAAAATTCACTTTACTATTTTTACCTTTCATAGAAAAGTTTTTCAACTCCTGCTCCAGGGTAAGCAGGCAAATACCCAGCATACACAGCAGTCTCCCATATTTTAGTCCCTTGCAGACATGGCTAATCCATCACAACTGTCTTTCTGAGCTGGGCTTCGACTGGGCCACAGAATCTGTCTCAGTGAACTCAAGGCAGCCATTCCAATCAATTGGAATGAGAGTGTGGGATGAGACTATTTACCACCCCTAGACTTGTGGGTATGCCTGAATTCTTCAATTCTCTTAGGGCCAAATGACGTGGAATCCAAGAGCTATGAACAATGAAACTCAGATTAACCGTGTAGTCTGAATGGTTGTGTCCAGGAGCCCTACAGCTCCCCTAAGAAAAGTGAATGGAAAGTGCGATATTAAAGTGAGCATAAAGACAAAGAAGTCTTTTATTTATGTGCTAATCCTCACCTCACACTTTCTAATCCATGATTAGCTAAGAACTGCACTACACAAACTTACCCCTAGCTTGAAGAAGTCCTTTTAACACGTTCCTGTGTCTCAGGGGTTGGCTATGAGCTGTGAGATTAGAATGTTCCTTTGGCATAGGAAATTTTAAGCATCTTAAATATGTAATGTGGAAAAAATAAGGACAATATAACCTTGTCAATAAACTGGCTCAAGGCTTCGTGGCAGGAGCTGGGGGTGAAATAAGTAGCTGGGGTAGAGTAAGTAGGACCTCCATGGAGTTAACATGCAAGGTGAACTCCAGCGCCCCCAACTAAAGAAATATAACCATTCATACACACATATACACACTTCTCATGATGTCTGCAATATTTACACTGGAGACCTTTTATTTACCCTGGAATTCTTTAACTGTGATGATAATGCCTGACAGAATGAATGGAAATTACGTGCCAGAAACTTCACATACTTGTTTCTGTTCCTTACAACAATCCCATGAATTAGTTTCTGTCATTCTCATTTTATAGAGGAAGTAACAGATATTTAGAAAGTTTAGGGAATGTGGCCAAAGTTACATTAGCTATTGAGTGCTTCAATGGGGTTTACACCCAAGACAGACTGAAATCAAACCGAACCCTCTCCTCCCTACCCTGAGCCATGCTGAGACAAGCAGTGGAGCACTGAGGGGTTCGAGCAGACCCTGAGGACCTGCTCTGTGGACTGCCCAGCTGGGCCAGCCAGAGGCCAGAAGATAAGCTGGGAGACACTTGTCCACAGCCACGTCCGCTTCTCTGCACTGGCTGGTCCAAAGGCCCCTGCCTATGAAAAGCCAGCTAGGCCAAGGGTTCGTCTGAGGATGCCAATGCAGGCCTTTCCATTGGCCTATTTTCTTCAAGACTTAATGAAGCCTTCAGAGGTTTCTGCACACCCTACGGCTTAGAGCAGGCCAATGACTTTTGGATTTTCACAGTGCCTTGGCCAGTGAATTCTGAAGCAAAACCAAATGCATGTCATGGAGCTCCCACCCATGTGGTTCTGGGATTTTTCTCCCAGGAAACTTGGAGGCTCTGAAAGGCTGAGGTGTTTGGGGACTGGTACCATTTTTTCTTCTTAAAAACAAACTGTAGTCATATCTTCCTGTCTCTGCCTCCCAACGTCAACTCCTCTGAGGAATGATGAGGCAAGGGAATGTGTCAAGGTGGAGAGTGACAAAGGGGCATGGAAAGTATTTAATGATGCAGAAAGGCTGGGACTCAGCAAGCAAGATGTTGTGTGGCACATGGAATATATTCCCAGCTAGCTGCTTCTTCCTAGGGCTCCCACCAAGCACAGCTAGAAATTCTGGGCATTATACACAAAACAACCTGAGAAGACCCTGGAGGGGGAAGAAGAAAGCAGCCTGGCTAAGGACCTCAGAGGCGAATGTCCCAGGATTGTTTGTTTGCCTAATATACCCTGGATGATGTTGGCATTGCCAGCAACCCAAAAAGCCAGGAAGCACAGACCAAAGAGAGCCCCAACAAAAGCCTGTTCTCTCTAGCCAAAGGACCAGAAGAGAGGCAGCCTAGTGGAGAGAAAACTTTTAGAAGATAATCACCTGACTCCAGTCAAACACACACAAAAAATGTGGCCTCCACCCCCAACATCTTCAGCAAAGGCCAAGTGGGAGCTGAGACTTTCATCCAGGCTAGAAGCCGTCCCCTGCTGGGGTGACAGCAAATGAGGTGAGTGGGGGAGCAGGGACTTTCATTCCTCCGTGGAAGAAGGAGGCCAGAAAATGTAAATAAGAAGTAGGGTCTCATAGCATAATGCCTAAAATGACAAAGGTACAGGGAAACACCACTTTCTATTCCAAAAACCAGGAGACTCTCACCTCAAATAAGAAAAAACGATCAAAACTGAGATGACAGAGATATTGGAATTATCCCACAAGGACTTTAAAGCAGCCATCATGAAAATGCTTCAGTGAGCAATTCTGAACACACTGAAAACAAATGAAAACATAGGAAGTCTTAGCAAAAAAAATAGTGATATAAAGAAGAGCCAAATGGTAATTTTAGAAGTTAAAAATAACTGAAAGACTCATTGAATGGATTCAACAGTAGAATGGAAAGGACAGAGAAAACAATCAGGAAACTTGAAGATAAAGCAACAGAAATCACCCAATCTAAGCAAGAGAGAGAAAGAGACTGAAAAAAAGAACAGAAGCTTGAGGCCTGTAGGGCACAACAAAAGACCTAACATTCATGTCATGAGAGTCTCAGAAGGACAGGACTAAGAATGTGGGGCTGAAAAAATATTCAAAGAAGCAGTGGTTGAAATTCTCCCAAATTTGGCAAAAAGACATAAACCTGCATATTCAAGAAGCTGAGTTAACTCCTAAGAGGAGAAACTCATTCATACCAAGACACATCATGAGCAAACTCTTGAAAACTAAAGGCAAATAACAAATCTTAAAGGCAACAAGAAAGAATCAACACGGGAGTGCTGGCTTCAGGCTCAACTCCCACTGTCCCATTTTCTGGTCTCTTTCTCACTCCATCTGTGGCTGATGTTATGTTTTTTCTCAGTTTGCTGTATCTGCCCAGTGCTCATGATTTACTGGGAAAGACAAGCATGTCCATAATGGACATCTGTCTGCATGGGTTTGAACCCCACTCCTGGTACCAATTTCCTGTATTAATCCATTCTCACACTGCTATAAAGAAATACCAGAGACTGGGTAATTTATAAAGGAAAGAGGTTTAATTGACTCACAGTTCTGCATGGCTGAGGAGGCCTCAGGAAACTTACAATCATGGCAGAAGGCAAAAGGGAAGCAGGTACCTTTTTCACAAGGCACCAGAAGAGAGGAAGAGGGAACGAATGGGGAAAAGCCCCTTATAAAGCCATCAGATCTCATGAGAACTCACTCACTATCATGAGAACAGCAGGTGGGAAACTGCCCCCATGATCCAATCACCTCCCACCAGGTCCCTCCCTCAATACATGGGAATTACAATTCAAGATGAGATTTGGGTGGGGACAAAAAGCCAAACCATATAATTCTGCTCCTGGCCTTTCCCAAATCTCACGTCCTCACATCTAGACCACCCAGGCTCAAGCAATCCTCCCACCTCAGCCTTCCAAGTAGCTGGAACTGGGGTGTGCCACCAAGTCTGGCTTATTTTAAAAAATGTTTTATAGAGACAGAGTCTTGCTATGTTGCCCAGGCTGGTCTTGAACTCCTGGCCTCAAGTGATCCTCCTGCCTCAGCCCCCCAAAGTGTTGGAATTACAGATGTGAACCACCATGCCTGGCCTAGGCATTTTCTTAATACATTTTACAGACAGATGTGCACACCCTGGCTGGGAATCTGGGGATGAGCAAACTGGCTCCTTCTTCAAGGGCTCGCCTCTGAATTACCCACCGTATTATGGAGTTGGATGTGAAGACTGTAGATCTGGCCCTGTTCAGAATTCTGGAGAAGGAGGTTTTTGCTATTTAAAACCCCAGCTTCTTTCCAAAAGAGGTGGATGGTGATGAAGGGAGGTGTCTTCTGCTGGGCTGAGGACTGCGTGGGCAGCACATGCCAAGCAGGGGATGGTGGGGGTGAGGGAGGAACTCAGGGGAGATGAAACCTCCCTGAAAGACCAGGACAAAGGTGGGTTTGGGGGGACAGGCAGGAAAGTCCAGGAGGAAAGGGGCTCGGAGGGCAGATGGACAGGGGAAGAGATGAAAGGGGCTGGGGTGTAAGCCTGAGGCCAGAGTGGGAGGAAGTGGCTACAGGATACTCTTGGTGGGGAAGGGGGCCGGCAGACTCCTGGAAAAATGACTGTCCAACGTTCCCTGTGACACGACTACAGCTTCCTCATCGCTCACCCCTTCTCTCCACCTACAGGCTCTTTAGTACAAGAGAGCCTTTCCCATTCAGCTGGGGCTGGGTCAAGCCTGAACTTGGGTCCTCAGGTCCTCGTGCACTACATAGAGACATGATGATGATCATGATGCATGAAGATGATCCCAAAACAGTAGTGACATGGTGGGAGCAGGCGTTTGGAGCCACAGGTGACCTGGAGAAGGCAAACCTTCTGGGAAATTGCAGATAACTTGGGGAGGGTCTTGGAAACCCACTAGCACAGAATGCGGGTTTTTAGGGCTGTTTGTCAAAGTATCTTCTGCTGTCCAAGAGAGAAGTGCCCACATTCTTTTCAGACTAGGATGTTTTCTTCAGTGATTCAACACAGACATGGTCCTGCCCTTCCAATGTGAGCGCATAAGTCAGGGCAATGAGCTAAAGGCCCGGGCCACCGTTGGGCACTGGGCAGGTGACCGGGTGCTGTGGCTTTGTCCCTCTGACTGCCTGGCCATGCCGGCTCCTGGTGGAGGCTCACACCCATCAGGGACCAGCCCACATCTTTCACCCCATCCCGGGCTGGCCCCTCTCCAGCTTTGATGACAGAGGCTGCTCTGGGCCCTGAACCTGGCTGGGGACCCAGTCCTTCTCACAGGGAGCATTCTGGGTTGGCAGAGCTTCCACAGAACCCCGCCCTATGGCTTGGGCAGACCTGCGCCTCCACCCCCACTTCATGCCACACTCAGAGAACAGGCTGCCTGAAAGGGTGTTTGTTCCCAGTAGGAAAACCTACTCAACTCACCTGCAGAGGCTCCCAGGACTGAGAGGGAGGGGGGCCAGTGGGGCCTGGCTGGACCCAGCTGTCCTGTGTGCACAGGGCACCTGCTTGCTTGCCACACCCGCCCTGTCCTCCTCCTCTCGGGCTTGCTGCGTTTCTGTCCCGGGCTTTCTCTGCCCTGTCTTCCCCTTCCTTCTGTCTCTGGCTGTCCCATCTGTCTCTTTCCCTGCCCTTCTTTCTCTCTCTTCCCTCTCTGCTGCCCACGTTGCCCCTTTCTTCCTCTCTGTCTCCTTTCTGTTCCTCTGTGGCCATTTTCGGCCAAGCTCTGGCTCTGTCTCTGTTTGCATCTCTGCCTCCCACCCCTGACCTCTGTCTCCTCTCCAAGCCCAGGCAGGTTTATTTGAACAATAAAGGGTGATATTTCTTTCAGAAAACAGCTTATTTTGGCTCACAAACAAGAGGTACTGGGCAGGGTCGTCCCCTGGGAACTGTGGACCCAGCCAGCTGGGGAGGGGCCTGGGGGTGTGGGGGACCCAGTGCTAGAAGTGGGCTTGGAGGAAAAATGTCCATAAGAGTTTCCAGTTCCTGTCCTTTGACCTTGCCCACCCCATCACCTGCAATGGTAAAAATAAATACATAATAATTACTATTTTTATTCCAAAGGTTGCCATTTACTGCCATGCCAACCATTTTACCTGCAATATAATATTTAGCTCTGGCAACAGTCCTACAAAATTGATCCCATTGTCCCTTTTAGCAAATAAGGAAACTGAGGGTCAGAGAAGTTACCCCACCCTTAAGTGGCAGCCCTAGTCCAACAGCCTCCAAGCTCCCCTATTTTCTGCACTAGGAGGCGTCCCTGCTGATGGCTTTCACTTTGGAATTTGAGGAACCTGGGGAAGGAGCTGGTGCCATCTTGTCATTTTCCAATAAAGGGGAATGTGTGGTGAGGTGGCGCCCTGGCCATGGCCACCCAGCGGATCAACAGCGATAGAGAGAGGGACCCGGGCCTCTGAGGTCCCAGAGAGAGGGGAGGAGTGGGCTCAGGCCTGTGACTCTGGGTGTCCTCCCTCCTTGCTGTGTGTCCTCTGTCAAGCCCTGCCCTTCTCTGAGCCGCACCTTCCCCATCTGAGGGGATCTTAGTACGCTCTCCTGGGACTCTGTCTAGGGTCCTGGCCCTGGGCTGGGGACACGGGGAGAGGTCTGAGTGTTTCCTTTTTGAAACTTAAATTTCATTATTCGATTAACTTGTGCATGAGGTTTTTGTAGCTGAGAGCGAATCCTTTTAAAGGAATTTAAAGAAATTAAGTGAGATGATGCTTAAAAAGAAAGCTCTATGTGGCCATACTGAAGTCGTTTGCAGGTCGGGGCTCCTCAGTGTTCCATAACCATGAGAAGGGGGATGATTCTGCCCCTCAGATTCCCCCTGCTTCCTAGGCCACCCTGCACTGAGGCTTCACAAGGCTGAGGGTGAGCTTTCTGATGTGTTTTGTTCATTCATTCGGCAAGTGTTTGTTGAACACCTACTATGTGCCACACACCCTTCTGAGCACAGGGGCTACTGCAGAGAACAAAGCAGACAAAAGTCCTGCCCTCATGGGTGTCCCGTTCTAGGAAGGATGGCAAGGGATAAAGATGATGAATGAATGAGATATGGCTGTATGTGAGTTTAATGTGATCCAAGGGGATGAAGCAGAGGAAGGCCCAGAGAGGGTGGAGGAGAGGCGGCTGTTTAGCCAGGGCGGCCGGGGAATCAGACGGTGTCACCCGCCCAGGCCCCTCCAGAGCTGCCCACTGGCCCCAGAAGGAAGCCCAAGCTCCTCTCCCTGGAACACAGGCCTTGGTTGCCCCCACTTCACACAGCAGAGGTGCTTCTCTGTCCCCTCTCTAGGTTCACATAAGCTGTCCCTATGGTAAGAAGGCCCCACCCTCTCCTCTCCACATGGCGTTTTCAACCTGATTCTTCAAAAGTCAGCTCAAGGTCCACTCCCTCCAGGACCCCCTCACTGACCTCCTCCAATGCCACCTGTGTCAACACCGTCCCTTTGCCCTCATGCCCCTGTGCCTTTGAGTGGACAATAACCGGACAGTCCAACGACCCCAGAGCTGATCTTCACAAGGAATTGGCCCAGTCTTTCTGGTGAGGGGCCCTTGGCGATCACCTCCCTGTGAGCATTCACTATGCTCAGAGAGGGCAGCGAGTTACCCAGAGCTACAGAGCAGGGCCCTGACTCCCAGGCAGTGTGCTGCTTATCGATAGCACTGCCAGTCTCACCTGGGACCCCTGACTCCATTGCCAGGGTAGGGACAATACCTGGGCAGCTGTCCCCATAGAGATGAAGAGGAGATGGGGCTTTTTTTTAATGTTCATTTTTTGTAGAGCTGGGGTCTCACTATGCTGCCCATGCTGGACTCAAACTCCTGGGCTCAAGTGATCCTCCCAACTCAGCCTCCCTAAGTGCTGGGATCACAGGTGTAAGCCAACGCACCAGGCCAAGATGGGACTTTAGGATTGCCCCACAGCCCTGCTTCCCCCAGAAAACCTCCATGAGGACCACGCCAGAGACATCCATTCCCTCCTGTCCCATCTCCAGGACACCTCCTGAGACCACTCCAGAACTCACCACTTATGCCCAGGCCTGGGGCCGCGAGGGACACAGAGTCATCAAGACATGGCCCCAGCCTCCAGGAGTGTGTGGTCTAGTGGGAGACAAAGACCCCAAACGCACCAGCAGCACAAGGGTGGTGGGAGCACAGAGGAGGCCTAAACAGCAGGAACAGTGACGTGCACCTGGAAGGAGGGCGGCAGGTGGAGAGGTGGGGGCAGCTGCTATCCCTGAGCAGAGGCAGAGTATCCACAGCATCAGACTACGTGAGCTCTGTGACTTCAGGCAAGTGCCCTATCTCTCTCTGCCTCAGAGTTCTCATCCGTAAAATGGGAAAGATCACATCTACTTCATAGGATTGCTGTGATTACTAAATGAGTTTCTTTTGTTGTTGTTGTTTTTCCGTTTTGAGATGGAGTCTCGTTCTGTTGCCCAGGCTGGAGTGCAATGGTGAGATTTCAGCTCACTGCAAGCTCCACCTCCTGGGTTCAAGCTATTCTCATGTCTCAGCCTCCCAAGTAGCTGGGATTACAGGCGCCTGCCACCACGCCCAACTAATTTTTGTATTTTTATTAAAGACGGGATTTCACCATCTTGGCCAGGCTGGTCTCAAACTCCTGACCTGAGGTGATCCACCCACCTCGGCCTCCCAAAGTGTTGGGATTACAGGCGTGAGCCACTGCACCCGGCTACTAAATGAGTTTCTAAAGGTCACACACGTAGAGCAGCCCTGGCCTGTGCTAAGTACCCCCCAAACTTTAGCTCTCATCACAGACACTTAGTATATACATGATTGTGCATGCATTTCAGCCGCATTTCTGCTCTTGATGCCTCTCTGAGTCTCGGGGACAGCTGTCAGGGGGGCAAATTCTGTTACAAAGGTGCACGAAAAGAGCATAGAGGGCTTAGCCGCGTACTGGGCTAATAATAGGTGCTTAATAAAGGTTTAAGTAGTGAGAACTAAGGGCTGCTGTGAGGCTGAGCTGGGGACAGAGTGTTTGTGGTGTTTTCTGGTACCCCGTTAGGGTCCTGGACTGCTCTGAGGATTGGCAATGTAGTTTTAAGATGTTACTCAATCGCAAATGTGTTTAGAGCAAGGAATGAGTTTTAGAAACCTTCGCACTCCCTGGGGCTCTCAGCACACCTTGCAGGGTGTGGCCTTCAAGAAACAGACTCAGAGACTGGTCTGGCAAGGTGCTCCCCCACACACCCGGGGCTTGCTGGGTGAGGCCAGGCCTTATTGCTTTCTGGGTTGCCAGCACCTCACCAGGAGCACACAGAAGGTGCTCAATGAGCATGCGTGCATTTCTTACCAAATCATTTTGTTTGCTTCAAAGTGTATATTTCTTTAATTTCTTTCTTTCTTTCTTTCTTTTTTTTTTTTTTTTGGTACCTAGATGAGCTGAAATTTTTCTTTTTTCTTTATTTTTGTTTTTGTGATGGGGTCTCACTCTGTCACCAGGCTGGAGTGCAGTGGCACGATCTCAGTTCACTGCAACCTCCGCCCTCCCAGGCTCCATTAATTCTCGTGCCTCGGCCTCCCAAGTAGCTGCGACCACAGGCATGCTCTACTGCATCTGGCTAATTTGTTTTGTATATTTTTTAGAGATGGGATTTCACCATGTTTTCCAGGCTGGTCTGAAAATCCTGAGCTCAAGCGATCACCCGCCCTGGCCTCCCAAAGTGCTGGGATTATAGGCGTGAGCCACTGCACCCGGCTGAGCTGAAAATTGTTAATGCTCCTTTACTTCATTTTTTTTCCAGAACATCAAAGTACTATGTTTGGTTTGATAATTAGAAAAATACAGAGAAGTGTGAAAGAGTCACATATACCAAAATGTTATTTTCTAACCTAATTCCTGCTTTCATGTTAATGTACGATATATATTTTATGTGCATGTCATATGTATATGTGTGTATATATATATGTGCGTGTGTATATATAATGTGTGTACACATTAAGAATTACAACTAATGCCTGGTGTTGATTGAGTCCGTCCTCTGCCAGGTACTGTGCTTAGTTGCCCCTGGCATTACCCCCTCTGACTTAGGCAAACTAGCTCTGGGGACAGCCCTTACCCCCGTCATATCCTGCCTCTCTAACAAAGTAAGGCATTAGGTGTGGGGGCCACAGGAACATGCATTCTGGAGACGTGAGAAGGGTGAGGTCACCTGAGCTAGAACAATCAAGGAAGGCTTCCTGGAGGAGTTGGGACTGAGCCTGACGTGGAAGGATGGGACAAATTGGAAAGTAGCCCCAGCCGTGGTACAGTGTGACAGGGGCCTGAAGGTGCAGATCCACACTTGGATACTTCTGAGCTCTGGTATCACATTCCCTGATGAGGGAGGGTGGTGCAGAGGGGTTCTGGGTGGTTAAAGCCCAGAGGCTGAATCAGGTGAACCTGTGCTGAAATCCTGGCCACTGAGAACTGGCTGCGGGAAGATGTGCAGGTCGCTTTTCCTTCCAGAGTATGTAGGGTCCTCTTCTGTACAGTGGGCAAGCCATGGCTCCTGCTTCACAGGGATGGCATGAGGGCTCAAAGGCAGCATGTGTGCCCTGACTCGAGCACAGTCCAGTCCAGCACAGGGTCAGTGCGCCATGAAAGCACACAGGGAAAGGTTGGTGGGACATAGATGGAGCTGCTTACAGAGGTACCAGGCTGGGAGGTGAGGCAGCCGTGGCTGTAACAGTGGTTACTGCAGCTTTCTCTCCAAGGCTTGTGAACACCTACTTCCCTGAAGATCACTGGAAATCCAGCATCACTTCAGGAGGTCTAGGGTGGCCGACGGTCTACCACCCTCTCTTCCCACTGCCAGAGCTGCCGAGCTGCAAGGATGTGGCTGACAGTGCTCTCTGCTCTCTTCCCCTGCACAGAAGCTCGGGGGCCTCTGCAGTCCCCCCGGGTGACAGGGGGCAGCAGCCCTGCTCTCCTGTCTGTCCTTTTTATAGCTGATCTCCTTCCCTGCTGGCTTTTCTCCCAGCTCTCCTTGCCACCTTGGAAGAGGGCACAGAGAGCCAGCCCCAAGGGGTGGGCCAGGGTCATCCTGATTCCTAGCCCCTCCCTCTGTGTCTTTACCTGCACTTTACTTCCTGAGCATGGGAAGAGAGTTGAGTGGGGAGTCCACGGCACAGCAACAGCTGACCACTTGCAGGGTGCCCTGTCCTCCCCACACCTCTTGCTCATCTTCTGGGAGTCCCAGCTGCACCTACAACCCTCATGGCTGCATGGCCCTTGGCCTCTGTGGGGAAGTGCCAGTCACTGTTCACCTTTATCATTGCTCTGAAATTCACCCACATTCGCTTTGGCTCTTCTGACTGGAACTGAGCAACTATTGCCAAAAAATCACCCTTGGCTGTTAACATAGAAGCACAGTCATCAGTTACATGCATATTTCAGAGGTATTGGGCCCACATATTTTATTTCACTTGATTCCCTCCCCATCCCCACTGTCTACCAGTCCAGCTTCATTGACTGAGGACATCTGCATGTTGCTGTCCTGTGAATTCAGCTGGGATCTCCTCCCGGAGTGACCGGCCTCAGCGGTGTGGCCAGCCCCAGGGGAGGCCCTGGGAAGTCAGGGTTTCTTGTAAGGTTTCTGTCCTCTGGGAGCTCCCATCCAATCAACGATACAAGATTTCTCTCTTGAAAGACCTTTCCCATCACCCTTTAAAAACTTTTCATTATGAAATAATCATAGATTTGTAGGAAGCTGCAAAAATAGTACAGAGACATCTTGTACTTTTCACCCAGTTTTCTCTAATGGCAACATCTTACATGGGTTTAGAATGATATCAAAAGGAGAATATCCGCATTGGCACAATTCACTGACCTATTCAGATTTCACTATTTTTGTGTACTCTTGTGTCTATGAGTATGTGTGTGTATGCAATTTCATCACAAGTGTAGATTTGCATAACCACCACCAAGATCAGTACTATCCCATCACCTCTCCATCATTCACTCATCTGCCTCCCTCTCCCTGTGTCCCTGACCCCTGGCAGCCACAAATCTGCTCTCCTTCACTATAACTTTGCCATTTTGGAAATCTTATATGAATGGAATCATACAGTTTGTAACCTTTAGAGACTGTCTTTTCTTACTTAGCATGGCGAACTTGAGATCTGTGTTAGGGTCCTCCAGAGGCACAGAAACAACAGGTGTGTGTGTGTGTGTGTTTGTATAGGCATATATATGTATGTATGTATACAAACATGTTTGTATATGTACACGTATGAGAGAGAGAATCATTTTAAAGAATTGGCTCACACAATTGCAGGAATAGGCAAGTCTAATATCTGCAAGGCAGGCTGCAGGCTTCAGACCCAGGGAAGAGTTGATTTGCAACGAGTCCAAAGGCTGCCTGGAAACAGAATTCCTTCTTCCTTGGGGGACTTCAGTCTTTTTCTCTGAAAGCCATCAACTGATTGGATGAGGCCCACCTACCCAGCAGATTAAGGAAGGTGATCTACTTTCTTCATTTTTTATTATTTATTTATTTATTTTTGAGACAGAGTTTTGCTCTTGTTGCCCAGGCTACAGTGCAATGGGAGTGATCTTGGCTCACTGCAACCACTGCCTCCCGGGTTCAAGTGATTCTTCTGCCTCAGCCTCCTGAGAAGCTGGGATTACAGGCGAGTGCCACCACGCACGCCCGGCTAATTTTTTGTATTTTCAGTAGAAACCATGTTTCAGTATGTTGGCCAGGCTGGTCTTGAACCCCTGATCAGGTGATCCACCCGCCTCAGCCTCCCAAAGTGCCGGGATTACAGGTGTGAGCCACCATGCCTGGCTGATCTGCTATTCAAATCTACTGATTTAAATGTTAATCTCATGTAAAAATATCTGCACAGTGACATCTAGACTGGTGTTTGACCACATATCTGGGTATTGTAGACTAAGCAGGTTGACATATAAAATTAACCATCACAAGATCCATCCCACGTATTGTGTGTATCCATACCTCATTCCTTTTTGGAGTTAAGTGGTATTCCAAGGAATGTATGTAACTAGTTTGTTTAACCATTCACCCATTGAAGGACATTTGGGTTGTTTCCGGTTTGGGGCTATTACAAATGAAGCTGCTATGAACAATTGTGTGCAGGTGTTTTTATGAACATTTTTTTCACTTCCCTGGGATAAATGCTCAGGAGTGTGATTGCTGGGCTGTGTGGTCAGTATATATTTAACTATTTGAAAAACTGCCAAGCTGATTTCCAGACTGCCTGTACCATTTTACATTCCCACCAACAATGTATGAGACAGCCAGTGTTTCTACCTGCTTGCCAGAATTGTTTTTTAGTCATTCCAATAGGTGTATCATGGTATTTTATTGTGGCATTCATTTGCATTTCCCTAATGGTTAGTGATACTGAACATCTTTTCATATGTTTTCTTGCCATTTGTGTGTATTTGGTGAAGCATCTTTTCGTGTCTTTTGCCCATTTTCCAATTGGATTATTTGGTTTCTTTTTTCTTTTTCTTTCTTTTTTTTTTTTTTGAGATGTAGTCTTGCTCTGTTGCCCAGGCTGGAGTGCAGTGGCATGATCTCAGCTCGCTGCAACCTCGCTTCCCAGGTTCAAGCAATTCTCCTGCCTCAACCTCCCAAGTAGCTGGGACTACAGTCACGTGCCACCACGCCCCGCTAATTTTTTGTATTTTTAGTAGAGACAGGGTTTCAGCATATTAGCCAGAATGGTCTCGATATCCTGACCTCATGATCTGCCCACCTCGGCCTCCCAAGGTGCTGGGGTCACAGGTGTGAGCCACCGCGCCTGGCCCAGTTTCTTTGGTTTCTTACAGCTGAGTCTAGAGAGTCCTTTATGTATTCTGGATACAAGTTGGGTATGTGATTCATTATATTCCTTAAAATGTGCTCCAGGGGTTTGTTCTGGCAGAAAAGGGGCTAATAGTAGTGGTAGCATTGCCAGCAGAACAAGGGTTTTTACTTTAAAAACATAAGGTCCAATTTGTCAATTTTTTTCTTTTATGGATCATGCTTTTTGTATATCTAGGAGGTCCTTGGCCAGCCTGAAGTCTCAAAGATTTCCTCCTATTTTCTTTTAGAAGTTTTACAGTTTTACACTTCAGTTCAGTGTCCCTTTTTGATTATTGTCTAGGGTGTGAGATTTGGGTCAAGTTTCATACTTTCCATGTCCAGTTGCTGTAGTGCCATTTGTTGGAAAGATTATCGCTGTTGGACTTTTACAACTTTGTCAAAACAGTTGGCTGTGCTTGTGTGGGTCTATTTCTAGATTCTCTGCCCTGCGCCACTGGTCTTTGTATCTGTCCCTCTGCCAATAGCACACTACCTTGATTAGCACTGCTATGTAGTAAGCCTTAAAATTAGGTAGAGGGATTTCTTCCACTTTATCCTTTTCTTTTTCCCAAATATGGTTTTAGGCCAGGCATGGCGGCTCATGTCTATAATCCCAGCACTTTGAGAGGCCGAAGCAGGAGGATCGCTTGAGCCCAGGAGTTCAAGACCAGCCTGGGCAACATAGGAATATCCTGTATCTACAAATGACTTAAAAATTAATGGGGCATGGTGGTTCCAACTACTTGGGAGACTGAGGCAGGAGGATCATCTGAGCCTGGGAAGTTGAGGATGCACTGAGCTGAGACTGCACCACTGCACTCCAGCCTGGGTGACAGAGTGAGACCCTGTGTCAAAAACAAATAAACAAACAAACAAAACAGTTTTGGTCATTCTAATTCTTTTATCTTTCCATATAAATTTTAGAAGAAGCTTGTCTATAGTTACAAAAAAATCTTGGGAGGAATATTGAATTTGCTTTAAAACTATAAATAATTTGGGGAAACTGACATTCTTACTTCTACATGCCAACATCCTTGCCAAAAGTTTCTTGGGATGATTTGCAGCTGTCTTTTTTTCTACTGAAAAGGCCTGTGACCATCAGGCCAAGACATGTAGATAACGTTTACTTGCATCAGCTCTCTCCAAAATTAGAGTTAAAACATAAAGTGGCATTTTACAAAAAGAAGAAAAGGTTTTACTAAAGTAAAAAAAACACATAATTATGTATTTGTCTGATTACGAAATATAACATATTCTAATGTGCAGAAGCATTGTATTTCTTTTAAATGCATTTTATTTAAAAAATTAAAAAAAGATCGATTTGACTCTAGATAGCCAAAACAAAAGTGAAAAAAGAAGAACAAAGTTGAAGGTCTCATACTTCTTGATAATTTGCTACAAAGCTACAGTAATCAAAACAGTATGGTACTGGCATAAAGACAGACATATACTCAAATGCGATCCAATACAGGGCCCAGAAATAAACCCTCACATGGTCAAATGATTTCCAACAATGATGCCAAGACTACTCAATGGGGAAAAAACAGTTTTCCACAAATGGTGTTGAGAAAACAGGATATCCACATGAAAAAAAAATTGTAGGTGAAGCCTTGCCTTATACCACATACAATATTTAATTGAAAATAGACCAAAGACCTAAACTTAAGAGTTGAAACTATAAAACTCTTAGAAGAAAACATAGGGTAAAACTTCATGACATTAGATTTGCCAATGATTTCTTGGATATGACACCAAAAGCACAGGTAAGAAAGGAAAAATAGATTAATTAGACTTCGTCAACATTAAAATGCTTTGTACATTGAAGGACACAATCAGCAGAGTGAAAAGGCAACCCACAGAATGGGAGAAAATATTTGCAAATCATATATCTGATAAACGATTAATATCCAGAATATATTTTTAAAATTCTACAACTCAACAACAAAAAAACAAACAACTTAATTAAAAACTGGGCAAAAGCTGGGCACGGTGGCTCACGCCTGTAATCCCAGCACTTTGGGAGGCTGAGGCAGATGGATCACCTGAGGTCAGGAGTTCAAGACGAGCCTGGTCAACATAGTGAAACCCTGTCTCCACTAAAAATACAAAAATTAGCCCGGCGTCATGGCAGGCACCCATAATTCCAGCTACTTGGGAGGCTGAGGCAAGAGAATCACTTGAACCCAGGAGGCAGAGGTTGCAGTGAGCCGAGATCACACCACTGCCCTCCAGCCTGGGCAACAGAGTGAGACTCTGTCTCAAAAAACAAAACAAAACAAAACAAAAAAACTGGGCAAAGGACTTGAATACACATTTCTCCAAGAAGATATACAGATGGCCAGTAAGCACATGAAAAGATGCTCGACATCACTAGTCATTAGGGAAATGCAAACCCAAACCACGATGAGAGACTGTTTCTCACTCATTAGAATAGCTATAATTAAAATAAATTTTAAAAAAGGAAAATAGAAGGTGTTGGCAAGGATTTGGAGAAACTGGAACCTTTGAGCATTCTGGTGGGAATGTAAAATGGTGCAGCTGCTATGGAAAACAGTATGGTGGTTCCTAAAAATTAAACATAGAATTACCATCTGATCTAGCAACTCCATGTCTAGGTATATACACACAAATGGTTGAAAGTGGAGACTCGGACAGATCTATGGTGTGATGGTTTATTCTGTGTCAACTTGGGGGCTGTTTGGGATGAGATCAGCACTGAAATCAGTGTGCCTTGTGTAAGGAGGTTGCCCTCAACATGTGTGGCACTCATCCAGTCAGTTGAAGGCCTGGGTAGAGGAAGAGCAACCTCCCTGAGCAAGAGCATTTTCTCTAGCAGATGCCTTTTGAGCTGTAGCTGCACGGTCAGCTCTTCTGCCTCTCAGGCCTGCCCCAGTGCACTTGCTGGAGTCAGGGATGGATTCCAGTAATTGACTGTGGATACACGACCCTGCATTCTCAGTGAACTTAGCTTTTTGTTCTGTTGAATCATTGCCTCAGGCGAAATTCTCAGGAGCTATACTCTTTGGTCAAAGGAAAGAGAAAAGGAACAAATCCTGTTGGTTTGAACTACCCTTAGAATAAACCCAGACTCTATCGCTTCTTACCGCCTCCCCAACTCCTTCCGTAGTCTAAGCCGTGGCCTCCTCCTGTGTGTACAGTTGTGGACACCCTTTCCTGGGCTCCTGTTTCCCACTTTGTCCCTATATTGCAGTGGTTCTTAACTGGGATGATTCTGTGCTGAGGGCCACTGGGCAATGTCTGGAGACAGTTTTGGTTGTCACAGCTGGGTGGAGGGCGCTACTGACACCCATTGGGTAGAGCCCAGAGATGCTGCTAAACATCCTGCAATGCGCAGGACAGCCCCCCAGCAAAGGCATCAACAGCACCGAGGTTCAGCGGCCTGGGCCCCGTATCTCATTGCCACACAGTGGCAAGAGTGTTGTTTTTCTCTGCTCGAAACTCTCTTGTGACTTCCAAGATTACTTGGCTTAAAATGCAAAACCTTTCTGTGATCTACAAGGTCCACTATGACCTGTGACCTCACCCCCACCGCTCTTCCGTCACCCTCTCTGCTCCAGCCTCACTGTACCCTGTTGATCCTCACACACACCCAGCACGCCCCAGCCTCGGTGTCTCCTGTTCTGTTAGTCTGGAATGGAGATATTCCATTCCAGATATTCACACAGCAAGATTCTTGGCTTCATTCAGGGTACATCCCAAATGTTATATTGGGCCTCCTCTTCGGCCTCATCTCTTGACAGTTGGGCCCAAATGTCATCATGGTCCACCTTCTCTGACCACCTCATCTGAAACACCACCTTCCCCACCACTCTCCCTCCCCTTGCCCTCATCATTCATCTCCACCTGAGCTTTATTTAACTGATTTTCATCAACTCACTCTTCCCATTAAAATATGAACTCCCCGATGTTTTGCTCATGAATGTGTTGACACCCCCAGATGAGTGTCTGGCACACAGTAGACTGTCCATAAATACCTGTTAGATAAATGAGTGTTTGTTGAGCACCTACGCTGTGCCAGGGTGTGCTGGGCCCTCCCGATGTGCCGTCGCATGTATTCCTCAGAGCCATGGTGTTTACCCCCATCCAGAGAAGGAAGCAAATGCCAATCAGCACAACCAGGCTCAGATGCCACCAGGCCTGACAGGGCCCAAACCTGTGCCACACCATCGCCCCAAATGTATCTATGGCTCGATAATCTGTCATCTGCTCTTTAAAGCGTTTTATTACATTTATAGCAACTCCCAACAGCTTTTCCAGGTGACATTGCTGTGTCACCGTTGTATTTGTTTTCAGACCTGGAGCCCATTGTGTTTCCATTTCTTTGTTGTGCTATCTGGGCCTGGCATCTGGGGCCCTCCTGCTCAGGTGGAGAAATGCGGAGCTAGCTCTGTCTGTGCAGGGCCACTGTTGATAGTAAATACAGTGTTTAAAGGAGCTGCCCGCACCAGGCTTAAGAATGCTGCTTTTAGGACTCAAAACAAGCCTCCTCTTGAGTGGATGAGAGAGCCTCTTGAGAGAGCTGGTGGACAAGGGGACAGATGGGCCATCCCCTCCCACCAACTGCAGGGTACAGCTGTGACGGGGGTCCCAGGTCCCAATTCCAGGGCTCTGGTGGGGTTGTCTGGGCAGCAGAAGCTCAGTCCATCTCCTTGACCAGGTCTGATGTGGCAGGTCAGACCCATCCTGGGTGCAGGCAGGGACTGCTCTGCTGACCTGTGGATCTTCTCTTGGCCTAGGCACAGAGCCTGATGACTATGGCTGCTGACACTGAGACTCACTGCAGAGCAGGGCAGGGCAGCAAGCTCTGCCCTGGAGCCAGAGACCTGGGCTCCAGTCTCACCCATGGCCAGCTGAGCTTCCTTTCCTTAGCTACTGAATCCAAAGCTACAGCAGTGGACTCATAGAACCCTTGGTATTTGAATGGGACATGTGTGAAGTTATTATTTTTAACTGAGATATAACTTATATTCAGTAAAATTCACTCTTTCGGGTGCAGTGCTATGAGTTTTATATAACCACCACCACCACAATCAAGATATAGAATATTTCCATCTCCCCTAAAAGTTCCCTCATGCCCCTCAGTAGTCAAACCCTCCCCCTACCCTTAGCCCCTACCAACCCTTCTGATTTCTGGCCCTATAATTTTGCCTTTCGCAGAATGCCATGTCAATGGAGCCGTCCAGCATGTGGCCTTTTGCCCCTGGCTTCTTTCTCTAGCATCATGCTCTTAAGATCCATCCATGTTTCTGTGTTCTTGTGTATTGCTGAGTAGTATTTCCTTGAGTGGTTGCACCAGGTTGTCCTTCACCTCTTGAGGGGCATTTAGGTCATTTCCAGCCTTTGGTGACTATGAATACAGCTGCTATTCAACATTTGTGTGTACCAAATAGGTTTTTGGGTGGACATCGTTTCATTTCTCTAGGCTCAGTGCCCAGAAAGATGACTACTGGTCATAGAGTTAAGTGCATGTTTAACTTTTCGAGAAAGCACCAAACTGTTTTCCATGGTATCTGTACCTTTTTGCATTCCCACCATAATTACTGGAGAATTCCGGTTTCTCTTTATCTTTGCCAGCAGTTGGAAGGGTCAGGTTTATTTGATTTTAGCCACTGTTTTGGACAGTTTGTTTGGACATTGTTTAGATAGCTGTTTTTTAACTGTAAATCAGCAGGACCCAGTTGTGGCAGGCAGTATTGAAACGTGGGTAGGAGACGGGGCTCTGGAGTCAAACCATTTGGGTTAAAATCCTTTTGTACTTACTCACTCTTTAATTTTCATATTTCTTGTAGGAAAAAAGTGGAGTTGGTAATGAGGTAATAAAGGTATTAATGAGGTAATAAAGGAATTAAATGTTAAAATGTATAACACATGCTTGGCTTTGCCCAGGGCTAAGCCACTATTACTACTCTTAAGAATATATTGCACACCTGATCTCTAGTCCCTCCAGCAAGCATCTGCTAGGTATTTCCATGTCCCTCTATAGATGAGGACACTGAAGGTCATAGAGGTCAAATAACGGGCTAGGGGTCATACAGCTAATTAATACGTGGTGGAGATAAGATTTGAATCCTGTGTAATTCCTGCTTCCTCATTCCTTTACCACATGCCTCACTCTGTCAGTTAGGAAAACTTTTGGCTCCAGGTTACACGAAACCCATCCTGCAGAAGTTGAATCCACTAGGACACTTATTGATTACACACTTAAGGAATGGAGCGGGAAGTCTCAGGTCACTCACAAAGACTCTTCTTGTCTCTATGTGCCACCAGCCTTCACCTGCTGGCATTTCCTGCTTATGCTTGACACCTCATCACAGATTAACTGACCACAAAAATGACCTCAGGCCTCCACCCCTCCTTCATTCAGCCCTTTGTAATATGACCTAGTGGCTCTTCCCATTGAGAGGTGGAGTCTATTATTCTATCTCTGGGATCCTGGTTGGTCTTACGATTTGCTTTGGCCAATAGAATGTGGTGACATTGATGGGGAGTTCTGGAACTCAGGCTTTGAGAGTCTTTGTGTGCTTCCACTCTTATTTTTGGAACCTAGGCCATGGGACAAAATCTGGGCTGGCCTGCTGAATGATGACAGAGGAGTGGCCAAGTCACTCATTGTTGTCCCATTTGTCAGCCAGCCAGCCACCAGACATGTGAGTGCACCCATTCTAAGTCAGCCAGCTTCTGGTCAACTTGCCAGCTGACCACAGATGCATAAGTGAGCCCAATCAAGATCAGCTGAGCCTACCATGTCAGCAGAACCCACAATTCACACATAGACATGTGACCAATAATAAATGGTTATTGTTACAAGCTAACAAATTTTGAGGTTGTTTGTTACACAGCAGTAGCTAACTGATACCTATCTAATGGTTGCAATGGGGTTGCTTCAGCTCCAGGAAAAAGTGGAAAGAGGATGCAAGTCTTCTTCTTATACCTGTCCCTTTTGCAAGGAAGCAAAGCTTTGTGATCTCAAGCAAGTAATGTATCTTCTAAGAACAATATGATCTTCATCTGTAAAATAGAGGAAATATTACCTGTCTTGTGGGTGTTTGGTGCAAACCAATAACATGTCATGTAAAAATAACTACACTGTGTTCTATGAATGTAAGTTATGCTTACTATCCCAGAAAAGCTGCTCAGATAATCTGGACATTTGTTTGTGTTTCTGACCCACAAAAGTGCACAGTACCTTGGGTGAATACAGCTACTGTATTAGTCAGTTCTCACCACAGCAATGCTGTGTAACAAACCACTTCAAAACTCAGTGGCTTATAGCAACAAGTACTTATTCTCATGGCTACAATTCTGCAGTTGACTGAGGTTCGGCTGACTTAGGCTGAGGTTGGCTGCGTGGCTCTGCTCCAGGCTGCGGGCTGCCTGGGCTTGGCTCTAAGCTGAGGGTGGAGTTTAGGTCTTCTGTATTGGTCTCCCATAATTCCTGGGCCAGCACATCATGGAAATGGCAGAAGTACAAGAGAACAAACCCAATTTCACAAACACATTTCAAGCTTCTGCTTGCATCACATATGCTAACGTGCCACTGGCCAAAGCACCTGGCCAAGCCCAACATTAATAGGGTGGGGAAAGATATCCTTTCTGTGGAGGGAATGAGCACAAGTCACGCGGCAAAGAGGATGGGTATAGGGAGGTGTGGAAAATTGGGAACAATGATACAATGCATTAGAGCTACACTGGGATATTAACCATTGTAACTGCCATTTTCCAAGATGGCAGAGGTATGATGGATATCAGACACAGCTCATAAATGAGTGCATGTGGAAAGCTTTTTAAAAGAAAAACATTGGGGCTGTTTTATCTAAAAAGCAAGATATAACTGCCCTACCCAAACAGAAATCTCATGTAGAAATAGGAAGATCTGACTTCAGATCTCTGGCCAGATAGGGAGTTGGTGAATTTCTCCAGGGTAAGACTGTGTATTATTCTTTTACGGTGTCTTCCCAATGCCTAGCACAATTCCTGGCATAGAGACAGAGTTAAATAAATGTTCATGCATTCGTTCGTGAGCATGACTGAGTCAGTTTTTTTCACCAAAGTTTCAATAAAACTGCTATGAGTTAATGCGGAGCAGGTTTCTTAACTACTGCACTACTGACATCTTGGACCAGGTAATTCTTTGTTGTGGGGCATTAAGGATGTTTGGCGGTGTTGCTAGGCTCTACCCACTAGAGGCCAGTGGCATCCCTCTCCAGGGGCAACAACCAAAAATGTCTCCAGATGTTGCCAAATCACCCCCAACTAAGAACTACTGATGTAAAGTGAAGAGCCTATGGGGCACATCCTACCACAGTTCTTAGAAGCGTGTCTGAAGTGCAGAAATTTAATTGAAGAGAAGAGAAACCACACATTGTATCGAAACAGCTTAACTCTCTCTCTCTGTCTCTCTCTCTCTCTGTCTCTCTCTGTCTCTCTCTCTGTATATACACATATGTGTGTATATATGTGTATATATGTAGATACACATATGTGTATATATATGTGTGTGTGTGTGTATATATATATATATACACACACACACATATATATATATACAGCTAAGTATAACTTGGAAGTTTGGGGATATTCTGTGCCTAGTTTTACAACCAAAGACCAGTAGGGGGAAATTCGGTGATCTGCAGACATCATCGTGGTGGTCATCAATTATTCCAGTGAAGGCACAGGATTTTCCATGGGTTGGCAAAATTCCACTTTGGTCATTTAACAAATATTTTTTGAGGGTCTGCTATGGGCCAGGCAATGTTCTACGAACTAGGGAGATGGTGGACAGCAAAACAATGTCCCCGCCTCACAGAGCCCTCATTCTAGTGGGAGAGAAAATGGTAAACATATAAATACTCCAATATATAATAGAATGGTGTAACTAAAATTATAATGAAATCTTATAAATTAAAATTATATAACTAAAAAAATGTTATTTATAGGTGCTAAGAAGAAAATAAACAGAGAACGTCTTGCAGTGGGCAGCCATTTCAGGAGGTAAATGCCGGGGGGTGGTGTTTGAACAGTGACGGAAGGACATGAAGAAGCGAGCGTGTGAAGGTGTGGAAGAAGTACAATCCATGCAGAAGAACCAGCAAGCCTTCTTTCCATCTGGCAGTATTATGCAAGATTCGGAACGAATCTCCTCCTCCTCTCTTGCCTCTTCTCTTTTCTTTTAAAAAACCAATTGAGATTATTAAAACCAAGAGGCCCCTATCAAAGTTCTTTTACCCAAAAACTTTTGTCAAGTAGAACTCATATCTGGCTAAGTCACCTCCCACCTCCAGTCTCTTCATCAGTCTCTTCATCTGTCCAATGTGAGGGTTGATCCAGATGCTCAGAGGGTTTTACGGGCAGAGGGGTAACGGGATTTGTGTTGCTCAACCTGGGTTTGAATCCTGGCTCTGCCATTTCCTACCAAAGCAGTTGTGACAGTGTTTTCACCTCTCCGAGCCTCGGTATCCTCAAAGCAGCCCTTTTGTGGTTGGATGAAATGCCCTGAGTCGAGCCTGGTATCTGAAGCCCACATCTGTTTCCCTACACAACTCAGACCCCCGGGCCTGAAAGATGGTGACTGCAATGAAAGAGGTTTGTTAACGGCTAAGAAGTCCAGGATGCAAGATTTTGCCATTGTGATGACTGTAGCCTTTCTTGGCTATTCAGAAGGATCCTCAATCTTTTGCAAGTCCTCAGGTTTAAAGGACTTAAATGTGGGAGTCAGGAGATTCTGAGTGTCAGGAGATAGAGGAACATTCAGGAGTCCAGTGTGTGAAGGAAGGTCCTTGACATTTGTGAAAAACCAAACACCATTTATGTGACAATCAGAACACTTTCATGAAAGGGAGTGTGTTCTGACCATGTGGGTTTCCCACGTGTGTAAGTTGTGGGAAAACAGGCATTTTCTGAGTGAAAATCAGGACCAACCGAGACTGCCAACCTTAGATGTTCATAGTAACCAGGCTCCTGCCAGAGGAGAAATTGACGCAAAGAACAGTGCCAGCTGCTCCACACACATTAATTCCTCAGCCTCCCCAGTTATCCTATGTGCAGCCAGATGCCACACCTGGATGAGGGAGAATGCCAGAGGCTTGGGAGGGCAGAGGGGAATAGCACAGGGGCTTGCATTCCGCAGGTGCTGGGGTCACTGTGCTGGCCCTGGATGGCTCACCTCTGGACTTGTTAATAAGTGAGAAAAAAAATAAAATCCATTCAGCTAAGCCACTTAATTGGGTCTCTGCTTCACGCAGCTGAATGCAGTGCTAACAGATTCCTGTGCAGGGACCTGTGCCCTGTTATTTTACTCTGTCCTCACGGCTCTCCTCAAGGGTCACATTCTGAGCCCCATTTGACGGATGAGGAAACTGAAGCAAGGTCCCCTCCTTGCTGTCCTATAGGTAGTAAGTGGAAGAGGCGGCATTTGAACTCAGAGCTGTCTTATTCCAAATGCTGCACTCTCCCCCTACCTCCCCCACCCTCTGCCACACACCAATTCTCACTGTCTTACTCTGTTTGGACTGCTAGAACTAAGGACCATAGAATGGGTGTCTTAAAAACAACAATTTATTTCTCACTGTTCTGGAGGCTGGGAAGTCCAAGGTCAAAGTGCTGTGAATTTAGTATCTGGCGAGGGCCCACTTCCTTGTTCACAGATGGTGCCTTCTTGCTGTGGCCCACAAGGTGGAAAGGCAGAGGGAGCCCTGGAGGTAGGAGGCAGAACTCTACTCTGGAGGTGTGGCTTAGATGCTGGACCAAATTGAGGACTAGCTAAAACAGGTCTGGGGCAGGAGCACCTGCCCCCATGACAAGTCACACCCACCCGTGGGCCATGTCAGTTTGCCATTGCCATGGCAACACCCAGAAGTAACCGCCCCTTTCCATGGCAACCACCCACCAGCAATCTGGAAGTTACTACCCTCATTCTAGGAATTGCCCCTGCATAAACTGCCAGTTAATTTGCATATAATTAAAAGTGAGTATAAATGTGAGTGAGTGCAGAACTGCCTCTGAGCTGCTGCTCTGGGCACACTGCCTCTGGGGTAGCCCTGGGCACACTGCCTCTGGGGTAGCCCTGCTCCACAAGGAGCAGCACCTCTGCTGCTGCCGTGCACTGCCGCTTCAATACAAGTTGCTAACACCACCTGCTTCTCCTTGAATTTTTCCTAGGCAAAGCCAAGAACCCTCCCAGGCTAAGTCCCAGTTTGGGGGCTTGCCTGTCTTGCATCACTCTGGTACCTTTTTATTCTGTTTTCTTTTTCATTTTAAAATACAAATTAATAGCTTCTTTCTTACCTGATGGTATCTCTTTTATAAGGACACTTGTCCCATCATGAAGGCTCCACTTTTATGAACTAATTACCTTCCAAAGGCCCCCACCCTCCTAACACCATCACCTTGGGGGTTGGGATTTCCACATACAAATTTGGAGAAGACACAAACAGACCATAGCACTAACAATTAACAGCATTCCTAGGCACAGCAGTTCTTGTGAGGCTGAATCCTGGCTGGCCACTTGCTAGTTGTGGGATCTGGGGAAGTTACTCAGAGCCTCTGAGCCTCAGTTTCCTTCTCTGAAACTGGAGACCATAGCAGTACCTGTCTCAAAGGGAGATGTTGAAGATTGCCACTGTCTGGCACTGAGCCAATACTCCCTGCATAAGAAACTTTGACTTATCTGGCCTCATGACAGTCCCTGGACTGAGTGCATTTTCAAGTGCTTGAAGATCCTCCCTGACTCTTGCATTAGCCCCTTGGAGGAGATATCATTGCTTCTTTTTGCAAGCAAGGAAACTGAGGCTCAGAGAGGGTGAGCACTCAGCTCAGGATCATCCTGCTGGTGTAAAAAGAGGAGCACCTCCAGTGGGGAAGGCCCAGGCTCTCAGGAGAGGGGCTGCCCCTCTAAGCCTCAGTCTCTCCATCTGTAAAATGGGGGTGAGACTAGTACCTGCGTCATATGGTTATTGGATTATATGAGACATGGTATGGTCAAGACTCAGCCTTGGCCATAGCTGATAGTAAGCACCCAATCTATGTAGCTCATGCTATTATTTGTTATTATCAGAAAGCTCCAGACTGACCACACCAGTCTCTTGCTTCCTCGCAACTGGGGATTCTGAGGGTGGATGTGTGTCCCCATTGCAGGCTGAGGTGGCCCTGTGGCCTGCCATCCGCCTCTGTGTTGGCTTTGCCGAGACCAAGACCACAGTGGTGAAGGCTCAAGCCCCTCACGCCTCTCCTCCACCCCATGGGAAGCAGCCATCGTGGGCCTTCCTCACAGCCCCTTAGTTCTGGGAGGCTGAAGATCATCTGCTCCCATGAAGCTCCTCCTCACAGATGCTCTGGACAGATAAAGAACCGGCTCTGACCCGGCCCACTGCCCGGGTTATCCTGACTTACAGAGAAATTCCACCTTGCAGCCTGACCTTGTTCATTCCCTGCTGGACCCGCCTGAGGTAGGGCCCCTGGCCTTCAGGTCACCTTTGTGTGGGGCAGTGGGGGTGGGCAAGGCACATACACACTCAGACACCACACACACCACACATACTTTCACACACACCCCACACACACACCACACACACATCACACATACTTTCACACACACACACCACACACACATCACATATACTTTCACACACACACCACACACACAGACACCACACATACTTTCACACACACCACACACACCACACACACATCACACATACTTTCACACACACACACCACACACACAGACACCACACATACTTTCACACACACCCCCCACACACACCAGACATACTTTCACAAACACCCCCCACACACCACACACACATCACACATACTTTCACACACACACCCCACACACATCACATATACTTTCACATACACACCACACATACTCACAGACACCACACACACAACCACACACACACACCACACACATACTTACACCACACACCACACACACAATCACACACACACAGACACCACACACACCACACAGTCTTTCACACACACACACCACACACCACACACTCTCTCACACACACACCACACACAGACACCACACACACTCCCAGATATCCCACCCGCACGCCCATGCACACTCACACACCACACACTTACACTCTCAAACACACACATACACCACACTCACAGCCCTATCTCTCATGCACACACTCTCACACTATCACCACACACACACTCACACCACACTCACAGCTCTCTGTCTCACACACACACTCACAGCTCACACACACACACTCTCTCTCTCTGCTGTGAAGGGTCCAGGGGGCAAGTCTGCCTTATATTCTCTCTGTGTCTGCCTAGCACTTAGCACAGTGCTTAGCACACAGTAGGGCCTTTATGGCACGTGCTGTGGCTGACCAGGTGGGTGGATGGACAGATGCGCCTGAGAACAGTAAGTGCGCACTCATCCACCCATGGGCTCAGCCTCTGTTCATTGTGCACCTACTATGTGCAGGCTCTGCTCCAGCCTCCGCCATGCAGTGGAGAGCCAGACCATGGGCGCCTGCTCTCAAAGGTCCAACAGGCTAGCCACGGATAGACGAGCAGATGAGTCCATCCAGCTGGAGCCAGGGGCTCTGGCGCCCCCACCCCCATTCCTCAGGGCAGAGCCATGATGAGTGACCGTGGCAGATGGCTGCATCTCCTTTTCTGGTCCCACATGCAGGGCCGCGTTAAGTGAGGTAGGTAAGCTGACCCTGCCCTTGCAAGAGCCCCAGAGTGGGCGCCTCCTTCAATGTTACGCCCAGGGCCCCTCCCTTGCCTTGCCAAGTCCTGGCCCTGCCCAGACGCTCATCAAGAATTCTCACTGACCCCTTTGTAGAGACACTGTTGCTGCCCTGGAGCTTCTACCTGAGTTGCAGGGCAGAGCAGGGCAGCTGAGAAAGGAGAGGCAGGTGGGGGATGAAGCTCCCAGGAGCTGACATTTTCAGGTTGATGGTGCACCAGGGACATACCCAGGTCACACACCTTCATGGTGATAACACGGCCCCAGTCTTCAGCTGCAGAGACTGATGCTAAGAGAGGGCAAGTGACTTGCCTTGGATCACACAGCAGGTAAGAGACAGGGTCTGGATTCCAACCCTCTCCTCTGCTGCTTGTGAAATGTGGAGGCAGGGAATGGAGTGATCCGGATGGTGAGTAGCTGGAAGGGTCCAGGCCAGCTCTCTGAGGAAGGGAGGACTTGGGGAAAACCTTGGAACATGTGTTCATCGGAATCGAAGGTGAGGAGGTGGGAGAATGGGCCTTTTAGATGAGGGCGCCTCCTGATAGCTGGGGTGGGGGTGGCTGAGCCTGGGTGGATCCTGCAGTAACAGACTGAGAGTCTGTAATATAGCCCTCCACGTGCACAGGGCAGGAGACGAGGCCCAGAAAGGGAAATGCATTGCTTCCTGCCACACTACACGGGGATGGCAGAGCCAAAGCTAGAACCAGCATTCTTCCACCAGGAATCACAGCAAACAAAGCAAAACCAAAGCAAAAAAAAAGAAAAAAAAAACACCCAAAACAATATTTCAGTCCACCAGCTAGTGAAGTTACAAAAAAAAAAAAGAGAATCAGTCATCCCAGTCATTTAGTATCTTGTGGGCAAAACAAGTGGCCGTGTGACTGCATCCTGCCCTTTGCATCCAATCCCACGTGGCCCCATCCCCCCCTGCACCCCCAACCCCCACAGACAGCCAGGTCCCTGAGGCAGCCAGCCCCAGACCCAGGCCGCTGACTTTCCTGAAGCTTAAAGTCAAGTTGCCAAAACAAACTTCTTTTGTCTTTCTTAGTTTTTCCGTGTTTAAATAATAATAATCTGAAAATGAAGTCATTGTGCTGTGGCTGCTGCCACCTGCCAGCACTGAGTCCCCAGTGTCTGAAGGGCAGCTCCTGGGGCGCACTGTGGCCGTCTCACCGGGTCCCACTCGGGGATCAGCCCCACACCCTGGCATCACCACCCTTTTCTCTCCCTCAGCTCATCAACGCCATCCAGCAGGGTCTCCTTCTCTTCCCCACGACGGATGGCATTGCCGCTTGCTGGGAGCTCCCTCCAATTTAAGACAGCTGCCTTCTACAGAGACAGGCGCTATCTGGAGACAGAATTCCCCAGCCTTAAAGGGGGATGCATTTTAAGGGGTGGAATTTGGGCCCTGGGCAGCTGACAGGTAGGGGATTTTTCAGAGAGGAAGGGTATTTGGAGCCCTAGCGTCATATAAGCACACACTCTGCCCAGCCCGGCCCCAAAGCCCCAGCTGCTCCCCTTACTAGGTTGACCCAGCAGTCCTTGGTCTTGGCCTTTGTGGCCAGGGTGGCCCTGGCCGGCTCCCTGCTGCCTTCTTTTCTCAGCAGGGACCTCTCTGGGATCATTCTCTTGGAATCTTACTCTTCCTCCACTCCTGCACACAGCCCCGGAGGCCTGGTACCCAGTAGGTGCTGCGTGGTGGTCACAGAACTGAGAAACGAAGACCCCTGAGCTCCCTCTCCTTGCCCAGCGTTCAAGTTTCTTCCCACGGGGCCACGGATGTTCCCTGGGAATCCGGGAGTGCCGAGGGTGAGGAATCAGCCTATGGCAATGGGACCAAGGCAGTCATAACACGCACCTCTTACGGTGCAGGCAGGATTAGAGGAGAGAATGTGTATAAAGTGTTTTGCAGAATTCCAGCTCCTAGTGGCATTTAATGATGGGAGATCTTAAAATACAACACTAGCCAAGATTTACGGAGCATGCGCCAAGCGCTATGCAAGCGCTTTACATCCCCTAGTGGGGCTATGCAATAGGCATCTTTACTGTCACCATTTTACTATGTGGCCTACCTGGACCTGAGGCCAGGATTATCATCTTTCACATACTGGAGGTTACTTCATGAACTCTTTTTTTCTGAGACAGGGTCTTTCTCTATCACCCAGGCTGGAATACAGTGGCATGATCTCAGCTCACTGCAGGCTTTACCTCCCAGGCTCAAGCCATCCTACTGCCTCAGCCTCCTGAGTAGCTGGGACTACAGGGACACATCACAGTGCCCAGCTAATTTATTTATTTATTTAATTTTTTTTTTTAATTTATTTATTTTTTATTTTTTGTAGAGGCTGGGTCTCACTGTGTTCACCAGGCTGGTCTCAAACTCCTGGACTCAAGTGACCTTCTTGCCTTGGCCTCCCAAAGTGCTGGGATTACAGGTGTGAACCACTGTGCCCGGCCTGTGCAGGAACTCTTTAAAGCCCTAGCCCTTGCTTGCAGGACAGACTGGGATGCAAAGGCTCCCCTGCCCGTAACACATACTGAAGGGGAATGAGAGAGAGTGTCCTCAGCCCACAAACCCTGCCCAGGACAGGCACAGAGACACACATGCACACACACACATGCACACAGGAACACTCACACATATGCATATGCACAGAGATACACGCAGACACATGCACACACAAACATAGACATAGACATACACAGACACACACACACACACACACACACACACATACACATGCATACACACATGCTTGTGGAAGATGAAAGCCATGACCAGGGCCATCCCTGACAGAAGCAGGGGGCTCTGCCAGGCTCTCTGTGATCTGTCCTCATTATCAGCTGCCTGTCTCTGGCTGAGAGGTGGGAGGAGGGTCCCAAATGTGCAGATGGAGTCAGGGCGCTGGGCCGCGGTGCCTGATTGCATCTGGAGGGTGAAGGCCCAGCTGGCCATGGGACCACAGGGGTGCTAAGCTCTGCAAACAGGAGGGCCAGCCCAGACCTGCTTGGCTAGAAACTGCTGACCTTGTATCACTGGAAGCAGTTGCTCAACCCCAACCTTCCTGAGGGCAGGGGGCAAGCACAGGGCTTTGGGGGTGATCCTGGCTCAGGGGAGCAAGGCTGAGGCAGGCTGGGTAGGTCCAGATAGGCCCAGGGTCCAGCAGCCTTGACCTGGTGATGCATCCACAGGTGTGTGCCACTCCCTACCCCCGATACCTTGGTCACCAAGCCCCTTATCCTCCCCCAACCTCCCCCAACAAGTGGAAAGGCACTCTACTCAGCACTGTGCACTGGAACTTCCTGCCATCATGGGCATACATGTTCTACATCTGCACTGTAGGACATGGTAGCCAGATGTGGCTACAGAGGGCTGGGAATAGGGCTAGTGTGTAGTCTAGCAGCTGCCACACTGGCTGGTGCAGCTCTAGACACAGCCCAGCAGCCTGGAGGCACAGGGCCTGAGCTCTGGGCTCGAGTGCCAGCTCATCTGCTTGATGGCTGTGACCCATCTGTGCCCATGTGAGTGTACCCCACAGGCCACCCCACGGCTGCCAGCATGAGGATGAGTGGCTGTGCCAGCGGGGCCTCCAGTCACCTGCTGGGCTTGAGGTCTGGGCCACAGACAGGCCCCAGTTCCCTCCTCTGAAAAATCCAGGAAAGCACAGTGCTGACCTCACGGGGCTGTGACCCTGAATAAGTGCCCAGGTGGTGTCCAGCAGGTTCACTGCTAGCAGATGGATCAGGAGTTGAACAAATGTGGCTCCATAGCCACAGGCGGCTGCAGACAGATCCAGCACTGCGGTTCCCACCCTTCTAGCTCACAGAAGTGCCAAGGGGACAGCTCTTAGGAGGCCTGAACTAACAGCCCCAATAGCTTGGGCCAGAAAGTGGGTGCAGGGACTAGCTGGTGGCGGCGGAGGGGCGGGGGTTGTACATGCTTAGCATCTAACAGGGGATCCCTGAGAGCAAGGGAGCTGTTGTCCACAGGCCCTGTCTTCATCTTATCAGAGATAACATTCCTCTAAACTCACACAGCAAATCCTCAAGAAGTAGGAGAAAAATGTTAATGAACTTCGATTAAAATTCCTTTCCAGGCTTGCCAGTCAAGGCAGGCAGGCCCCTGACCTGCTCAGGGAAGCCTGCATGTCTGGTTTCCTACCTGGGGCCCAGGAGGGCTTGAAGAATCATGGGGACTGCGCTTGGGATGCTGGTTCAGAGAGAGCATCCCATGTCCATGCCAGAGACATGCGCCAGGGTTTCACCATCAGATTCATGTTGCAATTTCTTGTCTTTTCATGAGGGTAAGACTTAGCATTTCCCAGCCAACCTGTATAGCGAGAATTTTTACCAGTCTCTATTCCAGAGGAGGAGACTGAGGTTCATAGTGGCAATGTAGCTTGCCCAAGCCGCAAAGTTGCAGTGCTGGAATTCTGTACTTGCAGAACAGGCACCTGCCCAGACACAAGACACAGCATCATAAACTAAGACCTTCCTTTAAGAAAATAAACACAATAGAACCTTCTCATCCAAATGCCTACTGCCCTTCCTCCCAGGCATCTCCCCTCTAGAGATGGGCAATACTGCCTCCAGCGGCGCCTGTCATCGTTGCTGTCAGCAACTTCCTGGATTTTCTTTGAGAAGGAGCTTCCGTATGGGTCTGTGAGCTCATTGCTTTTACCACACCTTGTTTCTGATAAGCCAGTATTGCCTAGACTGACCCCTGCCTGGATGGGTGAGTTTGCTGCTACATTTTGCCACAATGCCAACCAAGTGCTTTGAAGATGCTATTTAAGAAGGAGCTACAGAAATTCACCATGTGGTCAAGACATTGTCCCTCATCCCATTAGACCACCTTTATTTGAAACCACAAGAGAAATTACTTTCAGATTTCAGATTCAGGAAAGTCTATGTTTTGAAATAACTGGCTTGTTTATATCTTATAGAATCTGAGCACCCTGAGGCTGGCCATTTTCCCTCTTTGACCAGTAGGAAGCTCAGGATCACATAAGTAGCCCACTTCTAGCATTATAATGCATGTTTTTATGTATTGACTGTGCCCTGTTTTCAGCTTAAATTTTCATTTCTCCTTCTCCCCCATTCATTTACTTTCTTGCTCACACAGCTTTTTAAAATCACCTGTATAGGGAAAGGGTCAAATAAGCAGTATCTCAGCAGATCCTACAGAAGTTTAGGAGAGGGCAATATCACCAGGGGATTAAAGAGTTAAACAGAATAAAAAACAAAAACAACTCTTCAAAGCAGAGGACTTGATTGGAGTAGGATTCACACGAATGCATTCTTAGGGGTTCCTTATTCATTCATTCCCCAGGAGCACCTTGTTGGCCACCTTCTCTAGTTCAGGAGCTGTGCTTGGTGCAGGGAGACAGCAGTGAATAAGCCCCATCCCCTAGGCAGCAGCATGTGGAAGGACGAGTGAGACCCTCCCAGGCCAGTGGAGGCACCAGGCAAGGAGGCAGGAAGTACAGGTAGAGGTCGCACACTCAGGTGGATGGGCTATGGTGGCCATGGGCGCACCCAGGACAGAAGGGGCAGCTTCGCCAAAGGAAAGTGACCTCGACTCAGAGCTGCAGGGCAAGGAACTGGTTGCTGAGAACAGAGGGAGGGCGAGGTCAGGAAAACAGCTCCAGCAGAGCAAACCCCAAATGTCCTCAGCACTCAACACATATGGCAGAAAGAGGCTGGGATGTTCCAGGCAGAGCCTGGTTTCAGGGGAGCTGTGAGGTCTGAGCTTGGACATGGGAAGGGATGGTCCATAGGGCTTGGTCTACCACACAAATGGAGGAGACTCTTCTGCGGCCAGAGGAGCCAGAAGAGAGCGTTAAAGCAGAAGACGGATGTGATCAGATTTGCATTTTGTGAAGATCTCTCGGGGTACAGAACAGGCCTAGAGATAGGGGGTAGGAGGGGGTGCATTTGGGAGGCCAGGGCAGCAGCAGGTCATGGAGGAGATGATGGTGATCTGAGCTGGGGGTGGACAGATATGGTTCCATGGACTTCTTTCTGTGTGTGATTTATTTCAGTATTTTCCTCTTAATACTAGAGTGGTACATGATCATTTCCAAGCATAGAAAATGTCAACTAGCAAAAGAGTACAAAAGAGAAATTATTATTCACACCTCATGGCTCCTGAGTGTGCATGCACACACACATCACCACACCACCCCAGAACATCCTACCTGCTGTTTTGAAGCTCAGTCTAATTTATTAAACAAAATCCATATTGCTGGACATTTTTGTTTTGAATTTTTTTGCTATTATAGCTCAGAAAAGGACTAATTGGCTAAAAAGGAATCAAAACTAAAAAGAAAACCAGAAAAACAGCAACCCAAATCTGAAGGCAATACTTGCTTATACATGCATTAAAGGTTGAAAAGCCCAAGGTTCGCCAAACTCAGGTACATATGAACAGTCAGGAAGTGCCGGCAGTGTGCCCCAAAGCCTGCCCTTCTTCCGGTGGCCAACAAGGTCCACCAGACTGGGTGAGCAGTGGGTCCTGACAGAGGAGTCTGAACAGAAGAAACTGATCATTGCCAGCTGGGGTTCTGGGCCCCCTGGCCTCTTCAGGGGGCTGCCCTGGGCTCCTCTCCAGACAGGCCTAACCACGCTATGTGGTCCCTGCTTGGAGGTCTTTCCTGGCCCCTTGGCATGAAGCTCCTGGAGGGCAGGACTTAGCTCTTCTGGCCCCAGCACTCAGTACATGTCCGTCACCTTGTTGGAACTCACTAGATGTGCTTTCAACAAATGCATCGGGCAATAATCAACTTGATCACCTAAGGATGGGGAAGGATCTAACCGTCACGAAATGTGCTACATCCAGACACCAACAAGGCGCTCAACATAGTCACTTCAACCTGTGACACAGTCCTCAGGAAGAAGGCGCTGAATTTTAAAACATTTTAGAATTAAGGGGATTTCTCTTTTAAAACTGCTCTACTGGAATATAATTGACATACAATAAGCTGCACAGATTTAAAGTGTACTACTTAATTTTTAACATCCATATACTCCCATGGAACCATCATCACAGTTAAGATAATGAACATGTCTCTCACCTCCAGAAGCTTCCAAGTGGCCCTTTGTCATCCTTTCATTCATCCTCACACCTTACCCCTATCCTCCACAACTGCTGACCTGCCTTCTCCCAGTGTGATTGCTCTGCCCTTGGGAACACTTGCCCAAAGTCACACAGGATGCAAAATCAGATGTGTGTGACTTTTTCCATTGCATTAATTGGTAATGGGTCCAGGTAGAGAATCAATACTGTAGTTATTCTTTTTTTGCCTGCCTTCTTTCCCTGGGCGTAATCACCCCGAGACTCATTGATGTGGCAGCCTGCACCAACAGGTCTGACCATTATTCCCGTTTTGCAGACACTGGGCGTCACAGGTGCTAAGTAATTTGCAATGTCACAAACCCACGAAGTGGTAGAGCCAGAATTTGATCTCAACTCTGTTGGCCACAAAGCCCATCTCCTTTTTTTTTTTTTTTTTTTTTGAGATGGAGTCTCACTGTGTCTCCCAGGCTGGAGTGCAGCGGCGCGATCTCTGCTCACTGCAAGCTCCGCCTCCTGGGTTCACGCCATTCTCCTACCTCAGCCTCCCAAGTAGCTAGGACTACAGGTGCCCGCTACCACGCCCAGCTATTTTTTTTTGTTTAGTAGAGACGGGGTTTCACCATGTTAGCCAGGATGGTCTCGATCTCCTGACCTCGTGATCCGCCCACCTAGGCCTCCCAGAGTGCTGGGATTACAGGTGTGAGCCACCACGCCCGGCCCAAAGCCCACCTCCTTTCTATTCCATCACTGCATCTAAGAACAGCCTAAGCATGAATCCAGCTGCTGCTGCTACTGATTATTTCTTCTTCTTCTTCTTCTTCTCCTTCTCCTCCTCATCCTCCTCCTCCTTCTTCTTCTTCTTCCTCTTCCTCTTCTTCCTTCTCCTCCTCTTCCTCTTCCTCTTCTCCTTCTTCTTCTTCCTCTTCCTCTTCTTCCTCCTCCTCCTCTTCCTCTTCCTCTTCTCCTCCTTCCTTCTTCTCCTTCTCCTTCTTCCTCTTCCTCTTCTCCTTCCCCTTCCCCTTCTCCTCCTCGTCCTCCTTTTTTTTCTCCTTCTCCTTCTCCTTTTTCTCCTTCTCCTTCTTCTTCTTCCTCTTTTATTTTTATCTTTTTTGAGGCAGGGTCTCACTTTGTCGTCCAGGCAATGCAGTGGCATGATCTCGGCTCACTGCAACCTCTGTCTCCCAGGCTCAGATGGATAAGCTATGGCTGCCGTGGGAGCACCCAGGACAGCCTCCTCCCACCTCAGCCTCCTGAGTAGCTGGAACTGCAGGTGCACACCACCATGCCCACCTAGTTTTTTGCATGTTTTGTAGAGACAGGCTTTTGCCATGTTGCCCAGGCTAGTCTTGAACTCCTGGGCTCAAGGGATCTACCCACCTTCGCCTCCCAAAGTGCTGGGATTACAGGCATGAACCACCGCTCCCGGCCATGAACCCAGCTTCTAAAGGGTAACTGTGAGCTGCCATGCAGGGTCCTCCTCTGGTGTCCCAACCTCCTGCCCTGTCTCCCCTTCCATCGCCTCTGCACCTTCTGTGGGAAAATTAGGTCCAGGCTCCCTGAGTCAGGAGACACCCTGGACCTGGGGAAGGGGAGATGATGCTCTCATATCTGCCTGTGGGCTGTGAGCAGCCTGATGGCAGGGACTATGCTTAGCATTTGGGGCCCCAGGACACAGCACAGAATCCCACACATAATAGACCTTCACTAGATTTGTGTTGAATTCTCTACTCGGTTTTGTCTGCTCCCTGGAGAAGCCCTCATGGTACAGGTAGGCTCCACTCCAAGGCTATAGGCCACTTCCTGAGCAAAGAGTCCCCAGACCTACCAGGACAGTGTCTGTCTCAGGTTATCAGCTTCCACATGTCCTGTGGGCATCAGCCTTACCTGGCCCATCTGGCTTCTCCAGCAGCACATCCCTCCCACTGGGGTGCCCATCCCAGGGAGGCCCCAGGGGTCTGCCTCAGCCAGAGGCCCTTCTTGGGTATGGCTCAGGGCTCTGGACCAGCTTCAGCCCAGTGCCTGGGCAGGTCCCAAGCTCTCCAGTCCTCCAGCAGGCATGCAAAGCAGGAGATCTAGAGTGTCTCCAGCCAAGGATGGAACCTTAACTGTGCCACTGGGAGACCTGGGAAACTCCCTCACCCACCCACTTGCTCATTCATTCATTCATTCATTCACTCATTCCACTTACACAAACCTCTTGTCAGCCCAGAGATGAGTAAGGCCCAAGCCAGGGCTGCTGTGTGCAGTTGTGCAGGTTGCATCTTGCACAAGGACACCAGTCAAGGGAACACTCATGGAACCGTTACCCTGGAGTGGCATGGTACAGCAGCCCTCTGGAGAGGTGATTCTGTATGGTGGCCCTGACTCTGTCCCCGTCCTCAGGGAGTCCATGGTCAGGGGCCACAGGGAGAAGTGACAGGGAAGTATGCCTGCAGCACAGCACGATAAGGCTATGCGGAGGAACACTGAGAGAGGGAGAGTTGTCCCAGTAGCCTGAGCCTATCAGGGGAGGTTTCCTGGAGGAGGTGGCATTGCCACTGAGACATGATGATGACAGAATGAGGAGAGAGCCGATACAGCAAGGGAGACCCTAAGCACAGGACTGGAGGCAAGCAGGTGCACAATATATATTTCAGAGTGGCAGAAACAAGGGTGGGGGTGCTAAGACCCGGCCTGAGGGCAATGAGGAAATGCTGGAGGGTTTCAACTAGGTGAGTGGAGCTCTTAGTCTCCCCTCTCTCATCTGTGAAATGGGCACAGCAATTCCTGCTTCTCCAGGTCGTGGGATATGCCTGGCACGTGGTAGGTCCTCAGTAACAGGGGCAGTCTCTGTGTCTGCCCGCTAAGCCAGGGAGGGGTCTGGCATCACACTGGCTGGGCCTGGTTGGCACCACCTTTCATACTCCGCTGTCCTGCTGCCCTCCGTTGGTGGGATCAGATGATGAAACTAAAGCCCATCTCTGAGAAGAAGGACGACGTGCCTCTCTGCCACGCCACCCCCAGATGCAGGCTGTGGCCCTGGCACCCGGCTCACCTCCCCTGGTACCCAGCCCTTGAGGCAAGGCCAGGGCGACCGGGCAGGGCCGGGCTGGGCAGCATGTGTGATGGCTAGGCCTCCTGGGACTGGCACCCACTGGTGGGAGAGGAATCTGAGAAGCCTCAAGGTGCAGGGGGACCTGCCTGACCACCCCCTTGTCTCTGAGGAAGCAAGAGCACCTGCCTTTCCCATCCCCATCCCCATCTTGCCTGGCGAGGCTCAGTTAGGCAGCTGTGGGGACCCCCAGCCACACTGTATCTCCTGCTCTGTGCTCCCAGCATCTCCTGCCCCAATGGCTCAATTTGGCAAAGTTATACTTTAAACGTTTTACTAGTGGCTGTTTTTCTGATTATAAAATAACATAGTCGGGAGGTGTGGGTCATGCCTGTAATGCCAGCACTTTGGGAGGCTGAGGCAGGTGAATCACTTGAGCCCAGGAGTTTGAGAACAGCCTGGGCAACATGGTGAGACCCTGTTTCTACAACAAAAGCAGAATTAGCTGGGTGTGGTGGCACATGCCTGTAGTCCCAGCTACTCAGGGGGCTGAGGTAGGAGAATTGCTGAGCCCTGGAAGGGGAGGTTGCAGTGAGCCTAGATCATGCCACTGCACTCCAGCCTGGGCAACAAAGTGAGACCCTGTCCCCCTCACCCCCCAACACACAAAAGTAATACATAGGGTAGGTGTGGTGGCCCACACCTGTAATTCCAGCACTTGTAGAGGCCAAGGTGGGTGGATTGTTTGAGGCCAGGAGTTTGAGACCAGCCTGGGCAACATAGTGAAGTGAGACCTCATCTCTACCAAAAAGAAAAAAAAAAATAGCCAATCGTGGTGGCCTTCTCCTGTAGTCCTAGCTACTCAGGAGGCTGAGGTGGGAGGATCACATGAGCCCAGGAATTTGAGGCTGTAATGAACTATGATCACACCACTGTGCTCCAGCTTGGGCAACAAAGCGAGACCATGTCTCAAAAAAAAAAAGAAAAAGAAAAAGAAAAAAAAGTAACAAGTACTCACTTTAGAAACCTTGGAAAATACTTACAAATAAAAGAAGGAAACAAAAATAATCAATCCATCACCCAGAAATAAACATTGAATTAACACATTCGTTAGGGATCTTTTCACACCTATGTGGGTAGACACAGACACAGACACACACACACACACACACACACAATTGGGAGTTACACAATTCTGCATTTTGCTTTTCTTATTAACGATTTCACCAGTCATTAGAGATGATTCATAAAGAGGTTAAGGTTTTATTGTGGAAAACTGAAAACATACCCAAAGGGAAAGAGAGCCATGTAAAGAATACACAGAACCTGTCACCAGCACCAGGGTCCACCCGTCTACCAATAGTCTGTTTTACCTATTCTTCTTCCCACCAACTTTTTTGGTTTTTGCTGGAGTATTTTACAGTCAATCCCAGATATCCAATTGTTTTGCCCATAAATATCAAAAGCATTTTTAAAAGCACTGGAAGTGGTCTTCGGCATACCCAAGAGGCCCCTGGCCTGGGTGTTGGGAGACCTGAGTCCTAATCCTGCTCAGGCCCCTCACTGCTGCATGAACATGCTCTTCGGCTCACTTGCTCTGTCAGATGGGGGCAACAGTGCCTGCCCGCCCCTGTAGGGGGTCATGAGGGCTCGGGGAGATGCTAGACTCCCTAGAGTTCTGCTCCTCGCGTCTACCATGTGCAGGGCATGGTGCTGGTCCGGTTCAATGCTTTGCAATGCTCCAAGAAGTTGCTGTTGGAGATGCAACTTCAACAAGAAGTATCCTCATCTCACAAGGAGAAAACAGAGACTCAGAGAGGTTATGTGACTTGCCCAAAGTCACACAAAATCTGATTTTGCCCAAAGATGCAAAATCAGATGAGTGTGACTTTTTCCATTGCATTAATTGTTAATGGGTCCAGAGAGTATTTGCCTCTTTAACAGCTATATTTTGATGTCTCCAGAAGACGAGAGGGTTCGAAATGTCCCCTTGGGCCATGGGAGCAGGGCCGAGATGGGGGTGAGAAGGAATCTCATCTCATACTAAGTTTAGAAGTACATTTCCTAGAGGTGTGGCAGAGGTGTGGGCAGGGCTAAGGGGCCAGCAAAGGGCAGGAGGCCCAGGGAACAGCTTCTCAGAAGCCTGGCAGGGAGCTGGTGCTGGGCAGAGGGTCCACCCAGCAGGAGTTATGGCCACACAGCCTCTGTCCGTACCTGGGCCTGGCAGGAAGGTGCCAGGAAAATAAACCTCCATCCCCCTGCCCTCCCCTTCCACAGTCCCGTGGGAAGCCAGAGGGCACAGGGCCGGCCCTGCTGCAGACCTCAGCGTTCAGCCTGCTTGGCCACCTGGGGCAGAGAGCAGGGGCAAAGTCAGAGATGGGGCCCGGAGGGCATGTGGAGAAAACTCAGCCCAGGAGGGAATGGCTCGAAGAACTAAGACCGGAAACGGGTTGTCTGTGGGGAGAACTGGGGGAGGGAGCATGGTGGGTAGGGGACTGTGCTTCTCAGTGGCACCCTACAGGGGCTGTTTTAATAAAAAATTCAGTAACAACCAAAACAAAACCACCCCACCACTCACTTCTCTTTTACTCAGAAACTGGCTCCATTTGTGTAGTTTTATGACTTCTTAGAGTTGGAACAGGAAAAATACAGCATTCTTGGTCATTCTCACTAATGTCCTGGGGGGTGTTCCCTTCTCTTGCAGCCCCCCAAGGTGCGGGGGTGCCTCAGCACCACAGTGTTCTGTTCAAGTTCTTACAGGCCACAGAGGACGCCCGGCTGAGAAAGGGTTCAGAGGAGCCTAGCTAGAGTTTGGCCAAAAGAGGGCCTTTGTCACCGCCTAGCATCAGTGTATCATAGTCGTGAACAGCCAGGAGGGACCTCCGTTCACAGCCCCCCACTTTCCAGCTGAGTGACCCCGGGAAAACCTCATAATCTTCCATGTTAGCTTCCTAGGGCTTCTGTCCAAGGACCACAAACCAGGTGGCTTCAAGCAACAGATATATATTCTCTCACAGTGATGGACGCCAGAATCTGAAATCAAGGTGGGTGATATGGTTTGGCTGTGTCCTCACTCAAACCTTGTCTTGAATTGTAGCTCCCATCATTCCCATGTGTTGTGGGAGGAACCTGGTGGGAGACAACTGAATCATGGGGGAGGTCTCTCCTGTGCTGTTCTCACGATAGTGAACAAGTCTCATGAGATCTGATGGTTTTATAAGGGAGGGTTTCCCTGCATGAAATCTCTTTGTCTGCTGCCATCCATGTAAGATGTGACTTGTTCCTCCTTGCCTTCCACCATGATTGTGAGGCCTCCCCAGCCACATGGAACTGTGAGTCCATTAAACCTCTTTTTCTTCCCAGCATTGGCTGAGTCTTTATCAGCAGTGTGAAAATGGACTAATACAGTAGGGCAGGGTGGTTCCTTCTGGAAGCTCCAAGGGACAGTCTGCTCCATGCCACTCTTCTGGCTTCTGGCACTTACCGGCCACCCAGATGTCCCTTGGCTTGGGGCTGCGATATTCCACTCTCTGTCTTTCCACTGTGTCTGGGTCACAAATTTCCCCCTCCTTTCTCTTACAGGAATGCCAGTCATTGGGTTTAGGGCCTCCCTAAATTCAGGATGATCCCATCTGGAGATCCTTACCTCAATTCCATTGATAAAGACCTATTTCCAAATAAGTGCACGTTCACAGATACTGGGGTGTTCAGACTTGGACATGGATTTTTGGGGGCCACTATTCAATCCACTAAACCCTTGGAGCTGCAGCATGCTCCTCTGTCAGTGGGTGTGGTGGAGCCCCTGAGAGATGTGAGGATGGCAGCAGAGAAGCCCACGTGGTCCCCACCAGGAGTTGGCCGCAGCAATGGTGGAGTGGATGGCAGTGACTGGAGGGAGGGAGATGGGCCCAAGGAGGTGAGACCTTTCTTTTTCAGGTCCCCAGGCTGCTGGCACAATGAGGACAAGATTCCCCAGCCAAGCCTGTCATTCTCAGATGAGGGAGGACTGAGCAGGGCGAGGGTGGACCGGCAACCATCAAGGGTTAGTGGAAGGAGGGACTCTAGGCATAGGCTGTGCCCTGGGGGGATCTGGACAGGACTGTGACTGCTTTCCTAGGCCCATGGGACCAGCCTAGCCAGTGTCTCTCCTTGACCCTTCCCCTTATGCCTTTCAGCCTGTTCCTGTTTGCCCTAGGGCTTGGCGAGGCCTCTCCTGAGAGCTCCTTCAATGCGAAAGCCAGTGTTCTGGGAGGTTCACAGCTTTTCTCTCCTCCCAGCCTGGGACTGGGCTCCAAGCCGATGCTACCACTTCCCGCTGGGTGAGCTCCCTATGGCTCAGGGCTTCTGTCACAAAAGTGGGAATGAAAACACTTCCCTCACAGGGTGGGGTTGAAAATGATACCGTCCTGTATCCATGAAACTGCCTGGTGCAGGCTGGGCCACAGCAGGCAGTGGCCGATGTGTTCGAGATGGATCTTTGCACAGACAAAGGACCCCAGGACTTTTCCAGTTCAGAAACCTTGAAGCTCCTAAATCCCAAACTGCAGCTGTCCGCAGGCCCAGTGAACCTCGCTTCTCCCAGCAAGAGCTGGTCAGCAAGAGCTATCTCCAGCCTCGCTTGTTAAACTATTCGACTTGTTAAAAAAATTATGCAAGTATTATATGAAACACATTCTCTCTGTAAGAAAATAAAGCACTACAGAAGCATATAAAATCTAGAGTAAGAAATCCCTTTCCTGGCTGGGTGCAGTGGCTCACGCCTGTAATCCCAGCACTTTGGGAGGCCAAAGTGGGTGGATCACCTGACATCAGGAATTCCAGACCAGTCTAGCCAACATGGCAAAACCCTGTCTCTGCTAAAAATACAAAAAAATTAGCCGGGCGTGGTGGTGTGTGCCTATAGTCCCAGTTACTCAGGAGGCTGAGATAGGAGAATTGCTTGAACCTGGAAGGCAGAGGTTGCAGTGAGCCAAGATCGTGCCACTGCACTCCAGCCTGGGCTACAGAGCAAGAGTCAGTCTCAAAACAAAAATAAAAATAAAAAAAAAGAGAAATCCCCTTCCCCACCCACTATATTTTCACCTCAATCAGTCTCTCCTCCAGAGATAAGCATTGTCCAGAGAAGGATGGCTTCTATTACACACACACACATCTGTGGACAGACAGGGCCATACTTACTGCTCTGTAACTGGCTTCTTTCACATAACAGTGTGGTAGACATTCTGTTGCCGCATGTCAATCTATTTCATTGCATTTAACAACTAATTCACATTTTTTGCAGAATGTGTACACCGTACTTTATTAATTCCCCTATGATGGACATCTAGGTTATTTTTAATTCCCCACTCAAACAATGGTGCAATGCATATATCTGTGCGAGCATCTTTTTGCTTATGTGAGAGTATTTCTACTTGTCAGGTATCTTGGAATAACACTGTCCAGTGAAAGGCTGTTTGCATTATATGTGTGAATAAGCACCGATAAATTGCCCTTCCGAAAGACTAACCAGTTACCACTCTTTCCAAGTTGCGAGAGTGCATTTCCCCATGCCCATGTCAACACCCCACAATAGCAGTATTTTTCATTTTTGCCAGTTAAAAACTCTTTGTGGCATGAGTGACATTTCCCTGAGTATCCTACCATTGAGCATCTTTTCGTGGCTTCGGGCCATTCGTATTTACTCACTGTGGATTTTCTCTTTCCATCCTTGTCCGATCTTCTATTAGGTTCATTATTCATTTGGAAGTTTTGTCCCCTTTAGAAAAAAAAAGGGATCAGTGTACACATTGTTAAAAATTCAAATAAAACAAGATGGGTTTCGCCACATTGCCCAGGCTGGTCTCGAACTCCTGAGCTCAAGCAATCTGCCCACCTCTGCCTCCCAAAGTACTGACATTACAGGTGTGAGCTACTGAGCCCAGCCTAGTTCCTCAGTTTTAAAATGTGTTTTGCTACATGGTCGTTCATCTACGTGCTGAGTCGAGAGTAAAAAGGAGCCCTCCGCCCTGCCCGAGTTTGCTGCAACTGCCCAAAATCTCCACTGGCATATGGACACGGCACTGTCAGGGGCCTCTGAAAATGTTTTCATTTTAATTTATTTTAAAATCAGAAGGAAAGGCTGTGCACGGTGGCTCACACCTGTAATCCAAGCACTTTGAAAGGCCAAGGCGGGTGGATCACCTGAGGTCAGGAGTTCAAGACCAGCCTGGCCAACATGGTGAAACCCCATCTCTACTAAAATACAAAAATTTAGCCGGGTGTGTGGTGGCGCACACTTGTGGTCCCAGCTACTCAGGAGGCTGAGGCAGGAGAATCACTTGAACCTGGGAGGTGGAGGTTGCAGTGAGACAAGAGTGCATCACTGCACTCTGGCCTGACAACAGAGTGAGACTCTGTCTCCAAAAATTAAAATTAAAATCAACAAATAAAATAAAATCAAAAGGAAAAATAAATATAACCATAATGAACATATAATAATGTGTCCAGTCTGGATCACATTTGACTTTAGACAAGGCAGTTATAAAGTATCATTTGAAGTATTTTTTGATGGAGGTAAAAGTACTCAGGGCCTATGAAGCCACAACGCATGCAACCTGCCAGGGCCAGTCAGTTTCTACCTTCTTGGGAGCCATTCTAAAAATATTTTATGCAGAGTTGTTTCAAATATTTACATAGAATAAACTATTTTGCTTTTTTATTATGCTACATTTTAAATATATAGGAAAATGAAGGAAATGATATAACTAATACTTCCGAACCCAATACCCAGATTAATAGTAAATAAATTTTACCATATTTGCTTCAGAGCTCTGTTTTGCTTAATAAGAAAGGAAAGAGAATGTGATGTAAAAAGCTAACCCCAACCATTAGTTTGTCCTCTCTTTCCCGCATGATCCTGAAATTGCAGTGGGTCGCTCACTGCATGAGCATGTTTGCATGGATCATAAACCCTGTGCTGGATCCAGTAGTCCCTGGCAGCTTAGCAGGGCTTGACAGAGTGGACCACTCCATCTTCCTTGGGATAACCCCTTGCCTTGCTCCCAGGCCTCCAACCTGCCTGGATTTCCTCCTACTTCCCTGGCCACCCCTTCTCAGCCCCTCTCACTTATTACCCCTCATCTTCTGGATGGCTTACTCGTGGAGGACCCAATACTCAGTCATGCTCATCTCTGTCTAGCCTCTCTCGGTGATCTCATCCAGTCTATGGGTTTAAATAGCATTTACATGCTGACTGATATAGTATGGAGTTGTGCCCCTGCCCAAATCTCATGTTGAAATGTAATCCTCAGTGTTGAAAGTGGGGCCTGGTGGGAGGTGATTGGCTCATGGGGGTGGGTTTCTCTTGAATGTTGAAAGTGGGGCTTGGTGGGAGGTGATTGGCTCATGGGGGTGGGTTTCTCTTGGTTTAGTACCATCCCCTTGGTGCTGTCCCCATGATAGTGAGTGAATTCTTGTGAGATCTAGTTGTTTAAAAGTGTGTGAAACCCCCTCCCTCTCTATCTTGCTCCTGTTTTCGCCATGTGATGTGCAAGCTCCAGCTTTGCCTTCTGCCATGATTAGAAGCTTCTAGAGGCCTCCCCAGAAGCAGACGCTGGTGCTATGCTTCCTGTACAACCTGTAGAACTGTGAGCCAATGAAACCTCTTTTCTTTATAAATTACCCTGTCTCAGGTATTCCTTTATAGCAATGCAAGAATGGCCTAATACACTGACTGACATCCAAGTTAATGTCTCTAGCCCAATTTTCTCACCTAATTTCAAACCCGTATACCCAACTACCTATTGGACGTACCCTGCTGGATGTCTGGTAGGCATCTCCAACCAAAGGAACAAGACCAGACTCGTGAACTCCCTCCCATCTGCTCTTCCCAAAGTCTTCTACGTCTCAGTAGACAAAACCTCTGCTCTTCTGGTGGCTAACTCCTAAACCTGGATGTCACTCTTGATTTCTCTCACACTCACACCCTCCATCAAGATCAATGAGCAAATTCTGCTAGCTCTACCATCAAACCATATTCTGAATCAGACTCCTCACTCCCTCTGCTGCTGACGCCCTGGTTGGAGCTGCACCTAGCACCATCTGCTGTATTATAACATTATTTGTGTGTTCATTCATTTGTCTCCCACAATTAGAATATAAGTTTCAAGACAGTGAAGACATTATGTTTTGTTTATTATATCATCTGCATCTGGAACAGTGCTGATACACAGTAGGTGTTCAATAAATATTTGTTGGGGGCTGGGCACGGTGGCTCAAGCCTGTAATCCCAGCACTTTGGGAGGCTGAAGCAGGCAGATCATGAGGTCAGGAATTTGAGACCAGCCTGGCCAACATGGTGAAACCCCATCTCTACTAAAAATACAAACATTAGCCGGGCGTGGCGGTGTGTGCCTGTAATTCCAGCTACTCGGGAGGCTGAGGTGGGAGAATTGCTTGAGCCTGGGAGGCAGAAGTTGCAGGGAGCCAAGATTGCACCACTGCACTCCAGCTTGGGAGACACAGTGAGACTGTCTCAAACTGAATAACTAACTAAATAAATATCTGTTGGATGAATAAATATTTTAATAATCAGGTTTATTTCTATACTTTATTCTGTTTCACTGATTTGACTGCGTTGCACCAAGACCTCAGTATTTTAGTTCCTTATTTTATTTATTTATTTATGTATTTTTAGAGACAGAGTTCACTCTGTTGACCAGGCTGGAATGCAGTGGCACAATCATTGTTCATTGCAGCCTTGACTTCCAGGTTGAAGCTACCCTCCCACCTCAGCCTCCCGAGTAGCTGGAACTACAGGCACATACCATCATGCCCAGCTAATTTTTGTGTGTTTTGTAGAGATGGGGTTTCACCACGTTGCCCAGGCTGGTCTCAAACTCCCGAGCTCGAGCAATCTGCCCACCTTGACCTTCCAAAGAGTTGGCATCACAGGTGTGAGCTACCGTGCCCAGCCGAGTTCCTTAGTTTTAAAATGTGTTTTGATATATGGTAGTTCATATACATACTGATTATTATTCTTTTTCAAAATTGATTTTGTTCTCATGCATTTTCTAATACAGATGAACCTTAAGAGTAACTTTGTGAAGTTTCTCTAATTATCCTGTTGGTGTTTTGATTGGAATTACATTCATAGACTTACAGATTGATTTGGGAAGAAACAATTTTACCCTATTGAGTTTTCCTATCCTAGAACATTGAATGTCTCTCCATTTATTCAGGACTTTTATATCATTCAATCTAGTTTTAGAGTTTCCTTTATATCAATCTTGTACATTCCTTGCATTTCTGGGAAAAATTCTTTTGGTCACAATATATTCTTTTAATTTAATAGTCAATTCACTATGCTAATGTGTAATTTAAGATCTTTGCATGTCAGGATTATAAAAAGAGGCAGGAAGAGTTTTATCTTTGTTAAATTGTGGAACAGTTTGTATTACACAGGCATTGTATCTTCCTTGAAAGCTTAGAAGAATTTGCCTCTATGGCTGCCTGGGCTTGCTGTCTTTTGAGGTATAGATCTTTGACTATCTTTACAATTACATATATATGTATATTTATATATATATGGTATATACATACAATTATATATCCATATCTATCTATCTATCTATATACTGTATGTTTTTTTTTTTTTTGAAACGGAGTTTCGCTTTTGTTGCCCAGGCTAGAGTGCAGTGACGTGATCTCGGCTCACTGCAACTTCCGCCTCCTGGGTTCAAGCTATTCTCCTGTCTCAGCCTCCTGAGTAGCTGGGATTACAGGCATGCACCACCACGCCAGCTAATTTTGTATTTTTGTAAAGACAGGGTTTCTCCATGTTGGTCAGGCTGTTCTTGAACTTCTGACCTCAGGTGATCCGCCCACCTCAGCCTCCCAAAGTGCTGGGTTTACAGGCGTGAGCCACCATGCCCAGCTATATACTGTATTTTTTTAGAGCAGTTTTAGGTTCACAGCAGAATTGAATGGAAAGTACAGAGGGTTCCTGTCCCGTCACCACGCAATAACCTCCCCTATTATCAACATTCTGCAGCAGAGTGTTACATTTGTTATAATGGAACCTACATTGACACATCATTATCACCCAGAGTCTGTAATTTACTCTGGGGTTCACTCTTGGTGTTGTACATTCTGTGGCTTTGGACAAATGGATAATGCTATGGATTCACCATAATAGTAAACAGAGGCCAGGCTTGGTGGCTCACGCCTGTAATCTCAGCACTTTGGGAGGCCGAGGCGGGCAGATCACGAGGTCAGGAGATCGAGACCATCCTGGCTAACACGGTGAAACCCCGTATCTACTGAAAATACCTAAAAATTAGCCAGGCGTGATGGCGGGCACCTGTAGTCGCAGCTACTCAGGAGGCTAAGGCAGGAGAATGGCATGAACCCGGGAGATGGAGGTTGCAGTGAGCCGAGATCGCACCAGCCTGGGTGACAGAGTGAGACTCCGTCTCAAAAAAAAAAAAAAAAAAAGTAAACAGAGTAGTTTTGTGCAACAGAAAGCCAAACAGTGAAACACCATGTTTCTGCGGTGAAAGAGGTTTATTGTGAGTCAACTGGCAAGGAGACAGAAGGAAACACTCAAATCTAGCTCCCTGAGCTGGGGGATGGGGCAGGTTTTATAGTCAGAGTGTAATGAGGTGTGATCTGATTGGATCTTGCAATGAGGTGATGCCAGGGGGTGTGTTCTCACTGGATCCTGCCACAGGGTGATGCCAGGGCTCCATCTGATTGGATCCTGGATCCTGCCATGTTGTGTCCACTTCTTAACTTAACTTAAGTTCCACTCATGTTGCCTGCTTGGTTCATCTGGGCTTGCTCCAGTTAACGTGACCTGGGGATGGTTTATGGCTACTGAGAAACAACTCACAACTTTGTTACTTAAAGGTTGAACACTGGTGCAGTTATGGTTTCACTGCCCTAAAAGTCTTTTGTGCTCTATCTTTTCATCCCTCCTCCTCCCCAACCCCAACCCCTGGCAACCACTGATCTTTTTACCGTTTCCATAGTTTAGTCTTTTCCAGACGCCATAGAGTTGAAATCGTACAGTATGTAGCCTTTTCAAATTGGCTTTTAAAACTTAGTAATATGCATTTAAGTGTCTTCCATGTTTTTTTCAAGGTTTGGTGGCTCATTTCTTTTAGTGCTGAATAACGTTTCACTCTCTGATGTACCACAGTTTATTCATCCATTCACTTACTGAAGGGCATCTTGGTTGCTTCCAAGTTTTGGCACTTATGAATAAAGCTGCTATAAACATGCATATGCAGGTTTTTGCATGGACATAAGTTTTCAGCTCTTTTGGGTAAATACCAAGGAGTGTGATTACTGGAGCATATGGTAAGAGTATGTTTTGTTTTGTGAGAAACTATTAAACTGTCTTCCAAAGTGTCTATACCATTCTGTATTCCACCAAGAATGAATTAGAGTTCCTGTTGCTCCACAACCTTGCCAACATTTGGTGTTGTCAGTGATTTTAAACATGCTAGCAGGTGTGTATTGGTATCCGCTTGTTTTAATTTGTAATTCCCAATTCCCTAATGACATATGTTGACCATCTTTTCATATGCTTATTTGCTGCCCGTATATTTTTGGTGAAGTGTCTTTTCAGATCTTCTGCCCATTTTTTAAAGAGATTGGGATTTCACTCTGTTGCCCAGATGGGATTCAAACTCCTAGGCTGAAGTGGTCCTCCCAACTTAGCCTCCTGAGCAGCTGGGACTATAGCCGCACCTTATTGCACCTAGCTTCTTTTGTCCATCTTAAAATCTGGTTGTTCATTTTTTTATTGTTGAGTTTTAAGAGGTTTTTTTGTATATGTTGGATAACAATCTTTTACCAGATATGTTTTTTTTTCCAAAATTTTTTTCTGGTCTATGGCTTGTCTTCTTATTCTCTTGAATAATTTATATTTCCCTGGAAAATAATTCCAATTCCTTTGGTGGAATTGTTTTCTCACCTCCTCTGAACCTGCACCACCAATTCACCTTCTTTGGCATTTACCTACTCTCTAAATCACAGTGTGCTAGACTTTCATTGGTTAAGTGCCTAGGTTAGTTCCCTCTTGCCCAATACATGCATAATTTCCTTTGAGAAGCTACTGTTCACCATGATGTAACAACTTCATGGTTTGGGTGGGATTCAAACACATCCAGCATCAGGATGGGCCCAGACTGGGTTAATCCAATCAGTGCAACTCATTCCCCCTGCTAAAGTTTGAAGGCCCATAGTCCCTGTTGTTGGCAGTCACCTTGACATCAAGAGGAAATCAGCCTGAGGATAACATCAATAGAAAAGAGCAGAGCTGAGAGTATGGCAAAAATAGCAAGCTGGAGCCCTGATCAAACCATGCCTGAAGCCTGTGTGATTCTGGAATTTTGGTTTTTGCTAGCCAATAAATCTCTTTTATTTTATTTTAATGTTTTGGTAACTAAGTAACTTTTTTATTTCAAAAGTCTTAGACCTTCATAAAAGGTACAAAGAACTCCTTCATAATCTATATTCAGATCTCCCAGTTGTTAACATTTTACTGCAATGCTTCATTGTTCCACCTCTCTCTCTCTCCCCGCCCCCACCCCCCACATAATCCCTAGATACTCCAAGGTGTAGCTCTCCCAACATAAAGATGGTTCCTTACATTAAAATGATTCCTCCGTATCAGGAAATTAACATTGATACAAATCTCCCATCCAATCCAGAAATCTCATTCAAATTCCATCAACTCTCCCATAAATGTCTCTTGAGGGCAAGGGTTGGGTCAGGATCTGTTTCAGAATCTCACATTGTGTTTAGTTGCCCTGTCTCCTCAGTCTCCTTCCATCTGGAATAATTCCTCACCCTTTCCCTGTGTCCCTTGTCTGGAGAGTTTTAGAGAACCGAGGTCGTTCATTCCGTAGGTCGATCTCACCCACAGACCCCCCTGTGTTCACTCGTACCCAGACTCTGGCTGTCTGGTCTAGAAGGCGGCTACGGAGGCAATGCCACGCCCTTCTCAATGCCTGCTCAGTGCCTCCCCAGAGTGCTTTATGTCCTCCCATCCCAAGCCAGGTGATGCTCACTTTCGTCTCCTGGTCACATCGGTGCCTGCCAGGTTTCTCCACAATGAAGTCATCATTTCTCCTCCATATTTGATTAGTATTTTGTAGGAAGATAGTCTGATATTATGCAAATATTCTGTTCCTCATCAAACTTGTGCCCATCAGCCTTATGGCTCCTGCTGATACCAACTACCGGTGTAATGGCTGCCAAATGTGAGTGCGTAATTTTGTCGGTCCTTCTACTTTGTTAGTTGCCTTCTCTTATAAAGAATACCTTGCCTCCCATTTTGTTCATGTACATATGTATTTGTATCAGTGTGGACTCATGGATGCCTATTTTATTTGGTAGGTTGAACTTTGAACCTACTTTGGTAGGTTGTGCTCACTGCTCCTGGATGTCATTGCTTCTCAGTTCTCTCAGGGAACATACGCACAAAGCAGAATGCACCTACGCATGTATCTCTGACCGTTTCTATATCTATCTGTGTCAATGTATTTAAATACCCAGGAGTTCATCTGACCCTTCCAATGCCATTCCAAGCCCTCACCATTCCTTCCAGCCTTCCCGAATCCCATGTTTCTAAATGCCTCTTCAGACAGTAAGAAAACTGGCTCCCATTATCTTCAGCATATTTACTTATTTGCTTAATCGATTCACTGTTTGCTCAGGTAACACAGCCTTCAAAACCTGTCACCTCTGCCCCAGGTCCTCAGAGCTCAGGGAATGCTGAGGCCAAGGCAGGCCCCCTGCCTCCTGCTCAGCTTTCGCAGGTACAGACGTCTCCACGCTTCTAGGGGAAGGAAACGGATATGGGAAAGAAGATAATGATGCGAAGGCAGGCCTCTTTTTTTTTTTTTTTTTTTTTTTGAGAGGGAGTCTCGCTCTGTCGCCCAGGCTGGAGTGCAGTGGCGCGATCTCAGCTCACTGCAAGCTCCGCCTCCTGGGTTCACGCCCTTCTCCTGCCTCAGCCTCCCGAGTAGCTGGGACTACAGGCGCCTGCCACTACGCCTGGCTAATTTTTTTTTTTTTTTTTTTTTTTTTTTGTATTTTTAGTAGAGACGGGGTTTCACCATGTTAGCCAGGATGGTCTCAATCTCCTGACCTTGTGATCCACCCGCCTCGGCCTCCCGAAGTGCTGGGATTATAGGCGTGAGCCACCGCGCCCAGCCAGCAGGCCTGCTTTTTACAAAACAATTTTAGGATCGGCTTTCTGTTATAGCATAGCCCTTGTATCTGACACTATTGGGATTAGTAACTGGGACATTTTTTAAAAGCTGTCTCAAGTAGGGATTCATAAAACATGGCTCGAAAACCACGTGCATGTGTGTATTCTTTAAATCTTTTATTTAACTTTCAAAATACAGTTGTACCTTTATTTCTTAATATTCTGAAGTAGGGCTAAGGCCTTTTCTTGACGTGGGTCTGTTATGTAGGTTTTTTTTTTTTTTTTTTTTTGAGATGGAGTCTTGCTCTGTCGCCAGGCTGGAGTGCAGTGGCACGATCTTGGCTCACTGCAACCTCCGCCTACTGGGTTCAAGTGATTCTCCCGCCTCAGCCTCCTGAGTAGCTGGGATTACAGGCATGCGCCGCCACGCCCAGCTAATTTTTGTAGTAGTTTTAGTAGAGACGGGGTTTCACCATGTTGGCCAGTCTGGTCTCGATCTCCTGACCTCGTGATCTGCCCACCTCGGCCTCCCAAAGTGCTGGGATTACAGGCGCCAGCCACCGCACCCAGCCTGTTGTGAAGTTTTATATCATCTTTCATACACAGACCACACTTATTGGACATTGTATACAACTTCCAGTTATATTTCCTCAGCATGATCGTTAAAGACGTTTACAAATTCTCTGAATGCAAAGTTACTCTAGATTTGCACAATGCCTCCCAGCCCAAGCCTATATATCTCTCTTGCCCATACTCAGTTTAATGGCAATGATTTTTAGTGACTTGTGTTTACTGAGCTTTTCTAGGGCAATCTAATTTTCATAGAAATAACACTTACTTGTTACACTCTTATTTCATTGACCTAAACGCTAATTAATTAAATCATATACTTGCAATAATAAATACAATTGGCACAACCAGGCTTGGAGACATACAGCTCCTCAGGTAGTTAGTAATCATAGACCTAAGTGGGTAGGAGCAGAAGGATGTGATATTCTAGAGCAGACCAGGACACTTTTTCTGAGGGTCATGTAGTACATATTTTTGGCTTTTGTAGGTCCTGTGGTCTTCATAACAAAGACTTCACTCTCACGGTGGTGAGAAAGCAGTCACGGGCCATATGTAACTGAGTCCAAGAAAACCAAATTTGGCCTGTGGGCTAACCAGGGGTGGGAGTTTGATGACCCCTCCTCTAGAGAGTGACCTATCAGCTATGACATTTGATGTGCCCTGGGCATCCACTGCTTGTTTTGGTGGTGGAAATGGAGGACATTGGTTGGTTAAGTAGATTTCAGGCAAGAGAATTTTTCCTGCCTTGCACCAGAAAGAATCCTAACTTGAACTGCCCAAATCATCTTCTTGAACTGCCAGTCTTGCAGACCTTCCTACTCCCGAACTATAGTCAACTCCTTGGCATTTTTTCTGAGGACAAGACATCATATATATATATATATATATAAAATATATATATATATAAAATATATATACATATATAATAAATATATAAATATATATTTAAAATATATATTATAAATATATACATATATTTAAATATATATACTTATATAAATATATAAATATATACATATATTTAAATATATATATACTTATATAAATATATAAATATATATATAAATATATATTTAAAATATATATATTTATATATACATGTATACATTTATAAATATATACTTTAAATATATATTTATAAATACATACATATATTTAAATATAAATATACACGTATATTTAAATATAAATATACACGTATATTTAAATATAAATATATACACGTATATTTAAATATAAATATATACACGTATATTTAAATATAAATATATACACGTATATTTAAATATAAATATATACACGTATATTTAAATATAAATATATACACGTATATTTAAATATAAATATATACACGTATATTTAAATATAAATATATACACGTATATTTAAATATAAATATATATACGTATATTTAAATATAAATATATATACATATATTTAAATATAAATATATACATATATTTATACATATATATTATAAATATATATACATATATTTATACATATATATTATAAATATATATATATATATATTTTTTTGAGATGGGGTCTTGCTGTGTCACCCAGGCTGGAGTGCAGTGGCGCGATCTCGGCTCACTACAACCTCCGCCTCCCAGGTTCAAGCAATTCTCCTGCCTCAGCCTCCCAAGTAGCTGGGATTACAGGCATGCACCACCATACCTGGCTAATTTTTGTATTTTTAGTAGAGACAGGTTTTGCCCATTGGCCAGGCTGGTCTTGAACTCCTGACCTCAGGTGATCCACCTGCCTTGGGCTCCCAGAGTGCTGGGATTACAAGCATGAACCCCCGTGCCCAGTCTTCTTTTATTTATATTTTAAAAAACCTTTTATGATAGAACATTTCAAAGATATAGAAAAGTAGAGAGAATAGTAAATGAACCCGATGTAGCCATCTCTCAAGTGAAACAGTTACTAATAAATGGCTGATTTTTATCTGCAGGAACAGGGTAGCCTCTTGCTATCCTGGAAGTCTCCCGGCAGCTACAGAAGGATTGTCCTGGGAGGGCAGCCAGCACAGGCACACTTGAGAATCTTTCACTATCAGGGTAAGGGGCCTGAGAGCCTGGCAGCTAAGAGCAGCTGAGCCCCAAGTTCTCAGGGTCTACTGAGCTAATGCGTTTCTCCTCTTTGGGGTGGGGTGCTGTTTGTTTTTCAAGGACTCTCTCACTAAGAGGATTGATATGGTTTGGCCCTGTGTCCTCACCCAAATCTCATCTTGAATTGTAATCCCCATGTGTCGAGGGAGGGAGGTAGTTGGATAATGGGGGTGGTTTCCCCATGCTGTTGTGGTGATAGTGAATGAGTTCTCATGAGATCTGGCGGTTTTATAAGGCAGTTTTCTCTGCTTTTGCTCGCTTCTCTCTCCTGCCACCTTGTGAAGAAGGTGCCTACTTCCCCTTCCACCAGGATTGTAAGTTTCCTGAAGCCTCCCCAGCCATGCGGAACTGTGAGTCAATTAAACCTCCTTTGTTTATAAATTACCCAGTCTTGGGTATTTATTTCTTTATAGCAGTGTGAAAATGGACTCATACAAGGGTCAAAAGCTAAATGTTTCCAGGTGGACACTTGAAACCATCCACCACCTTTGCCTTCACAAAATTCTTTCCTGCCTTCATTCTTTTTACTCTCTGGAAATATAAAAGCTCAAGTGGGGCCAGGCGCAGTGGCTCATGCCTGTAATCTCAGCACTTTGGGAGGCCAAGGCAGGCAGATCACAAAGTCAAGAGTTTGAGACCAGCCTGGCCAGCATGGTAAAACCCCGTCTCTACTGAAAATACAAAAATTAGCCAGGCATGGTGGTGCATATCTGTAGTCCCAGCTACTCAGGAGGCTGAGGCAGGCGAACCACTTGAACCCAGGAGGCGGAGGTTGCAGTGAGCCGAGATTGTGCCACTGCATTCCAGCCTGGGCGACAGAGTGGGACTCCTTCTCAAAAATAACAAAAGCTTCAGTGTGCACCCTGGCCTTTCAAACAAAGATTTCTGAAGAGGCCAAACAGTGCAGTGGTCAAGAGGGGGCCCTTAGAGTCAGACTGCCCGAGTCTAGGTCTCAGCTCTGCCACTGACCAGCTGAGGAGAAATCACATAACCCCTTGCGCCTCCATTTTCTCATCTGGGAAATGGGGATGGTAAAAATTCCTGCCTCAGGGATTTTTGAGAGGATGAAATAAGTTAGATAATACACATAAGGCACCTAGAACAGGCGCCAGCACAGATTCAGCACTTAATAACATTAAAATGAGAAAAAGATACAGAAAGGTCCTACCCATCGGCCACTGGTGGTAAAAATGTTTACATCTACATCTGGACTAACCACTGTCCGTAGAGAGTGGGCTACCATAAGGACGAGATCTGACCCTTGGCCATACTCTTAACCAGCTTGGTGACCATGGTTAGCCCCAATGCCTTTCAGGGCCTCCCAGCTCCCATCAACAACAGGAGGTGTTTGAACAACCTGTCCCTTTCACCCTTTTATATTACTTTAGTCAGAAACTTGGAATCTCTTTGCATCAAGGAGACGTTCCCACCCCACTGTGGGCCTCCTCAGGCCCTGGGGCTTATTTTTAATTAACCAACCACGACTTCAGGAATGCAAGTGCTAACAGGTCAAGCACGGCAATGGGCAGCGGATCTCCCCTGGGCCCCCGGCCTGCTGCTCCTCCTGCTGCTCCTTCTCCGGGTGCAGATCTCCACTGACCAGCCACAGGCCTTCTCCAGCCGGCTGACTCATGGTGGCCACCCCTGCAGTTCAGCAGACTGCTGGCTGGACAGTTCCCAGGCTCTTACGGGGGCCCTGGCAGCTAAGAGGAGGGCGGGTACATCGTCCCCAAGACAGAGGCAGAGTGGAACATCCCCAATCCTGGGAGCCAGCCCCCTTCACCTGAGTTTCCTCCCTCCCTTCAGACATGAGATCCTAGAACCTCTCAGTCTAGAACCCAAGGCCCCTACAACATGAGGCCCCATGGGCTCCAGAATCCTGAAGTTAGTCTGCAGGACCTGGTCCTAAATAAACAAGGGCCTCTGGGCCCTCCCCTGACTGAACTCCTCTGTCTTTGGGGGTGCCTGAGCTCAGCTCTTAAGCCCATGGAATAAAATGATGGTGTTAGCCACAGGGCAGGTGCTTGGCTGAATACATCCAAGAAGAAGGGGAATGATCAGATGCCAGGAATTATGAGAGCCATCACCGGCCAGGGGCATGAGCCAGGAGGGTAATGATCATGGGCTTCAGTTTCCTCCAGGGGACTACATCTTGAAGGTCTGTGCCAACTCTTCCAGGATGAGTCTGATCTGCAGAAGAACAAGGCACAGAGACCAGAGCTTCTAAATGACACATTTCTGCAGCCTGGTTTGGCTTCAAGTTGAATGCCAGCCTTCCTCTCGCCCACTCCTGCACCCTTCCCTTTCATATGCTCCTCCCCTGAATCCTCGCCTGACCACCTACCCATCCCCCCAGCATGTTCCTGACATCATCTCTGCCTCTTGCAGCTTTAACGCCTTACATCATGCAGTAGGAGGCAGTTAGGCAGAGTTCACTCCCAGGCTCTGTACATGCTCATAGATCTCCCAGAGTGACCAGGAAGCGTTTGAGGCCCACAGAACAGAGCTCTGTCTTTCGCCTCAGGCTCTGGGGTTGAATGTGGGTGGGGCTCAGCTGTCCCTCAATGGCTACACAGGATGACACTCATCAGGTGGCCCTCGAGGGTCAGCCCAGATGAACTGAGAGGATCTCCCTGAATAAAAGTTCAAGACAGTCTTCATATGCCTGGTTTGGGCACCCTTTAAAAGCCACACATCCACCTAGAATCCCCCAAACTGGGCTCTCTCCATGGCCCTCGAGTTTTTGAACAGGTCTTCTCAGCTACCAGTCATTGGCAGCAGCCCACTTAGCACTCGGCTGTTCACCTCTGTCTCCCAAGGTCCTTGCCATAAATCCGGCATAGTTCTGTTTCACCTTTACCCACTGCATTTTCCAGCCAATCAGCATTAGCCCATCAAGCAAACAAACCACATTTGCATTGGGCAAATGGATTGCTACCCTAGCACAGGGGTCCACCCTTCCCCTCATTCTCTCTACCCCAAAGATGCAGTATCCAGTGGTTCTAAGAGCCACATGCACTTAGACTTGAATTCCACCGCATGACCTTGGGCTAGCTATGTAAATCTTTCTAAGCCTCAGTTTCTTTATCTATAAAATGGGAATAGCAATAGTAATAATCGTATGGGTTTATTAGTTGTATTGGTTTATTATGATAACCACAGGAGATAATGCATAAGATGTAATTTGCACAGTGCTTGGCTCAATGTATTTTATGTATTATTATTTGTATTCAGTTGCTCCTTCTCTTATCCCCAACAAGTAGTGAAGTAAATAGAACAGCTTAAATTATGCTTCTGGTAGCCTATATTTGTAGAATGATCTATTTCTTAAGTTACACATTAATTCAAGGTTTCATTAAGTAGCGCAATGCCTTAGGCAACAGATTACTTATAAATAGCAGAATATTTAGTGGCTCCTTAGTTTTGCAGTCAGACATTATTAATGGTCCATGACTTAGAATCAGGAAGGAGTCTGAACACACATCCCCACATGCATACACACATATGCACACACTGAATGAGAGAGAAACGTGCTCCCAAAGCTGCAAGCAAATCTCACCATTATTTTTGGAATAAGAAGGATCAAAAAGAAAGAGGGAGTAGACCCAGGTTGTCCTTCACCAAAGAATGTAGAATGGCATAGTCTAAGTGTTGATTAATACGTCCAGTTTTGCTTATACCTAATTATGGCCAAAGCACCCTTTCAGGACACTTTTTTGCAAATGTTATGAGATATCATGGGTAATTTTCTTTGCCAACGTTTCGCTTGTTAAAGAAAGTAATAAATTTCTCACAGTGAATTTAATCATTAGGTAATTTAGGTAGGAAGGAGATCACAGCGATTGAGTACACTCAACAGGGATCATTCAGGCCATCACCCATCTTGGTGCTGCTGGTGTGTATGATTCATCATGGACAGACTGCTGGAAGACAGTATCGGTGGAAGAGTGTCACAAAGAGATTGTCACACAACCACATGGAAAATACTTGACTCAGCACAGCAGCTGAGCAGGGGCTTTGAAGATGGCCTAGGTGTTCAAACTGAATCTTGGCTAAAGCTCTTTACATTATGCATGTTTTTTTGTTTGTTTGGTTTTTGGTTTTTGGTTTCTTTTTTCACTAAAAGGTCTGGAATGATTAGATTCTAGATGATTAGAGATGTGTTTATTCATGGGTTTCAAGCCCTAGGAAACTCTCTGAGCCTGAAGACCTCACCCCCTTACCCTGCATCCTCCAGTCCTGCCCCTTACACATGACCAGGGTAGCTCACACTTCAGCCACCTGCCAGAGAACAGCAACAGGACCTTGTAGGAGCCAAGTCCACCCACAAACCATTCGCTTCCAGGTACAGATGCTATTTCCAGCTTCCAAGATAAGGCATATGGAAAAATCCCCAACCAGAAGGTCTCATTGCATGGCTTTTTGTAGAGCACACAGCTCAGGGTATCTTCCCAGGCTCTGGGGAAACCTGAGAATTTTGATTGCTCTTGCATCAGTTGTGCTCCTGTGTGATTCTTGGCTCACCTTCTTTCTATCTGCTTCTCAGTGATTCCCCAAGTCACAGAACTTTACGGCTGGCAGAAACCTTAAAGACCATGTGGTCAAACCTCACAGAGCTGCAGAAAGAAAACAAAAGCTGCAGCTGTGGGCAGCATAGTGACCAGCAAGCAGGGCAGAGGCCATTTCTACCCTTCCTCATCCCAACCTTCTCCACCAGCTCCTGGAATCAATTCCTTCTCCACCACATCCTGTGTCTACCTTTGTGTCTGTGACCAGAGTCCGTAAGAAAGTCTTGAGAGATGTGCTACCCGCTCTATTCCACCTCATCAGTGATACTGAACAGATGCAGGAAAACCTGGATAAACCAAGTAAGCAGAGACGGTTGGTGCTGCAGCTCCTCAGCATATCCTTGACTTTTTCTCTCTGCTTTCTGGGAGGTGGTGGCAAATGACAAATCCAAGCAGACGTTCCTGGCCCGTAGCCCCACAATGCATCCAGCTGCACCTCGGCTGGAGCTCTCCCCACCCTGGGATGCCCAGAGAGTCCACCCCTCATGCACCAGCCGACCCTTCCGTCCAGCATGTCCCAGAACGCAAAGTGACTGGTGTTAGCTCTCCCCAGCCCTCTGCACCGTAGCTGGTTTCCCCTTTTTCATACTGGGAAATAAAACAATGGTAAACAGCTTTGTTCAGGGATGATAATCCCTGATTATTCCCTCAGGGTTGACCAGGGCCTGGGAGTGAACATTTACAGGGGCCTGAGCCCGTGGCAGATGGGGCGAGGGCATAAAAGAAGGAAGAAGCCTGGGCTGGACATCTGTTAGAAAAACTGAGCTTCTCCTCAGTTTGCCCTGTGAATCTCCAGGCACAGCTTCTACAGGGTCTCAGTTCCACAGACCCTCCACACTGCAGTGCTGGTAGGGTCAGAGAAATGCCTACAAACCAGGTCCTGGTGTCCCTGGGCCTCTCTGTGGGAGCCACCGCCATGGGAATAGATGGCTGTGTGTGAGTTCCCTGGAGGCAGCACCAACTTTACATCCCAAACACCGCCTGTCACTGTCTGGGTACGCATGGCTGTTGGAGAGCACAGGTGAATGCACCTGCTGGAGATCGGGTGGAGGGTGAGAGCTCCTCATCCACAGATGTTGCCCTGCCTGCTGTGGCCCCAGCCCCCCACCCAGCTGCCACCATGACTCCCTCAGGACAAGGAGCCAGTGTTTGCTGAGCCCCTGAGATGCACGGCTGGAGCTGGGGCTTCATGTTCATTGCTCCTGGTGACTGTCCTGCGAGGTAGGTATCATTGCAGCCACCTATGGAGGAGCAAACAGGGGCTCAGGGGACAGCAAGAGCACTTTCCCAAGACTGCACATGTAGCGGGGCCAAGCTGAGAGAGAGTGTGAGGGGGATTTGTATAAATTTAGAGCTAGAAAGTATCTCAGCCATGCCCACCTTTCAAGGAGGCTTTGCTGTGTTTGAATTTGGGGCAGGCGGCTTAAGAGTGAGAGAAAGTGAGATTAGGATTGACAGAGACAGACAACGAGAGAGAAGAGAGAAGAGAAAGAGGGAGAGAGAGAGAAAGGAGAGCCCGGTGTTGTTGGAAAGGGAGGGCAGTGTGGTGTTGAGATAGCAGGATGATGCTGAGAGGGACAGAGGCAGGGTAGGGTGATGGACACGCGTGGGGAGCTGAAGGATGCTAGTCAGAGTCAGATGTCCTACACTTGACCCAGACTGCGGAAACTTGGACCATTAACTTAACCTCCCTGAGCCTCATTTACTCATCGACAAAACAGAGCTATGAATACCTCAGTCACAGGCTGGTCAGCAAGAGTAACTGACATAATACACAGGAAGGTGCTGAGCACACAGCCAGTGCTCCATAAACACTTGCTCCCTTCCGGCTGAGCAGAAGAGGCCTGGCTAGCTTCACTTCTGGTGACAACTAGCAAGTGTTAGGACAGTGCCCCTGCCAAGGGCCCTCAGACCAACCCTCCAGGGCTTTTATGCCTCAGATGGCTCATTTGCATGCCCTGGTTGGAAACTGCTTAGCTGAAGAATGGAATGTTCTGGCCTCACCAATTTGATTTTCAAATCACTTCCCTCTGAGCAATAGCCTCCCCCAAGAGCAGCATCCCAATACTTGGTCACACCCATGGACTCGGCCTAGTGATTTTGGGACAGTGAGATTGGAGGGAGGGAAGGGGCTCACCCCACCCTTTCCACACCCTACTCCCAGTATGCATATTTCTAGAAACCAGGTTAAGAATCTGTAGATTTGGAGAGATGTCAGGGCAGGCTGAATGGGTGGCTGTAGGGAGAGGGCAGGATTCCTGCTTTGGCAGGGAAGGATGTTGTGTGTGCTGTTGGAGTCTCAGTCCCTATTTCTTACCCCAATTGTCTATCGCAGGCTTCTGTCCCAGGGGAAAAGAGCTGGCCATGTCAAGCCTCAGGAACTCTCCTTTGACCCTGAACTGCCAACCTGCCTTCTTCTTTCCTGATGATGCCAGCAGAGGGCACCAGGAGCCAGGGAGGAGCTGCGAGATGTCCTGGCCTCAGTGCTGCAGGGATGCTGCCCCCAGCCAGCCTCACCTGCAGACGGAACAGGGAGCCGCCTGGCTGGAGCCATCCCTCAGAGAGCGGTCCCTGCTACCTTGCACAAACCTCCCTCTGAGATCAGAAGCCCTTTCATGGAGGGCAGGTCTCAATTTCCAGTTCTTTTTGGAACAGGAAACAGAGGGACTTGTGTGTATTTATACAAAATTGCAACTGAGAAAGTGGAGGCTCAGAGAGTTTAAGCCACTCGCCTGACACCATCCAGCTGCTAGGTGACACCAACAGGGTTTGCGCCCTGATCGGCCTGACTTCAGAGGTGCACTACTGTTCTATCCGATTATAAATGGTGTGTCTTAGACGGCAGGCTCCCCAGAGAGGGTAGTAGGCCCTCTGAAAGGATGCAGTGGGGCCTGTCTGCCAGCCTGTCCCCAGCCCCTCTCCCAGCCTCCGCCCATGCCCTCCTCTCCAGAGGCCGTCTTATAACCAAAGGACTGAACCTCCCTGACAATGCCATCCTGCTCCCAGCCCAGAAAGCCTCTGAATAGAGTCACCTTCCTCTCCATTCAGAGGTTTCTTAGCTCTGGAACAAGGAAAAAATGTAAATGATTCCCAGAACATCGTGTGCAATGGAGGCACCGGGTTAATGTTGGAAACCATGGCTCCATGAAACCACGGTTTGATGCTGTGATCCACTGTTCCCCGAGAGCGAACGCTGGACCACCAGGATGTGGGTGGCAGATGTGATGATCCTGCAGATGGGCTGCCACAGTAGGAAATCCAAGGGCAGCTCCATCAACATGCCCCTAGTGCACCCCTGGGCAAGGTTGGGACCGAGGCTGTGTGCTGGGTCTGAGGTCTTAGGAAGCCCTGTCTTCCTTATGTCTCTCTTCAGGGCACTTTGGGTCTCAGGTGGGTGAAAAATGAGTTTCAGGTGAAAGAAGTTCTCTGGGCAAACCACTTAATTCCCAGACACAGGGTGTCATGTGGATGCAGTGACCATCTCCATTTTACAGATGGGGAAATGGAGGTTCAGAGAGGAGAAGGACTTGCTTGAAGTCACACAGGGAGAAGGGTGTGAGCTAGGGGGACCTGTGGCTTCTAAGCGGCTGCTATTGTTGCTGCCTCCCAGTGTTCACATACTCGGCAGGGACGATAACGAGAGCAACTTTTTCCAACCAAGTCACCATATGAGTTTCCGGTTGTTGATTTGACACATCACCACCAACTCACTAGCTTTAAACCACACACATTTATTATCGTACAGTTCTTTGGGTCAGAAGTCTGAATGGGATGAAATCAAGGTGTTACTGGAAAAAGGGGTCTCCATCCAGACCCCAAGAGAGGGTTCCTGGATTTTGTGCAGGAAAGGAATTCAAGGTGAGTGGAAAAGTGCAGGGAAAGAAGCAAGTTTATTAGAAACTGCTCCATTACAAAGTAGAGTGCCCTCAGGAAGCAAGCAGAGGCACGCACCATCTTTGCTTTAAGTTTTTCTTATATAGGGATCTTGTCTCTGTAAAGACTAAACCAAAGCTGTGCCTAACTGCCAGTGGGCTGACAGCATGACGTTTATTACTCTACTGATTTAAAGGAAGCTATCCTTGACATGTTCCTACATCAGCACATGAGAGCATAATTATAATTATTTTGAAAACCTATACTGTTAAGGGTATTGGGACATCTGGACTTTCTGTTGTTGGAGGAGTGTGTCCTTACAGGCATTACCAAACTGCTTCCTTAAATGTAAACATCTTAGGACCATGGGTAGTGGCTGGCAAGGAATGTGCCTTGCTAGTTTTAACATGGAGTTGATTTTATTTATATGTATTTATTTTTGAGACAGGGTCTCACTCTGTCGCCCCAACTGGAGAGCAGTGGCGCAATCTCGGCTCACTGCAACCTCCATCTCCCAGGCTCAAGCGATTTTCCCGCCTCAGCCTCCAGAGTAGCTGGGATTACAGGCGCACGCCACCACCACCCGACTAATTTTTGTACTTTTAGTAGGGAGGGAGTTTCACCATGTTGACCAGGCTGGTCTTGAACTCCTGACCTCAAATGATCCACCCACCCCAGCCTCCCAAAGTGCTGGGATTACAGGCGTGAGCCACTGCACCCAGCCAAGATGGAGTTGATTTTAAAATGGTGGCACTCTGGCTCTCCTATGCTTCTGCTTCCCTAACAAAGGTGTTGGCAGAGCTGGTTCCTCCTGAAGGCTCTGGGGGACAATGCATTTCCTTGGCTCTGGCTGTGCCGGCTTCTAGGGGGCAAGAAAGGCCATATCCCTTGGCTCACAGCTCCTTCCTCCATCTTCAAATCCAGCAGCGTGATGTCCTCAACTCCTTCTCTGACCCTCCTGCCTCCCTCTTATAAGGACTCTTGTGATTAGATTGGGCCCACTTGAACAATCCAGGATAACCCCCCCATCCCCAGGTCCTTAATCTAATCACACCTGCAAAGTCCCTTTTGCCCTGCAAAGTAACATATGCCAGGACCTAGGGATTCTGACAGGGATAGCTTTGGGGGCCATTATTCTTCCTACCACAATCACCCTGTGGGTTAGGAAAAAAGGCCTCAGGCAAGCAACCTGACCATAGGGCCCATCAGAGTCCTTGGAGCTTGGCAAGCTTGGTCTCTCAGGTCGTGGGAAGAGGCAGGGAGAGAGCGTGCCCGTTCAGGCAGGGGCTGTGGGACTGAGACTGGCTCGTTGTCCACCAAGACCTACCTCCTTCCTTCCTGGGCTGGCTCTGAGTCTCCATTGGCAGCCTCTGGTTAGGTTATGTGGAAATAAAATCCTCACGGCTCTAGGCTCCCTCTCTTCCTTCATCTTCTAGGTGGACATGGCCCCAAACTGACCTAAGTGTAAGAGTCATGTAGGGTGCTTGCCAGACACTGGTTCCCAGCTCTCCCCTGGAATGAGAATGTGAATGTTAACAAGCGCCCAGAGATCCCCGTGAGCTGAGAGTTTGGCAGACACTGCGGTAGATCACAGTGTTGCCGCATCATTCCTTGCAGCAGGGTGGGCATGGGGAATCCATAGGAAGGCAATGTGGGGGAGCACGTCCCTCACCCCTGCGATGGAGTCAGAGGGTTGCATGTGCAGTCCGTGGGCTTGGCCTCTGTGGGCTTCCTGAATCGATGGAGTCCCATTCCTGCAGAAATAGAAAGTGTCTGCTTGCCTGTATCTGATGGAAGTATCTTCTTTGAGCAGCTCACTTTTCTCCCTCGCCCAAGAGGGTTACCTGGGCCAGATGAAGGCAAGGGAAGGGGCATTGAGTCAGGGCGCTGTTGCGTGTGTTGGTACAGAGCCAGGCTACCCATTGCCCTGCAGCACCCTGGAAGCATTAACAAGCCCCCCAAATAGGAAGGGATGAGAGGACTTCAAATAGGATGGGAGGACTCTGGAATGGGATGCATGCAGCCTTGCCCCTCTGAATTTCAAGCTCACCTCTGCAGAGTACAGTGGCTGGGGATCAGCCCCCCGGGAGTGCTCACAGCCATTCAACAGGTCTGAGAAGCAAGGCTTAGAGAGTGAAGGGCTCTGTCACCCGGCCTCAGACTGGTTCCCCAGGCTGAGCTGGACCCACGCCACCTCTCCACTCAATGAGCATGCCACTGTGCCCAGACAGAGCTCAGGGGCTACACCTGCACTCCAGGGTCTCTGACACATGAAGCTGTCTGCCCCCTCCAGCCCCCGCATCGAGCATTGACCTTCACGGGGGGCAGCCCCAGGAAGGTTAGGGACACTTCCAGACGTCTCATTTCATCCTCAAATGTCCCCTCACCCTTAGTCAGGCAGGACAAGCCTTGAAGGTGCCCCATCTTCCAGGCAGCCCTCCCAGTCCAGCAGCCTGGCTTCTGGGGCCACCACCAGGGTCGGACTTACAAAGGCTTGGGCAGTGCATCCCACATCCCACTGTCCCTGCTGTCTGCAGCCTGCCTCTCCACACTGAGCACTGAGGCTACCAGAAAAAGAAGCCATTTGAACTCCAGGAGCTCCTGGGAAATCCAGCAGAGATGCGCATTTTCGTCCGTGCACTGCCGCCTGCTGGCCAGCAGGTGTTGAATTGTGGAGAGGCTGGAGGGAGGACGGACGGTCGAGGCTGTGGAAGGTTCACCTTCCAGCTCCGCCTCTCCTACGCTCGGGACTAGGGCCCAGTCCCTGGGGGTGTGACTGACCTACCACATTTCCCCTCTGCTCCTCCTGTCAAATCCATCTCGCATGCTGTGACTTTGTTTTTGAAAAGACTGTTAAAATAACTCACATGGAGGTGTTGTGACTGATGATGACTTTAATTTTATCCTTTACCCAGCCCCTCTGAGAAAAAAACAATTTGGAATCTAATTAGGATGATGTTTACCTCCAGATAAATGACTCTGTAATTGTGGAGTTTCAGGCTGTGCACTGAAACTGTGTTTTGGACAGGCAGGGCTCTTCCTAAGCATCCCGGGATCTCTGACTTGCCCTGAGTATAGAGGTGAGTCAGTGGGGCACATATCGTACCTGTCACCGCAGGATGTCATAACAGAATAGAATATTAGAGTTGGCAGTGGCCTTAGAGATCCAGCTATTGCACAGATGAATCCAAGAGGGGGAAAGGCTTTGCCCACAGGGAACAAACTGGAAACAGAATCTCTTCCCAAAAGGCTTAGGGTGAGGAAAATTCCTGGCTGATGGACGTTCTGAGAATTTTTTTTTTTTTTTTAGACGGAGTCTTGCTCTGTCGCCCAGGCTGGAGTGCAGTGGTGCGATCTCGGCTCACTGCAACCTCTACCTCCCGGGTTCAAGCGATTCTCCTGTCTCAGCCTCCTGAGTAGCTGAGATTATAGGCACGCGCCACCACCCCCTGCTTATTTTTGTATTTTTAGTAGAGACGGGGTTTCACCATGTTGGTCAGGCTTGTCTCAAACTCCTGACCTCGTGATCCGCCCAACTTGGCCTCTGAAAGTGCTGAGATTACAGGTGTGAGCCACTGTGCCTGGCCCATTCTGAGAATTTTAAGGGGAAGCATGATATTGAAATCCCAGAGAACAGCCTTGTGCCCCCCACCCCAACCCCATTATCCCCTATTCCCTCTCAAGGATACGGGCTGGGCAGAGGGAGGCATCATTTGGGCAGAGGGAGCACTCTTGCCTCCTCCAGCTCAGTGTCTGTTCTTCCATCCATATCTGCCTGCGGGACATGATCCAGCTCACGGCTCTTCTCCAGAAGGGCAGGAGAGGAATTCTGACTCATTTCCCATCTCTTTATCTTTCTGAGCTACATTTATGGATGATTCTCTCAACTTTTTTTTTTCAATTTATGAATTCCTTTGCAAATGTGCCTAATCTGATGTTTATGCCATTTTTTACTTTAAAAAAGTTTAATAATTATATATTTCATTTTGAGATGTATTTGGTGTCAAATCTGTTAGGTCATCTTGGATACTTTTATGTTCCCTGCATGTGTGTTTAATTTCCCCTTTTACTCCCATAAACATTGAAAACATGACTTTGAATCCTGTTCCTGATAATCCCATAATGTGACATCTTTGGTGGTCTAATTCTGACATCTGCTGCTCCTGCTGACACTTGCTCATGATGGATTGTTTCTCTTGTGCAGGCTCAATTTTTATGGTGAACTCATGTTTTGCAGATCTCAGTCTGTGGGAATCCTGACAGGCCTAGGCTGAGGGTTAGTCCTCTGGAGAGATCTGTCAGGAGGCCTGGAGTGCTTGTTTCCATCTTGGAAACATATTAAAATATTTCTCAGCTTGGATATTCTTCAGGGAGTGTAAATCCAGACCCGAAATCCACGTGAGGATGGCCTTTACATTTTCAGGGGGAAGGAAGAGTGAAATATCTCTCTTCTTTTTCCTCTTCCTTCTCTTCCCCCTTCTCCTCCTCCTCCTCCTTCTCTCTTTCTCTTTTTTTAACCCAAAGCTGAAGCCAGGATAGACACACTTTCTTGTTAGCTTCTTTTTCTATGTCACCTTTTTACCAAGAGTTAGCTCTTCAAGGATTCTAGCTTTTCCAAGAGTCTAAGTCCTGACACTCCATCTTGCCTGCATGGGCCCAGGGCCCTGCCTTCTCTCTTTTGTATGGCTGTTAAAACCAGTGACTATAGGTTTCAGATATTTCCAGGTGCTTCTAGGGCAGCCCACAGCATCAGGGGTCATTTCTCATTCTGGTTTCAGCCTCTTCTTCGGTTTTGGCCTTTGTGAGTTTCCTTACTTTCTTATACAATCAGGTAGTCATTTAAAAGATGTTTGTTTAGTTTCAATCAACAGGTCTAGGTATTTGTAGTGGAGTTTATTTTTTCCCCAGAACATCTAGCCTAGAAGTGGAAGTCCTAATTTTATATTTAAATATTCAGATGTTTGCCACATGTGAAGAGTTTAACCAACTGTGAAGTTGGAGGGAACACAGCCCACACAGAAAACCGTGCTCACTTCCAACACCAATTACAAGTTTTAGGGGTTCCCAAGACCACCTCTTCTGATACCAATTGCAAAGTTGGAAAGACTAGTTCCCCCAACCACTCTCAGTTTTGATAACTTGCTAGAAAGACTCACAGAGCTAACTGGAAGCTGTTAGACTCATCCTTTTTTTTTTTTTTTTTGAGATGGAGTCTCGCTCTGTCACCCAGGCTAGAGTGCAGTGGTGCGATCTCGGCTCACTGTAACCTCTCTGCCTCCTGGGTTCAAGTGATTCTTCTGCCTCAGCCTCCCAAGTAGCTGGGACTACAGGTGCATGCCACCACACCCAGCTAATTTTTGTATTTTTAGTAGAGACAGGGTTTCACCATATTGGCCAGGCTGGTCTCGAACTCCTGACCTCACGATCCACCCACCTCAGCTTCCCAAAGTGCTGGGATTACAGGTGTGAGCCGCCACACCCAGCAAGACTCATCTTATACTTCTGGGTGCAGATGAGCATCAGCCAAGGGAGGATGCCCACAGGGGGTGTCTGGGGACTACCCCATGCACAGCTGCTGTGGTCCTCCCTGTTGGGTCAGCCTCCTGTTCCCAGCATCCATGTGTAGCAGAACATAGGAGTGCTGGCAACCAGGGAGGCTCACATGAGCCTCAGTGTCCAGAGTTTTTCTTGGGCCTCATTGAGTAAGCATGGCAGATGGTGCACAGGCTGGTCTCCATCTCTAGCCTGCAGCCCCTCTGGGAGTGACTCAAAGCCACCACCTTACATTGTTGGACTTTCCGGTTTGACCAGTCCCTACCCGCAATCACATTGTTAGCTATTCAATGTGACCCACAGCAAACAAAGACACTCCTATCAGGCCTGATAGTCTTAGAGCTTAGGGATTCCCTCCCACAAGCTGAAAGCAAAAGCCAGACCTCTTTTTGGACAAGGTGAAATTATTTACTACATATCACAGGAGTTTTTTTGCTTTTTTTATTTGGTTGGCTTTTGTTTTGCTTTGTTTTGAGACAGAGTCTCTGTCACCAGGCTGGAGTGCAGTGGCTCACTACAGCCTTGACCTCCCTGGGCTTAATGGATCCTCTCACCTCAGCCTCCCTAGCAGCTGGGACTACAGGCGCACCACCATGCCCAGCTGATTTTTGCATTTTTGGTAGAGACGTGGTTTCGCCGTGTTGTCCAGGCTGGTCTCAAACTCCTAGGCTCAAGTGATCCACCTGTCTCAGCCTCCCAAAGTGGTGGGATTACATGTGTGAGTCACCACCAGACTATAGTATTTTGTCAAGCTTCTCTATTCTAGAGTTCTTCATTTTGATTCACTTCTTTGGTTAAATTAAAAAAAAAAAAAAAAGAGAAAGGGTATTCACTCTACCCCAGGCTGGAGTGCAGTGACACAATTATAGCTCACTGCAGCCTCGAGCTCTCAGGCTCAAGCCATCCTCCCACCTCAGCCTCTTGAGTAGCTGCCACCACAGGTGTGCATCCTATGATCAGCAGCCTTTTTTTTTTTTTTTTAAAGAGATGGGGTCTATGTTGTCCAGGCTGGTTTTCAACTCCTGGCCTCAAGCAGTCCTCCTGCCTCTGGCCTCCCAAGTACTGGGATTGCAGGCATGAGCCATTCCCCCAGCCCCTCTCTTCTTTTCCTTTCCTGAGCTCTTCTCGCTCACCTTCCCCCTCTTTGGGATGTAATCTTATATCTCTGCTCCAATCTCTTTCATATCTACTTTAAGCCTCCTCCCCTAAGGAGCCATGTTATCTTTCCTGGTTTTAAATATGAACTACTATGTATCTGATTTCTCCTTTACTCTGTTTCCCAGGGGTCACTGGGAGGTTCCTCTTCTGATGTGGTGTTTACTTGTCTTTTGCTCATCCTCCCGTCCTCTAGCTATGGTGCAGCTTTTTTGTTTGTTGCTTTGTTTTGTTTTGTTTTGAGACAGGGTCTCACTCTGTCACCCAGGCTGGAGTACAGTGGCACACTTGCAGCTCACTGCAGCCTCGACCTCCCAGGCTCAAGCGATCCTCCCACCTCAACCTCCCGAGTAGCTGGGACTACAGGCATGTGCCACCACACCCAGCTGATTTTTGTATATATATATTTTTGTAAAGACAGGGTCTTGTCATGTTGCCCAGGCTGGTGTTGAACTCCTGGGCTAGAGGGATCTGCCTGCCTCAGCCTCCCAAAGTACTGAGATTCCAGGCGTGAGCCACTGTGCCTGGCCTGGTGCAGCATTTTTGAATGGGAAGTGCTCTGGCCCTCTTCACCCTTGAGAACTTTGTAGACCCCATGCCATTGTTAGTGAGATTCCTCCACCTGGACTTGCCTACCCCGACTTTGAGGCTGGTCATGGAGGATTAACGGGGACACCAGTGCCCTTGCAGACACTGCAGTTGGCCCTCTTGGTCTCTTGGCAGCACTGCTCACGTGTGGCCACTGCGATCTCCTGGTCCTTCCCCCTTCTCTCTGCCTCTCCCCACCCAGCTTCCTCCTCAGAGGGCTACGATCAGGATATAATGAGGGCAAAAGCGAGGCGTGCGCGATGCACTGCTGTTACAGGTAGTTAGACAGGCATGAGCGGGGCAGGAGAGGGCTCTCCCCACCCCCCAGGAATGTCGGGTAATCGTTCCACGATGATCACATTGCCTCTCTAAAACTGACAAATTGGCAGCCGGTGCCAGGGAGAGGCCATTTCCTGATGGTCCACACCTGTTGCACTAAAGCATTAATTAAATGTAGAGGCTCTGGAGGCAACTTCCCAGGCATGCACATTAAGAGACAAAATGGCAGAGTATGAGCTTCCGGGGGCACGCCACCGGAAGAGGGAAGAAAGCCTCAGATAGGCATGCGTACACCTCCCAAGGGAAAGGAGGGCACTGTGCATGCAGGCAGCCCACCCTAAGGGAAGAATCATGGGAAAGGGGCCAGTCTATAAAGTTCTAGGGTCAAGGTTAAAAGTTGCACTTGACCTCGGTGCCTGCTTGAGTCTCTTCCAAGCGCACTTTCTTTTCTCTCCTGCTCTAAAGCCTTTTTTTTTTTTTTTTTTTGAGACGGAGTTACTCTCTTGTTGCCCAGGCTGGATTGTAATGGTGCAATCTCGGCTCACTGCAACTCCACCTCCCACGTGCAAATGATTCTCCTGCCTCAGCTTCCCGATTAACTGGGATTACAGGCACTCGCCTCCACACGTAGCTAGTTTTTGTATTTTTTCAGTAGAGGCAGGGTTTCACCATGTTGGCCAGGCCGGTTTCACACTCCTGACCTCAGGCGATCCACCTGACTCGGCCTCCCAAAGTGCTGGGATTACAGGCGTGAGCCACTGCACCTGGCCTCTAAAGTATTTTAAAGTAAACTTCCACTCCTGCTTTGAAACTTGCCTCAGTCTCTTTTTCTGTCTCGTGCCCCTCAGTTGACTTCTTTCTTCTGAGGAGGCAAGAATTGAGGTTGCGGCAGACCTGTACGGATTCGCCGCGGGGAACTTGGATACCTTCCACTGGTCACACTGTCTGGCACACGGCGCATGATGAAGATGGAGCAGTGATTCTTCTTACTGTCAGTTCACTGGCTGTCTGGACCCTCTATTTGATCGCTGCTTTCTAACCAACTGATTCGTTCTGTCCTCTACTTTTTCCTGCATGTAAACTTCTTATGAGCAATGACCCTGCCGTATGCACCCAGGGCCCATCTCCATGCCTGCTGCAGAGGCCTCCCTGGGTATTGCCAAGTGGGCTGACTCAGAGGCAGTTCTGGGGCAGGGGAGGTGCCCACCGTGTCCCACTCTGGGCCAGAGCCTGCGCCTGCAGGGACGCGCTCCAGTGGCTTCCTGGAGGTGCCTCCTCACTCAGGCCTCACCGCAGCATCTGGCAGGACCGCCAACACGTCCTTCCCCAGTCTCTGCCCCACCTGCCTTCTCGGCAGGGCTGTCTGCACGGCTCTGCCCGGGCTTCAGGCTCCAGGCTTCTGTCAAGGGGGTGGAGGACTCCTGACTGCAGGATAGACACAGGCAGCTATGGGCAGCTCACTGGAGTTAGGTCAGCGGTTCCCTGAGCCTGGGCCTCTGAAGGCAACGCTCAAGCCCTCCCCTCCCCTCAGTCTCCCACAGCAGCCTGCACCGGGGGCCTCTGGCCTGGACAGCCCCGAGCCTGCATCATGGAGTGGCATGATGAATGAAGCTACAGCCGGCTGAAATCAGGCTAAGAGTTGGGCAGACTCCAAGGAGCCCCTTGGGAGTTCCTGGGGGGTGGCCAAAAGTTGCAAACAGCTGCCCAGACATCTGTCGGGGGGCGGGGAGGGCGGGGCCCAGGCAGGCTCAGGGAGGCAGGAGGAGGGAGCCTGATGGGCCGTGGTGTGTGCCATTCCCCCTGCCAGGAGCTCACCGGCCTCACCCAAGCTCGCAGCATTGTGCCGGGAAAGGATGTTCTCGGCTCCGGCCTTTTTCCTCCTCTCCTGGGGACAGAACATGGATCCTGGAAGGCATTGAGGACCCTGTGCTCAGCCCCTGCCCATCCCTTCCACCACTTATCTGTCCTGTAGGCACACTGACGCGGCTTTCACAAAATGGGAGGCTCTGAGAGGTAAGTGAAGTGCCCACCCTGCACAGCTGACGGGAGGTGCCGCGGGGCTCCCACCCAGCCTGGTCTCCAGGGCCCCGGCCGCGCTCATCACCCCTGCCTCTGTTCCCGTCCTTCACAACGTAGGGCCTGGCCAGCTAGGCACATAGGCCTAGGACTGTGACCCCTCTAGGGGCCCCAAAAGTGTTTTATTTGTTTATTTTTTTTCCCTAGAAGGAGTGTCACTCTGTCTCTCAGGCTGGAGTGCAGTGGTATGATCTCGGCTCACTGAAACCTCCGCCTCCCGGGTTCAAGCAATTCTCCTGCCTCAACCTCCCAAGTAGCTGGCTCTACAGGCCCTCTCCACCATGCCTGGCTAATTTTTGTATTTTTAGTAAAGACCAGGTTTCACCATGTTGGCCAGGCTGATCTCAAACTCCTGACCTCGTGATCGGCCTGCCTTGGCCTCCCAAAGTGCTGGGATTACGGGTGTGAGCCACCGTGTCCGGCCTAAGTGTTTTAATTTTAATATATTTTAAAATCAAAGGAAAAAAGAATATGGTAATGAATATGTGTAACTGAATCCAGCTTAGTTATATTTGTATTTACACCAATACAGTCATAAAATGTGATATTTGCTACTTAAAGTGCCTGGAGCCCATGAAGGTGATAATGGGACCGTGGTCCCAGTGCCCAAGCCCCTCTGAGCCCCTCTCCACTGCCACCACTCCTCCAGCCCACCCTCCCTTAGCCTCAGAATGGGGCTTGTTAGACCTTGGGGTTGCCTGGGCTGTGGGTGCAGCCCTTGGGGCAGCTCACACCTGAGCAGGAAGCAGTTTGGGTTTTGTGATGGGGTCAGCCCTGCCGGGAGCAGCTAGGATAAGTGGAGAGAGATTTGTGGCAGGAGTCCCAGCTTTGGCTTCTTATATGTCCCTCCTCCTTGGGCTTAGGGATGTTCTGGGGTGTTTAAAGTATGAATGGGTTGTCCCCACCAAGAATCAACTTGCATAAAAGATGGAGGACTCTTCTGGGAAATAACTGACCCTAAGGGGAGAGACAGCACCCTGGCCTTGCTTGGTTGGAGAAAAACCGGCTGGGCAGATTGGAGAGGATAGTGGGAGACAACAGCTCCAGGTCACCCCGCTTGTGACCCTCCTGTGTGCGCTCATCTGAGAGAGTGGTCAGTGGCGGCCAATCCTTCCAAGCACCCATGGTGGCTCTGGTACCTCACCCACACGTGCCCACGCCCTGGAGTGTGGCCTCCCACGTGGCTTCAGGAGCTGGCATCCCACTGAGTTGCCATGTGATGTGGGCCTGGTGTTGGAAGATGTGGTGCCTTTTCAGGGGCAGCCCCAGCTCTGGCCAGAAGAACAGCCCACAGAGGTGACCTCTTGGGGGTGGGGGCCAGGACAGACAGATGGACAGATGGACAGGAGGAGGAGGCCCAGATCTGCCACATCAAGGAAACTCCTGGGGAACATGGCACCGTTCAGTTTCCCAGGCCCACTCCAGATCACTGAGCAGAGCCTCAGTGAAGGGCCAGGTGCCCCTCTAAGTGTGGGAAACACTGCTTTGTGCCACCTTACCCATCTTCCCTCTACATCCCTGACCCTGTGGGGAGGGCCCCTCTTCCTCCCATGACTCTGATAACAACTCTGCAGCTCAGGGAAATGAAATGCTGGGTTTAGAGGCCACAACTGGCAAAAGACAAAATGAGGATGTGACCAGGTCTGGCCAAATTCCAAGTCCATGTACCGCAGGGCACTGGCTGTGCCCAGGCTGGGAGAGGGGCATGTGAGCCACGCTTTGTTGGTGACTGTGGAGTCGGCCCATTCTGGGGGCTGCCTCAGGCAGGAACCCGCGGGGATGCACTCAGGCCACGGGGGACGGGGAGCTACAGCACACAGATGAACCCTGCTTTGGTGTCATCAGCCAGCTATGTGACCTTGAGCAGGTAATAACCCTTCCTGAGTCTCGGCCCTCCATCTGTAAAATGGGGGCAATACATCACACGGTTTTGGGGAGAGGAGCTCAAGCTCAGAGCCCAGCTCACCACCAGCCATCGGAGGGTCGGCGAGCAGTAGCTGACATGCTGGGGAGCAGGACGTTCTCTTCTTCAGGACCCTCCTCCTCCACTCTGGCATCTCTTCCTTGCCTTTTATTCATTCCCTTTCCTGAAATCCCTAGTCCTTCTAACTTCATCCAAATCCAAGATGCCTGGAGTGGAGAACAGGGTGGAAGGGGAGCTGAACGTCTCCCCCGACTTTGCCAGCTCCCCCTTCCTTCTGCCCCTCACCTTGTGGCACCAGGTGGGTCAGACCCAGCTGGAGGGGCAAGGCTGTTTTTAACAGAAACAGGGACCCCTTGAAGAATTCTGAGAAGAAGCCTTAAAGGGGAATTCCCTGGCTCTGATGTCATTTCAGTATTTCCTGGGGGAGCTGCACCTGCTCTTTTTCTGACACCTTCTTTAAGAGGCTCAGCCTTCATCCTTGACGAGGGGAAAGGCAAGGCAAGGGCGACTGCCACATGTAGTGCACAGCGCAGTCTAAAATCCTTGCACACAAAGCCAGTGGCACTTTGGCAGAGTTCCAGTGGGCTTGCTGGACGAGAAAAGCCCGGGAACTGCATTTGCTTCCCTTGGTCAGAGAGCAGCAGCCCACAGGGTGCATGTTGCTGTGGCTTTCCTCTGTCCTTGGGGATCTGCTGGTTCTGCCAAACTGGGCCCTGGAGTCAGGGGCCCTGGGGTGAGATCTCCGCTTTGACCTTGACCCTGAAGGCAGAATGTCCTGGTAATGAAGAGCTCCAGGGTCAGCGTCCAATAGACCTGGGTTCAAACCCCAGCTCTGTCAGTCACTAGCTGAGTGACCTTGGGCAAACCCCTGAACTACTCTGAGCCTCCAAATACCTTCTTCATGGGCTTGTAAGGATGCTTAAATGAGATTTTAAAGCTTCTGGTGGGCCGGGTGCGGTGGCTCACACCTGTAATCCCAGCACTTTGGGAGGCCGAGGCGGGCAGATCACGAGGTCAGGAGATTGATACCATCCTGGCTAACATGGTGAAACCCCGTCTCTACTAAAAATACAAAAAAATTAGCCAGGCATGGTGGTGGGCACCTGTAGTCCCAGCTACTTGGGAGGCTGAGGCAGGAGAATGGCGTGAACCCGGGAGGCGAAGCTTGCAGTGAGCTGAGGTCGCGCCACTGCACTCCAGCCTGGGCAACAGACTGAGACTCCGTCTCAAAAAAAAAAAAAAAAAAAAAAAAAAGCTTCTGGTGCCCGGATGAAGTACAGCTGGTATCCAAGATGCTTTACCCACGTCCCTCCCTTCAAAGATCCCCCAATACCCTGCCACCCCCACTAATGACGGAAATGTGAGACATTATGGTTATTTATCCTGGCTGATGCCACCCTCTAGTGGCAGGGCACAGCAACACAAGCCACCCCAAAAAGGAGCATTTCACCTCCTCCTGGAAGTGTCTGAACAATGGTTTGCGGTCCAAAAAACCATGATTTCTTACCGGAGTTAGGAATACTGTATTCAATACTACATGAAGGAAATAATGTGCTTTCCTTTGAAGGCCCATTTTTAAAACATTTCCAATGCATGCGCATTGACTAGTTCTTTTTTTGTTGTTTTCTCTCTCTTTTGCCCAGGCTGGAGTGCAGTAAGTGGCACGATCACGGCTCACCGCAGCCTCAAAATCCCAGGCTCTAGGGATTCTCTTGCCTCCCTCCCAAGTATCTAGGACTACAAGCATGCATACCACGCGTAGCTTATTTTTAAAACTTTTTTTTTTTTTTTGTGGAGATGGGAGTCTCGCTTTGTCGCCTAGGCTCATCTCAAATTCCTGGCCTCAAGTGACCCTTCCACCTTGACCTCCCAAAGCGAAGGGATTACAGGTGTGAGCCACTGCACCTGGCCAACAAGATCTTAATATTGATATTTTTTTCCCCAAATATTTCCATGTGAGATTGACTTGCTGTTACAGCTCGAATTTCTTACATACTGGAAAACCCAGCAGCTTCCTCTCCACCATTTAGAGCCAATGTGCCCCCGGCTAAGTCACTTCATTTTGCTGAGGGTTGATGACAGTCTCAAGAAGGGCAGGGAGGACGAGGATTGGCTCATCCACCACGTGCGGCCGTTTTGAAAAGTCTGTTTTGGGCCGTGACCAAGTGCTGAGGCAGCAGCAGCGTGCCCCTTGGCGGTGCCACCGCCCCCATAGCTCACACTCCCCCTTCTCCTCCCGGGGATTTAGAGCTCCCACTCATCATTTGGCTGAAGTGTCAAGGATTTCCTTTCCTGGAGGAAATTAACTTGCACTTTACACTTCACACCTATAGAAATTTAATCATCCGCCAATTGTTGGCATGACAGAGAGATGGCTGCCGGCCCCACTCCCGTCTATAAAATATGGCCTTCCCTACAAATCTAGGGGGCTAGAAGAGGGGGGCTTTGGCCTCAGCAGAGGGTGGGTCCTTCTTTTTTTTTTTTTCTTTTTTTTTTTGAGACGGAGTCTCACTCTGTCACCCAGGCTGGAGTGCAGTGCCACGGTCTTGGCTCACTGCAACCTCCACCTCCTGGGTTCAAGTGATTCTTCTGCCTCAGCCTCCTAAGTAGCTGGGATTACAGGCAGATGCCACCATGCCTGGCTAATTTTTGTACTTTTTGTAGAGACCGGGTTTCACCATATTGGCCAGGCTAGGGTGAGGGCGCACCCTTCTAAGTGTGCCTCTGGATACAAGCCCTGGAGTCAGTCGGTAGGTAGAAACTTACAGCCAGCAGGCATGACCAAGGGAAGAGAAGACTAGCAGCATGCACTGGTGTCCATCAGGCAACCCCAGGTGTCCCCAGTGCCCCTCTGCTTCATCTCAGTGGACTCTGGAGCCAGGCGCCTGGGGGTCCAACCCTGCTCCACAGTTGGGTAGCTTTGGACAAGTCACTTAATTGTTTTGTCCTTCAATACAACAATATCATGGCCAGGCGTGGTGGCTCACACCTGTAATCCCAGCACTTTGGGAGGCCGAGGCGGGTGGATCATTTGAGGTCAGTAGTTCGAGACTAGCCTGGCCAACATGGTGAAACCCCGTCTCTACTAAGAATACAAAAATTAGCCGGGCACTGATGGCATGTGCCTGTAATCTCAGCTGCTAGGGAGGCTGAGGCAGGAGAATCACTTGAGCCTGGGTGGCGGAAGTTGTGGTGAGCCAAGATCGTGCCACTGCACTCCAGTCTGGGTGACAGAGTGGAGACCCTGTCTCAAAACAAGAACAAAAACAAAACAAAAAACATCAGGTTGTTGAATGTATTAAATGAGTTAATGGAGTTAATGCATTGAACACAGTAAGTGCTCAATAATTGTTAGCATTTCTTTTTTTTTTTTTTTTGAGACAGAGTCTCACTCTGTTGCCCAGGCTGGAGTGCAGTGGTGCAATCTCGGCTCACTGCAACCTCCGCCTCCCGGGTTCAAACGATTCTCCTGCCTCAGCCTCCCGAGTAGCTGGGATTACAAGTGCGCGCCACCATGCCCAGCTAATGTTTTGTATTTTTAGTAGAGATGGGGTTTCACCATGCTGGCCAGGCTGGTCTCGAACTCCTCATGATCTGCCTGCCTCGGCCTCCCAAAGTGCTGGGATTATAGGCGGGAGCCACCATGCCTGGCCAGCATTTCTATTAATGTGATTCCTTCATCATCATCAGGTCTTCATAATCTGTCTCCATGTAAGTGCTGCTGCCTCCCTGCTGGCCCCTGCCTCCAGCCTCCCTCTTGTCCATTTTGCACCCAGCAACCACAGGATGCTTTCTAAAGGAGCTCTCTGAGAGGCAAACCTGACCCTACCCTACCCTAGGCCTCCAGACTACCATCCCCCCAGCCCTAGCCTGGCCCCTGCCTCTCCCTGTCTCTCCATCCCTCCCCAAGCTTCCTGTGGGTCCCAGCTTACCCCTTCCCACCCTGGACCTCTGGCAAGCTTCTCTTTGAACTTCACATTCTCACTTTGCTGTTGCACTTCTGCAGGGAACATCTCCCTGGATCCCCTCTCTTCCAATGGACCTGTGCTATGGTCTGAAAGTTTGTGTCTCCTGGAAATTCATATGTTGAGAACTAACCCCAAGGCAATGGTATGAGGAGGTGGGGCCCTGGAGAGGTGATGATGTCATGAGGGATCCACCCTCCTGAGTGGGATTTGTGTCATTATAATAGAGGCCCCAGAGGCTGCCTTGTCCTTTCCACCTCATGGGACACAGCAAGAAGGAGCCGTCTGTGAACCAGGAAGCAGGCCCTCACCAAACCTGCTGCCATCTTGATTTTGGACTTCCAGCTTCCAGAGCTGTAATAAAGAAACTTCTGTTGTTTATAAGACACCCGGTCTATGGCGTTTTGTTCTAGCAGCTGAACAGACTAAGACAAACTGTGTGCCTTAAGTGTGATTGTGTTACTGCCCAGGTCACGCGGGGCATGGGGGTAGTCGTGAGTGAAGGTTCTGTCTCCTCTGCTGGCAGGTGAGCTCCCAGGAGACAGGACCAAGGTCTGCCTTCATCCTGAAGTTTGCAGGGCAGAGGCCCAGATCCTGCAAAGGTGATGTGCTCAGGAAGCCACAGCGGAGCCCCACACGCACCATGTGAGTCACGCTGGTGCCACAGGCTTGAACTCTGCTGGACACAAACAGCCTGGGGGGTGTGGAAGTGGGCATTACCGCTGTGCTGTTCTTACTTGGGGCAGTGTCTCCAATATCCCTTTCCCATTCAGCAACTGTGCAACACCTGACTTCAGAAACAGACGTCTAGAGCCCTGCCTGATGGAGCCAGGACCAGCTTGCCTGGTGGATCTGTGCCCTGGGGACCCGCTTGGGCTCTAGCACAGCATGTGCTGTAGAGTCAAGCACACATGAGGTGGCCCCACTGCCCTGCAGACCACAGATGCAGCCCCAGCTCACCATTGACATCTGTCCCCAGTCAGACCTCTTTACGCAGCATTCTAGCCTCTCGTTCTCTGCCACACCCATTGCCCCACTCACCCCGCCCTCTCCACTCACTGGAGCTGCCCAGCATCCTCATCCCTCTTCTAAGCAACATGCCTTCCTCCCCATACCCAACATCTTTGCCTGGAATGAGTTTTCCTTGCCCAACTCTCTACCTATCCCTAAGGCCCAAGTAAGGGGAGAGGGAGAGGAAGTAGGGGGTAGGAGTGTTAGATTGTATTGATGACCTACGTTCTAGCCCCTCAAGAGGCACTTGACATCTGGTCCCTCAAGGACTCTACTCTGTGGGACATTCCTTGGCTAAACTTGTCTCCTAGACTAATTTCTCCCCCACACGCAGATCCACCAGTCAGGCTTCCCCCATTACCTCCAGGCACCCCTGGAGAAATTTGTCCCCACCCACCCACCACCAAGACTTGAGTCTTATTCACCAGTGATCAGTGACTCACTTTAAACCAGCGCTATCTGAGACGTAGGGCGCCAGCAATCGATGTCATTTTAAATTTTCTAGGAGCCATATTTTTAAAAGGAAAAAGAAACTGATTATTCAACAGAACATATCCAAAAATGATCATGTAGACGTGCGTTTAACATAAACACTTATTAATGTGGTCCTTTACTTGTATTTATACCGTCTTTGAAATGCAGTGCATATTTTACACTTTGAGCTTATCTCCATGTGAACTAGCCACTGTTGGCTGCACCTGGTCAGTGGCCACCGTCTGGAACAGTGCAGGTCTAGACTTTCTGTAATTCCCCTGGATACAGGGCACAGCGTTCACGTGGGAAGTCTCAGGTTCCTCCTCAGTGAAAGGGTGATGGCAGCGGTGCCTACATCATAGTGCTGTTTGGGGCAATATAAGTGTTCCATGAATGCTGGCTGTTGGTGGGCATGCGTGTCTGTATGCTCACACTGGGGTGTGCGTTAAGCATTGCCCTTGTCAGGTGAACTACTTTCAAATTGAATTTCCCTTGCTTACTCACTTAAGAAGAGAGTATTGCACATCTAGGACATGTCAGGTGCTATTCTACATGTTGGGTCACAGTGAACAAGATGGACACACTCTCTGCCAGGAGCGGGCGTAACACTGCAAGTTTGTAAGCCTAGAGATTCTGCTCAGCCCCCTCCCTGCACAGCTGCCCTCAGGGTTTCCAGAAATGCCCACCTAGGCCACCTCCTTTCTGGCTGTAATGTGGAGAAATGGACACTAGGTGGCGCTATTTGGCCACGTTCAGCTTTCAGCTCCTGGCTCTCTTCCGTCAGATCCCAGACCTTCAAACTTCCAGCTCCAGATTTCCCAAGACCACCAAGACTGAGACTCCAGACTCTCCCCAAACTCCTGTCTCCTAGACTCCTCATCTCCCAATTCTGCACCCCCACACCCTGTGACTTTCCATATGCTAGATTTCTAAGTCCTCAAACCATCCCAGAGTCCCAGACCCTTAAGACTGAATTCCAGAAAGCCCCAGACTCCATAACCTCCAAGCCTCCAAAACTCTCAGAACCAGATCCCCCAGGCCCCAACACCTCCAGCTTCCCAAACCCTAGTCCTTGGACCCCAAACCGTTTATCCCTCCTACCCTCCAGACCCTCAGACCCCTAGACTCTACAAACCCCTACAAACTGCCCTCAGTCTTCAGATCCTTCTAGACTCTTTACACTCCTAGGAACCATTACAGCCCCAAAGCCCCTCAATGTCCTAGACCCCTGGACTCTGCACACAGATACAGATCCTCAGGCATCAGGCCTTCCCAGACCCCTCAGATCCCCCAGATCCCCCCACCCCAAGATCCGGGACTCAAGACTCTCTCTACTTCCCAAAAGAGTAGAGCTTAGTGCGGGGACAGTGGGCGCTGATCACCCTCTGAAATGGAAAACAGGGCCCCTGCCTCCACTTGGCAAGGTCCCAAACACTGAAGCTCATGAATGCCACAGCTGTGAGGGACCCCTATCTTGCACGGATGAACAAATCCAGGCCCAGAGAGGGCAAAACTCTTGCTCAAAGCCCCCAGCATGTGAGTAGCTGAAATCCAGACCTGTGATTCCTGGGCTCACAGTAAATGCTCAACAAACGCTGGCCATAATCAGTGCATTGCTATTACCCACGCACTAAAGCACCTGTGGCCTAGCATCGGCCCAGCCTGATCTCTCGGAGGCCCGATGTGGGACCATTCTATCTTCCGGGGACTGAACGATCAGAACACCACCCAATTTAGCAACATCTGCAAATTTAATTAACAATCTGTTTATCTTCCTGGCTGAGCGATTAATAAAGGTGTCAGGCAGAACAAGGCCCTACACAGCTCCCTGCAGTGCACTGAAAATGCCCCTCCTTCTGCTCAAGGGGCCTGGCCATTTATCAGAGTTATGGGGAGGGATGGGCTTGCAGGAACCAGAATGCAAAGGCGGGGGGGACAAAACAGGGAGTTTCTCAGAGTCACCACCCAGGCATCTTGCCCTTGTTCAGCCACGCAGCCAGTGAGCACCCAACCCCTACCGCATGTGCCTGGCATCGTGCCACAGAGACTTTCGGCAAACACAGCACGTGGTTAATTGTCCCACCAGAGCTGTAACCAGTAGGAGGGAAAATTCAAAGTGCAAACTGAAGCGGTCTCTTTCTTTACCAGAATTAATCAGACAGACCACTCACCAAGCAGGACCAGTCAGGCCGCCGTCCCCAGGACAGTGAGTTGTGACCTGTGGACCTGCTGCATTCGGAGCCGGACACACATTCAATGAGGAGCCACAGGAAGCTGCGGCCTCCACTGTCAGTGGTGGCGTCTTGTCAGTCCCTACACATTGGAACTTTGCAGCTACAATCACCCTAAAATCTAATAGATTCTGTTTTTTCTGGAAGCGTCTGAAATGACAGGAATAGGTCCTGTGCAGCCGCAGCTGGCTGCAGTCAGCATTGCTTATGATCAGACTAGGGTGGTATCTGGGCATTCTGTCCCTGTAGCTTAAGGAAGAGTCTCCTAGACATGTAAAGATGGAAACAGACTCACCCACCCCAACACACGCCTCTTGCAGGTCAGGAAACAGGGACATCTGGAGGTGAGTTGGGGCTTGTCCAAGTTTACCCGGTGACTTCGAAGTGCAGTCACATCTAAATGTCACCCTAGATGCTCACTCTGGAACAAAATGCTACCCTTGAGCCTCATGATAATGCCCCACCTCCGCCCTGACCACAAGCCTGGACGGTGCTCTAGGCCTTGGCTGCTCACCCTGACACATGTACATCCTGGGGAGCCAGGGGGTGCCTGAGCAGGTGGGACACCAGAACATATGCTCAGCCTGATTGAGGGAAAAGATCCCAACACGCCCCCGTAGTGTTTTGGGAGACTTTTCCTCATCTTCGCTCTCCCCACAAAGGCACGGCAGCCTCTTCTTTCTCCAAACTCTCAGGCTGATGCCTTGCTTTCGAGTACACTGGAGAAAGAGCAATCTGAGCACATATGTCCATGGAGGGGCCACGTCTTCCCTGCTGTTGGGATGGACAGACCGTCCAGGCTCCCTTCCGAGGCCTTCCCCGCACTCTAGCCCATCCCATGATCTGCCATGCCCCTGGTTTCCCTCCCATCCCCACAGCACCGCCTTGACCTCCTTGACTTGTTCTTCCCTTCTCTCTATCTTAAGAGGGTTCTCAGGGCTGCATCCAAACACCTCTTCTCTTTTCTGCCCCTAAGTGAACTCATCCAGGCCATGGCTTTTCATGTTGTCCATAAGCAGGTGGTTCCCAAGTGTATGTTTCCAGCCCGGCAGCTCCCTGAGCTACAGGTTGGTAACTATGCATCCTTCTGCGATTGGATGTTTATATAAGACCTCAACTTTAATGGGGTCCCCAAACAAACTCTCAATGTTCCCGACTCCTCCTCAACCTGCTGTCTCCCATGTCTGTCTGCTGCATGACCAGTTCCACGTGGCTTTGGCCAACCTCACACAGCTGGGGTGGACAGCACCTTGCACCTGGCCCATGTGGGGTATGGTGAAACTGCTCAGCACCCACGCCTGTGTATCTGGAAGTGTGGGGCCACACCACGGGGCCACCCTCGAGCGGCAGGGGCAGAAGCAGCTGGGCAAAACTCCCTCCTTCATCCCCAGGCCGATGGTTCTGAGATGCATCCCAGACTCTGGAAGGTCTCCCCTAGCTTTCTTCCCTGCTGCCTGTGTCAGGCTTTCTCCTCAGGGGAACTCAAGCTAAGACCCAAGGAGATGGCCGCTTAGACTTCCCTTCAAGAAAGTACTGATGCCCAGCTGCGAACTGGGGTCCAGCTGTTGGCTTTGCCTGTTTCCGAGCTGAAGGCACACTATTCTGGGGTGGCCCCAGCAAGGACTGAGCAGGGCAATGATCCCCATCCCGGCCCCTTCCGCGGCCACAGGCCTCCTGAGATGGGACGGGCGCGCTTTGCTCCGGCGCCCTCTGCTGGCAGGTGCAGGTTGTGCAGGGAGGATGCATCAGGATGGCCGGCCCCGCCCACCTTGCTTCTTCCCTCTCCTCTTACAGGTGGTGCTCCCCGTTACGCTATTGCACCCCTCACTCCGTCTCAGCGTCTGCTTCCCAGACAATCCCACCTGAGACACAGTTTGATAAGGAGTTGGAGAATGAGAATACCAGTGAACTGGACTGAGTCGGGAGAGAGTTCAGACTTGCGGGGGGCGGGGGGCGGGGGGCGGTTACCTGAAGACAATGTTTAAATATTTAATGCCCCGATATTATGATTGGGCTCCTGCTCGGCTGTGCCCAGGACAGATGGAAGCCAGACTGTGATCACCTGGGTTCTGGGAATCTTGAAGAGACGCCTGGGGACTGCTTGGGTAGGGCTGGGGCTGGAAGCTCCACACCTGAACCAGCCAAGAGTCTGAGCCGGCGAAGTTAAGAGGCAGCGTCTGACCCTGCCTGACAGTGCAGGTCACTCTTCCCGTCTCCTAGAATAAGCAGACGCTGCACTGGGACAAGCCCCACTGGCAGGGGTGGACTTGGAGCCGTCTTTCCAGGTGGAACACTGCGTATCTTAAATGAGGTGGCCCCTGGATTGAATGCTCCTCTCTGCCTCTCCAGACCTGCCTTAGAGCAGGTGGTCATCCCGAGCTGCCAGGGCTCCCTAGGCTGGTGCAGTGCCTGTCAGGGGATGCAGGGAGCTCATGGGCCTCCTAGCAATCAACTCAACTCAGTGTGCACTCACTAGATGCTAGCCATGTGCCAGCAGGCACGGCGCATGGCAGGGGAGAAAACAGCTCCTGCGCCAAGGAGCCCTAGGTCCTGGGAAGAGGGGTGACAAATCCACAAACACATACATGCTTTGTCACACCCAAGACAGGTGCCAGATCCAGGAATCACGAAGGCACCAGGAGGTCTGAGGGCTTCCCTGAGGAGGTGATGCGCCCTGAGTCCTGAAGGGCTGGGGAGCCAGCCACGGGAGGTGGGAGGGAAGGCTCCAAGCAGGGGCACTAGGATTCCCCAAGCCCAGAGGAGGGAATAGCAGGTGTGTGGTTGTGATGGGGCAGGGAGGGCCCCAGGGCAGCGGGGACAGGAGGCGGGGTTTAGACTGGGTGGTAGGTGGGAGTGGTGCCTGGGACCCCAGGAAAGGCTGCAGCCAGGAAGGCTCTGGATTTGTGCCCGAGGCTCCTGCTAGCAGCTGACGGAATGGAGAGGGCAAGGAGGTGGGCAGGGAGGCGAGCTGGGAAACGCCAAGCTGGGCAGAGGCAGAGGAAAAGGAGAGGAGAGAAACTGAGGGGGCAGGGTTGGCAAGAGATGGGGAGGACTGGGTGGGTGCCAGGAGATGGGGGGAGAGCAGCCACGCCTCCCCTCCCGGCTGGGGTTTTTTCATGCTGGAGTTGGAGTTGGGGCAACTTTTGTCCTCTCTGCTCCTTGATCCAGGGCAAAGGCGGGGGGCGGGGAGGGGGGGCGGTGAAAACACGACCTAGTACCTCTCAGTTTTAGAATCAGCCACTATCTTTTCTGGTTAGAAATCGGTGGCGGGAAGCGGCTGGGAGAAATAAGATTTAGCCTCCCAAACAGGCGGCAGGGAAGGAAGGGACCAGAAGTGCTCCCAGCAGCTCATTTGCATTTCAAACAGCCCGTTTGTTTTATCTCCTAATTAGCATACTCACCCTCAGCTGAAAATGAGTCCATTAAAGGAGACTCTGCTCCAGGCTCAGCTCCTCCTTTAAATATTTTTAAAGCGTATGATTAATACACTTGCCTATTGCTGCGTGGACTGTGCTGGGGGGGTCAGGGGGCAGATAAATGAAAGAGGATAGCTGCACGCGGCGTTGACTGGCTGATTAATCACTGCCTGTTTTCTATAACTCATGGCAGATGGCAGGAGCTGGCTGCAGGCCCTCGTTGGGAATGAGGTGCTGCAGGCAGGATGAACAGGGGTCGGGGGAGACCCTGGAAGGCCCCAGTTGTGTCGTGTTTTTTTTCCTCGGCCCTACAGACCTCCGTGTCCACCCCACCCCCTGCACTTCGTGGCAATTCCCAAGTTCAAGAGCAGTGGCGTAGCTTCTGGGAAGACACAGGAAATCTCATTTCTCCCTTGGATTTTTTAGGACCTAGATAACGACACTGTCAATTTTGGGAATGGTCAACTTTGGGGTGGGGAGAGTCAGGTCCAGTGCAATACTTGTATATATTTTATCTTCAATTCTCCCAACAACCCCATTTTCTAGATAGGAATTGTGAGGCTTGGCAAGGCAGACACAGGTATTGTTCCCAGCTGGTCCCACCCAAAGCCTGCTCCTCGCTGTCCTCCCTTTTGCCCTCCCCAGGGGAGCATCATCAGCCCAAGGCCCAGAAGTGAAGGCCCTGGAGCTGGCACAGCTGCCCCCTCCCCGGGACCTCGGCCCTCTCCATCCCTGGGGGCCACTGCAGTCTTCCCCTGGTACGGGACACATTCTCCCCGTCAGGCCTGCATGGCTATTGCCCACCTCACCGTGCACATTCAATGGTGTTTTTGTCTCTTGACTTGTCTTTCCCAGGAGATGATGGATTTCCTGGAGGCAGGAAGTGTGGCCACCACCGGGAGTAGCTCCAGGACCCGGCATGGGTTAGGCTCTGGGGTGGTGTGACAGATGTGTGTCCGGTCAGCCTAGCTGAGCTGAACTGCAGCACCCAGAACTCCCTTCCCTGCACAGGCTTGGGTTATCTGGGGCCCCAGGGGAGGGGCAGAGGGAGCAGCAGTCATGTCTTCCTTTTACACTCAGAAGGCGAGAGGGGCCAGTGCCTCCCAACACACAGGGGACTCGCAGGTGCTGCTGATCTCAGGAGATGGATTTGGTGTCCAGGCAGCTGGGGCATAGCTCTTCCAGCCCAGCCAGAGCCTCCTGTGGCCTTCTTGACTCCCAGGCCAGGTATATGCTTAGTTCATGAAAGTGCCGGCTTCTTCCACGGGGTGCCCATCCTCGAAGGTAGAGGCTTAGAGCAGGGGACAGATTGACTTGGGGTCTGCCACTTCCCGGTGGGAGTTCCAGCTCAGCCTGTCAGGTTCCGTTTGTCCTCCTACCCCACTTCATGGTCATCCCCTTTTCCCCACGCCCGCCCTGCCAGCTCCACGCACCGGAGAAGCAGCAGTTCCCTTAGACGGGGTGGCCAGTGCCCAAGGTTTCACAAGGCCAAGTCCCTGTAATAGGTCGTGTGTGTGTGTGTCTGTGTGTGTCTGTGTGTGTGTGTCTACGTGTTTGTGTGTCTGCATGTGTCTGTGTGTATCTGTGTGTGCGTGCGTGTCTATGTATCTGTGTGTGTCTGTGCGTATCTGTGTGTGTGTGCGTGTCTATATATGTATGTGTGTGTGTCTGTGTGTGTGTCTGTGGGTGTGTCTGTGTGTCTGTGTGTGTGTCTGTGTGTATACGTGTCTGTGTCTGCGTGTGTCTGTGTGTCTGTGTGTGTCTGCGTGTGTGTCTGTGTCTGTGTGTCTGTGGGTGTCTGCGTGTGTGTGTCTCTGTGTGTTTGTGTCTGTGTGTTGGTGTCCGCGTGTCTGTCCGTGTAGTGCGTGTGTGTGTCTGTGTATGTCTGTATGTCTGTGTATGTTTCTGTATGTTCCTGCATGTGTGTGTCTCTGTGTGTGTGTTTGTGTCTATGTGTGTGTGTCTTTGTGTGTCTGTGTGTTTCTGTGTGTGCGTGTGTGTCTCTGTGTGTTTGTGTCTGTGTCTGTGTGTGTGTGTCTGTGTGTGTGTCTCTGTGTCTGTGCGTGTGTGTCTGTGTGTCTGTGTGTGTGTCTGTGTGTGTCTCTGTGTCTGTGTGTCTGTGTGTGTGTGTGTGTCTGTGTGTGTGTGCGCGTGCATGTCCTCTCACGTCCCAATGTTCCACTTCTCTGAACTCTGACTGGTGCAGGTGGCAGAGCCTGTAGGAACGGAATGGGAGGAGATGGGAAACCCTTGTGGGATGGGAACTGTCAGGTCGGGTTCTGCAGACTACGTGGGAAAGTGGAACACAGTGATCCTGGCAGAGGGAACAGCATGTGCAAAGACCAGGGGGTAGTGGGGCACAGTGCCTGAGCAGCCGTGGGTTCCTGTCCCGCCCAGAAGAGAAAAGGTCTGCAGAGGAAGCAGCGGCTGCCTGAGTGGAGCCCAGCCCGGCAATGGGCAGTGGGAGCCAGGCTGGGCTTTCCTGCAGGAGGCACCACGTGGTTGCTGCAGATGAGAGAGGGTGATGCCCCCAGGAACTCCAGGCTGGCAGGGGTTAGGGACGGAATTGACGTGGGCTGTACGGCGTTGGCCTAGTTCCTTGTTGGGGATACAATCAGGCGGGAGCGGCCTGTCCCTTAGGATACAATGACTGGGCTATAGCAGTCGTGCTCTTGATCAAGTTAAAAAGTGGCTGCTGGTATCACTGGCCCCCACCAAGTCGGGGAAGCCCTGCTCCCCATCACTCTGGAGAGCTGTGTATTTTCCCAAACTCCAAGCATTGGTGCTGAGACCGCTCCCGCAAAAAAAGCCAGAGAAGGGTAGCTGGGCTTCCCCCAACTCCAAGGGGTTGAACTAGCGACCCTTCAGGAGTCTCAGAAGACCCCCATTGTGCATTCAGGGAAATGGGAGCCCAGGGAGAGGATGGGCCCTGCCTAAGGTCACCCAGTGAGTTGCAAGAGCCGGTGAGAGCCCAGGTCTCCAGATGCCTGCCCAGCAGCAGTGCCAGGGGAAGGGGACGTGGGGCCAAGGCCACCCGTTGTGCAGAGATCAGGAGCAAGTGGTGCCGGGGCGAGACTACCCACAGGGGAGCACCTTCTCTGAGCTCCAAGGAGCCACAGGCCCTGAGCCTCTCTCCCTCTCTTGGGGACTCACCACCTTGAAAGAGATGGACCCAGAGGTAAATGACAAGATGACACCATAAATGCCACAACGCAGGCACTGGGGGAGAACAGGGGAAGCAGCCACCAATCCTCCCTTATAAGTATTCAAATTCCACTCATTCCTTCATGCAGTAACTAGCTACTGAGCACCTAGGATGTGCAGGGCTGGATGGGGCTGGGGACACAGAGCTGAACAAGACAGCCCCCCTGCCCCCGTCTTGGAGCTTGGCATCCTAGCACATATTAATATATAGTATTCGTACACTGTGTAATGTAATGCTGGTAATAACATCCATAAAGATCCCTCACAGCAGTCTGAGAGGGCGGAGTGATGGGGACCAGGGACCCTTGGCCCAGGAAGACAAGGACAGCCTCTTAAAGCAGTTGCCATTTGAGTCGAGACCTAAACTCTGAGAAGGAGGAGGCATCTGGACATTTGGAAGCAGACGTTTTTAGGGAAGGAAAACAGTGAATGCAAAGGCCCTGGGGTGGAGGTGAGCTCAATGCTTTGGAAAGAAGGCCCAGTCGGCTAAAGCGGAAGGAGCAGAGGAGGCCCTAAAAGGTGACCTGGGGACATAGGTGGGTTGGACTGCAGAGCCCCGTGGCCATGGGGACGTGCCTGATGTACATTCCAGGGAGCTCCTCTGGCCTCTGTAGGACAATGGGCTGTGCACCCACCTGGTGCTGATGGGCACCAGGGCTCTTTCTATGTTTGGGTACTCAGTTGGAAACCCAGAACTTCTGAGGTGTTACAACGTGGGGCGCCTGTGCCTTCAGCCTGTCTAGCAGTGTGGCCTGGGCAAGGCCCTTCCCAGAGCCCAGTCTCTGTCAGGCTGGAGGGTGAGTGATCCAGCCACACAGTCACAGTAACAGCCTGCTCCCTCCGGAAAAGGCCTCTGTGACCAGGGACAAGCTGCTTTCCCCGCTATGTGGAGTGCTGAGGCTGATCAGCAGGAAACGGGCGGGTGAGGGCTTTGACGCCTCCGGGCTGGAACCCCTGGGCTGTCTTGGGGAAGCCCTGAGGGGAGCGGAGGTGGTGCTGGGACTGGGACCCCTCCTGCCGTCCGCCCTAGGCTGGCAGTCGGCGCCGGGCACCACTGCCCTTCTTTCACCAGGGGGCGCTGGTGGGCTTTTGCACTCTGTTTTCCTACCTCTCCCCGTCCTTTTTTTTCTTTTCTTTTCTTTTCCAATTAAAAATCATCCTTGTAGGGTCCATTTTCAAACAGATTTTGGAACAGTCTCTTTGAGAAATCCAATACACTTTTTCTTGAGACAGGGTCTTTCTCTGTCACCCACGCTGGAGTGTGTGACGTTTGCTTACTGCACCCTCAACCTCTGGGCTCAATCTTCCCACCTCAGCCTCCCAAGTAGCTTGCACACCACTGTACCCGACTGAATTTTTGGTTTTTTTTTTTTTTGTAGAGACAGGGTCTTGCTTTATTGCCCAGGCTGGTCTCAAACTCCCGGGTTCAAGTGATCCCGCCACCTCAGTCTCCCAAAGTGCTGGAATTACAGGCGTGACCAATGTACCATTAACTTTGGGATTCAGAACTAACTCAGGAAGCTGCCAGCCACCCAGCTGAAGGCCAGGCCTGGGTCTCACCCAGTAGCCAGATCCTGGCAGGGGGTGGGGGCAAGGGTGGTTCTGGGATCCCTGTGGACTGGACCCACAATACTGACTTCTGACATTTGTTGGGTTTTTTTTTTTGAGACGGAGTCTTATTCTGTCACCCAGGCTGGAGTGCAGTGGCGCGATTTCGGCTCACTGCAAACTCTGCCTCCTGGGTTCAATCAATTCCCCTGCCTCAGCCTCCTAAGTAGCTGTGATTACAGGCGCCCGCCACCAGGCCCGGCTAATTTTTGTGTTTTTAGTAGAGATGGAGTTTCACCATGTTGGCCAGGCTGGTCTTGAACTCCTGACCTCAAGTGATCCACCCACCTTGGCCTCCCAAGGTGCTGGGATTATAGGCGTGAGCCACCGTGCCCGGCCTGACATTTGTTGGTTTTAATAAGCATGAAAGGAATTCCAGGGCACCTGTCCTCCACCCTGCCCCATTGGCTGGCCTCGAACCCCAGCGGAGCCAGAGTTGGAGAGTATTTTCCGTGAAAGATTTCCTGGGTTTTGGGGACAAATTGGGCTGCTCTCAGGAGTGGGGGACAGAATGGGGTGCGAGGTGGGGGCAGGGGGCCTTCTTCATTCTACTTCCTGCTCGGAAATATTTTAGGGACTTGCTATTTTAGTAAAGGCATTAATTGGGCACATATTTACCATCCTACTGTTTTTAATCACAATGTCTGTGAATTTCCCTCAGTGTGAGAGGGGCCCAGACTTCGATTTCCTGTCCCTTCAATGCTTGCAGATGGAATATTCCAGCACATGTGCAGGATCCATGCTAACTAAAACATAGTTACCCTCCACCACGGAACCACAGACAGGGCACAAGGACAGGGGCGGCTGAGGGTGGGTTCCTGATTCCCAACGTGGGATGGGCGTACCCCACCCCCTCCACCAAGGCATGGGGCTGTGTTCGCGGTTGACAGTATGGTCACGCGAAGGAGTTTTGCAAATGACCTTGGCCCTGGAGGCGCAATGACCGAATGAAGCTTGAACTTCATCACTGAACTCTGCAGGACCTGCAGGAGCAAGTTGGAAGCTCAGTTTCCTCATCTGCGAAATGGGGGAATAATAGTGACTGCGCCATGAGATGACGGTGAATGTTAAATGACATCGCCCATTGTTATCAGGGTTTTGGCTGTCACTATTCATCGAGTACCTCCCTCCTGTCCACTCATGCTTTACACACCCCGAGAGAAGCTCCTGCGGATTAGAGATGTTAAGGGAGCCGCCTAGGATGGCACAGCTTGGCAGAAGGGTGGAGCCAGGGCCCACCTGGGTCTGTAGAATTCCTCTGCTCTCCTTGGCCTGTCCTCTGAACTCCTGGGGATTTGGCAGATTCTCCTTTCAGGGGAGAAGTTAGAGGTGGAGTCTGCGCTTTGCATTCTGCCATCCCAGAACCCTGGGGCAGGTTGTGCCTGGGCCTGGCTGCTGGCTGGCACTGAGCAGCAAAACAGTCCCGACCAGAGCCGGGCACCTGGAGGCCAGTGGTGGGCAAAGCCCTTCCTCCTGAGAAGTACAGGTTCACTGGCCCAGCCCTCCCAGCCCTGCTGCACCATGCAGCGGGCTCCAGAAGAGGAGGGATGAAGCCTCAAGCCCTGCCCACTGAGAAGCCCAGTATTCCCCCTGGGATGGCAACAAATCCCGCCTGCCACGGAGGTGCCAGGACCCGCCGCAGAGAGGGAGATGAGAGAGGGCCCTAGAGAGGACTACAGAGGCCACTTGCAAGGAGTAGGGGATGGATGACAGGGATGAGGGGGACTGGGGAGAGGAGGAGGGAGGGAGGGAATTGCTCAGCAGGGCAAGGACACAGGATTGAGCACTATGTGGGGTGGGGGCACCTCAAGAGACAGAAGAGAGGAATGGGTACCGTGGTGAGGGTCGGGGGCATTCACTGACAGAGAGGAGAAGAGCCTGCCAGGTTATGAGTGGTTTGAAAGCTGGAGTTTAGACTTGATGTGATAAAAATGGGGAGCCACGGTAGCCTCTTGAGTGAGGGAAGGCTAGGGATGGGCTGAGGAAGGGGTAGAAATGAAAGAGACAGGTTACAGATGCCAGTCTCTGTGCCATCCACGACTGGTCTCTAACCCACTTCATCCCCTGGCTTCAGTTCATTTACTAAGTCACCCTTGGGAGCTACCCTCAGAAATCCCATTTTCAAATGACATGAGAAAATGCTCCTGGCATAACACAGAGTGAAAAGCTAAGAAGCAGTGGAAGCTGTGCTTTGTAATCTCGATTTGGTGAGAGAAGTCTGCAGGTGTGTCTGTGTTTGTGAGGATACCACTGCCCCGGGCTTTCTTGGTGATGTTGGTTTTTGTCCTTTTTCTTCTTTGACAAAATTTCCTTCACCTTGGGAGGGTTTCTCGCCTTAGCCCTCTTTGCCCTTGGGGTAGGAGGAGCCGGCTTCTGGTTACAAATGACCCAGGCTCTGGATTTTGTGGCGTTCCAAGTCCATTAGGGAAGGACAAGTATGGCAGGGAGAGGTAGAATGTCAGGAGAAGCAGGTGCTGGGGAGGGCTCCCCCAAACTTTCAGGGGTTTCTCTGGGCCTGGGCTGGCCTTGGGGAAGAGGGGAGTCAGTGGGCCTCTGGGGGCTGCTCCGCAGATGCCAGTTTCCAAATTCTCCTGAGACTCCCATGCCTGAGAGAGACACACACCACCGCAGAGCCGCGGTTCCTCCCGAGTCACCTATGTGGACAAACACAAGTGACAGGTGACCCAGGACCCCTTGACATCCCTCCCCATCCAACACACCTTGGCACTGTGTGGGATTCAGAACCAGGGACCATCCAGGGGTTGGGGGGAAGCTCAGAACCCACACTCAATGGATTCCAGGCCAGAGTGACGTGCTACTTCCTACAGGGCCAAGCTGGTAGCCCGAGAGGTCTCCCCATTAAAAGTGCTAAAAAAAAAAAAAAAAGAGCCTGGAGGGATTGCACCAACCCTTACTAGCAATTCTCTCTGCAGGTGGCATGATGGTAATTTTTCTTTTCTTCTTAATAATGAGCTATATTTTTCTAATTTTCTACAATGTGCAGATGTGAATTCTAAAATTAGAAGGGAAAGGAAAAGTAAAGTAAAGCAAAACTAGTCAGAAAGACTAGCTCTCGTGAAGCCAGGCTTAGGGGGACCAGGACAGAGAGGTTTTGCAGGAGGGCCAGGTTCCCAGTGTGGCTTCTGCACTGGCCCCAGGGGCAGAGAGACCCCAGGGCCCCATGTAGCATGTGCACACTCCTTGCCCCACTGCTCAGCTGCTCCTCCCCACCGTCACTCACTCCTGGAGGCCAGACAGTGTTGCCACCATGCTTCCAAATAGAGGCATCACCATTACTGCCCAGTGGAGGGGCACCAAGGGCTGTGCTGTGCACCCCCCACCAGCCCCGCCTAGGCCTTGTTCTTCAAAGTGTGTTCGAGCCCCAGGTTTCTTCTGAAGACATAGAACATCTTACCCCTTGTAGACTCCTCTGCCCCATCTCTTCTCCACCCTTCTCCTTCAGGGTCTCCTGCCCATAATGTCATCCACATCCTTCCAGTGTCTTGATTACAAGATTTGTTCCTGCTAGCCAACAAGACATTTAGTCCTAAGAATTAGACCTCACAATCCCTCTCACCAGCCTCTTCATCACCTGTGTTTCCCTATCTCTGACCTTCCTTTTGTTCATTCCAGTGGGCCCCTTGCTGGTCTCCTTGTCTCCTCTCCATCCACCACCCACAAAGCCACGCCAGGAAAGAAAAAGTACTGGGATTGAACTTCTCTGTTCAGAATGACTTTGATGGTATTTTCCTTCTATCAGTGCTTCTAGGATCAGATTCAAGTTCCCTTTCCTGCAGCCCGAAGGCCTCTGTGATCAGTCCTGGGAGAATGGAATGCCTGGGGCTTACGGTACTACTCCCAGCCCTCGCTTCCAGGGCAGACATTACTAATCAATGGCAGCACACTCCTCCTGCTAATCCAGGATGTGGCTTCCAAGTCCTTTTCAGCAAAGGTATCAGGCACCCCGTGACTGATCAAAGTTGGCCATCTCATATCCGGTTATAACCCACAGGCCTACGCTTCTTTCTCTTCCCTATCCCATTCCCCTACCATTCAGCCACATGGGATGTATTGGCACTCTCACATTGGGATACTTGAGGAGGTTAAAGGACTGGACCAACTTCACACAGGTACTGGCAGGCGAGGGGTGATGCGAGGGACAGTGCAGTGCTCCGTGACTAGCTTTGCTGCTACCACCCCTCTGCCTAAAGGGGCAAGGATCCCAGAAGGAGAGAGTTGCTTTGAAAAGAGTCATCTGGCTGAGGGACACAGTGAACCCCAAAGCAGCCCCAAATGGTCAGAGTCAGGGAGTAAGTGCCCTGGCCTCCTTCTCCCTCACCTGCCTGTGCTCCCATTGTCTGAGCCCCACTAAAGCTGGAGGGCGGGAGAGCCTCTTGCAGTAGATATCACAGGGTGGAGCAAGGCTTGGGGGAAGTGGGCACCACCAGAAGCTTTCAGCCCACAGCAGGATGCCCTGCTCGGCCCCACAGAGGAGACAGAAGGGACAGGCCAGGCTCACAGACAGGCTGTCAATGTGCTACCCGTTCCATACCACCGTGCTCTTGCCACCAAGTTCCGTCTGCCTGTCTGACTGTCCTGCCAGCTTCATTTGCCAAAACCTACTTCTCCTTCCAGCCAGCCCAGGAGCCACCTCCTCCTCGAAGCCTCATACATTGCCCTTTCTGCTGGGTCCTCAGTACTGCCCCAGTTAGAGGTCATCGTTCCTTCCTCTGGACTTCAAAAGCAGTTCCCCAGCAGGGGACGTCCGCGGGAGCCAGGCCTGTGCAGTGGGAAAGGAGAAGCCATCCTCCCACGCGATGGACGAGGACTCAGAAGCCAAGAGAGTGTTTCTGGTGTGGTCAAGGTGGCTGGCCCCAAATCCAGCATCCTCTCTCCACAGAGCCCTCGCCCCTGTCTTCAGCCAATGTCCCTAATATGGCTTCCCATCCACCTGGCTGCTGGGCACACCTCCGCACCATCCCACCTCCAACACCGTCTCTCCCCTGCAACCCCACTGCCACCCAGACCAGGAGAGCAGGTTTGAGAAGCGCCCCTTGGCTGCTGGTGGCTTGCAGCAGGCCCCGAGGCTCCTCAGCTTTCTTCTGGTGTCCTTTGGGGACCTTGTCCTATAGACTTGGGGATAAGTCACAGAACTCTTGCAGCCACACTGAAGAAGTACATGAGCCAACCTCTGGTGAGGCCAATTCTGCCACCACTGGACCTGTCCCTGGGCCATTGCCTCGTGTGCTCACTCTGAAAGCCTGCCTGACCCTCAGTCTCTTCTTTTGCTGCCCCCTAGCCTCTGTGACCCACCTGTGGACAACTGGTCGTGATCAGCTGTATGTGAGTGGACCCAGGCTCAAGTCAACTCAACTGAACAAACATCTGAAAATCTGGCATGTCAAGCTGTCCTGGGCACTGGGAGTGTCAAGGTGACCAGGACACAGTCCTTGCTTTCTGGGTCCTCACATCTAACCAGAGGGACTGGCATGTGACATGTAAAGGATACTAGCATATGCCAAGAGCAATAGTAGTAACAGTTACAGAGATAGAACAGGGAGAATGGATGTTAATGTGCATATTTATCAGGGAAGGCTTCCTGTAGGAGGTGGTAGGGCTGGGCTTTCCAGTTAAGAGAGGGGTCTTGTTCTATAGCTGCTCTAGTCTTCATATAGAAAAATAATTTCTTTTCTCTGGATGGCTAGACTGGGCAGGGTGATGTCTTGTATGAATCAAGGTCTGGGGCTCAGCCACAATCATCCTGCACAGTGGATGGGAACTGACCCCAGGAGTGGCATGGCTGCCTTCTTCATTATCAGGGTGGAAATTTCCAGTGTCCCCACATCATGGCCCTCATACTCATAACAAATTGTAGTGTCTCAGCCCCCAAAGCCCAGAGCGGCTGGGCACATTAACAAGAACCTCAGCTAGCAACAATATGCTGCCTCAAATATAAGCTTGGCCCTAAAGCCCCCTGCGCCAAGCAGCCCTCTCCTGTTTATTTCCATTCCTTACCTAAGCCAACCTCATTAGTCTCCCCCAAATATTCCCCCTAATTATGCTCCAACGGAGGTGGGGGGCACACGTCCTTATGGTCTGGGCAGCCGGGATTCCTAATAAAAAGTCACCATAATAATTAAGAACAATGATTAGGCTCCTTTCCACTGCCCCCGATCACTCCAGCCCCATCAAAACTGGCTCCAGACCAGGTGCTAAGCTCTGCAGCACCGCCCAGGCATTTATTCCGAGCATGCTGCCCTGGCAAGCGACTCCAGTCCCCTTTCTCCCCACCCGCTAATGAACATCTGCTGGTGCTTCCTGGGAGTTCAAGGACTTTGGGAGAGGTGGCTTAGAGGTGGTGTAGTCAGAAACCAAAACCACGTCCATCTCTACTCCCAAAAGCATGAAGGAACTTCGTCTGTGCCTTCGGGTCCGTGCTGTCCTTACCCCAGGGATGTCCTTCCTTCCCACCCACCCGTTCATGTGGCCCAGACCTCTCGGTATTCCCATACTCAGCTCTGGGCACCCTCCTCTGGACACCTATCCTGGCAGCCCTGGGCAGCTTGGTAGGCACCTCCCTTGGGCTCCCACAGCCTACCTTGCAGCCGCTCCTATGGCGCTCTCGTTGCTGTTCACTTGTGTGTCTCAGAGGTGCAGGCTCACTCATCTCTGCCTCCCAGGGCTGAGCTCAGTGCCAGGCAGTGAGTGGGCCTCATTACGAGTCTGTTGAATGAGTGACGAGAGCTATAAGATGCCCAAGAAGGAATTTCAGAAATAAACAGAATTTTAACATCTTCTTCTTCTCTCCCTTTGGATAAAGGTTCCCAGGATCTAAGCTGAGCTCCTAGAATTAACGAGGTGGAGGGTAATCATTGATGCTCTCCCTCTGAAGACATTAGTCACACTTGGCTTTACCCACAACAGACACAGCCAGTCTTAATACTCTCATGATGATGGCCACAGCCCAAGGGTGACTGCTGCGGTTGCAGGCTGATGATCTTCCAGCCCTCCAGGCCAGGGCAGCAGTGTGGCTGGGGGTAGAGCAGCCAGGCTTTCTGTAGAATTTCTCCATCTGCACAGTCTTTGAGTGACAGCAGGTGGTGGGATAGGGTTCAGGGCTCCCTCTTCACTTGGGATATCCCAATCGAAGTGGGGAAGGGTTTGAATCTTCCCTTTCCTCCCCACAGGGAGGAAAGTGGGGAAGATTCCAGAGAGGGTGCTCTGTTGCGTGCAGGCAGCCAGGAACTTGGAGATGAGGGTGCTTTCAAAAGTCTGGCAGGGTACAAGGGGCCAGGCTAGCCCTGGGCGAATAAAGCGCCTTCCCCCTTGGGATTCCAGAATGACCCGAACTGTCACCACCCCTCCCCAGCGGGATCATGTGGCGAGGGACAATGCCAGGGGTGTTTGTCCTGGCTGTGTCATCTCCATCCCAGGGTCAGTAGAAGCACATGCATGCACACACACATGTACACACACGTGCACACACACACATAGCAAGAACTCTGGAACTAAAAACATTTTAAACACTCACTATTATTCTGCGGCAAAGCACCTGTCCTCCTAGAGAACAGGAAGAAGTTCATTCATTGGCTTAGCAGGCGTTCTCTGAGCATTTGCACAGGCCGGGCAGCAGACTAGGGGCTGGTGCAACTGTGAGCAAAGTGTACCCTGGCTGGGTCTTTGTGAACCTTCCAGGGTGGAGGGAGAACGAGGCCTTAAACAAGCACACAAAGCAAAGTATCGTTAGAAACCAGGACAAGTGCCACGGAGGAAAGTGCCGGAGCGACGGGAAAGCTGGGCAGGGGCCTGGCCTTGTCTGGGGTCAAGGAAGGCCATCTCTGACAAACTAACTTTGGATGTAAGAGCTGAAGGACGCTCGGGTTATCCGAGTGGGCGGGGGAGGGGCGGCAGTGGGAGTAGGGAGTGAGGTTCTGGGATGAGAGGACTGCCTGGGCAAAGCTCCTGGGGCCAGCTAGAGACGCATGAAATGGAGAAGCCGGTGGGATGGGCAGCGTGGTGAAACAGGAACCAGAGGGGTCGCAGGGGTCATAGCACCGGGGCCCATGGGTGACAAGTGACTGCTGGTCCTTGTCGTGGATGCATGGGAAGCATGATTGAATCTCCTGGCTGTAGGGCAGAGAGCGATGGGAGGGCCAAGAGTGGATGTGGAGGGTGAGTGAGCGCTCTTTACCTGGCTCTGGGGAGAGGCGAGGGTGGCAGTCAGAAGCACAGAGGCAGTGGCGTTGCCTTACTAGGGGATGGGTTGACCAGGGAGATTCCAGAAAAGGCAGCATCAGGGATGTCCCCTGACGTGCTGACTTCCATAAGGGACGGCAGGGGTCTGTGGGGCTGCTCAGCATCTTGAGCTGAGGCTGGGGGTTGGGAAGAAGGCAGGAGGGGTTCATGGAGAGAGGGTGCTGGGGGCTGCGCTCCGGGGGCACCACATACTCCCCGCCTGCTCTCCACCTCTCCGTGAGCCCCGTCCCCACCTCCCTCTGACCTCCAGAAAGAGCGGGGGGAGAGGAGTACATCCTAAACCAGCTCTGAAAACAAGCAACCCTGTTTAAAAAACACTTCCATAAGAGATGGCCCTTTTTAAGCCAAAATATGAAGGATATTCAAAATAAGTAACAAACTATGAACAGAAACATGGAATGAGGACTTGAAAGGGGAATAAACATAGCCAAAAAGTATGAATGTGAGGCTGTGGCCGACCCCCTCCCCGCGAATATACTGTCCCAGAGCCCTCCTGCAGCCTCCCGCTGGCAGATGGCTCCAGCCTGGGCTTGATCCCGGCGGGGCCTCCCAGGGGTTCTGGTTACCTCCTAGGGAGTTCTTGAAGTGTGTTCACGGGACCAGCAGCAGCAGCAGCACCTAAGAACTGGTTAGAAACTTGAATTCCAAATCCAAGGCTCGGGGTGAGCCCAACAAGCTGTGGGACTTTCTCATTGTTTTGTTTTGTTTTGCTTTTTAAAAAATTGAGGCGAGTTGGCCGGGTGCGGTGGCTCACACCTGTAATCCCAGCACTTTGAGAGGCCGAGGTGGGCCTCAGGATCACCTGCAGTCAGGAGTTGGAGACCAGCCTGACCAACATGGAGAAAACCCATCTCTACTAAAAATGCAAAATTAGCCGGGCATGGTGGCACATGTCTGTAATCCCAGCTACTTGGGAGGCTGAGGCAGGAGAATCGCTTGAACCCGGGAGGTGGAGGTTGCAGTGAACCAAGATCACATCATTGCACTCCAACCTGGGCAACAAGAGTGAAACTCCATCTCAAAAAAAAAAAAAAAAAATTGAGGTGAAATTCATATAACATAAAATTAACAATTTTAAATTGTTCAATTCAGTGCCATTTAGTGAACTCACAATGTTGTACAACCACCAGCTTTCTAGCACCTAAACAGTATTCTCACCCCAAAAGAAAACCCATCCCTATTAAGTGGGGCTTCCCCAGGTCCCTACCCCCAGCCCCCTACAATCAGCAGTCTGCTTGCTGTCTGTGTGGATTTGCCTATTCTGGACATTTCCTATAGATGGAATCACGCACTGTGTGGCCCTTTGTGCCTGGCTTCTTTCTCTTAGCATCATGTTTTTGGGGTTCACTCATGTTGGAGCCGCATCAGCACTGGAGTCGTTTGTGTGGCTGAATAATAGTCTATGGGTTGTATAGACCACACGAATCTGTGTTTTCACCAGCCCTCCGGGTGATTCTGATGCACGCTCAAGCTTGGGAACCACCACCCTACAATACCAGAACTGAAGCGCCAGGAGGGCCCTTTCTCTCCCCTAGCGTGCACTGTCCACCCCACCACCTCCATCCACACACCTCAGACACCTGCCGAGCTCACCTACGGGTGCAGCTCATGACAGAGCATCCGGACCTGCAGATTCACATCCAGCACAGTACCTCGCAGGGCTCTGCTCAGAAACATTTTGGATGTGTTGTGATTTAAGCTTAAATGTAGTAAAAATGAGTCATTTTAAAAATGTTCCCTTGGGTCAGACCACTTGTTAGTTCAGAGTGGACACTCTTTCCCCCACAAAGCCAAATTAGCCAGCAGGGGGTCCGGGGAAAGGTGTCAGGGGTCAGAGGGACCAACAGCTTTAGAGCCCTGCTCTGGGCTTGAAGCCTGGCTCTGTCACTAACTAGCTGTCTGTCCCTGGGCAAGTCTCTATCTCTCCAAGTATCAGTTCCCCCATCTGGAAAGGGCTGCAGTGAGGAGTACCCAGAATGAGGCTCTACAAATAGAAGCCATTATTTGCCATTTTCATAGCTTCAACAAAGTTGCACACACACTGGGACAAACTTGTGTGGTTAAGAAGCTGGGATTTTATCCTGAACACGATAGGAGACATTGGAAGGCTTTCGGCTTTAGGCGAGTGAGCGACAAGAGCCCATTTACTTTCTAAGAAGATCCCTCTGGTTTCTGTGGGGATCATATTATAGTTCCCAGTGTCATCCCCTTAGTTCAGGCCCACTGGCACCCCCCACCTCCACAAGGCCACTGCACCTCCCAGAGCTGTCTGACCCTGGGGAGGACCCAGCTGAGATTCGCAGGGACCCCCCCAACCCTCACTGATCAGCCATCACCTCTGTGAGATAGTTGCTTCTCTGACCCTGAGTTTACAGATAAGGAGACCAATGGCTCAAGAGACAGACTCAGACCCAGGCCCATCAGCCTGCCAAGGCCAGGCACTTCCCCCGGCACACTGTGCTGGCCTGCGGTGTTGGAAGGGGATGCCCAGAGTCTCTGGTCCAGGCCTTCTGGTACCCAGACCTCTGCAGGCCTCCACAGTGAGGCACTTGGTACTCAGGTCCTCCAGGCCACTGTCAGGGCTGGGCAGGCACCTGGTCACCATCAGAGAAAGAGCTGGGAGCCAGGGGTCCCCTCAGGCACTTCCATAGCACCCTATTAAATGCTTCCGGGAGGGAATCTCATTTTGGACTTTGGACACACACTAGCTGTGTGACCTTGGCCAAGCCACTTAACCTTCCTGAGCCTCCACTTCCTGACCTGCAAAAAGAGTATAATAATAGCTGCTAGCCTTCAGCATTATGGGGAGAATTAGACATAAGAATGTATTTTCTGTTCCAAAAGGCTGGTCGAGGCAGGGTCCCCCTCTGCCGCCCCCCAGCCCTCCCACCTACTGCCCGGCCACTTCCAGCCGCCCAGCCTAGGTTCCTTCCACACAAGATGAAAACAGTCTGGTCTGGAGGCCACCAATGGCATCACTCCCAGCTGCAGCCACCTCTGCCCCAGGAGCCCAGGTGGGTGAAGGGCAGGTGGTGACTTGAAGGGGAAATTGTCCTGCACGTTGTCCTCAGAACCTCGAGGAAGCTGGTGACACACCAGAGTGTGGACATTAATGTAATCGTTGGGTAATTCAATCACTTTATAGAAGTTGATCTGTCCTTTTTATTACAATTACTGTCGGCTGGGGTGTTTCGTTCCATCACTGAAAATAAACATCATTTATCATACTTGTAAAGATTAGCACCCGACAGCTACAGCTCTTGCTTTGCATAAATGTGTATTAATGTTGGCCCTGCCCGCAGTGTGGGGAGAAGTCTATATTTCACAAGACTGATTAGGCCCTGTCACCACTGCTTTAAGTAATGTCTTATCATGACTGATACTCCCCGACTGCAAAACAGGGGCCGGGGGAGGGCGGGGGCTGCTCCAGGCAATTTATGGTGGCACCAGAATGAAAAACAGGCCTGGGAAGGTGGGCATCTGTTTCTTCTGGGCCTGATCCCATCCCCGAAGCTGGGTCTGCGCCTCCTCCCAAGGCCCCTGCCTAACAAGCAAAGGCTGCCCATAGGGGTGTCGGGGCCCAAGAGTTCCACGACCATGGAGGGGCCTCATTCCAGCCTTGCATGTCCTCCTCTGACACCACTGAGGTTCTGTCTCTCCTTTCCTCTGCTGCGGGGAGGCGCGTCTGCCAGGCAGTTATCTGTCAGGAGCCCCTGTTGCGTCGACTGCCCTCCGCTCTGCCATGCCCGCTGTTGGCACCCAGATCGGTCCCAGCCCGGGCCTCTCTCCTGTGCTCAGCCTGGTACCCACAACCTCCTACCTTGCCCATTTGCCCTCCACATACACTCCGGGACTCCATGCCACCATAGGACAGTGACCAAGCTCCTCAGGAGCCAAACAGAATCAGGGTTTTGGGCCCTCCAGGGGCTGCCTCCTGCCACCCTCATCCTGCTGCCAGACCCTCCCTGGCCTCAGCCATACCGGGCTCCTCCACTCTCCTTCGTGCTGCTTAAGCCCACCCTGTGGTTTCACATGTGCGTGCTTCTGGACCCGAGCAGACACCTTCTCCCTGCACCCACCTAAGGAAGCCAGCACCCACCCAGGGTCATGGCTTGGCTCCGGGCCTCCTGTTCCCCACCCCTCCTTGGCCGGGAGAGTCAGTCCCTGTAAGTATTCCAACCAGGAACTTAGGCAGAAATCCTCTTAGTCATCCCCAGGTCCCAGCACCCTGTACAGTGATTGGCACAGGGTGGGTGCTGAATAAATCGTGGCTTCAAACAAAACAAAACAAAACAGTATAAATGATTAAGAACTCATTTTGCTGAAGAGATTCTTTTTTTTTTTTTTTTTTTTTTTGAGATGGAGTCTCCCTCTGTCATCAGGCTGGAGTGCAGTGGCGCAATCTCGGTTCACTGCAACCTCTGCCTCCCGGTTTCAAGCAATTCTCTGCCTCAGCCTCCCAAGTAACTGGGATTACAGGCACCCACCATCACGCCCAGCTCATTTTTGTATTTTTATTAGAGACAGGGTTTCTCCATGTTGGCCAGGCTGGTCTCGAACTCCTGACCTCGTGATCCTCCTGTCTCGGCCTCCCAAAGTGCTGGGATTACAGGTGTGAGCCATCACACCCAACCTCTTCCATCTTTTTAAGAAGGCTGACCTAGATCCCGTAGAGCTAGCCAGAGCTACCCAGTAAGGTAGCCACGAGCCACAAGTGATGATTTACACTTAAATTAACTACAACTAAATGCAATTAAAAGTTCAGTTCCCCAGCCCACTAACAACATTTCTAATGTTCAATAACTCCTGTATTAGACAGCACAGACATAAAGCACTTCCATGGTCCTGGAACATCCTGTGGGTCGGCGCTGTCGGACAGTGTTCCGGGGTGCCTGGAAGGAGTGGGCCGCAGTGTGGTGGGGCTGGAGAAGGGACCCTGGTGGCATATTCCACCTGAGGATGTCAGCAGGCAGATTCAGGTCACTCATGGAGCATGCTCTGAAAGATGTGGGAGGCTGGCCTCAAAGCCAAGTGTCACCTCGAGATTTTGGTGCCCAGATAGGTGCTGGTGTGAATGCCAAGGTTGTTTTGGAGTGACACTGCTGTTACTGTCATGAGCTGACAAAAAAGATAGGATGAAATGACAAAGCCTGGCTGGCGTGTCCAGCAAGGAGAGGCGTGTGCCACGTGAAAGCCGAACACAACGTGGAGCAGGATTTCAGACAGAAACTGTGGAGGAAGGACTGACTTCAGAGGGTCCACGCTCTGCAAGACAGAACATAGGCACAGAACACTGACATTTTCATTGATTTTACGGTTGTACTTGATTACATTTGTAAACTCATCTGGGCTATATAATTCCGTAAGAAAAAATTTATGTCTTGTTTGGTGCTCCCCTATTTTAAAAACATAATAACTGCAATGTAAGATACTTGAATGTTTTTCCTTTAAGGTGTCCATTGCTGAGCAGGCAGAGATTCTTGTCTGTGCTGTCCACCTGCACCCCAGCACCTACTGCAGTGTGTGGTGCATAGTAGATGCTCATTAAATACCTGAGAAATGAGTGTACAGAATCATGAGAGGACAGTTACGTGGATGGTGAATGAAAATCTTGGAAGCACAAAGTAGACATCAAATGGATATTTGCTAGGTGAATAAATCACTGAATGAATGGGCAAATTTATGAACAAATGAATGAATGAATGGCTGTCAGGCAATGGGAGCACAGTTGAGGTAGGTGGGAGCAGGGCTCAGTCAGGCATCTGGCTGCCTCTGGATCTCACCTGGACCTGGAGACCTTGTAGAGTCTGCGGCTGCCTCAGTGTTCCCAACCCCTGCCGGACCTTGCCGTCCCTTTGTGCCATCCTCTCTCCATCCCCACTGGCCTCCTGCTGGCTCCTGCTGGCTCCCGTGGGCTGTTAGGAAGAGTCTGGGCCTGTTCTCCATACTTACGCCACCTTATAGGACAGAGCAGCTGCTCCCCTGCCAGACAGTAGCAAGGGCCTTTACTGAGATGTAATTCACACACCAAGCAATTCATCCCTTTAAAATGTACAACTCCATGGTTTTTAGTGTACGCACAGCTACGTGCAACTATCACCACAGCAAATTTGAGAAGGTTTTCTTCGTTTCAAAAAGAACCCCTATACCCTTTAACTATCGCCTCTATGGAGCCTTTCTCCCCCAACCCCCTGCCTCTGACAACCACTAACCTACTTTCCATCTCTCTAGCTTCCCCTGGCATGGATACTCATGTGAGCAGGGCATATGGCATGCACCCTTTTGTGAGTGGCTTCCTTCAGTCAGCACCATGTTTTCAAGGTTCATCACATGTAACATGTTGGTTCCTTTTTATGGCTGAACATTGTATGGATAAAACACATTTTACTTCTCCATTTGTCTGTTGGTGGACATTTCGATCATTTCCACCTTTTGACTATTATGAATAGTGCTGCTATGGATGTCTGGTTCTGGTGGATGTCTATTTTCAGTTGTCTCAGACCTACCTCTTGTAGTGAAATCACTGGGCCCTGTATAGGAAAAATAGTTTTCCCAGGATCCATGTCTCAGCATCCCTTCCTCAGCCTGAGAGAGAGATCTGCTGTGGGATGACCCCAGGGAACCCTCCCCAGGCCCCAGGAAGCCACGGCCAGGTAGGAGTGGGGTGCACAACTGCCTGCTGCTGCGGGAGGTGAGAGTTTCATATTGACAGACACAATTTCAGAAGCTTCCAGTTTTCTCTAGCTAGGTCCCTCAAGCACCCTGGCTTCAGACCTTCGCTTACAATGACTCTGTGTCACTGAAGCTGTTAGTGGTTGGGCTGGTCCATACAAACCATTCTGCCACTGAGCTGTCTGTGGGAGTCGGGTGTGTCACTTCGGGCTGGAACCCTTATTTGCTGATGGGAGACCCCTCCCTCACTCTCAGTCTCTCTTTCCATCTGCCACCATGAGCAGTGATGTTGGAGACGGTGGCTTCTTTATCAGCTTGGGTTCCCAAGTGACTCAGGAGCGGATGCAATAAGAAACAAACCCTTGATGTTGTAAGCCACCGACATAATGGGGTTGTTTGTTATTGCAGCATAACCTGGCCTTTCCTGATGGAAAATCCAGATGCCTGGACCTCCTTCCTCCAGTCCGTGGGCATCCTTGCCAGCAGCCAGTGCAGAGCACTACCTCATTCCCAATTCCAGATGTGTACAGACCCCCTAACTCCCCGACCCAGGACTGGATGGGATGGGGCCCCATCTCAATATCTGGAGCACTTGGAAGGGCCAAAGGCATTTCTTGCCTGGGTTACTCATCATAAACAGACCCCTCCCTGTGAACATCATGGAATCCACAAAGAGTCCTCCCTTTGGAGGATCTTGCATATTTATTCATTCTTTTTTTTTTTTTTTTTTTTTTTTTTGAGACAGAGTCTTGCTCTGTCAACCAGGCTGGAGTATAGTGGCACGATCTTGGCTTACTGCAACCTCTCCCTCCAGGGTTCAACCAATTCTCCTGTCTCAGCCTCCCGAGTAGCTGGGACTACAATGCATGCACCACACCCGGCTAATTTTTGTATTTTTAGTAGAGACAGGGTTTTGCCATATTGGCCAGGCTGGTCTTGAACTCCTGACCTCAGGTGATGCACCCACCTCAGCCTCCCAAAGTGCTGGTATTACAGGCATGAGCCACTGTGCCCGGCCAGATCTGGACTTTCTACCTCCTTTCACAGATTCCATGGTCTGTGAAACAAACAAACAATAAAATCCCTATTTAGTTGAGGCCCTGCAGTCCAGTTTCTGCTACTTGGTCCTAATTGAAAACATAAACTGAAACTCTGATCAGGCCACTTCCTTGCTCAAGAGGCAGCACAGGGACGCCTGTCTTCCACCACGTGAAGTCTAAATGCATTGGCCTGACACTCATGGCCATCTGCCACCCTTCCCCACAATCCATTGTGTCTCCAAGTTGGATGGTTTTGCTAGCTCCTGGCCCCTCTCCGTTCCCCAAGTCCCCTTGGCACCTTCTCCCCACGGGAGCTCCTCTACCATTTCATCTCCTCCTTGGAAAACTCCCCTCAAAACTTTGACCAGCTGAAATGGTACAATGCCTCCACTCCCCACTCAGGATCAGCCTCCAGAGGGCACAAGCCAAGTCTCTTCCTCTCTGCAATCCCTGGCCCCTGGGTGTCGTAGGTCACCTATGTCATGGCCTATGCATGTCATAGGTACTCCACAGATGCTTTAGGGATGGGTGGTATGTTAGGCTGTTCTTGTACTGCCATAAAGAAATACCTGAGGCTGGGTCATTTATAAAGAAAAGAGGTCTAATTGGCTCATGCTTCTGCAGGCTGTACAGGAAGTACAGTGCCGGCATGTGCTTGGCTTCTGGGGAGGCCTCAGGGAGCTTTTGCTCATGGAGGAAGGTGAAGTGGGAGCAGGCAGGTCACATGACCAGAGCAGGAGCAAGAGAGTGGGTGGGGGAGGTTCCACACACTTTAAACAACAGGGTCTCCCGAGAACTCACTCACTATCTCAAGGACAGCAACAAGCCCTGAGAGATCCACCCCCAAGACCAAAACACCTCCCACCAGGTTCCATCTCCAACACCGAGGATGACATCTCAGCATGAAATCTGGAGGGGACAAACATCCAAATTATATCAGATGAACACCAGTGATTCTGTAATGCTGTATTATATGTGATATGGAATATATTTTATGTTATACATAAAGGTATCAGTAAGTGTTACTTATTGGTCAACTATTCTGTAAAAAATACTGTAGTAGGCATTTAATTTTTTTAAAAATTTGTTGTTTTCTTTTGTATACCAAAAGAATAAATGTTATCTGTTGAATACAAAAAAATACATTAAATCATCTATCCAAGCCCCTGCACTAGTAACATTTGGATAAACATCTTTTAAGATAGACATGGCATATTATATATAGACAGGAAACGATAAAGAGGGAGAAAAGGGATTGCTATATAATAATTTTTTAGTCAAATTTCGAAGTGCCGGCTACCCTTTTACTAGATATTTTCTATTCATAGCTTCATGCATATCCACATTTTACGCATGAAGATACTGAGGCTGAGAAGCAAATTCATGCAGCTTCATACCCAAAGTCATGCAGCTAGGATAGTAGCAAAGTAGAAATTTAACAGAGATCTGTGGAACTCCAAAGTCTGTGTTCTTCCACTCCACTCAACTTACATCACCTTACATATATTTGACATCAGGTATTCAAACAAAATAAATCACGTGAAATGCATGCCACACCATTTACACACTAATGTAGCTTTTGGCAGGTTTTGCTTGCATCTATATGCACAAACCTGTGTACCTTTTGCCTGCAGTTTTAATCTGGAGTCTATGGGCCTCTCAGGACACAGACAGGCTTTGGTGGCCCATGAGCCCCCTGAAGAATTATTTAAAGTTTTCTGTGTAAGTCTGAATGGTAAGTTTTATAAGGGAGGATTTATAACTTCATGAGATTTTTACAGGGCCTGTGACCTCATCCTGGCCAGGAAACACTGACGTATTGTATGCAGGTGTTCATACCAGGTTCGAGGAGGCATAAACAAAGGCACTCGTCACCCAAGTGTGCAACTGTGTGCTGTGCCTGACATAGGCCTGTGAGCCCAGCCCCCAAGCTCTCACATCCGGTGGGACTGGCCTGGCTCAGCATATGGAAGTCCCAGAGTGAGTGATCAGGGAAAACCAATGCATTTGGAGCTGCTGCATGGGCCAGTGGGGACAGGGTGGGGGACATGGAAACGAGGAGGGGCTTGTCACAGGTGAGACACAGCTCTGAGAGAGGGGTCCCCCGGAGACTGAGCCACTGACCCAGGACCAATGCTCCCTGGGAAGAGGGAGGTTTTGCTTTTGGCTCTAGCTGGGCCTCAGAGGGCAGGACATGGAGACTGGACATCTGTGGACTTCAGCACTAGATCTGGTTCTAGCATGAACTACCCCAATCTTGGGCATCTCTTCAGTTCCCCACGCCTCAGTTTCCCCATATATAAAATTAGCTGCCTCGGTTAGAATCAAAGCATAACTAAAATATCATGCTCTTAGCTAAAGAGCCAGGCGCTGCGGCCAAGGTCCCAAATCAACAGTGCTGGCTGGCCACGATTGGTTAGTTTGTTCGTTGGTTTCGTAACCCAGAGGCACTGATAACGCCAGCCCAGTCATTCCCCAGAGGTTGAGAAAGGAGGCTGCAGGACGATGGGGGAAGGACATCTGAGAGGGGTGGGTATGCTGGCGGAGGCTGTGAACTTTTCAGATAGGGACATACCTGTTTCCTTCTCCACTGTAACCTCAGCTTCCAGAATCCTGCTTGGTGCAGTCGGTGCCTGTGTTAGTTCCTAGGGCTGCTGTAAGAAAGTGCCAACAACTAGGTGGCTTAAAACAATAGAAATGTACTCTATTACAGTTCTGGAAGCAAAAAGGTCTGAAATCAAGGTGGCTGCAGGGCCCCACTCCCTCTGAAACCTTTGGGGGAATCCTTCCTTGCCTCTTCCAGCTTCTGGTGTGGCCAGCAATCTTTGGCCTTCTTTGGCTCACAGTGGCATCACTCAATCTCTGCCTACATATTTGTCTGGCATTCTCCCTGTGTGCCTGTCTTTGCATGGCGATCTTCTTATAAGGACACCGGTCATACTGTATTAAGGGCCCACCTTAAGATTATGGCCGCATCTTAACTAATTATATCTGCAATGACCCTATTTCCAAATAAGGTCCCATTCTAAGGTATTGTTAGGTTAGGACTACAACATATCTTTTTTGAAGGAAGGACAACATTCAACCCATAACAGTGCTCAATAAATATTTAGTAAACAAGTGAGAGAGACAGATGGGCACAGGCTCTGTTCTTGGCAAGTCTTTGCTATGAGAAGATTGCCAAGGAGATAAAAATGAGCTTCTTGGGATATAATATCAAATAATTGCTACTCCTTGGGAAGAAGCCACAGTTTGCTGTGCTGGAATTATTGAATCACGAGTGGAGAGTAAGGTGCACGTGAATGAAGAGAAGCAATGCTATGCGCATATTAACCCGAGCGCTTGACTTTGAGGACAGGACAGCAGGATGTGGCTGAGTGGAGGTGGCAGGAGACGCTTGGGACCATGACACTCACAGTCTTATTGCTGTGGCGTTCTTAGTGCTGTTATTTTTGTCATTTTCCTAGCTTGATGAAAAAATTTCCTTTTTTCACTTCCACAGAACAAAACAGCTTGTGTTTTGTAATTTCATGTGGCTGATTTTGTGTACCTTTGACAGTTCAGCCACACTTTGGACATAACATTTCACCTTGTAACTCAATTTTTTTTTTAAGCCAGCCTTAATAAAAAGCTATTGTTTTAGTTAGCTGTGGCATTTGAAATTACCTGGGCTCCTTAAACCCTTTATTCTGGGGTTCAAGAATTCTGAACAGCTGGTGTATAAAGACCATCACATAAAATGAAGGCAGGTATCACTTGGTCCAGCTCTGTAGGACAGTGGTGATCGAGGTCGAAAACGTCTACTTCCAGGACAAGTCGCTTAGACCTTGGGGCAATTTATATTTTAGAGATGCCCAGACAGTAGCTCTGATTTAGGATTTACCTGCTCCAGCTGTTACTGACTCCTTGCTAGTCCAGGTTGAGTGTAGGGAACAGAAACCATGCCAGGTACTTTAAGCAGGAAGGGATTTAATACAGGCACTTAAAGATTTACAAAATCATCTGAAGAGGCTGATGGCTCAATTCCAGTCTGGGTCTCCAGGAATGACTACCAGAATACCAAGGAACAGGAAATTAACTCCAGGAACACGTTGTCATAGCTGTGACCCAGGGAATCGGGAAGATGGGATTAGGGAGCTGCCAGTGCCCGTGGGCCTAAATCCTCAGTCGTAGAGACAGCTGCCTTTTGACACAGAAAGCTGATGGCTGGCCATGGGGATGCTGAATCCAGCCACTGCTGCGACTGGAGCAGGAGGCTGGACACTGGTCTTTCCTGTTTGCCTTCTGTCTTCTAACGTCATGTAAGTGCTTCTCTTACAGAACTGATTTTGTAACCAGGACCCTGACTGCAAAGGGCTGTGGGAAATGTAGTTCAAGCTTTCAAATCTCTGTAGTAGGGGAAGGCACTCCAGAGAGGAAGGAATAAACGCCGAGGCTCATGGCTGTGTCCTGCTGACGACCCTTTCTTTGTTATGGGCCAGAAATAGCCATTCCCTAGACAGAGAGGAGGCATAAAATACATGACGTGCTCCAAGGAGAGAGAATGCAAGGATTACAGCCTCCTCACACCCACGTGGAACTCCACATAGGAGCTCCTTTCTCTAAGCTGGGCAGGGCTGTAAGGGCATTCAAAGGATGGAAGAATGCCTTAGAGCACAGCTGTCTGATGGAACTTTCTGCAATGATGGAAATGTTCATGTCAGTGTCATCCAATACAGTTGTCACTAGCCCTATGTGGCTGCTAAGCACTGGACATATGGCTAGTATGACCGGGTAACCGAATGTTTACTTTTCATTAATTTAAATTTAAATTTACTTAGTCTCATCCTAGTCTCATGGGGTAGTAGCTAGCACACTGGACAGTGCACTCTGAGGGGTGTCCAGAAAGGTGAGGCCAGGCACCCTGACTCCCCAGCTGTGCTCGAGGCTGGATCTGGTAGGGCCTGGAGAGAAAGCAGCAGAGACCGGCAGAGCCACCTGAAGAGGGAGCAGGACTCCTAAGGCAGGGGTGTCAGGGGCTTCTCTGAAGTGGCTGGTGTGTTAGAACTAAAAGAGATGCAGGGGCAAGGGCTCACCCTAGGAGACCAAGCAGAAGTCAAATCCTCAGTCTGAAGAAGATACTGGGGTCCAGGAGCCTGGAATGCCAGGAGGAGAAATCAGGGAAGAGTGAGGTTGGAGCATAGCAGGAGCAGAGTCTGGGGGACCCACAGTCAAACCTGTATGACATCAGCAATGGGAGGGGACAAAAGATTCACATTAGGCCACACCCTGGTGGCCTGCAGATGTGACAGGTGAACTCTTTAATTAGTCACTAAGAGTGCCAGTTTCCTACTGCTGCTGTCACAAATGACCACAAACTTGGCAGCTTAACCAGCACAATTGGATTCTCTTACTGCTCTGTAGGTGAGAAGCCAACAAGGATCTCACTTGGCTGAGCGCAAGGCGTCTGCAGGGCTGTGTTCCCTCTGGAGGCTCTGCAAGAGAATCCATTCTCTGGCCTTCTCCACATCCCACTGGTGGTCTGCATTCCTCGCCTGTGGTCTCTGTGTGCGTCCTTAAAGCCCATCACTGTGACCTCCGCCCCGTCGTCACATCTTCTCTTACCCTGCCTGCTACCTCCCCCGTGGTTGGACCGCATGATGCACTGATGCGTGGTAATTTAGAATAATCTCCCATCTCAAACTCCTTAATTAAAAATATATTTCTTTCTTTCTTCCTTTCTTTCTTTCTTTCTTTCTTTCTTTCTTTCTTTCTTTCTTTCTCTTTCTTTCTTTCTCTTTCTTTCTCTTTCCCTTTCTTTCTCTCTCCTTTTCTTTCTCTCTCCCTTCCTTCCCTCCCTCTCTTTCTTTCTTTTCTTTCTTTTCTTTTTCTTTCTTTCCTTCCTTCCTTCCTTCCTCTCTTTCTTTTTCTTTTCTTTTCTTTCTTTCTGTTTTTTGAGACAGGGTCTCACTCTGTTGCCCAGGCTGGAGTGCAGTGGCGCCATCACAGCTCACTGCAGCTTCAACCTCTTGGGCTTGAGCCATCCTCCTGCCTCAGCCTCCCCAGCGGCTGGGCCCACAGGCGCATAGCACCATGCATGGTGAATTTTTTTTTTATTTTTATTTTTTGGCAGCAACAAGGTCTCACTGTGTTGCCCAGGTTGGTCTCGAACTCCTAGCCTCAAGCAATCCTCCTACCTTGGCTTCCCAAAGTGCTGGGATTACAGGTGTCAGCCTCCGTGCCCAGCCAAAATCCTTAATTAAGTCACATCTGAAAAGTTCCTTTTGACATGTAAGGTAACATTCATAGGTCCTGGGGATTAGGCCCCAGGACATGGTCATCCTTCGGGGGCTATTATCCAGCCAGCCACTCCCCATTCTCCATCCCATGCTACCCCTGGCATTTCTCTTCCTCCCCTGCCCCAGTCAGCCTTCAGAAGTTGTCTCAGAGAAGGACAGCAGGACAGTAGAAGAAGTGGAGTCATTTATTGCCTTTCAAGTGTTGGAAGCCCAGGCTTGAGCGAATGGACAACAGGCTAGGAATGGAAAACTGATGGCAAGAGGCAGGCCTGCATCAAAGAAAACTCCCCCTGGTTGGGAGGGCAGGTGTCCCGAGAAGAGGGTCTCCCACTCTGCTGCTTCTTGGCTGAGCAATGGGGCATATTGGACCTCAGGTTGATCTGGAAGGTCAAGAGTAGAAGAAACTCGTGTCTCTGTAGCAGTCAGGGTGGTAGACTCGGCTGCAGTAACCAACAACCCCACCTTGCAGCAGCTTAACAAAGTAAGGTGAATTTCTCACTGTCACTCCACATCCATTGTGAATCAGCAGGGCCCCACGCTGTCTCCTCACTCCAGGAGCCCAGCTGACAGAGCAGGCGCCACCTAAAGCTTCACACTGATCGCCATGGCAAAAGAAACCACACTCTGGCTTCCAAAGCCTCTGCCAAGAGATGCCCCTTGTCACTTGTTTCTTTTCACTGGCCAGAGCAAGTCACAGGCCACAGTGAACTCTTAGGGGGTTCAGCCATGGTGCTCTGAGCCTGGAGGGATAATTGGAAATGTTTGGCCATCAGAGCCAGAGACCACCATGGCCCCCGGTCCTGGGCAGAGCTCCAGGGAGGTGGCAAGGCCTAGGAAAGAAGTAGCCACTCAGGAGGTCACAGGGGCAAGCGAGCCTTGGGTGAGCCCAGGGGGTTTCCCGGTCCCTGGTGACAAGGTGGCATTGGAGAAGGGATTTGAAGGGGCTGGATAGAGGCCAGGCCAGCAAACCAACAGCAGCCAGAGTGAGGGTGTCCCTGCCAAGGCCAGAGTGGGCCTGTGGCGGCTTCGTGTTCCCAGGAAAAAGCTGGGGGATTCTGCATAAACTGAAATGACCACAGTGGAGTAGAGGCCCTAAACGGAAGTTGAGTTTAGATACAGGAGAGTCCAGCTATGTTTCTTTCATAGCCTGAACAGTGAACCAAGATTCCCACCACCCTGTACCTGGAGAGAAACAATGGCTGACATTATGGGTCAGGTAGGTAACGTGGCTGACTTAGGCCTATGCACCACTTGACATGCTGGTAATGTTACCGAATGTCAGGGCTTTGATTGTGGTCCTGTAGCTCACCACACAGAAAGCCAATCACTGGGAGTATGGCCAAAGAAGGCTTTATTCAGGTGATGCAGCCAGAGAGACGGAAGACAAGCCTCAAATCGTCCCTCCCCTCCAATAAAGTTAAGGGTTTCTGTAATCCCAGCACTTTGGGAGGCCGAGGTGGGAGGATTACTTGAGGTCAGGTATTTGAGACCAGCCTGGCCAACATGGTGAAACCCCATCTCTACTAAAAATACAAAATATTAGCCGGGCGTGGTGGCTCATGCCTGTAATCCCAGCTACTCGGGAGGCTGAGGCAGGAGAATTGCTTGAACTGGGAGGCGGAGGTTGCAGTGAGCTGAGACCACATCACTGCACTGCAGCCTGGGCAACAGAGCAAGACTTTGTCTCAAAAAAGATTAATTAAAAAAATAAAGTGAAGGGTTTATATAGCTGGAAGGAAAACTGGAGGACCAAGGAGGAGGAGTTGGTCAATAGGCAACAGGTGGTCAAATGAGGAGCCTAGCATCTCACCGTAACCACAAGCAGGAAAATAGGAATGAGGGAGCAGCCGGGAAGAGGCATTGGTTAACAGGCAGTGGGTGCATAAGTTTCTCAAGCTTTAGTTCTGTGGGCATCTGGCTTGTTGAAAATCGTGCCAGTTTCAGTCATGCCTATGATGACCAGCACTTAACCACATCCTTCTGCCATTTTAACAACTATCCTTAGTGAGTAAAAGTTTTAACAACGATTTAAATCAGTTAAAATTTCAAACACAACTGACTCAACACTATCCTTATTTGGGTTGCGTTGGGGAATCTAGACCAGAGAAGGAGATGAGATAAGGGGCAGAAAAGAAGGTTGTGGAGGTTCCTGAATGTGCCAGGGACTGTGCTGGGCACCTTGGTAGACCCAAACTCACGTAAGCCTGTGAGGAAAGCAGGGCACAGGACGTTCAGGAACTAGCCCCTCCTCAGTCAGCCACCAGGGCCAAAACCAGGCTCCACCTCACATGTGTGTGCTCAGCAGCCCCCCACTGGTGCGGACCCTCACTACAGCTGTGCCCTAGAAGAATGTGGCTGGCCAATGCCCTCCACCCACAGGCTCCCCAGTGTCAGGGTCAGAGCAGAAACCCCTGGCAGAGCTGTCAGGGCGAGGACAGTGGGAGGAGTAATAGGGTGATGGCCCAGGTCTCCCCCACCTCCCGTGTGCCCTGCACTTTCTGCAGACGATTGGCGGTGCTCCCATGGGAGCCTGAAAAAGGATGTCCACAGTCAGAAGCAGAACTTTCCAGTGCAGAAAGGTGGATCTAGGTTACCATTTTGCAGAGTGGATCTCAGGCAGCCCCATGCAGTGGGGCCCTGAGCTCCCCACAGGGTGAAAATGAAAAGCCAGGGAGGCCAGCCCTACTCTGCTCCGGGCGTGCATGCTCTCCACTGTCCTGTCGGGAGCAGAGGGGGTCTGTGGCCTAGCGTGCCCTTGCACCACCACTCTGTCCATGCCAGGCTTGGGAAGAGTAGGAACACCAGCGTCCCAGCACTGGGGAGTCAGATCCAGTGGCCTGGCGCTCCCCAGAGATCCGGATGTTCTGCCAGTGGGCAGCCACCGCACAGGAAGCCCTTTAACTCAGGAATGAATCTGAGGTCCTGGCGCCTGACGACCAAGAGAGCTGAGGACAAAGCACCCCAAACCCGGCCGGCCACGGGGTGGAAGGCAGCCCTCGAGTCCATCCTGGTATCCTGGGTGCTGTGGTCCCTGCAACCCTCACCACAGCACTGTCTGGTGGGTTGAGCAGGTGTTTTCTTTTTGTGTTCACTGGTTTTAATCCTGACTGTTCAAAGGTTAGATCCAGGCACAGAAAGTTGGTGGCCACGTTACAGAAACAGCTCTGTGGAGCTTGGAGGTCCCGGGACAAAGGATTGCGGATTCCCTGTGGCCTCAGTGCTCCCCTCTAAAGTGTAACTAGAATATTTATGGGGCAGGAATACTTCTCAGGCCTGGCAGCAGGGCCATAAAAGAGGCCCCGCTATGCCCATGGTGCATTACCACATTGGTCTGGAAGCAGAGGTGGGCACCCACGGTTGGGACCTTGGCTTTGTCTGGTCCTATAGATCCTCCAGTAACAGAATCAGCTGGAAGAGCCCTCAGTGGCACACTCAGGGCTGGGATGGGGGCCTGCAGCTCTGGCATCTCCTGGGGGCCTGTCCCAAAGACAACACAGAGGAAGCCCACTTGGCCAGGAGGTGACAGAGTCTCTCTTCCCATCAGAGAATGACAAGAAGAAAGTATTTCCAGTCTCCCCTTGGAAACTAGCTCCCATGCCACACAGCTTCCCCAAACAATCCACTAAGAACAACGAATTTTTCCAGGCACTATTGTTTTCCAGACGCTATGAGATCCTTACCTGCGTGGGGGTTGATGCTCCCATGTCCCAGTGCCTCCTTCACCGGGGCCTGTGTGGCGTGGGCATTTGTGCATGGCAGGGGGCGCCCTTTCTTTCTTGTCTCATGAGTAGTATCTCCAGCCACCTGCAAGGGAGGTGAAGTCAGGCAATGATGGGGCCATCTGTGGGGAGGGCTCCTAGCTGAGGCTGGTCAGCTACTGCCCTGCTGTGCCTGGGCAGGGGGTACACCCCTCCTCCTCCTGTTCGGGGTGTTTTCTGAGCCTTTTCCAGAAGCCAGTGCTTGGTGGACCCAAAGGAAGGAATGTGTGAGTGGCAGAACCAAGGCTATTCCAAGCTACAAACTTTTCTCTTTGGGGCTATGCAAGTGTGGAAGCCTCTCTCACTGCCCTGGAACTCCTGGGGCCTGGGGGTGCTGTCCCTTAGAAAGCCCCTTTCCTGGCCCCTGCCCCTTCCCTCTTCCCTTCCTCACTTCCCAAGGTGCCTCTCTTTATACCTCTTCCTTTCTGGGGTCTCCTGCTCAGCCCTCTTTCCCAGGCTCCCAGAGGCTTCCCCAGAGCCTGCTCTGGTCGGGTTGAAAGTGTGCCTTGCAAGTTGGACAGCCTTGCATGACTGTGGCTGCACTCTACCATAACACCGAGGCTAAAAAAGCACTTGCTCCATCCTCAGCCCCTAGTGGTGGTGGTGGTGATGGGGCAGTCCACCACATACAGATGTTCTGGTTGTGTACTGCGCAAGGGCTTTACACCTAAGATGATGCCATTCTCATCAAAGGCATATACTAACTTGTATGAGAGATGTGGGTGGGTGTTGGGAACCCCAGCCTCCCATTTGGGTACTGAAGCTGTGTGGGGGAACCCACATGGGGCAGTCTCTCTCCCAGCCGCAACAGTCTGGGCCAATTTAAAAAAAGTACTCTTCCTATGTCCTTTACCACCACCTGCTTGGGGAGGTTGCAGCATTCACTGTATTGGTTGGCTCAGGCTGCTGTAACAAATACCACAGACAGGGAAGCTTAAACAACACAGATTTATTTTCTCACAGTGCTGGAGGCTGGAAGTCCAAGATCAAGGTGCCAGCAGGGTTGGTTTCTGGTGAGGGCTCCCTTCCTGGCTTGCAGATGGCCACCTGCTTGCTGTGTTCTAACCTCTGTGTGTACAGAGAAAGAGAGGGGTGGAATGCAAATCAATGTTCTGATGTCTCCTCCTTTTCTTTGAAGGACACAAGTTCTATCAGATTGGGACCTCAGCCTTATAACTTAGTTCAACCTTCATTACCTCCTTAAAGGTGCTATCTCCAAATATTGCCACATTGGGGGTTAGGGCTTCAACATAGGAGTTTTGGGAGGGACACAATTCAATTCATGGCCTCACTATACAAATGTGGGATGGCCGATGTCCAGGGTACCCCTGAGGAGTGCGAAGCACAGCCTGCCCAGGGCCGGCCCCTCTGGGGCTGCAGGCACATACTCGCCTGCATGTGCACACGCTTGCCACAACTGCACTTGCCTCCCAACCTGCCCTTCGGCAGTCATCTGGGGTCTTTCTCTCCCTAGACCCCCGGACTCCTGGAATCCAACTCACCTGGTGGGGTGGGGGTGTCATAGCCAATCACACTGCAGGTTACACACCTGAGGGTGTGAGAAGTGTGAGCCTATGGCCTTGGTATCCCCACCATAGACAGCTCTGGAAATGTCCTGCGAGCCCGACCAGGCAGAGCCATGGCCCCCCATACAACAGTCACTCTGCCCAACTCCTGGCAGGGTGCAATAACTTAAAAAGGATTTTGATTTATATGACTGCTGTTCTCATGATTTAAGCAGCATCCTATGGATAAAACCCCACAGCCAGCATCCCAGCCTCCACCCCCAACTCGTCTTTACTAGAGGGACCCTCCCAGCATCACCTCACCTGGCCGGAGGGGAGGCCACCTGTGGGCCCCCAGGCCTAGTGACAGACAGGCCTTCCCATGTATGCAGACACTCCTTTGGGCCAGGTCGGCATCCTTGCTTCATCATGTAGGCTCTGTTGTGGCGGCCCCAGGCCCCTTCCACTTCTCTTGCAGAAATCCTATCCTCTTCTCCAGAAGGTTCCTCTTCTGTTTGAGGCCCCTGCCTCCCAGGCGGATGCTGCCCCTGGCAGGAAGGCATGCTGCTTGGTGACACAGGCACCAAGGTGTGGCCCACTAGTTTATCTGAGACAAGGGCATGACATGGTCCCAGGTATGGCCCACTGGTTAATCTGAGCCATAGTGGATATTCTCTCCGTCTGCGTTACACTCAGGGCTCCACGCGTTTCAACTCTTTCTGTCTATACTCAAGCAGCTGCTTTCCTAGAACCTACGGCAGGAGGTATGGGAAGGTTGGGAGTTTCCAGAATCACCCACAGACCCATGGCCAGCCCCAGCAGACCCCCCCGACCCGCAGACCTTGGGCTCCTCTTTCCCCTAAGGTGGGTTTCCTTCCGAGGCTTCATGCCAGTTCCTGGAAGCTGGCTTTGAGCACAGCCACCTTAGTCAATCAGGCATGTTTTTGCCTCATCAAAAGCCTTTGGAGAAGGGTCAGGCTCCTATGCCCTTTCTTCCCTGAGTAACATCAGGGAGCAGGTGTGTATCTTGGAGAAGAGGCACAGCTCCTCCACCTGGCTGCATTCAAATCCCAGCAGGAATGACTGTGACAGGCAGCAGTGACACCCAAGTCCTCCCCAACTGCACCCAGCCCAGGCCCTTCCACAGTGGCCTGTCACATTTACCACATTCTGGAAGAATAAACTTGGTAGGTCTCCTTCATTTATTCAACAAACTTGCTTTGTAAAGGCTGTCCGTGCTCAGCACTCTGGGTATGAGATGGAAAAGACCCAGTTCCTCCTCTCAGAGAACTCACAGCCTGCAAGGGGAGACAAAAGAGTGAACTGGTAATTACAGCACATGAGGCTGCTGCTGGGCTTCCTGAGGGAGTCAAGGAGGGCTTCCTGGAGGAGGACACTTTTAAGCTGATTCTAAAATTTTTTTTTGTTTTATTTTGGCATAATCTCAGGCTTAAAGAAAAGTCACAAGAATAACAAGAAAAATTTCATACAGCCTCATCTAAATTCCCCAAATACTAACATTTAACCACATTTGCCATATCCTTCTCTCTCTCTCTACCTAACTACAACTAAATACATCAACTAACAACAAAAATATTCCTTTACATAATCATGGTACAATGATCACAATCAGGAAATAAACATTGATATAATATTATTATCTAATCTGTGGACTTCATTCAGATTTCTCCACTGGCTCCAATCATGTCCCTCAAAGCAAATGCAAATCCAGGACCACATATCCCATCTCTGTAGTATTCTTTAACCTGGAAGAGTTATGCAGCCTGTCTTTGCATTTTGTGACATTCTCACCCTTGTAGAGTATAGGCCAGTTATTTTGTAGAAGGTTCCCTGATCTGAGCTTAGTGATGTCTCCCCAGAGTTCTATCCAGGTGATGTCAGGAACCCCGCACAAGGGAGGTACGTCCTCCTCAGCACATCTCATAAGGGGGCATGGGCATCCATTTGTCCTGCTGAGGGTAATGTTCATTCTGATAACTTGGTTAAGATGGTATCCTCCAGAGTTTTCCACTATAAAGTTACTGTTTCCCCCTTGAAATTTTTTTTTTTTTTTTTTTTTTGAGACAGAGTCTCACTCTGTCACTTAGGCTGGAGTGCAGTGGCGCGATCTCAGCTCACTGCAACCTCCACCTTCCAGGTTCAAGCAATTTTCCTGCCTCAGCCTCCCAAGTAGCTGGGATTACAGGTGCCTGCCACCACGCCTGGCTAATTTTTGTGTTGTTAGTAGAGATGGGGTTTTGCCATGTTGGCCAGGCTGGTCTCAAACCCCTGACCTCAGGTGATCCACCCGCCTCGGCCTCCCAAAGTGCTGAGATTACAGGCATGAGCTACTGCGCCCAGCTCCCTCTTGAAATTAATCAGTGGGTGCACTAAAAAAAAATAAAGGCTGGTCCAAGGGCAGAGGTGTTTACAACTAACTGATCACAGCCAGTTACAGATTTCTTTGTCCTTTTCCACTCCCACTGCTTCATTTGACTAGCCTAAAAAGAAACAAACAAACGAACAAAAAACAAGACATAGTCCTGGTAACAAATCCAGTTAATAAAAGGCATCTTCTCTAATCCTGTGTCTAAAAGGTAACTCTTAACAATTTGGTGTGCATCTATATTTTTTCCAGAATTTTTCCCAATAGGTATGCATTTTTTAACAAATAAGAGTAGTGTCATCTTACACGAATTTTTGTTTTTGCAATTTAGCTATTCTGCTGTTAAAATTATAGTATTATTTATTGTTCTTCATTGCTTTAATTTGTCTTTTAATTATGACTAGGGAGGCACCAGGCACGGTGGCTCACTTCTGTGATCCCACACTTTGGGAGGCTGAGGTGGGTGGATCATTTGAGGTTAGGAGTTCGAGACCAGCCTGGCCAACATGGTGAAACCCTGTCTGTACTAAAAATACAAAAATTAGCCAGGCAGTAGTGGCACACCCCTGTAATCTCAGCTACTCAGGAGGTTGAGGCAGGAGAACCACTTGAGCCTGGGAGGTGAGGTTGCAGTGAGCTGAGATTACACCACTGCACTCCCATCTGGACGACAGAGTGAGACCCTGTCTTAAAATATGTATATATGACTAGTGAGAGTGAAACTCCTCAAATAATCCTTGACTATCAGCATTTCTTCTGTGAATGAATGCCCTGCTCATCTCTGTCTGTTAATTGGCCAGTTTGTCTCAGCCACACTGTGCTGCAGGCATCATCTGGACAGTGCCAATAACCCAGCCTTAAAGGACAAATGAGTTAATGAAAGGACTTCGTTCTGCAGGAAGTGGAAGGTTCCATGCATGGGACCTGCCCAGGTGGCCCTGACTTCTAGAAAGATTGGTGTGCCTCCTCTGGAGAAGGATGAGGTACGGAGGAGACCCTGTCTAGTGACATGCTTGCAAACCAAGAGGTGAGCAGGCTTTTCAAAGCCCCTTTCAGTTAGGGGGAAGTTTGAAGTGGTAGAAAGCAAAGTTCTGGAGAACTCCAGGAAACTGGCCATTGGAGATGAAGCTGGACCCCAGCCCTAATGGGCGTCTTTCATTATCACTGCCCTCATTAGTGCTTTATTGTATTAGTTATAGCTAATTTACATTTTACTGAAGCATTGAAAACAGATTGCAGATGTTTGGAAACAGATGTTATCCTAATGTTAAGGCAAAACCATGAATATTTATGACAATTATTGCCCAGATCAAATTACCTCGCTTAACCAGGGAGGCAGGCATGTTCTAACAGCTTTGGCCGGGACCTGGTGAGGGAAAGACAGAAAAGTATTGATGAACTTTTGGTTGCACTTGAATTTTCCTTCACCTGGGATCCATTTTTTTTTCTGTCTTCCTGTGGACCTAAAAACAGAGATTGGTTGTTATGGAACCAATTTAGGGATTTTCCTGCTGCTCGTATTAATTGGCCAAGTCAGGATTTTCCATCGTTTTTTTCCGCACTGTGTCTTAGAGAAGGGCCTGCCAAGGTCTCTCCAACCTAAGCAGCCATGGGTACTTCCCAGGCTGTAGGAGGAAGGCTGGGCTTCTCTGCCTTTCTCCCCGCCCACCTGCCAGGACCCAGGGAGCCAGCAGAGGCCAGGTGGGGCCTCAGGGGCAAGTGGAATTGGCAGATGTCCCTACAGGAGGTTGAGAGGGCTCCAGGCTGACTCACTGCCAAGCAGAGCTGATTTTTTTCCTGCCAGCCACCCCGGCAGAAATGCCAGCAATAGAGCTGTTTCTCTGCTGTCGTCAGGAGAACCCATCTTGGATTCTGGAACAAAGTTGAGGAGCCTTTGCTGAGTGTAGGGGATGAGGATGCTTGATCCAGGCCTTTTGTGCGCCCTGCCATGTACTTTCGAGTGTACCCTCATAACTGCAGCTCTTTTGGGGGGGGTGGCACCAGGTGCAGAGAATCAAGTGCCTGGAACTGACTCCCTACCCTGCCCTCCACCCTTGAGGGATGGTTGGAGGGAAAGCCCAGCTCTTCGGCTGTAGGGGAGGCAAGTGTGAGGCACTGCTTACTCTCCAGAGTCCCCCATGACCAGAGTCCTCATGGGTGAGGTTGAAGCTCCAGTCTGGCTTGGCCCCCTCCCCTTCCACCCTTCCTTGTCCAGCTTCTTCATGGGGAAATGCCAGGAAAGCCCCTGCTCTGGGGCTCTTGTCCCAGGCCTGTTTCTGGGGAGCCCCGCCGAAGACACTGAGGGTCTCTTCTGTGCTAGCCCCACACCCATGATGGACATGGGGAAATGATGAAGGGACAGAACTCATGTGTGAGAAGCTTTATAGACAAGGGATGGAGACAAAGAGGCCTGCAGACCCTTTCAGCAGCAGAAAGGCAGGACCCTAGCGCAGGGCGCCTGCAGCCTGTGCGGTCTGCCCATGGGCAACCGCCAGCAGCACCTGCTGGGCCCCTGTGCACCCACTGCAGGCCACACACGGGCCCAGGACCCTCCCGCTTCATGGCAGCCCTGCAAGGTGGATGTCATCAGCCTCACTTTCCTTCTGAAACACCTGGATCTCAGAGATGTTGAGAGACTCACCCAGGGACGTTCTTTTATTCTTTTAATAAACTTGTATCAAGTACCACCTAGGGGGTCAGGGACTGTGCTAGGCTCTTGGAAATGATGACCAGCCAATGGAGACTATCTCTGTCCTCATGAGTAGACTTGATGGAGGAGATAGCTGTTAACATACATAGTTAATATGGAAATGTATAATAAATATGTAATTCCTAGCTGTGATCAATGCTGTGGAAATGCATAGCACATTGTGAGAATATACGATGGGCACAGCCTGAGGAGGTAACCTCTGGACTGAGAGTGCAAGATGAGCAGGTGGCCTGGGTGGAGGACTTGGAATGAGGGCCCCTGGGCAGAGGGACAGCATGGGCAAAGGCCCCAGGTAGAAAGAGCTCAGGGCATCCCAGGAACTACAAGAAGGACAACGTGACTGGAGATGGTTGGATGGGAGGGAAGTTGGAGAGGCTGGCAGGGGCCAGGCCATGCAGGGCCTTGTCATGATGCCACTGGGTGGCTATCACTCTGAGAACCAATGGGGGCATCATGAGGAATCATGAAAGGAAGAGAGGGAGGGGAGGATGAGGGTGGAAGAGAGCTAAAAACTCAGCCATCCTAACAAGAAATCAATAGGTAATGCTAAAATGGATAAATCGATAAAGTAGACATTAACATATTACTCCACAGCAAGGGTCAGCACAAGAAGAAACAGCTAAAAGAGTCAAGAATCAAAAACAAATCCAGGGCCAGGAGTGGTGGCTAATGCCTGTAATTCTAGCACCTTGGAAGGCCGAGGCGGGAGGATCACTTGAGGCCAGGAGTTCAAGATGAGCATGGGCAACATAGTGAGACCCCATCTCTACTAAAAATTTAAAAAATTTGCCAGATATTGTGGTGAGTACCAGTAGTCCAGCTACTTGGGAGGCTGAGGAGAGAGGACTGCTTGAGCCCAGGAGTTGGAGGCTGCAGCGAGCTATGATCGCATCACCACACTCCAGCCTGGGCAACAGAGAGAGAACCTGTCTGAAGAAAACAAAAAAGCCATTGCTTTGTGTATGTTGGCAGGGAAGGGGCTGACAGGGCTCCTGCATAAGCCTTTTAGTAATAGTTGATTCAAAAACTGTATGCATACACTGTATAATTTTGGTAAATAAAGTTAATTCTAAAACAAGAAAATTAATTACAACAAAAAGTTGGGGAAATGAAACATTGTGAGTGTCATATTGTAGGAGGCCTGCCATGACAATATCAGATCATGCTAACACTCCTCCATCCCATGCAATTCTTCCAATCGATCTTCCTGCACCTGGGAGAATAGATGGACAGCTGAGAGCTGTCCGCAGAACAGGCTGCCAGCTCCAGTCAAAAAAACACAAAAAACAAAAAAAACTTTTTGATGTTTTGATTGTTTGGGCAAACAGTCAATCCATGCAAGAGATAAGTGTCTTTCAAGAGATAAAGAAAGGCTTTGGTGGATGATCCCTTCCAAACACTTTAAATAACCACCCTTGGTTAAACAGTCCCATGGCAGGGCCATGGATGTGTGATAGCAGGTGGCTGTGTAAACAGTAGCAGCAATTTGTAAAGTGGTTTAGTGCATGGCCTTTCCCTCTGCTAGTTTCTTTAAAAAGCAAGCTCTCTATTTACAGATTACGCAGCTAGAGGGCTGATTCAGGAATTTCATGTCATACAGGTACGAAATAGCCAGGCAAATATGGTGTCTTGTACAAAGTCATTTGTGTTAACACTGTAAATACATAACTAGCTACTATAGTTACATAGCAAGGAAAGGCTGCATGTTGATAGCTAGGCAAACAGAGTTCCTTGTAAGAGGCTGTTTGTTCAGTTCTGTATTTAGCTAGCTAGCCCCTGTGTTTTGGCAGTAGGAGATTCTCTGAAAGGTAAATGTAATATGAGTATACTTGAAACAAGCCCTGGCAGCTCTGCAAATACAGCCATTAATTGGTTTTTACAGGTTGAATTTGCAGATTTCGTACTTGTGAGTTTGACTACTTGCTAACATCTCTTTGTGACTCCCAACTCATACACACAGTGCTGTTCCTGCCACATGCAAACATGCGCGTGGCGGCAGAACGTGGGTCCTCCGATGTGTCCTTTCCCAGCCGGGCCGAGCAAGGCGGCACTCTGCTTTCTTGTTCCAGCTCTATTTAGTGCCACATTTTCTACATTGTGTGTGTGTGTGTGTGTGTGTGTGTGTGTGTGTGTGTGTGTTGTCGGTGGCTTTGCCATTTAAAATTGCCCCAAACCTAGTGCTGAAGTGCTGTTTGGTGTTCCTAAGTGCAAGAAGGCTGTGATATGCCTTACAGAGAAAATTTATATGTTAGGTAAGCTTCATTCACACATGAGTTATGTGCCACTGGCTGTGAGTTCCACGTCAGTGAATCAACAATATGTATTAAATAAAGTGTCTTTAAACAGAAGCACTCAAAGAACAAGGTTATATATTGATTAGTTGGCGAAGACGTTGTAACCAAGAGGCTCAAAGGAATCTAAGCCTGTATTTTCCCTGAGGGGCAAAGGCTCCGTATGCACTAATTTGGTGTCTCTCATGACATTGTAGACGACAACTACTGAGTATCATGAATAAACTGTGGTTGGTTATATTTAGTAACAGACCATGTGGTTGTCTCCCCCAAATCCACACCACCCTCCTCATGTGAAGCAACCAGTGCAAAAGCTTGGGTGGACTTGACGGCACCTTCAGATCCAAGGTTGGACCTTGATTGATCTAATCAAATCCTTATCCTAAGCCACTTGCCACATCACTGTGTTTAGGAAAAAGTGCTCTAAGTTGGTCCAATCAGAGTAAAGTTCATCTTAAATTAGGTTTCCTAGAGGTAGAGTTGCCAAAAACCAACAACAAAAACAACAACAAAAAACATGCCGTCCAATTAAATTTGAATTTCAGATAAACCACAAATATTTTTTAGTATAAATATGTCCCAAATATTGCATGGGACATAGTTATACTGAAAATTACTTGTTGCTTCTGTAAAATTCAAATTTAACCAGGCTTTTGTTTATTGTTATTTAATTTTAATTTTTATTATTATGTATCATTGTTAACTGTGTCTTTATTTACTAAATCTGGCAACCCTACCCACAGACCCTGAAACAGGGATTCCCATTCAAGGGCCTTATTAAGGAAGTGCTCCCAGGGAGTGATCTCAGGTAAGGTCCTGCAGTGGGTAGCTGGTTCTATAGGGGAGTTCCAGGAGCTGTGCTGTAAGGGCTGCACAGTATCCTGGGAATTAAGATTTCAGATACTTCCAGTTCTTTGTATAAGCCTCTCCAGCGGCCTCAGGGCAATCCTCCAGACACAGTGTTAGATGCAGGCAGTGAAAAGCAAAGGGACAGACAATCAGGAAAAAGGATCCAAGGGCGTGAGGTAGAACACCCACAATAACCACCCTAGAGCTTTCTTCCACAGTCGGGAAAGAGACTTGGATGTCAGGCAGGACGTGCATCCTGACTTGCCACTGCGGCCATCCTGTACCTCCAGGCAACTGGAGGAACAGTGTCCCCCAAAATTCATATCCACTGGCACCTCAGAATGTGACCTTATTGGGTGCTATGAACTGAATGTGCCCCTCCGCCATCAGTCTACATGCTGAAACCCTAACTCCCAAAGGTGATGGTTTTAGGAGGTGGGGCCTTTGGGAGGTGATGAGGTCATGAAGGTGAAGCTCTCATGGAAAGGATTAGTACCCTTGCAAGAAGAGACAGGAGAGAGCTTGCCTCTTCTCTCTCCTCTCTCTATCATGTGAAGATACAAGAAGAAGATGTCTGTCTGTAAACCAGGAGGAGGGCCTTTATCTAGAACCGTGCTGGCACCCTGATCTTGGATTTCCAACCTCCAGAACTGTGAGAAATAAATGTTCGTTGTTTAAACCACCCAGGTCTGTGGCCCCATTAGATAGAGAGGTGGCTAGGTGGCAGGTCGGTGTCAGAAGAGCGTTCTCATGGCCCCGTGGCTCCTCCCAGGGCTCTCTGCATCAGACTCCTGTGGACAATACCTCCTGGATGCTGCCACTTTCTCCTCCTGAATTCATAAGCAACATTTATTGGGAGTCTACAGCACATGGAGTCCTCAGTGAGCACTGAATTTTAAACGACATCTCTAAGTAACAGCCTCAAAGGGCCTTAGCAGGTAAGCAAGCCTCCCTCAATTCAGATTCAGCCCAGTGGACTACCTCAGTGCTTTCTGAGCCACCCCAGGAGACAGGGCAGGAGGCCCAGATCAATTGCTGACTGAGACTGTTCTCTTGGCTGGCAGTGTGCTCTGGTGAGAAGTCCCCAGCGTCCCTTCCACGGAGTCCCAGAACTTGTGCAGGGAAACACATGAAGGAGGCTCTGTTCCTCTTCCTTCTGCAGACCCAGACTGTCTGAAATATTTATACAATACAAGAGCAGGAGACTTCTGGGGAGGAAAGGCAAAGAGAGCTGAATTCCAGATGTGGAAAAAAATACGCAGAAACAATTGAACTTTTGCACGTGACCAGTTGAAGCTTTATCGGAGCTGATTTTGACATGGAAATCCCTTTGACGTCCACAGAGTGTGATGGAAAGATTGTAAAAGTTCAATTTTCTGAAAATTTCCCTCTTAGAATAAAGATTATTTAAAGAGGACTGGAATGTTTGGGAAGGGCGTGAGAGACGGGACTTAATTTTGATTCTGCTGCTTATTAACTGCATAACCTTGGGCAGGTTAATTACTGTCATTGAATCTGTTTCATCATCTGTAAAATCAGGATAATAGTTTCAAAATCTGGACTGTTGTGGTAATTGCATGGGCTAATTAGGGATTATTAATCCCCACCTCCTGCAGGGGCTCAGGGCTGGGGGTCACTTTAACTTTTTCATATCTGTAACTGGGAGCCCCCAGGGTCTTAGATTTATTCATTCTTATTCATTCTAGAGATGCACAAACAGGAGCTCAGTGTAAGTAGCTGTTGATCTCTAAGTTAGAAGAGGATATGAGAAGCCTCTTTGCTCAACCTCTAACTCTAACAGGGCATCCTTCTTCTTTGCAACCCCTGACACATGGCCCTCCATCCTGGGGCAGGACATCCATCCAGTGATGGAGAACGCAGTGGTCAGGAAGCCCCTCTTTCAGCGGAGCTGAAGATGGCTCCTGTAACTGCTGACACCTGGATCCTCTGAAGAGGCAACACCTATTTCCTTTGCCACATGCCGCCGCTTCAGCTCTCAGAAGAGCCCCATGCCTCTGTGCTGTGTTCTCCTGCTAAGTACGGTTCACGAGTGTGGTCTGAGGACCCTCCCCATCTTCCTGGGGGGGAGGAGATGGGGGGTGCTGTGAAATGCAGGTCCCAGGGGCTACACTTCATGCCTACAGATTCAAATATGCAAAAGCAAATCTCTGTTTTGGGTGTCACTTGATTTAATTTCTGATGCTCAGCCCCTCTTCTGTTTGACACCAAAGAAGAATCCTAATACTTATAAGTAAACCGAGTCAAATGCAGGGATTTCTTAGCCACTGTGGGCTTAAAACACCATCGATTCCGAAGACCCCCCCCCTCCAATCCTCTACCTCCTGGGACAGAGATAATTGTGGAGGAGGAGGAGCGGGTGCTAGGCAAATGCCCTGAGTGGGAGTTTCCACTTCTCAGTGGTCACGTGGCCTGTACAGAGCCAACACGTGCAATGTCCCATCCAGCCTCGGCTTAGGACATGGGGAGCACTGCCTTGCCACTGTCTGTGGGTCCCAACTAGACCATTCACTAAAGTCTTGGATAGAGCTGAACCCCCATCCCGGCTCCCAGGCAAGTGTCTCTGGGACATTTCCAGATCCAAGACCCCCGGTTCTCTCACAGGCCTGTTCCTGCAGTCAACCTCAGCTCCCCACTCCAGGCCCATGAAAATGTATAGGGTCTGCCACACCACTGCACAGGCAGGACCTCCTCTGGGGCTGTCTGTGGCCCTCTCAGACCTACTTGGCACCTGCCGCTCTTCTGCATTCTGCTGTCCTGCCAGGCCCTGTGGGGTTACGCTTCTTTCAGCCCCAGCTGCCACAGCTTCCCAGCTTGTGAGAGGGTATACCGAGCAAATGCAGAGGCAAGCTTACACTGCCAACCACAGGGCACCAAGAAGGCAAGGGCACCAGAGGGTCAAGGGCAAACACCGCTCCCTGCCTCCCGCAATGGACTGCCGGCTCTCCACTTCTACCCGACTCTGCAACGCGGCTCCATTCTTTCTGTGGACAGGCTTTTCCATAACATGCATGGTGCCAACTCTGGTTGATCAGGAAGGAAGTTCTTTCAACCCCCTCCACATCACCCACATGGCCCAGCTGTTCTGGCTCCCCTACCCATCTGGTGGGCCACATTTGCCCATGACTGCACTCTTGGACAAGCCTGCAGTAGCCAGGAGACAGGGCCCTGGCAGTGGATGTGGGTGTGCAGGGAGTAGTGAGCATTTCTACCACCCTGCTCCGGAAAGGCAACTGCATGAATCTTGCCCAAGGTCACTCATCAGTAACCAGTGTCCTGGAGACAAATACCAGCACTTACACGGTTTCCCGAAACTCCAGGCTGCTGCCCCTGTGACTGCTCTGCAGTTTTCGGGGAAGATCAGCTGTGGTGGCAGATGGCTGGTCTCTGTATCTGCACCTATCGGTGAGCAATTCCACTCCTACCCCATCACCTTTGCGATGACACTGCCCTCCAAGCCCGAGGATGAGCCCTTCCCAGGTTAAAAGCTGTTTATATGCACAGGCAAACCTTCCTCTCTGAAATGGCAAAATGGCGCTCTCCAAGGGCCTCTAGAAAGGACAGTTCCCGGGGTTGAATGGCAGGTTAATTCTGATCCACAAATTAATTTTGTCTCTTTGTATATCAAGGGTGCGTGAGACTTATTTAATTTAATTTGAAATAAATGTAATTATAGAAATGAATGAGCTATCAAAAATTTAAACGTATGATCCATCAATATTGGCATGATGTGAGTGGCTGGTTATTATAAATAAAATGGGTCTTTGGCAATATGGAATCCAATTTCCCCCACAGTGTGTCTCATTACGTCTTGACATCTGGGTTAATGCTAAATTACAATCCCTAATTTCCAAATCGGAGCTTAATTTCTAAATAGCAGGTTAACATAAACAAACTATCCAGCTGTGGGGCTTCTGGGAGCTCTGGAAAGAGGAACTTCAAGGCAGAGCAGTCTGTGTTTTTTTTTTTTGCAGTTATCTACTCCTCTAAATTCTCTGCCACAAGTCAAGTACTGGATGCAGGGGCAGACGTAGGAACCGTGGTGGCCAGTGCCTTCCAGGCTGGGTGTTTTCAGATACTCCCTCTGTGTGGTGTGACTGGGCCTGAGGCAGTGGAGAAGAGCAATGGCATCCCAGACAGATGGACAGATAGACAGCTGCTCTGGTGCCTGTGCATCCAGGTATAGCAAGTCATCCCAAGGGGGTTTGTCCAGTGCTACAGCCCAGTGCTGCTATCCAGCCCACTGACTATTACACAAGGGGACTTCATAACCGCACCCAAGGGTGAATTGAGAAAAGCAAACTTCTCCATGGAACCTACAGAAAATGCTGCAGAGCAAGAGGAAGGTAGATCGTTCTGAGGACTCAGAAGAAAAAGATTCCCGAAAATGGTTCATCGCAAGAGTCCAGATGAAACCTCAGAAAATTGTCTGGCAACCTGAAGAAGATGCAAGAAGACAGGGCGTCCAGGAAACAAGGACCCGGAGGGGAAGAAGTTGGGCTGAAAAGCCAGAGAGGCACAAGGGAAATGGGAGGGAGGATGATGAAGGAATCACTTGTAGGAGAAGAAATGAGGTCCTCCACAGCAGTAAAGAGTCCCATGGGCTGTGACAAATCAAATTGATGATGTAGAGGACATACTTGGCATGTGTTCCCAGATTGCTGAGAAAAACGAAAAAAAAAATAGATGCCAATGATGAAAATTAATATACTGTATACTTAGGGCAGAGAACAGATCCACTTCCATCATAAACACCTAGAATAAGTGTTTCTGAGAAAGGAAGAGGCCACTGCCAAAACGCTCCCTACCCCTAAGTCAGGTCCTCCCCACCCACTGCATTCTCCATCCCCTCACATGGCTCTATTATTCTCCAGGGCTCTGACAGCATCTGCTACGGAGTTCTAGTTTATTGTTTTCACTTGTTTATGGACCATTTCCCTTACTAATATGCAAGCTGCCTGAGGGCAGAAATTTTCTCTTGCTCACTACTCTATCCCCAGTACCTGGCATGGAGGTTTTCAATAACGATTTTGAATTAATGAAATCATGTAGAAGTGCAATCAGATACATTATTAAAAAACGATTTCTCAGCTAAAGAGTATGTGGATCAAAAAAGATAATCTGAAAACAAAAACCAACCAAGAAAGACATTTATACAGATTGAGTATCTCCAATCCGAAAATCCAAAATCTGAAGTGCTCCAATATCCAAAACTTTTTGAGTACCAACATGACGCTCAAAGGGAAGGTTCATTGGAGCATTTCAGATCTTGAATTTTCCGATTAGGGATGCTGACCTGTTTATAATTACCAGTTGTATTTGAAATAACAATTCAAAATTCAAAAAAGTCAAAAATCCAAAACGCTTCTGGTCCCAAGCATTTTGGATAAGGGATACTCAATCTGTGCTCACACTTTGCAAAACTTTTGGGATTACATTATAAAGAAAAAAATTTTAAGCACCTAGGCAGAAAAAGAAGCATTACCAGTTACATCTCAAGGAACAAGAATTGGGCTAGCCTCAGAGTTCTCTTCTGCTGCTTCAAATGCCAGAAGGCAATGAAGACACGAATAAGTGATTTTGGAGAAGTTGCAAAGCCCGAGTCATCACACCCAGATCAATCACCTGCCAGGAGTAAAGGGTCCTTCTGATTCTCAACCGAAAGAGTCCTGATTCTCAAGAGCTCCAGAACCTCCAATGAGGGCGCCCTAACGAAGATAGTTTGCTGAAAACACACTCTCTAGGCCAACCCAAAATTAGCTCTGAGAGAGCTTGTGTCAAATTATTATGTCTTTCACAATTATTTGATAGAATTCACCAGCAAAACCCTCTTCACCTAGAGTCTTCCTTGCAGAGAGATTTTTAAATTATAAATGTAATTTAAAAAATAAACATAGGGCTATTTAGATTTTCTGTTTCTCAGTCAAGAACTCAAGTCAAGAACTCAAGAAAGTTTTGTTATCAGCAAACACCAGGCTGTCAGCTCAATAAGCCTAACAGCACCAGGCACACCACTGTGGCTTCAAGAATATGGCAGGGCTGGTGCCTCCTCCACGGGAGCCTCTGCCTGAAATGTAAAGCAATTTAGTTATCAGGGGAGAATAGACATCATGGTGAGAATAACTGTAACTGACTGTAAAATAGTCCACTAGAAACTCCCCTCCTGGGGCAGGCAGGAGTTAACAGCAACCTCAGAAGTTCAGTTGAAGATGCTTAAAACTATGTAATAACAAAAATGGAAACAATAATGACTGTGGCCATAACAGATACAATAGGGATGAGAAGAAGGAAGAGGAGGAGAGGGACAATAGCTAACACTGAATGGACTTTCCACAAGCTGAGAGATTTTTGTTTCATTCTCACCACAACCTTGTTAGATCAATAATATCATTCATTCCTGTTTTACATTTAGGGAAACTGAGGCTCAGAGAAATTATGTTATTTGCTTAACTCATATGGCTAGTAAGCAGCAGGCCTGGATTGATTCAAGTCTGGGTAGTCTGCAAAACACATGTTCTTCCTAAATGCATATCAAGTGTTTATGAAGATAGGCTGTGAAATAGCTCTCAATAGACTTCAAGAGATTAAGACCTTATAGAATATATTTTCTGACAACAATAAAATTTATTTAGGAATAAAAAACCCAGAAAATCCCCAAGTATTGGATGTTAATATACTTGTAAACATCCAATAGCCTAAAGGTCAAAGAAAAAAAAATCATGAGGAGAAATTACACATTCTTTGAACTGAATTATAATGAAAACATTTATCATTATCAGAAATGAAAAGGGAAATAGCACTGCACATTTTACAGACATTAACAAAATAAAAACTAAATAGTATAAACAATATTATGCCAATAAACTCAGATAACTTAGATTAAATGGGCAAATTTCTTAAAATAACATGCCTGATCAAAGCTGACTGACTGAGAAATAGAAAATCTAAATAGCCCTATGTTTATTTTTTAAATTACATTTATAATTTAAAAATCTCTCCACAAGGAAGACTCTAGGTGAAGATGGTTTTGCTGGTGAATTCTATCAAATAATTGTGAAAGAAATAATACTAATTTGACACAAGCTCTTTCAGAAAACGGGACAGGAAACATTTTCTAACTTATTTTTTGAAGCCAGAATCTCCCTGATACAAAACCTGACATTTTGGCATGAAAATAAAAGAAAAATCACAGAAAAATATTTCTTATGAATTTAAACACAAAAATTCCTGTACCTGTTTCTAATTGCTGCTGTAACAAATCATCGCAAATTTGGTGGCTTAAAGCAATACAGCTTTATTCTCTTGTGATTCTAGAAGTCCGAAGTCGGAAATCAGTTTCACTGGGCTGAAATCAAAGTGCCAGCAGGACCGAACTCCTTGAAATTCCAGGGAGAGAATCTGTGTCCTTTCCTTTCCCAGCTTCTGGAGCCCCGGGCTCACCCCACCATCTTCAAAGCTACCCAGCTGAAGCATCTTGCTCCAGTTACCATGGTGCCTTCTTCTGCCATCAGATCTCCCTCTGTTCCCCAGGATAAGGACACTTGTGAGTACATTTAGGTTCTGTCTGGATAATCCAGGACTATCCCTCCATCTCAAGCTCTCCAACTTATAACATCTTCAAAGTCTCTTTTGACATAGAAAGTCATAATCACAGGTTCAAGGCATTAGGACATGAGCATATTCAGGGTCACTATTCAGATAACCACAGTCCTTAATAGAATATTTAATATTAGCAAATTCAAGCCAAAAATATATTAAAAGGTAATAATCACAATTAAGTGTAATTTATTTAATCACATTAAGTGTAATGTAACCAGGACTGCAAGATTGGTTACATTTGAAAAATCAAACAAGGGTCTAGAAGGGAAGACGAGAAAACTCTATGGGGGTGTTAGAGACATTCTATATATTGACTGAGGTGTTAGTTATACAGGTGTATGCATGTATCAAAACATATCAAATTTAACATTTAATGCTACAATTTCCTGTAAGTGAATTTTACTAGAAGCAAAACAGAGCAAAATATCAAAACTAAAACTACCACCACCACCACCGCCACCACAATAAAAAAACCCAAACAGAAGCCAGACAATCATTCACAACTTTTGGGCACAGGCATCTAGGTGAGTGATGGTATTATTTACACCACTGAGGACAATTGGGAGGGAGCCAGGTTTGGAGGGAAACCAAGAATTCACTTGTGCACATGTCATATTTGAGATGAGATAGCCAAGTAAAATGTCAACCAGGCAGTTGCCTGTGGGGACGATGGGATGAGCTTGTGACTGGATGTAGGGACAAGGATGAGGGCCCAGTTTCTGGCCTGGGTGACTGTGTGGCTGAAGGGGCCCTTCACTTCGATGGACTTAAGAAGGAGGGTGGGCCGGGCGCGGTGGCTCACGCCTGTAATCCCAGCACTTTGGGAGGCCGAGGCAGGAGGATCACGAGGTCAGTAGATAGATACCATCCTGGCTAACACGGTGAAACCCCGTCTCTACTAAAAATACAAAAAATTAGCCGGGCGTGGTGGCAGGCGCCTGTAGTCCCAGCTACTCGGGAGGCTGAGGCAGGAGAATGGCGTGAACCCGGGAGGCGGAGCTTGCAGTGAGCCGAGATCGCACCATTGCACTCCAGCCTGGGCGACAGAGCGAGACTCCGTCTCAAAAAAAAAAAAAAAAAAAAAAAAAGATGGAGGGTAATGTGGTTCTCCCTGGGGCATCTGCCTACCTCTCCCAGCCAGGGGAATGCAGACAGTGACTGCTGGGCGGCATTCCCACTTCTCTGTGTTACAGCTGCCTTCAGCTGAGATGGGGCTCTAGGCAGCCAGCTGCCGGCTCCACCAGGAGCCCAGTGCTCAGGTCTGTACCCTGATCCTTTGCTTCTCACCAGCTGCTGCTGGCCCACTCACAATGTGGCCACCACGGAGACCACTCCACCTTTTCCCACCTCTCGACTCCCTGCTTGGGGCCTGCCCTGAGCCAGCTAGGCCCTTTTCCTAACACCAGCACCTCATGGAGCGCTGATCCATTAACTTGATATGATACATTCAGATGCAAGTGCTTGACACAGCCACTCTTTATCTCAACATTTTATTTGAAAATAACTTCACACTTACAGAAAAGTTCCATGAGTAATACAAAGAACACCCATAGGCCCTAAACCCAGACTCACATTTTCTCTTTATCACTTGTGCTCTCTCTCTCCATATATATTCTCTTTATTCTCAGTAGCGACATCCTATAACTTCACCGTGACCTCTGAAGGCACATACAGAACCATTGCTCCTACGTGAAATATTGAGTTAGGTTCCCCTAAGCTTCTGGTCACAATATTTTGTCCACTGATCTGTACATAACCTTATTTCTGCTTAAAAACACCTTTTTGATAGGTATTATTTATCCATTGATACATATTATTGATCACTGAACTCACGGTTGAGAGCGTTATAACTCATGCCAGAACAAAGCTTACCTAACACACACAGTTTCTCTGTAAAGCACATCACAGCCTTCTTGTGCTTCGGCACATTAGAGAGCATGTTGGCATTATGTTTGGGGGCTATTTTAAACAGCAAAATCACCAACAGAACACAGAAAAATGTTAAAAACATGGCACTAAATAGACCACGATAAGGACACGTGTTTATAGGATGAGAGCTGAAACAAGAAAGAAGGCGGAGTGTCATCTTGCTCTGCCTCAGCTGAGCATGTGTGCATCAGGTGACTTCAATTTTTTGCCACTGCTGCACATGTTGGCAAATTGACCACAAAAGCACCATGAGCATTGGTTTTGGGGTTACAAAGAAATTTCACCAAGGAGGTAAATTTACAAATATGGAATCCATGAACAATGATGATCAACTCTATGTGTGCCTGTGTGTATGTACATACTACCCCACTACCATATACTACTATGCTACTACTGAATACACACACACACACACACACACATAAATATATATGTAGGAAATGAGTACCTATGCATATACCTGTACATGTGCGCACACCTGTACAACATGCACATGTGCGCACACCTGTACAACATGCACATGTGCGCACACCTGTACAACATGCACATGTGCGCACACCTGTACAACATGCACATGTGCGCACACCTGTACAACATGCACATGTGCGCACACCTGTACAACATGCACATGTGCGCACACCTGTACAACATGCACATGTGCGCACACCTGTACATGCACATGTGCGCACACATGTACAAGTACATGTGCGCATACATGTACAACATGTGCGCATACATGTACAAGTACATGTGCGCATACATGTACAACATGTGCGCATACATGTACAACATGTACATGTGTATATGCATAGGTATTCGTTTCCCATATATACATGTGTGTGTATATATATGTATACACACACACACACACACACACACACACATACAGGTATATGCATAAGCATTCATTTCTTATTACTGCTATAACAAATTACCAGAGCCTTGGTGGCATTAAACAACACAACTTTACTCTCTTATAGTTCTGGAGGCCAGAAGTCCAAAATCAGCTTCACTGGGCTAACATCAAGGTGTCAGCCCTTGTTCCTTCTGAAGCTTCCAGAAGACGGTCCATTTCCTTGTCTTTGTCCTGCTTCTGAGGGCCACCTGCATGCCTTGGCTTGTAGCCCCTCACATCCATCACTACAACATCTTGCTTGCCACATCTCCTACTGCTCACTCTGATCTACTGCCTCCCTTTGAGAAGGATCCTTGGGATGACACTTAGGACCTAGCTGGATAATTCGGGCTAACCTCCCAATCTCCCAATCTCAAGATCCTAAACTTAATCAGATCTGCAAAGTCCCTTTTGCCATATAAGGTAACATGAAAAGTTTTGAGGACTAGAATGTGGATATTTTAGCCTACATACACACATACACTATATTACATACACACACGTATACATACACATACACACATATATACACGCATACACGTATATACTCACACACGTATACATACAAATGTATACACACACACACACACACACACATACTCACATGTAGTTTTTTTTCCCTGAACCATTTGAGAGTAAATTCCATACATCATGTCCTTTACCCTTAAAAACCTTAGCATGTATTTCCTAAGAATAAGAGCTTTCTCTTACATAACTATAGTATAGTTAAAAACATCAGGAAATTTTAAATAGATACAATACTTTAACCTATTGCTCTACTGTGATGTGCCAATTTTGTTAGCTGACCCAATGCCACCCTTTATAGCTTCATGTTTCCTTCAGTACAGGATCCTGCCTAGGATCACATATGGCATTTAGTTGTCACATCTCTTTATCTCTTATCTGGAAAATATCCTCAGCTTTTATTTGCCTATTGCAAAGTTGATTTTTCTTTTTCTTTTCTTTTTTTTTTTTTTTTTTTTTGATACTGGGTCTTACTCTGTCACCCAGGCTGGAGTGCAGTGGCATGATCTCAGCTCACTGCAGCCTCGACATCCCAGGCTCAAGTGATCCTTCCACCTCAGCACCCCCGAGTAGCTGAGACTGCAGTCAAGGACCACCATTCCTGGCTAATTTTTTTTTACTTTTTGTAGAGACAGGGTCTCACTATGTTGCCCAGGCTGATCTCAAACTCTGGGTTCAAGCAATCCCCCCAACTCGATCTCCCAAAGTGCTGGGATTATACGAGTGAGCCACTGCACCTGGCTGATGCTGACATTAAAAAAAAAAAAAAGTACAGAACTTTAAATAAAAAGAATGTACTCATTTTAGGATTAGCTTTCTGCAACTCTGGCTAGAATACTACACCAATAACTTTGTATCCTTCTCAGGACTTTTCATCTGGAGGATACGTTGTCCATATGCCTCTCATGGTGACATAAATTTTGATCACCCTAAGATGTGGTCTCAATTCTCCCCTTTATAGAGTTTTCCTCCCTCACAACAAATAAGCATTTTGCGGGAGACACTTTGGAACATGCACATTTGCCTCCTCCTCGCTCAAATCCATCCCCTGGATTTAGCATCCAGATCCAGATGATTCTTGCCTGAACCAATCTCTAGGATGATAACTGCAAAATGATAATTTTCTCTTTCTTTCTTTCTTTTTCTTTCGTTCTTTCATTCTTTCTTTCTTTCTTTTTTTCAGACCCAGGCTGGAGTGCAGTGGCACGATCTTGGCTTATTGCAACCTCCACCTCCCGGGTTCAAGCGATTCTCCTGCCTCAGCCTCCCGGGTAGCTGAGATTACAGGCACCTACCACCATGCCCCACTAATTTTTGTATTTTTAGTAGAGACGGGGTTTCGCCATGTTGGCCAGGCTGGTCTTGAACTCCTGACCTCAGGTGATCTGCCTGCCTTGGCCTCCCAAAGTGCTGGGATTACAGGTGTGAGCCACCATGCCCATCAAAATGATAATTTTCGACTCAGGTGCACCCTCTACGTTTACCAATCAATACCCAGTGTTCTACTGTAAGCAAGAGCTCCCACTTAGTTACTTATCTGTTTATAGTTTTACCATTACTGTAAATGAGGGTTTCTCAACCTGGGCACTAGTGACATTTTGGACCAGTGAATTCCCTGTTGTGGGGACTGTCCTGTGCACTGCAGCATGTTTGGCAGCATCCCCGGGCTCTTCCCACTGGATGCCAGTAGCATACCTTCCTCTCACTTAACAACCAAAAATGTCTATGGACATGGCCAAATCTCCCCTGGGGGCCAAAGTTGTCTCCAGTTGACAGCCACTGGTATAGACTCAAGGATTCATATTTTTCTAGTGGTTTGTGACTGCTTTAGCGCTCGAGTTGTCCCAAATCTGGCCAGCAGGAGCTCCTTCAGGAAACTCCTGTGTCCCCTTGGCCTGCCCCTTCATTTTCTGGAGCCCTTTCTCACTTGCTGCCATAGCAAGTTATCCAGGCACAGCGTGCAGCTTTCCTGCCCAAGCCCTGACCTCAGCCATCTCTCCAAGGAGCCTGACACCATTGTTGTGACCCAGATTGATTAACAAAGCTGTGGCCAACTGTAGCATCGAGAGTTTTCAGCTGCATCCAGTAATGTTCTGGGATCCCTGAGCTATGCGCTCTGACCTCACCTCACCTTTACAGTTCCCCTTCTCCCCTGGCTCTCCCTGAGTCTGGTTCTGTTTCCAGTTCACGTCTGTCCCCTGTTTTGTGGGTGGGCGTGGGCAAGAGGCTGCTGCCTGGGGGTGAGCCAATGTCTGTTTCCATCATGCTTGGTAATATTTTTGGAAGCTGCAAGTTTAATGTTTATTTTTCAGGGTGGATTTAAAGAACTCCATGAAAACAAGCGTGTTAAAATGCTCCCGGCTTCAAAATGGGAAGCAGCCCCCTAAGACTGTATGGAAAAGGCACCTACCCATTTAGCACGAGCCTCAGCCCAACACCCCTGCACTCAGCAGCCTGAGCCCACCCGGTGCGCATCTGCCCCCAGCACGCCCTGCCTCTGCCCTGCCCCTTCCACTTCAGTCTACTGCCATTTTCTCCCGGCTGGGGGCATTTTGGGAGGAATTGATGTTTTTAGTGTTCTAAGGGCAAGGACTCACCCTATTACTCTCTTGTTGCCCGGAGCCCTTCAAAGGGCCAACTAAACCAGGGCCTGGGTCCTTAGGGGCTGGTACCAAGACTCTCAGGGCCACCCTCAACCCTGGATATAGGGAAGAGCCTATACATTAGAGGACTCCTCTGCCCTGTGGCATCTCCCTTGGTGCCACATGGTGACAGTCCCTTCCCTTCCTCCTGGCCTATTAGATAGCACAGAATAGCCAGCCCATAGAAGCTGTTATTTGGTATCCTAAACTTGGAGTCATGTGTCTGAAGTCAGAGAGAGCTGCTATAGGAGGGGCTCCTGGCCTCTCCACCAGAGTGTCCCTAGGGAAAAGCCTACTGGTTTGTGTAGGTGTGTTTAACTAAACTCTCTAGACTGTGAGTCTCTTGATAGGGATTCCATCTTTCTATTTCCCAAACTTCTTATTATTAAAAATTAAAGGCCAGGTGCAGTGGCTCACACCTGTCATCCCAGCACTTCGGGAGGCTGAGGCTGGAGGATTGCTTGAGCCCAGGAGTTTGAGCCTAGCCTGGGCAACATGGTGAAATCCCATCTCTGCAAAAAAACAGAAAAATTAGTCGGGTGTGGTATCATGTGCCTGTAGTCCCAGCTACTTGGGAGGCTGAGGTGGGAGGATGTCTTGAGCCCAGGGAGGTGGAAGATCACTTGAGCCCAGGGTGATCAAGGCTGCAGTGAGCCAAGATGGTGCCACTGCACTCCAGCTTGGATGACAGAGTGAGATCCTGTCTAAAAATAAAATTAAAAAAATTAAAAACAGAGAAAAAAAGTTGATAGTACAATGGACTCTTGCAAACCTTCCATCTAGATTCAACAATTGTTCATAATTTGCCCTATTTGCTCTGACAACATATATACACAGATCGATTTTTTTTTACTGACCCTTTGAAAGTAAGAGGTAGACATAAGGACATTTTTCACTTAAATACTTCAGCCAGAGTGCATCTCCTAATAATAACGACATTCTCCTACAAAACTATTGTCACACCTAAAAAATTAATAGTTTCTCTAATATCTTCTAACACTCAGGCCATATTCAAATTTCACAGATTGTCCCAGGACTGTCCTTGATAGTTGTTTTTTTCTTCTGAACGAAGATTCAATCAAGGTTGACATTTGGTCACTGGGTCTCTTTCATCTCTTGTATCTAGAATACACAACACCCCCTTTTTTCTGAGGCTACTGGCTTCCTGAGGAGCCAGGCCAGATGTCCTGCAGAAGGAGGGACCATGTTTGTGTCACCCCTATATCCTCAGTGCGTGTTGGGGGCCCCAGAGACCAGGCCTGGGCTGATGAGCTGGGAGGCCAGCCCCTTTGGGGAGGAGCTTCCCACTGAGCTCGGCTCAGCCTGCCTCCAGTTCCCCATGCCCCACTCAGATGCCTGCCTGACGACTCCTTCCTACCCACGAAGACTTCACGCCCAGGGCGACATGGGTTGATGGTCCACATACTCATTCCTTGGGAGGTTTAATCTGTTTTATTGAATTTTCAGATTCTCAAATCAATACCCATAATAATGCCCAGCAGAAATAAAATCTCGCTCCAGGTATTTTGCCAGATGGTTGATATTTACACATAGCAGGTTTCCCTTCACGGCTTCAGATAGCTTAATAAGTCTCGCCACAGGCAGTATATCCCAGCAGTTGGCCAGTGCACGGGCCAGGAAGGGGCCACTGCCTTCCAGGGGTCTCACTCCCCAGCCTCCGTGCTCAGAAACGCTTTCTGCAGGCCCTGGTGCACATCATTAGACCTCTCCACAGCCTCCTCATTTGTAAAATGAAGGACGTAAGAAGAATAGGAGATCTCTGCATTAGACGGGACCTTTACTGTGCCAGTCTGGCCCCAGTCCCCTAGAAGCAAGCAGCCTGGGCACAGTAGGAGCGTGAACCAGGGAGACGGCTGGGTGGAGGGGGCAGGGGCTGCTGTCAGATTCCCTCAGTAGGAGAAGCTGCTGGTTAGCTGGGGGCCTCGAGGCAGAACAGCTGTGCTGGGGATATGCAGAGGGTGCAAGCAGACTGGGCTAGGCTGGAGCGCCTCAGGGCAGGGGAATTCCCCGCAGAAGAGCTGGCAGGAGGCCGCTAGGCTTCTGAAGCACTGCCTTTGTGGAGTTCCAGGCCCTTTGAGGGCGGCCGCTTGTTCTGAGAGCCTTACGCTCCTCCTTACGAGGCCCCCTTAGTGCCTGGCTGGTTGGAAGGACGAGGCGCCTCTGAACCCACCCAAACAGGACGGCCTGAAAGGCTGCTGTGGGGTTGAGGCGAGGCGATGCCCGTGCAGGGCCAGCCACGAGGCTGGGGAACACTCGGGCGGAAGGCTCCAGTCCCTCCCGCGCCTCCCCGCCTCAGGGGCTGCTGCGGGCGTGAGCAGCAAATCCCACTCACCCGGAAGGGCTGGACTGCAGCCGCCAGGCCAATGGGGCGTCTGGCTGTCGTGTGGCCTCCTATCGCCTGGTTGCGGCCCTCATTGAGGGCTGACTGTTCTTCCTGCTGCCTCCGCCCCCTCATTCAGCAGCCCTGAGGGACCACAGCGTTCTGCTGGGTATGGCGGGAACAGAGCCAGACGCCGAGCACCTCCCAAGATGCCCGTCATGGGCCCGGAGCTGGACAGTGAGGACCCTCAAGGAGCCCAGCAGGACTCGAAGGCACACAGGCGGCTGGGCCTTACGCACCCCGTTGTGGAGACGGAGGAGGTGGTCAGGCATCTTGGGGAGGTAGGAGGTGAGCTGGGTCTTAAATAGCGGAGGAGGCCACGAGCTGAACTGACAGCCCAGGCGTCCTGAGAATGGTTTGTGCTGGGGAGCAGGAGTCTCAGAAAGCTGATGCTTCTAGAAGACCAGGAAGGGCCCCTGCTTTCATCTTACCCCCTGGGCAGAAGACGCTGAAAGGTCATTTGAGGCCAGCTCAGGACCGCGGGCAGGTGGCGAGAGGGGTCCACTCTCAGGGCAGGCAGTACGCAGGTGCAGGAGCTATGGCAAATTTAAAAGTAGTAATAAGGCTGGGCGCGGTGGCTCACCCTGTAATCCCAACACCTTGGGAGGCCAAGGCGGGTGGATCACCTGAGGTTAGGAGTTCGAGGCCAGCCTGGCCAACATGGTGAAACCTCGTCTCTACTAAAAATACAAAAAAATTAGCCAGGCGTGGTGGCGCGTGTCTGTAATCCCAGCTACTCAGGAAGCTGAGGCATGAGAATTGCTCTGAGGCACGAGAATCGCTCGATCGCTTGAACCCGGGAGGCGGAGGTTGCAGTGAACCAAGATCATGCCACTGCACTCCAGCCTGGGCGACAGAGTGAGACTCTGTCTCAATTTAAAAATAAATAAATAAAAGTAGTAATAAAACAGACTAATAATTGGTCTGCTTTTATTGATAACCTGCATCAGCCATTCTAAACTATGTCAATAGTAAGATTTTCCTCTGAGAAGAAAATCTTTTGTTGGTTTAAGTTGTAAATAATTGCTATGGTTGAATTTTAATAATGCATATGTGTAAGCTTCAAATGAGCACACTTTTATTAATTACCCTTTAATAAACATTGGGTTCTACATAGAAGACAATTTGAGGGCTCCAAGTTATACAATTGGCCTCTGTCACTCACTGGCCCAGCTACACCCATTGCAAGCCATGTTCAGATGTCCTGGAATCACTGGACTTCCTTTCAGGCACAATTTGTGTTTCCAGCTGCCGCTGCAATACGCTGCTCAGACACGGTGGCTGCAAAGACTGACGCAGAACTTGAGGCGTCAATTAGTGTTCAAAACTGAGAACAGTGAAGCAGCGCAAACTGCTGGCTGTAATGTTTTTGTCTGGTAAGCACAGGTTTTAGCTCATACATGAACTATTTGGCAGAATTTGAATAATGTCTTTAAAATCCGAATGTATATTTTTATGTTAGTTGGCTATTTTAAAACTCATTAAGTCAATAAAATAAAACACTACCTCATTGTGTGATTTAGTACGTGCCTACATTGTACACTTTGCAGATGTTTTGGTTTTGTTAAAATTAACTTATTAGTTATGAGACAATTCATTATACAAGTTAGTATTACCTCAACCTGGAACTAAAGGATTAAAGTTCAAACTGTTGGGTAGCTATAAAAAGTATTGAATAAATAGTTGAGTTTTTTCCTTTTGGGTACTGTAATTTTTGTTTTCTTTTCCTTTCTTTTTACTTTTTAAAAAATTGTCTTTACCTGAATGATCATATGTATAAATATTATATTATATATAAACATATAGTTAATATTAATATATTATATTAGTATATTATTATATAACATACCAAATAATATATAAATATTATATACTATGATTATATATAATCATAATTGAACATTATATGTTTTTCACTAGGGGTGTTTCTTTTCTGGCTGTTAATATTTTTCCATACTGAAAGTGATTTTTTTTTTTTTTGAGACAGGCTCAATTCCCCAGGCTGGAGTGCAGTGGTTTGATCTTGGCTCACTGTAGCCTCAACTTCCTAGGTTCAAACGATCCTCCCACCTCAGCCTCCTGAGTAGCTAGGACCCTAGGCACACACCACTACATCCGACTACTTTTTAAATTATTTGTAGAGACAAGGCCTCCCTATGTTGCCCAGGCTGGTCTTGAACTCCCGGGCTCAAGTGATTCACCTGCCTCAGCTTCCCAAAGTGCTGGGATTACAGGCGTGAGCCAGTGTTCCTGGCCTGAAAGTGACTGTGTTGTTTAGGGGAGAGTGTGTTATAAATGACCTGCCGTTCTCTCAATTCTCTCAGCACTTCTTTGCCAATCAGGCTGTGCTCACCATGGGAACTTGGGCAAGCCAAGGGACTTTTCTGGGCCTCAGTTGATCTGTGTGAGCACTCACAAGGCTGCTGGAAGCCCCTAGGTGATCAGTCTCCAAACTCCAGTTGGCCGAGTGTAACAAACAGGAACCCAGGCCTTGGCAGGAGAGCTGTGGTGTGGGGCTTGGGTTTTGACGTAAGGCAGGTCTGGTTTCTTCACTCTCTAACCAGGTGACCTTGGGCAAATATTTATCCTTTCTGAGCCTCAGTTTTCTCAGCTGTAGGAGGAGATCGTAATAACTTTCTTTGAAGTTTGTGGGGAGGGTTAAATAGAATAACACATGCCAAGAGCCCAACCCAGCCCAGCCCCAGGCCCGCGGCTGGTGTGCAGTCAAGAGAAGTCGGTTTCTGTACGTCACACACTTTGTGGGGAGAAGCAGCCCCTTGAGGAGTGATGGGAGACTTTGAGGGACTGGAGGAGTAGCAGAGAGGAAGAGAATCTGGTTCCCTGAGAGAAGGAGAAGCCAGGGCAGCTGAAGAACACAGTCCAGCCACTTCCACATGCTGGCCCTCCCTGCCTTCCCAAACCCACCTCCGCTCTCCCCACTGTGCTCCGGGCCCCAGCGACCCTGCAGGGAGCACAGCCCAGACCTGGCTGCCCAGTGGAATCACGTGGGATCTTTCAAATCACTCAGATTCCCAGGCTAGAGAATCTGCTTCCACAGGTGTGAGCTGGGAACTGAAAGTCAGGCTTTTTCTATTGAGGTAAAATTCACGTAACATAAAAATAACAATTTTAAACTATTTTAAAAATAACTATTTTTATGTTGTTTCACAGAACGTGAAAATAGTGCACATTTAGTACATGTACAATGTTGTGCAGCCATCACTTTTGACTAGTTCCAAAATATTTCCGTCTCCTAAAAAAAAACCATACCCATTAAGCAGTCACTCTGTCTCTCCTTCCCCTAGTCCCAGGCAGCCACTAATTTGCTTTCTATCTCTGTGGATTTGCCAGTTCTGAATATTTCACATAAATGGAGCCATACAGTGTGACTTTTTGTGTCTGGCTTCTTTCGCTGAACATAATGATTTCAAAGTTCATCCTTGTAGCATATATTGATGCTTCAGTCCTTTTTATGGTGAGATACTATTCTATTGTATGGGTATGCCAACTTTCTTTACACATTCATCTGTAGACAAAAATCTCGGTTGCTTCCACCTTTTGGCTATTGTGAATAATGCTGCTGCGAACATTCACGTAGAAGCGTTTCTTTGAATACCTGTCTTCAGTTGTTTTGTCTATTTGCCTAATATTGGAATTGCTGGGCCACTTGGTCACACTCTGTTCCACTTTTTGAGGAACGGCCAAACTGTTTTCCACAGCAAATTCCCCATTTTACATTCCCACTAGCAGTGTACAAGGATTTCACTTTTTCTATGTCCTTGCCAACACTTGTTATTGGCCGCCTTTTTTATTCTAGTTGTCCTAGTGGGCATGAAGTGGTATCTCATTGTGGTTTTGATTTATGTTTCCCTAATGACTAATGACTTTGAACATCTTTTCATGTGCTTGTTGACTATTTGTATATCTTCTTTGGGTAAATATCTATTCAAGTTATTTACCCATTTAAAAAATTGGGCTGTGGCCAGGCACAGTGACTCAAGCTTGTAATCTTAGCACTTTGGGAGGCCAAGGCAGGCAGATCCCTCAAGCTCAGGAGTTCAAGAACAGCAAGGGCAACATGGCAAAACCCTGTTTCTACTAAAAATACAAAAATTAGCTGTGTGTGGTGGCACACACCTGTAGTCCCAGCTACATGGGAGCCTAAGGCAGGAGAATTGCTCGAGCCTGGGAGGTCGAGGTTGCAGTGAACCAAGATCACACCATTGTACTCCAGCCTGGGCGGCTGAGCCAGACCCTGTCAAAAAAAAAAAAAAAAAAAAAAAAAAAAGCAAAAACAAAAAACAAAATGAAACAAAACAAAAAAAACAAATTGAGTTGCTTGTCTTTTTGTTGTTCAGTTGTAAGAGTTCTTCATGTATTCTGGATAATAGAATATTATCAGATATATGATTTGCAGATATTTCCCATTCTGTAGGTTGTCTTTTCACTTTTTTAATGGTATCCCTTGAAGCACAAACTTTTTAAATTTTGATAACGCTTAATTTATTTTTTTCTTTGGTTGTGTATGCTTTAGGTGTCATATCTAAGGGTCCAGTGGCAAATCCAAGGTTATGAAGATTCACCGCTATGTTTTCTTCTAAGAGTTTTATAGTTTTTGCTCTTCCATTCAGGTCTTTGATTGATTCATTAGTATTAAGTTTTGTGTATGGTGTGAAGTAGAGGTCCAACTTGATTGTTTTATGTATGTTGAAGACTCTATTCTTTCCCCATCTGATGCTCTTGGCACCCTTGTTGAAAATTTGTTTATTTCTGGACCTTACTTCTATCCCATTGATCTATATGCTTATTTTTATTACAGTACTACACTGTTTTGATGACTGTAGCTTTGTAATACGTTTTGAATCAGAAAATATGAGTCCTCCACCTTGTTTTTCTTTTTCAAGATTGTTTTAGCTATTTGAGGGTGCCTTGCAATTTCATATGAGTGATAGGATTAGCTTTTCTATTTTTCCCCACTTGTACCTCTGATTTTAGTAATTTGAGTATTCTCTCCTTTTCTCTTGGTCAGTCTAACTAAATTTTTTTTTCAATTTTGTTGATATTTTCAAAGGACCAACTTTTAGTTTCCTTCATATTTTCCATAGTTTTACTATTTTCTATTTCATTTGTCTCTAATCTTTATTATTTTTTCCTTCTGGTACCTCAGAGTTTAGTTTATCTTCTTTCTATGTTTCCTTAAGCTAATAAAATTAGGTTATTGATTTAGGGTCTTAAAAATATATATGTATATACTATATATATAAATTTTTCATATATATAGAATATATACATTTACAGCTATAGATTTCCCTCTTATCACTGCTTTCACTGCATCTGATAGGTTTTGGTGTGTTGTTTAATTATCATTCATCTCATTTTCTGATTTAACTTGTAATTTCTTCTTTAACTCACTTGTTGTTTAAGAGTGTGTCGTTTAATTTCCAGGTACTTGTGAAGTTTCCATTTCTCTTTCCTTTACTGATTTCTAGTTTCATTCCACTATAGTCAACAAAGATTCTTTGTATGATTTTAATCTTTTTAACTTTACTGGAGAATGTTCCATATGCACTTGAGAAGAATGTATATTCTGTTGCTGTTGGATGGAGTGTTCTACATATGCTTGTTGGGTCTAATTGGTTTATAGTGTTGTTCAGGTTCTCTATTTCCTCATTAATCTTCTGTCTAGCTGTTCTACCCATTACTGAAAGTGCAGCATTGAAGTCTCCAACTATTTTTGTAGAACTGCCTGTTTCTCCACTCAATTTTGTTGATTTTTGCTTCATATATTTTGGGGCTCTGTTATTAGATGCATATATATTTATAATTGTTTTATATTCATAATGGATTGACTATTTTATCAATATATAATCTCTTTCTTTGTCTCATAATAGTTTTTATCTTAAAGTCTATTTTGTCTGATATAAGTATAGCCACCCTTGCTCTCTTTTGGTTACTATTTTTATGTAATACCTTTCCCCATCCTTTCATTTTCAACCTATAAGTGTCTTTAGATTTAAAGTGAGTTTCTTGTGGAGAGCATATAGTTGTATCATTTTAAAAATCTGTTTTGCCAAAGTTTGCTTTTCATTGGAAATTTTAAATTCATTTACATGTAAATAATTACTACTAAGAAAATACTTATGTCTGCAATTTTGCTATTTGTTTTTTGGGTGTATTAAACTTTTTGTTTCTCAATTCTTCCACTACTACCTTCTTTTGTGACTAATTTTTAGTGTACTATATATATGTGTATGTGTGTATATATATATATACACGTGTATATATATATACACACATGTATATATGTATATATACACACACACATATATATACACACATATATATATATGTTTGTTTTGTTTTTTTTTTTTCTTGTTTTTTTGAGCTAGAGTCTCAGTCTGTTGCCCAGGCTGGAGTATAGTGGTGCAGTCATAGCCCACTGCAACCTCAAACTCCTGAGCTAAAGAGATCCTCCTGTCTCAGCCTCCTGAGTAGCTAGGACAACAGGCACACACCACCATGCCTGGTTAATTTAAAAAAATATATATATATATTTGTAAAGATGGGGTCTTGCTACATTGACCAGGCTGGTCTTGAACTCCTGGCTTCAACAAATCCTCCTGCCTCAACCTCTGTTTTTGAGTCTTATTCCTAGTAGTTACCCTGGAGATTACAATTACCATCTTAACTTTATAACAATCCAGTTTGAATTAATACCATTTTTTTTTTTGAGACAGAATTTCTCTCTTGTTGCCCAAACTGGAGTGCAATGGCGCAATCTTGGCTCACCGCAACCTCTGCTTCCCAGCTTCAAGCAATTCTCCTGCCTCAGCCTCCTGGGTATTTGTGATTACAGGCATGCACCATCATGCCTGGCTAATTTTGTTTTTTTAGTAGAGATGAGGTTTCTCCATTTTGGTCAGCCTGGTCTTGAACTCCCGACCTCAGGTGATCTGCCTGCCTTGGCCTCCCAAAGTGCTGGGATTACAAGTGTGAGCCACTGCGCCTGCCCTAATACCAACTTTAAATTTTGATAGTACATAAAACTGATCTTTCACAGCTCTGTCTCCCCACCCCATGTTGTTATTTTCACAAATTTTTATACATTGTGTGCCCATTAACATAAATTTATAATTATTGACTTATGCATTTGTCTTCTAAATCATATGGAACAAAAGAGAAGCTACAAACCAAAATTGCAATACTATTAACTTCTATATTTACCTATGTAACTAGCTACCTTTACTGGTATCATTTATTTCTTCATGTGGCTTTGGGTTACTGTCTGGTGTCATTTCAACCTGAAGGACACCCTTTAGCATTTCTTCTAGGGAAGATCTGCTAGTGACAAATTCCCTCAGTTTTTGTTTATGTGGGAATATTTTAATTTCTCCTTTATGCTCTCAGAATATTTTCTGGATACAGAATTATTGGTTTTCTTTTTTCCCCCTCTCAGTACTTTAAATATATAATCTTCTGGCCTTCATGATTTCTGATGAGAAAATTGCTATTAATCTTATTGAGAATCTCTTGTCTGTGATGAGTCTCTTCTCTCTTGTTTCAAGATGTTTTGTCTTTCTCTTATGTCAGCTTGCTATAGTGCATCTCAATGTGGATCTCTTTGAGTTTATTTTGCTTGGTGTTTGTTGAGCTACATGTTGGATGTGTAGATTTATGTCTTTCACCAAATTTGGGAAGTTTTCAGTCATTATTTCTTCTAATATTATTCCTGTCTCTTTTTTCTCCTTTTGGAACTCCCATTATGATATGTTTGTAAGACTGGTGGTATCCTACAGGTCTCCTAGACTGTCTCTGTTTATTTTTCTTCATTCTTTTTTCTTTCTGATCTTCAACCTAAATAATCTCAATTGACTTAACTTCAAGTTCACTGATTCTATCATTTGCCTGTTCAAATCTGCTGTTGGCCCCATCTAGCAGAATTTTTCATTTCATTTGTACTTTTCAGCACCCAAATTTCTATTTTTTTTAGAATAAGTGCTTTATTTTTTTAAATCTCACAAAAACTGAAACTATCATTTACATCAGTTGTAATAGCAAGAAAAATTAGAAATAAATTTTCTATACTCTTGAAAACATTTATAAAAACAAAACAAAATTAAACAAAAAGGAAAAACTATTCATTTTAAATTAAAGATAATCTGACTCCTTATGACATACCCACTTGCAGATGTATAAATAGCAGATGCATTCAAAACAGTGCAAGATTTAATTAATTTAGGACAATATTCCAACCAATCCCAATGCAGATTTTAAATTACGTGTGCACGTTTACATAGAATCGTAAAAATAAACCTCTAATATGTGATCAGCTTATGCCAACTCAGAAAACTCAACACTAATACGACAACTGTGGAAATCACAAGATATGACTGGGGGGAGAAAAGCAAACCCTAGCATCAAAAGTCAGCACCCAAATTTCTACTTGATTCCTTTTATAATTTCTATCTCTTTAACAATATTCTTTATCTGGTGAAGCATCGCTCTCCTGCTTTCTTTTAGTTCTGTCTCCATGGTTTCTTTTAGCTTTTTGAGTATACTCATTTAAAATCTTTTTCTAGTAAGTCTAATGCCTGGGCCTCTCATGGACAGTTTCTATACATTTATTTTTTCCTATAAATGTACCATACTTTCTTGTACTTTCAATGCCTTATAGGTTTTTTGAAAACTGGACATTTTGAATATTATAATAGGTTAATTCTGGAAACCAGATTCCTCCCCATTCTCAGAATTAGTTGTTTCAGCTTGTTGTGGGTTGTTGTGTGCTTGTTTAGTATATTTTTTAAACTATTTTTGTAAAGTCTGAATTCCTTGTCATGTGTGGCCACTGATACTTGTGTTCCATTACCTTAGTGATTAACCAATGTTTTCATAGCATTTCTTTAAATGCCTGAAGCCAAGAAAAAGCATAAAGTATAGTAATAGTTGTAGAGAAGATCCACCAATGGATACTAAAGTTTGAAGAAAAAGAGGGTTTGTATAAACTCAAAGTATATCTCCAAATATAATAATTACAAAGGGAAAGATATTAACTTTACAGTGGAAAAACCTGGCAGACGCCAGCATAACCAAATGATCAAGGTTAACGTGACCAGTAATAAGACATGTCAATATCATGAATCTCTTGATATGACACACTGAGAGAGGGACACGTAATTTCTGCTGTGTCATTTTGCCAAAAATGCATAATTTAATTCCAATCATGAGAAAACATCAGACATGCCCAAATAGAGGGACACCGTTCAAAAGTGTCAAGGTCATGTAAGACAAGGAGAGACTAAGGGACTGACAGATTAGAGGAAACAAAGGAGAAATCACAAATGCAATTTGGGATCTTGGATGAGATCCTGAAAGAACAAAAAGACATAGGAGGAAAACTAGTGAATTCAAGTAGGATCTGCTGTTTAGTTAAAAGCATTGTACTGGTATTAATTTTTTGGTCTTGATCATTGTATTATGGTTATTTGAGTTGTCACAAGTAGGGGTGAAGAGAATAATCTGTGCTATTTTTGCAACTTTTCTGTAAGTCTAAAATTGGTTCAATGGAAAAAGTTAAACACAAAGGTTATTTTAGTTAGCGGGAGTGAAGGGGTTGAGGGTTGCTGGAGAGGAAACCAGCGGTACAGGTGGGGCTGGATCCACAGGCAAGGAGTGTGGGTCTGCTTTGAGGGTGAAGACGCACCACAGGAGGGCGCCACATCTGGCAATGATGCCACCTGATCAGTGTCTTAGGAGGTCGCTCTGTGGAGAATGGGATGTAGAGAGGAAAAGAAAAGGCAAGGAGACTAGTGAGAAGGCTGCTGGGGTTGTCTTGACCTAGAGACAAAGAGAGGCAATCAGATTTTGTATATATTTTTGGGATATAGGTGACAGAACTCAGTGGTGGATTGGTTGTAGAACGGGACTGAAAGAGAATAGTAAAGGATGGTGTATTAATCTGTTTTCTCCAGAAAAACAGGACAGTAGTGTACAGTAGTCTCCCTTTATCCATGGTTTCACTTTCTGCAGTTTCAGTCATTCATGGTCAATCACGATCTGAATACATTAAATGAAATATCCCAGAAGCAAACAATTTGTACATTTTAAATTGCATATTTCTCTACATAGTGTGATGAAATCTTGCACGGTCTGCTCCATCATCCCCAGGACATGAATGATCCCTTTGTCTAGCACCTCCATGCTGTGTGTGCTGCTCTCCTGCTGGGTCCCTTAGTAGCCATCTCAGTTCTCCCATTGACGGTTGGGGCATTGCAGTGCTTGTGTTCAGGTCACCCTTATTTTGCTTAATAATGGCCCCAAAGCACAAGAGTACTGTGCCTAATTTATAAATTGAACTTTATCATTGGTATGTATATGTGTATGGTATGTATGGAAAAAACATAGCATATGTAGGGTTCGATAGATCTGCAGTTTCAGGTACCCACTCGGGGTCTTGGAATGCATCCTCTGCAAATAAGGGGCACTACTATGTATGTATGTATATGAGAGAGAGAGAGGTTGATTATAAGGAACTGGCTCATGGGATTATGGAGGTGGAGAAGTCCTAAGATCTGCACTTGGCAAGCTAGAGACCTGAGAGAGCCAATGGTGTCATTCCAATCTGAGTCTGAAGGTCTGAGAACCAGGAGAGCTGATGGTGCAAGTTCCAGTCCGAATCCAAATCCAAAAGCAGGAGAGGACTGATGTCCCAGCTTGCAGACAGTCAGGTAGAGAATGAGAATTCTTTCCTACTCCATCTTTTTGTTCTATTCAGGCCTTCAATGGCTTGGATGACCTCCACCCACATTGGAGAGGGCTATCTGCTTTATTCAGTTAATCAAATGCCTCACCCAGAAACCAACTCTCACAGACACACCCAGAATAATGTTTAACCAACTATATGGACACCTCACGTCCTAGTCAAGTTGACACTTAAGATATTCACCCCAACTGGCTCTTGGGTTCTTGCCTTAGTCAAACGCCAAATGGTGGTACCATTTACTAAGATGAGGGAGACTGGAGAAGGTGGTTTGGGGATGAATATTAAATTGGAGGTGCTGATGAGACCTTCAAGGGAGTGTCAAACAGGCAGTTGAATATAAGAGCCTAAAGGTCACGGGGGAGGTATGCATTTGAGAGTGATCAGCACATAGTGGTATTAAAGCCTTGGGATAGCATGGGCACACCCAGGGAGAGAATGTGGAGGATCTGCTGAGGACAGAGCCTGGGAGCCTCCACCACTCAGAGGGCAATGGGATGAGGGAGGGCCAGCAACAGGACCACAAAAGAAGTGGCCTTGAGCCAGCCCATTCACCCATTCTCAGTCTCAACACTGCCTGAGATGGGGGATCTACTAGCTGTAAATCTACTTACCTCGGCAGTCATTGATATGGTTTGGATCTGTGTCCCTGCCCAAATCTCATGTGGAATTGTAATCTCCAGTGCTGGAGGAGGGGCCTGGTGGGAGGCGATAAAATCATGGGGGTGGATTTCCCCTTTGCTGTTCTCCTGATAGTGAGATCTGGTTAAGAGTGTGTAGCACCTCTCCCTTCGCTGTCTTCCTCCTGCTCCAGCCATGTATTATGTGCCTGCCTCCCCTTCTGCCATATTTGTAAGTTTCCTGAGGCCTCCCCAGCCATGCTTCCTGTACAGCCTGCAGAACCATGAGCCAATGAGACCTCTTTTCTTATAAATTACCCAGCCTCAGGTAGTTCTTTGTAGCAATGCGAGAACGGACAAATACAGTCATCTAACCTTAGTTCTCTGCCTTGCTCAGTCCACACCAGTCCAATACACATATCTAAGACCCTCCTATGTGTCAGTGCCTCAGTGCCTACCTAACAAAGACAGGGCCCTGCCAGCAAGAGACTTCCGGTCTAACGGGGAGATGAACTCTCGGCAGACCCCTTCCGTGCTCAGGTAGCTAACTCTCACTTATTCAAGCATTCATTCCACAACCAGAGACTGAGTCTGGCCATGGTGCCGGCTGAGGTCAGGTAGCCTAGGAATGCAGTCAAATGAAACATGGCCCCACTCTCCAGGAGCACAGAGTCTACAGGGAAGTCAGACTGAAAACGGGCATTTCAGTAAAATGTTGTAAATTCTCTCATGGGAGATGTTACCATTTGTTCTGCTGAGAGCTAGACCTACCCAGGGAGAAAGGAATCCATGTGGATTTGACAGGACTGACCACCCCTGGTCACCTGCCCCTTCCTCCAAAACCTCATTGTCAGTATGTGTTGCAAAGGCCATATCCAGAAGGAAATGAGTCACTTTATTTCATTTCATTTTGGTAGTCAGCCTATAATGGAGCTTTTCTTGTTTTTCAAAACAAGTCAGGCAGATGAAACTGAGCACACACATAGTTACATGTGTGCATGCATGCAACACACACATACACATGTGCACACATGCATGCACGCACACACACACACACACACACACACACACACACACACTCTCTCTCTCTCTCTCTCTCAGGCTGTTTTCTGGCTTCCAAATTTCTTAAGTATGAGGCCATTTTCCTCCCTGGCCAAATGGCTGTCTGCAGAGTGCTGGGGCGGCCCATAAATTGTCCTGCCCATAATATAAAACACAGCCCTTATTGACAGCTCGTAAAGCAGGGCCCGGTGTCACTCCCGCCGAGCGGAGGCAATAAAGGGCACGGGGGAATTACCTCTAGCTCCAGCAGCTGGCCACGCTGCAGGGACACCGGCAGCAGGCCTAATGGGTTCTCCTCCCTGCCTTGTAAAGCATTACATTTAGACATTATTTCTCCCCCGCCCAAGAGCAATTTCTTTTAGGGAGAGAGGCAGCTCCTTGAAAGAGGCACCATCTCTGATGCTCAACCTGGCGCTGGAATCACAAATGCCCACATAAGAGGGCAGTGACGTCCTTGGATCCTCAGCCTCTTCTGTTTCCCTAAGGCTGCTGCCGCTCCCCAGTAACAACTGTCCCAGACCTTCTCCACCATTCTTGGGGCTCTGATTATCCCTCTCCCAGCAGAACACCTTGGTGCCTACATCAAGGGCTAGGATAGAAGCTCTCTTTTCTTCCCAGTCCCAAACCTACAAGCAAGCTCCAATCATCCCTCTTCTCTTTCCTTCCCTCCTGTTCCAGTAGGGCCATTTTCCATCCTGCTGTCTAAGGCCCACCCTCCCCAATCCCTTCCCATGTTTTTGCTCCCGCCACACACTCTGGTTATCTCACCCTCCACCCCCTATCCATTTGGCATCTCCCTCTGAGCTGGATCATCTCAGCGACTCTCCACATGCTCAAATCTTTCCCATTAAAAAATGATCACAAACAAAACCTCTCCTGCTATTGTTCTCTCTTCTCTTTCCCCTTCACTGGCAAACTTCTGGAAGGAGTGGTTGCTAGACGATTCTACTTCTGGCTCTCCCTGCCTCTCTCCTACCTGACACTGCTCCATCATGTGCCATCCCAGCACCTGCTTCTGTCACCAATGAGCTCATTTGGCAAGCGTGAATTACACAGTGATTTTGAAGCTTATCTGTGCTGTGAAAAAAAATACAGTAGGTAAAGAGATGGGGCTGGGGGGTGGTATTCTAATTTTAAGTAGGGTGGTTAGGATAGCAAAGACCTGAAGGAGGTGAAGTGTGAGTCACGTGGATACCTGGGGAACAGCCAGTGCAGAGGCCCTGGGGCAGGGTGTGCCTGGAGTATGCCTGGGGAAGCAAGGAAGCCAAGTGGATGACGTGAAGCATAGCAGTGGAGCAGAGCGCTAGTAAACCAGGAGGTGATAGGGGGAGGAAGGGGAATGAGGGCTGAGGGAGCCCGTGTGCTGGGAGGGACAGGAGCACAGCATCAGTGCTAAGCAGAGGAGTGACGTGACTTGGAAGAACTGCTTCGACTGGAGACTGAGCAAAGGCAATAGGAGACCAGGATGGGGAAATGTGGACCAATAAGGAGGCTTGGTGAAGAGCTTAGGATAAGAGGGGGATACAGCAGGGGAGCAGAGTGCTGGTAAACCACCTATCCCAGAAGGGGCAAAGAGAGTCCTGATCTGATCATTTCTTGGTTTCGGGCTCCAGCATGCCATGGAGGCCCACAGGGTTATGGTGAAAAGTGAATAGACTCTGGATATTCTTTGAAGTTAGAGCCAGAAGGATTTCTTGACAGACTGGCTGTGGGATATGAGAGAAAGCAATGGGCAAGGCTGACCCAAGGCTGCTGAAATGCACGGCAATGCGGGGGCCAGCCACTGTTGCCAACCCTCCTGGAAAGGCCCTCTCCCTGGAGCCTGGGGCACCCCCCCGGGTTCTTCTCCCCTTCTTCTTATGGTTTCCTCTCAAACTCCCTGGCAGCTGCATCCTTCTGGTCCTGGCCCTTCATCGCTAGCATTTCCCAAGGCTCCTGAGCAGGCTTTCTCCTCTCTGGAGCTCCACCTTGCCCCACGTGAGCTCACCTACAGCTCCCAGCATCTCTTCCATGCTCCAACTCATAGGTAAGTACCAGGACCCCAGGCTCTTGTCTGAGCTCACTCCAGACCCACCAAACCTAATGCCTCTCAGGCCTTTCCTCTTGGGTATCTCAGAGGCACAGCAGACTCAACGCATCCAAATTGTAACTCACGATGTCCCTCCACCCACCCTGCCCCATATCGTCCCCACCTAATCTCACTGGCCCTCGTCCAACACTCCTCATCACCACATCAGGCAAGTCAGAGACTAGGGCATGCTCCATACCACCTCCTTCTCTCTTATTCCTCGTGTGGAACCCTTGCTGAGTCTTGTTGCTTACATGCCTCACGTAGCTCTTTTTAAAAAAAATCTATAAAGAAAATAGGTTTATTTGGCTCACAGTTCTTCAGGCTGTACAAGCAGCATGGTGCCAGCATCTGCTTCTGGTGAGGACTCAGGAAATTTCCAATCATGGTGTAAGGCGAGGGGGAAGCCCATATCCCATGGCAAGAGCAAGCAAGAAAGAGAGAAGGTAAGTGCCAGCCTTCTTTAAACAACCTCTCATGTGAACTAGCAGAGGGAGAACTCACTCGTCATTATGAGGAAGGCACCAAGCCACTCATGAGAGATCCGCCCCCATGACCCAAACACCTCCGACCAGGCCCCACCACTAACACTGTGGATCACATTTCGACATGAGATTTGGAGGGGACACATATCCAAACCATATCATCCCACTCCTGGTCCCCCAAATCTCATGTTCTTCTCACGTTGCAAAATACAATAATCTCTTCCCAATAGTCCCTAGAAGTCGTAACTTGTTCGAGCCTCAACTTAAAAGTCCCAAGTCCAAAGTCCAAAGTCTTGTCTGAGACTCAAGGCAAATTCCTTCCAGCTGAGCCTGTAAAATCAAAAGCAAGTTACTTACTTCCAAGATACAATGGTGGTGCAGACATTAGATAAACGTTCTCACTCCAAAAAGGAGAAATCAACCAAAAGAAAGGGTCAACAGGACCCATGCAAGTCTGGAACCCAACAGGGCAGACATTAAACCTTAAAGCTCCAAAATAATCCTTGACTCCATGTCCTGCATCCAGGGCACACTGGTGCAAGGGGTGGGCTCCTAAGGCCTTGGGCATTTCCAAATCTGTGGCTTTGCAGGGTACATCCCCCATAGCTGCTCTCACAGGTTGAAGTTGAGTCCCTGCAGCTTTTCCAGGCTCAGGGTGCAAACTGCCAGTGGATATACCATTCTCAGGTCTAAAGGGCAGCAGCCCCCTTCCCACAGCTCCACTAGGCAGTACCATGGTGGAGACTCTGTGGGGGCTTCAACCCCACATTTCCCCTCCACATTGCCCTAGTAGAAGTGCTCTATGAGGGTTCTGTCCCACAGCACACTTCTGCCTGGGCACCCAGGCTTTCTCATACATCCTCTGAAATCTAGGTGGAAGCTGCCAAGCCTCCTTTATATTCGCATTCTGTGTACCTGCAGGCTTAACACTACATGGAAGCCAGCATGTAGTGGCCTGAGCTGCACATGGAGCTCTTTGGGCTGGAGTCAGAGCTTCCAGGATACTGAGAGCAGTGTCCCAAGGCTGTGCAAGGCAGCAAGGCCCTGGGCCTAACACTCTCCCCCTCCCCCTCAAATTTTTCCTTCCTCCTAGACTTCTGGTCCTGTGATGGGAGGGGCTGCCCTAAGACTTCTGAAATACCTTCAAGGCCTTTCCTGTTGTTGTCTTGGCTATTAGCATTTGTCACTCTTTCAGTCATGCAAATCTTTCTAGCAAGTGGTTGCTCTGCAGCTCCCTTATATTTCTCTCCTGAAAATGATTTTTCCTTCTCTACATGGACAGGCTTCAAACTTTCCTTTATGCTCTGCTTCCCTTTTAAAAATAAATTCTAACTTTGGGTCATTTCTCTGCTCCTATATCTGATCATAGGTCATTAGAAGCAGCCAATTTACTTCTTGAACACTTCTGCTTAGAAGTTTCTTCCACCACATACCCTAAGTCATCGCTTTTAAGTTCAAACTTTCACAAATTCCTGGGGCGTGGACACAATGCAGCCAAGTTCTTTGCTAGGCCATAACGTGGGTAACCTTCAGCTTCCAATAAATTCCTCATTTCCATCTGGGATCTCATCAAACTGGACTTCACTGTCCATATTTCTGTCAGCATTATGGTCACAACCATTTGGCTAGTCTCTAGGAAGTTCCAAACTTTCCCTCATCTTCCTTTCTTTTTCTGAGCCTTCCAAATTCTTCCAAACTCTGCCTGTACCCAGTCCCAAAGCCACTTGCACATCTTCAGGTCTTTATAGCAATGCCCCAATCCTTGGTACCAATTTTCTGTGTTAGTTCATTTTGCCTTGCTATATGGAATATAATGGAATATATAAGGGAATACCTGAGACTGGGCAATTCATACAGAAAAGAGACCTATTTTGTTCACAGTTCTGCAGGCTGTACAAGCAGCATGATGCCAACATTTGCTTCTGGTGAGGCCTCAGGAAGTTTACAATCATTGAGGAAAGCAAAGAGGAAGCCTGTAGCACATGGTAAGAGGGAGCAAAAGAGCCTTAAGTGGCTCTTGAATCCACCATGACTCCATTTCTCCACCATCCCTCCCTGGATGCCACATGCCAGGTGGTGTTCCCTTGTACATCCTGCCAAGTCCTTCTCTGCCTTGCAGTTAGAGCTTTGCAACATGCAAGTCTTATCATGTCATTCCCATGCAAAAACTGCTCTAATGCTTTCTGATGCTCTTAGGAGAAAGCTTGAGCTTACCCTAGGCTACAAAGCTTTGCACTACTGGCCTTCTTCCCCACTCCTTCAGCCCCTTACCCTCTGCCAGCCATGCCTGCTTTTTTTACTTACTCACTGGCACCATGTTCTGCACTCCTCCCTCAGGGCCTTTACAGATACTCTTCCCTTTTCCTGGAATACCTCTCCCTGCCCTTTTTGTATGGCCATCTCTCAGACCAAGGCTCAGTCGCCATTTTCTCAGGTGTCTTCTCCAAACTTCCCGACTTGCTCAAATCTGCCCATTATATTGTCTCATAGTACCATGAGCCTTCATGGCCCTGAGAACTGCAGTTCTCCTTTATTTGCTTAATGCCACTTTCCCTTATTGTCGACAAGCCTCGTTTTGCTCACCACTCTCAACACAGTGAGGTGAGGGCACAGGGGTTAGAAGTCCTGAGTCTAAATCCCCATCTGCCACTCAGTGGCAAAGTAATCTTGGACAAGTTAACCTAACTAGAGATAATATAGTTCCTACCTATTGTGTAGGGTTGTCGTGAGGATTGCAGAACTCCATTAATGTAAACTGTCTATCACAGTGCCTGCCACAGAGTAAATAAACACTGTGAGTGGTAGACACAATCATTGGTCCCTGTTCATCACCTTGCCTGGAGTCCATGCCCTGGCCTTGCCTCCTTAAGGGTAGGATGAAATTCCTTGCCTCTGTGACTTTGGGTCTGGCCATGTCACTTGCTTTGGTCAAGAGAAAGGGACGGAAGTAGCAGTGGACCAGTTCTGAACCTAGGCCTTAGGGGGTCTGGAAAATTCCTATGTCCTCTTAAACTTCTGCCATCACCACGAGAAGACTCTCCCTGAGGTCACTGGTGACTCTTCAGTCTGGACTCCAAAATGTGGAGCTGGGCCATTGAGCCTGGCCTGGCATAGGTCAGCCCATTCTTGGGAAACCCATGGAGCAGTGAGAACAAATGATCATTGCTTTAAGCCTGTGAGTTTTGGGATGCTTTTTCTCCACATTATTGCAGCAATATAACCTGCCCAAGAGAAGTAACGTGTATGGTATAGTGCTTGGGACAGAGCAAACACTGAGGGTAGCTCCCTGTCCACAGTAGCTGCGGCAGGTCACCAGGCTGGCCCTTGACATCCTTGCCAGACCTGCAGAGCTGCCTTCCTTCCATGGTCATGTTATCAGCCACAGCTTAAGCAGGGACACAGGACCACTGTGATGGATAGATGGATGGATGGATGGATGGATGAATGGATGGATGGATAGATAGATGTCAGACAAAGAAATCATGATAGATGATAGATAGATAGATAGATAGATAGATAGATAGATAGATAGATAGATGATACAGAGATCATACTAGCTAGCTAGATAATAGGTAGATAGATAGGTGGGCAGGTAGATAGGTAGACAGATGGATGGATAGATAGATAGATAGATAGATAGATAGATAGATAGATAGATAGAGAAATGGATCTGCTGCAAGGACCTGGCCTTTCACAGTCATGAGGGCTGGTCAAGCAGTCTCTGTAAGGCCTTTTTGCTGTGTCTGATGCTGGAACTCGAAGCCCACAGGCAGGTGGTCAGGAAGAGAAGATACCTATAGACTGGGGGAGCAAGGACAAGCTGGAGCCCACGAGGACAGACTGAGAGCTGTCAGTGCTTGTTGCTTCTGGCCTTGGTGGTATGAATGTCTTTCTGAAGCCAAGGCCCCCACCATGGCACTAAACATACACACCTGGCCTATGGAGGTGGGGCAGCGGAAGGAGGAGCCAGGGAAGGTGGAGGCCCAGATGGCTGCCCCACAAAGATGGGCAGAGCCCGCAGGTAATCGACTCCACAAATGGGCTGTGAAATGCCTGCTGCATCCCTCTGCCCCCACCCACCAAGTCTCCCGCAAGAATCTCTCTTGTAATCCAACCTAACGGAAACACCCAGGAGCAGGAATTCTGAGAAGCATGGATCAGCTCAGCCAAGTTGACATGTTGCAAAGTTACTGGGCCTCAAAAATACCTTCAGACCAATTTTTAGGAATGAAGTTACTGATGAAATGAGTTCTTGCAGTGGTGGGACTGAGGGTAATCTTTTCCAGGGGTATTTCTGCTCCAAATCTATTAGCCAAAGGAATATTTCTGTGATGATGATGTCTCTTGGCACAAAGAGGGGAAGCTTGTTGAACACCCACTAAGGCTGAGGAATATTACATATTTTGTCTCATTTCATCCTTGAAAGCTTTTTGGGATGGGCAATTTATCAAACCTATATCACAGATGAGGACAGTGGGGTTCAAGGCCCCTTGTCAGTTCTCATAGGCCAGGCCTGGAGCTCTGTAAGGAAGTGAAGATTTATCTTCACAGTGTAGGGAAGAGTTGCTGCCACGCAGATGCCTGGTGGCTGAATCTAACTGTGCTTAAATTCGTATTGCCCTAGTGGCTAAGGATGGTGAGCAGCCTTTCCTGTGCTCATGTGCCTCCATATATCCTCTTTAGTGAAGCATCTGTCCAAGTTTTTTTCCCCATTTTTAAGCTGGTTTGTTTTCTTACCATTGATTGTGAGAGTTCTTTATATAGTCTGGATACAAGTCCTTCATTGGATGTGTGATGAAATAATATTTTCTCCCAGTCTGTAGCTTGTGTTTTCATTCTCCTGTCTCTTTCAGAGAACATATTTTTAAATGTTATGAAATCCAATTTCCCAAATTTCTCCTTTTATGGACCATGTTTTTTGGTGTCATGTATAAAAACTTTTTGTCTAACCTCAGGGCATAAAGACTTTTTCTGCTATGGTTGCTTCTAAAAATGTTGTGGTTTTATATTTTATATTAGCTGTATGGTCTATTTTGAGGCAATTTTTGTGAGGTGTGAGGTTTAGGTCAAGGTTCATTATTTTTTTCTGCCTATGGATATCCAGTTGTTTCAACATCATATGTTTTAATTCTTTTCCTATTGAATTGCCTTGGCACTTTTGTTCAAAATCCATTGTTATATTTTGTGGGTCTATTTCTGGATTCTCTATTCCAAGGGTTGGCAAATGTTTTCTGTGAAGGGTAAAATAGTAAATGTTTTAGGCTTTGTGGGCCATATGATCTCTGCTTCATATGCTTTTATTATTTAAAAAAACCCTTTAAAAATGTAAAAACCATTATTAGCTCATTGGTCATACAAAAAGAGACCATGGCCAGTGTGTATTAGTCTATTCCCATGCTACTATGAAGAGATACCCTAGACTGGGTAATTTATAAAGGAAAGAGGTTTAATTGATACACAGTTCGGCATGGCTGGGGATGCCTCAGGAAACTTACACTCATGGCGGAAGGGGAAGCAGGCACTTCCTTCTTCACAAGGCAGCAGGAGAGAGAAGTGCCAAGCAAAGGGGGAAAAGTCCCTTATAAAATCATCAGATCTTGTAAGAACTCACTCACTATCATGGGAACGGCATGGGGATAACCATTCCTATGATTCAATTACCATAAAATGTTTTGGTTTTATATTTTATATTAGCTCTATGGGAACCACCGGGTCCCTACCACAACATGTGGGGACTGTGGAAACTACAATTGAAGATGGGATTTGGGTGGGGACACAGCCAAACCATATCAGCCAGATTTTGCCTTTGGGCTACAGTGCATGACCCTGCTCTGCTCTGTTCCATTGAGCTGTGTCTTCCCATCACCAATACCACCCTGTCTTGATGATGCCAGCTTTACAGTACATCTTAAAAGCAGGTTGTGTGAGTGCTTTATTGTGTCTTTTAATTGAGGCTTTTAGGCCGTTTTCATTTTATGTAATTATTTATATGTTTGGATTTAGGTCAACCATTTCATTCTTTGTTTTCTCTGTTGCTTCTTTTTGTTGTTATTATTCCTGTTACTCTTTTTTGCCCTCTTTTGGGTTATTTGAACATGCTTTTAGTATTCCATTTTGATGTCTCTATTGTGGTTTTGCCTACATCCTTTTGTATAGTTTGTTTGGTCTTTTTCTGATTGCACTAGGGATTAGAATATATATAACTTTGCACAGTCTGCAGAAGAATACTTGCCCACTTCAAGTGGAATGTAGTTCTAGAACCCCATACAGGTCCTTAACCCTCTCCACTTATGTAATACTTGTCTTTGTGACACCTACATACATGGAAAACTCCATCAAACAATGTTGTACTTTTTTCCTCTTAACTGTTGAACGTATTTTAAAGAACCCAGGAGGCAGGAGTAGTCTACTGTATTCCTGCAAACACTTACCACTTCCGCTGCTCTTCCTCCAGTCCTGATGCTCCACGTTTCCTTCTGGGATCACTTCCCTTCTGCCTTCTAGGGCAGGTCTATGGGCAATGAACCCTCATAGTTTTCCTTTATCTGAGAATGTCCATTTATCTCACAGTATCTATTTTACCAAGGATATTTTCATGAATAACGAGTTCTGGGTTGACAGTTCTTTTCTTTCAGCACTTTAAAAATATTTCACTTACTCCTGGCTTTCATGGTTTCTGATGAGAAATCTCCAGTCCCCTCAGATGAACTCCTATTAATCTTTCAAAATCTAAATCAGATCTTTTTTCTTTTTTAACTTTTATTTTAAATTCAAGGGTACAAGTGCTTGTTTGTTACATAGGTAAACTTGTGTCATGGGGGTTTGTTGTACAGATTATTTAATCACCCAATTAAGCCTAGTACCCTTCAGTTATTTTTCCTGATCCTCCTCCTCCTCCCAGCCAGATATTTTTTCTTATTCAAATCATTCTTATCTTTCATCCCTTCCCCGTTAGTTGCTCACTCCCTCCTACGAGAAACAGAGAGAGAGAGAGAGAAAAAGAAATAAGAACAACAACAAGAAGAGAATAAGAAGAAGCAAAAGAAGGAGAAGGAGGAGGAAAAGGAGAAGGAGGAGGGGAAGGAGGGGGAGGGGAAGGAGGAGAAGGAGGAGAAGAGGAAGAGGAGAAAGAGGACGAAGAAGAAGAAAGAAGAAGGAGAAGGAGAAAGAAGAAGAAAGAAGAAGAAAAAGGAACCCCCCTACTGTTATCCTTTTCTGGTTGTATTTATTTTTTATTTTATAGAACTGGGGTCTTACTCTGTTGCCCAGGCTGGAGGACAGTGGTCCAATCACTGCAGCCACGAACTCCTGGGCTCAAGCAATCCTCCTGCCTCAGCCTCCCCAGTAGCTGGGACTAGAGGCACATACCACTACACCTGGCTTCTTCTGGGTTTAGAACCAACTAAAATACAGACTCAGCAGACAGATGGAGGTTGCAATGTTGGTCTTACTGTTAAAAAAGCTGGATTGAGGATGTGGTAGGTTAGATGTTTGTTTGTTTTTTTGAGACAGGGTCTCACCCTGTTGCCCAGGCTAGAATCGCAGTGGTGCCGTCACAGCTCACTGCAGTCCCCACATCCCTGGGCTCAGGTAATGCTCCCACCTCAGCCTCCCAAGTAGCTGTGACTGCAGGTGCATGCCACCATGCCCAGCTGTTTTCTTTTTGTAAAGACAGGGTTTCACCATTTTGCCCAGGCTGATCTTGAACTCTTGAGCTCAAGCAATCCTTTGGCCTTCCAAAGTGCTGGGATTACAGGCCTGTGCCACTATGCCTGGTCTGGATTGTTGCTCGGATACCTGTCTCCCCTCACTGTATAGAAGTGAGCTTCTTAGTTCCACTGACCTGGGGCTCAGCCATATGCTTTGCTTTCGGTTCCTAGCCTAGGCCCAAAGAGGCTCCTGTGTTATTTCTTGCCCGTTTGTCCTTCTGCCATCACTGCTAGATGTCCGAACAATCCTCTGGTCCCAGGGAGAGGAGTGGCACAGGAGGAGAGCTGAGCTGCTCCAGCAAGCCCAGCCTCGCTAAGTCCACCTCAGCTAACTCGCAGACTTAGGAGCTGAACAGATGCCTCCTGTTGTAAGCATTTTTTTTTCGAAGTCTCGCTTTGTCGCCCAGGCTGGAGTACAGTGGTGCGATCTCGACTCACTGCAACCTCCGCCTCCTGAGTTCAAGCGATTCTTCTGCCTCAGCCACCGGAGTACCTGGGACTACAGGCGTGTGCCACCACACCCAGCTAATTTCTGTATTTTTAGTAAAGACAGGGTTTCACCATATTGGCCAGGCTGCTCTTGAACTCCTGACCTTCTGATTCGCCTGCCTCAGCCACCCAAAGTGAGCCACTGCGCTCAGCCTGTAAGCATTTTTATTAGACAGCACTACTGGACTGCAGTTAACTTATTCTGAAATTGGTACCTAGAATCGGAGGCTGCTGCTCCTAAAGTATGTAGCAGAGGTTTGGAACTGGGCAGTGAGGAAATACAGAGGCGGCTGGGAAAACTGGCAAGAAAGATGGTGACCTGTGTTATGTGGTGGAGAGACATCTGGTAAAGTTATTGCCTATGATACTTTGGGAGGGAGAAAATGGACCTATGAGTTAGTGGAGTTGGGCAGGACGGTTTCCAGGCAGAATATTGTAAACATGAGCTTTTCGAGCTGCAAATGATAAGGTTCTACAAGTAAGAGACGAGTTCGGAAAGGAACTAGCCAGTGTACAAGCAGAATTTAGAAAACAAAATCACTTCCCATCTCCGGGCTCTCCAGCCAGTAAAAGGTCCTCAAATTAATATTAGGTTGGTGCAAAATAATTGTGGCATAAAAGTAATTATTTTTGCACCAATCTAATATCTGGCCTGGGAGGCAAAGACCAGATCCAGAGCTACGTTGGTGAAGCATGCCTCAGAGTTGAGATGACATCAGGGATGTACCCTTAATGGTAATGCCCTTTGTCATCAGGTCCTTGCAAGGAATAAGGTGACATCAAGCATATCCTTTTAGTAACAACAGGGTGCCTACAAACTATCAAGGTGTGGCCTACAGCAGCCTGATGTGGGGGTACACATTGTCAGACGTAGAGAGGCATATTGCCAAAGGAATTTGGGTGTGGCTTCTGACACACAGTGGGCTGGAGTCAAATACATAGAAAACTCCTGAGATGCTTGAGAGATCGCTCTGGGCAAAGGCATCGCCCAGGACTCAAGGAAACTGAGACTGTTTGAACCTAAAGAACCTTAGGTTCCCAACTTCCCACAGGCAGGAAGAAGCTGAAAGTTACTCTGCTACCAAAGGGACTGTTTTCCAACATCCTCATCAGAAGTTGAAAGGACGATGGAAAAGGAAGAAGGCCCCAGCGGTGGAAGCTAGAACTGTGGCGCACGATGGCCTGGGGGCCGCTCGGAGCACCCCACCTCCAGAGCAGGGGCGTTGCAACATTTGCCCGGCAGGACTTCAGATGCCTGAACCAGGGACTGCTGTGTGCCTCCGTCTCCCTTTCTAGATGGGAGTGCTCATTAGTGTTATTCTAGCCCTGGTCCACCACTGTATGTTGGGTGTATGAGCAGGGTGCGACGGGCAGAAAACTTGTCTTTTTAGCTGGTAAGACTCTGGGTCAAGAAGAACCACACCCAGATATAGACCACAAGATCCTGGACTTTAAGCCTGAGGAAGTCTGACTGGAGAGTTTTTTCTTTTTTTCTGGGGGTGTTGATTGGGTATATTCTGCATGTGGAACATGAATAACTGTCTCTAGGAAGGCAGGCTGTGGTAGACTGGATTACTGTCGGGAAATATTTGCTCTCTCCTGCTCACTTCCGCAGGAGTACCCTTCCCTACTGCATGGGTGCTGGCCACGTGACTTGCTTTGGGGACCTGCAGCTGCTGGCTTGCCCTCCTGTGCTTCTGTCATTGCTAGTGTCTTGGTCCTGGGAGGAAGATGTGTCACACTGGGGGAGGCCAAGCCACCTAGACTAGATGACCCCAGCTGAGCCACAGTTGGAGACAGCCCAGGCAAGCCCGACCCGGGGCAGCCAACCTTCAGACCTTCAGGTTCATGAGCTAACTACATGCTTATTGTTATACGGTGCTGAGGTTTCACGGATGTTGTTATGCAGCGTGACTGTGGCCATCGTTACCTGACACAGAGGAGATGGCTCGTCTGAATGGCCACAGTGGGCTCTTAATTCTGTGGCTCGTGCAACCTCAGGTGGCACTGAACAACATTAGGCCTCACCCTCTCCACAAAGTAGGGCAGAGCTGCTTCCAGAGGCTTAACAAGTGGTGAAGCAGAGAAGGTGTGAGCCCCGAAGGTGGGCTTTGGAAAGAAGAGGAGGGAAGGGCAGAGCTGTGCATGCTTACTTCCTCCCTGGGAGCTCGCCGAGTGACATTGCTCCTTGGGGAGGAGAGGGGCCTTTCCACTAGGAAATGTTGGCCAGAGAAGTGGTGGCTCCCTGATGCACAGTGGAGGCTGTGGGATGCCTGCGGAAAGGAAATCTGCTCAATTCTATTCTCCTTGGGGGTTTCCTGCAAGTGTCTGACCACAAAACCCTTCCCCGGTCCATGTGTCTCATGCCTTCCAGGCAAAGATGATGTCCCATGTGTCTTTGGTGTCCACACTGCCCAGCCTGCGTGCTAAGGCTTCTCTCCTGGAGAGGAGAGGGTAAAGGGCTCTGGGCTCGGTGTTCAGAGGCCCGGGTGCCTGGCCCTTAGAAAGTGCCCTCTTCCCCTCTAGTTCAGTCCTGGGGCTCTGCTCCCTGCTCCGTCTCTGGCCCTACCCCCAGATGGGGCCTCATGACTCATTCAAGGGCTCCCTGAGGTTTACTGTAGGGGCCAACAGCTGACTGTCTGCCCACTGGACCCAGGCTTTCCCTGTCCACCTGCTGGGCGGCCCCCTAGAGCTCAGAGCCCCTGCTCGTGGTTGCTCCCCATGGGCCCCTTTGCCAAGGCCAACTGCTGGGCATCCTGGAGGTGCCACCTGCCTGCCCTGACTCCTTCTACCTGCACCAGAGCCTTGGGGGTTTGCCCATCTCACCCCGCCCCACCCTGATGAAATATGCTCCATCAGAGGGCCCACCAAAGGGAGGGTTCTGACCCTAGGAGTGTTTGGGTCTATACCCCGGTCTGCAATGCATATAGATGTTCAGAGTGGCTCACCGGAAGAGCAGTCAGATATTCACTGTGAAATGTCAAACCCTGCCCGGCCCCAAGGAGACAACAAACAAACAGCCAGTAAATGCCTCAGCATTAAACATTTCTTGGCAAAGGCGGGATAGTCAATTTTGACACTGTTAAGAAAAAATACAGCCTAATTTCTGCTCGAATGCACCAAATTTACTGCCCAGGTTCTCATTAACTACTGTCAAGGGGGAAGCAGATAGACAAGATAAATTATGAAAAAATTACTTTTTTAATGTACAAAAAGACTTATTTACAAGTTGAGCATGTCATCTCAATTCATAGCATGTAGAAAAAGCTAAAAATGTTTTGGAGATATAAATTTGGCTGGACGACTCACCTACAGTATATTCAGGGATGTCTTCTGTACAGAATATATACAGGTTGGGACTGGCAAGGGAAATCCTATCTCAGGAAGGCGATGAACACCACCACAGAGCCACAGACCCTTAGCAATGTTCCCTGGCTTTCATTTGCAGTTGGCCTTGTCTCTGGACAGAGTTTGATGTGCTGGGACGCAGCGAGCCCAGATGACGATGTTGGCCTTGTCCTCAAACTCTCCTAAGAAGTTCCTCATTAAGGCCAAGGTCACAGTCAGAGTCACACTCTGAGTGGTGCTGTTTGGCAAGGTTGCCACACATTCCCCATGAAAAGGTTTGGGGTGTGTGTGTGTGTGTGTGTGTGTGTGTGTGTGTGTGTGTGTGTATGGTGGGGAAGATGCACCAATTCACCCTACAGTGTGTTCAGGAATGATGTCTCCTGAAGCCAGTTCCAAATTCCATTTCCAGGTGGGTCTTGGTCACACTGAACAGGAAAATTCAACGATGCTCCCTCAGAGTCCTGAGGATCAACCCCTTCCCCTTTCCACCCCCAACCACACCACCTACACATGTCATCATTCTCTGCCCAGTGACTCAGCGGGCAGAAGGAAGGGAATCCGGAGGATACCAGGCATGCACACTGTGGCTTGGTGGAGAACACTGGGCTGCTGGTGAGTGCTGGGGGACCGGGCTGCCGTCAGGCCCTGGAGTTTTTGGTGGTAAAGTGGGTGGACGTTGCATTGGAGAAACAGGATTGGGTAAACACGCAACTTCCTCTTCCTACTGAGAGATCCCTAGGGCAGCCTGAGGCTGGGCCCCGGGTGCACCCTCACTCCTCGAGGCCTCAGTCCATCCCTAACCCACAGCGGCTCCAGCAGCCCCGAGGTATTTAGAAACAAGTCTTCTTTTCAGGAAGGGCTACATTCTACATGCAAACACTGTAAACACGGTCTGGAGAGGCCAGGGCAGCTTCTGGGCTTGCCCCAAGGAGTACATTTTTTCTTTCCTTTTTCTGGTGATACTTACATACTTTATTCATTCATATATACTTGGATGCTTTATTCATTCATATACACTTGGATGGGCTGCCAGTCCCAGACTCGGCTTTACGGAGTAGAAGAGCCAGCTCTACCAAACCTGGAATCAGAATGTGCTCCTGAATCATCCAGGTATAATCTGTGCTTTTCCTCTATGACAAGGTATGTTAGAGACCTCAAGAGTTAGGCTTCATAGAGGAATTCAGGTGGACCAGGAATTCCTTTTCCTTCCAAGTAGTAGAATAAAAAGCTCATCTTTCCGGAGCAGAGTATCCAGTATAGCATTCAGATTCAAACCCAAATGCTCCCTACCATCTTTCTGCATATCCTTTGAAAGGTTTTGGCCAAAGTAATCCCTCGTTAGCCGAATGTCAGCCGTGAAGAAGCCGGAACAGCGCGGTCCTGTAAGCACCAAAGGCTGGAAAGCACTGTGTAAATGAGTTTTGCATTCCTTCCTGTCCTATGGAGACTTTTTTCATTGTTCTGAGGAATAATCCAAAAGACCAGAGAGGATGCCCATAAACCTTCTCTTACAACATCTGTCATCTGAAGCGGCCATTGCGCAACAACCCCTCAAGCCTATTTAACACTTTTTTGGAAAAAGACAAGACAGCTGGAATCCCCAGGCTCTGGGCAGCGATGACCCCTCCGGGTGCACTCAGCACCAGGCGCTCGGGCCTCTAGGTCATCATGTTCAGGAACTTGCTCTCCTCGGCGAGGCTGGTGAGCATGGAGCTCATGTCCCCGACAGCCATGTTGCTGATGCCTGCGGGGATGGAGGGCAGGGTCAAGGAGTTTCGGGGGGTGGTGAGGCGGGAGGAGTTCTGGGAGAGGCTGTGGAGGAGGCTGGGGCTCAGAGCACCCGAGAACAAACTCGAGTGATCGCCATCATCCATGATGGCATCGAAGTCAATCTGGGGGGCCTCCAGGAGCTGGGAGTCCACAGTGCTGGACACCTGGTTGACCCCTGGTGAGGGCAAGGGCTGGGGCTGGATGCTGTCCTGACAGGCCTGTGGCTGTGGTGGCTGGGACCGCATGACCTGGCAGCTCCCGAGGTTCTCCAGGCCTCCATCCTGTTCGTACATGTGGATCTGGCCGTAGTAGTAGAGCATGCTGTGGTCCGGGGCCCCACCTGCGTCCTGCGGAGGCGGCTGGGGAGGCACCGACCCCATGTTGCCCATCGCTCCCTTGGGCACAGCCTCTGCTGTTTCCTGACTGGACGGCATGGCAGCCATGGCATGGCCTGTGGCCCTGGCGTAGGCCAGCTGCTGCTGCACAGCACGTACCCCACGGTGGCGGCCAGTGGGGCTGGGCTCGAGGGGAGGCCGGGGCTGCACTAGGCCAAAGCCTGCTGTAGCCACCCCCATCGGGCCTGTTTGGGGCTCCATGAAGCCAGGCTGGCGGGCAGGCAGAAGGCTGGGGACCTGGTGGTAGCCCTCCTGGCTCATGGAGGCTGCCAGGTGATGGCTCTGCTGTGGGTAGCTCTGGACTGGGTGAGGTGGTGGCACTCCAGCCAGGGCTGAATCGGGGACCCCAAGTTCCCTGTGGCGATTGCCCATCGTGGTGGGGTCAGGTGCCACTTCTGTCTGCTGAGGGTGCCCCAGATGCCCTGGCTTGGCTGGCATGTTGCTGCAGGATTGGGGGAACTGGTTGAGGGCCCCACTGATGGTGCTGGGGCTCAGCTGGGGGTGGACTTGGCCATAGCAGGCATGGGGGCTCATAGTGGTAGTCATGCCAGGACACTGGCTGCCTGCCACTGGCTGTCGCAGCTGCTGCATGTAGTTTACCCTGGGGATGCCCTGGGAGGGGGCTCCGCTGCGGGGCTGCAGGTGTGGCTGCGTGCTGTCCAGGCCCCCAGGGCTAGCCTGTAGGCCTTGCGGACTGTAGCCCGGGTACTGGCCAAAGGCAGGCTTCTGCTGCACCACCGCCAGGTTGCCCTGAGGAAAGGGTGGAGGCTTCACCTGGCTGGCCAGGGCGTCTACGGTGCCGGAGCTCACCTCATTCCACTGCACAGGCATGTTATTTTTGTTCAGGCTGGAGGGCGCCCCAAAGCCTAACTGGCATCCTCCCAGCATAGGGGCGGAGGGGCCCACGTTGGAGTCCGCAGCCACCATCCTGCGCTGGCCGTGCAGCCCCGGGCTGGGTAGTCTGGGGTTGTCAGAGAAGCCAGTGCTTTCCGTGGGATACACCTGCCCGGTGCCCTCGTCCAGAGCGCCACTGGCGTGCGCCTTGATGTACTGCACCACGTCGTCTGGAAGCACCAGGTCGTCCTCCGGCAGCCCCAGGTCGGCCTCGGGCCCCGCGCCGTCCACTCCTGCCGCCACGGCCTCCATCGCCACGTTCTCGCTGATGCTAGGCGGCCGGGGCGAGTAGGCGCCGCGGGCCAGGCCGCCGTCGGTGCTCGGGTGGCTCTGCAGGCGGAGGCCTCGCCTGTCGGCACAGGGCGGCAGCGGGCCGGGGTTCACGTTGTGGGTGCTGTGGAAGCGCTGCACCCGCGGCAGGGACAGGGCATCGGGCCGCCGCACAGGGTCGCTGGCCCGCCTGGCTCCGCCGCCTGGAGCCTCGTGGGGGAAGGCGGGCGCAGCCCCCGCGTGGCCGTGGCCATAGGTCGGCCCGTCGCTGCCACGCCGCGGCCCCAGTGGGCGTGGGCAGCCGGCGGGCAGCGTGCGCTCGGGCGCGTCCAGCAGCGCCAGCCTGGTCCGCAGGCTCATGCGCTCCAGGCCCGGCAGCGGAGTGGGCGGGGGGCCGCCAGTGGCTGCCGCGTACTTGGCCCGCAGGCTGTACTGCTGCGCCGGCGTGAGGTTGAGCAGCCCGGAGCCGCCGCTGCACTGGCTGGCCTCGCTCGAGCGCCGCGACGCGTCCGTGGAGATGGGGTCGTAGGAGTCAGCGGAGCTCGCGTTGTGCGGGCGGCCGGCGCCCAGGGGCGAGGCCTCGCTGGAGCGGCGGCTGGAGAAGTAGGGGGAGATGCCGGAGGAGCGGCGGCTCACGGTGTAGGCCGAGCTGACCGTGCTGGTGGAGCTGTCGCGGCGCTCCTGCAGCTGGCTCAGCATGGTCACCTCGCTCGCGGACAGCTCCGACAGCCGCGGGTTCGGCAGCAGCCCCGCGGGCCCGCCGCCCCCACTGCCACTGAAGTTTTCCAGGATGGAGCCTGCGGGAGAGCAGAGGGGTCAGCACCGGGACAAGGGTGGGTGGCTGCTTGCTTTGACCGTGCTCAGTCATCGCACTGGGCCTGGAGCCCGAGAAGAGGGCTTGCAACACAGCGCACTCAGGAGATGCATGCTTTCTTTCTCTCTTTCTCTTTTTAGAGACAGGATTTCCCAGGCTGGCCTTGAACTCCTGGGCTCAAGGGATCCTCCCTCCTCAGACTCTGGAGTAGCTAGGGCATACGTGGGCCACCGTGCCCAGTGAGCAGATGGTTTTTCAATTAAAAAGGGGAAGGAAAAAGCAATATGTAAACAAATGGTGGCACTTATTGCTAAGGGTGGGCGAGGGGAAGCCAGGAGGCCTAAGTCCCTATCTTCACTTTACCATTATCTGTCTGGCCTTGAATTCTCCTTTCTCTGGCCCTCAGTTTCTCTAGCTGTAGATAAATGTGCCTCTCCGTAGGACTGAGTTACGCAGAGGAGGGGATGAGCAGCTCAGGAAGGCCCAGGTTGGTCTCCTGGCACAGTACCCTCACAGTCTGTGGAGGTGGTGCCACCTAGGCGTCCCTGAGATGGAGTTTAAGGAGCAGGTTATTACAGGGAGTACCCTGAGGTCCATACCCATGGAAGGAAAGACAGGCTGCAAGAGTGGGCAGAGGAGACGTGAGCCCAGGATGATCTCACAGGGAGCCCAGGACCCCCAATGGCTCTTCAGTGCTGCCCTGAGTTGGGCACCTCTCTGAGCCTCATCTTGATGGCTGGGCCTTTACACTCCTGCAGTGACCAGTCATTGCATGCGGGGCTGCTGGGAAGGGGTGACCTTGGGTGGGGCATCTGTCTGCAACCCAGGACATCCCTGTAGGGGGCTGAGAGTTCAAGGCCATTTGCCAGTAGTCCCCACAAGTTGGGACAACAAATCCTCCCTTCAAGTGAGAGCAGGTGGTACATCAGTGTTGACCACAGTGGGCAGCCCGGCACAATCCTAGGCACAGAGTCAGTACCCAAGACATGCTCGTTAAAGACGCCTTCCATCTCAGAGCCTGGCCAACACCTCTTGAGACTGAGCACAGTGCTGCCTCCGCCATGAAGTCCTCCCTGCTCATCCCCAGCTCAATGTGCTTTCTCCTTCCTCTGCACAGCTCTACCCTAAGCTCTGGCTTTGGTGGTACCTGGCTCGTTCTGCAGTAGAGTGTGAATCTGGTGGCACAGCCTTCTAACCATACGCTCCTTTGGGACTGGAATTAAATGGCTCTCCTGCCTAGGGCCTTTGCCATGGTGCCCACAGCAAGTGCCTCATCAGTGAAGGAATGAATGGGTGAGGAAGAGGATGATGTGCGCAGGGTCTGCTTGTTTTGGGGGGTTATAAGGACTCAGAATGGTGCAGTTGAAAGAGCATGGCCTTTGGCTAATCTCACCCCTGCCATTGATTTGGGTAAGGCATTTCACCTCTCTGAGCCTCAGTTTCCTTTTCTGTACTGGGCTGGTAAGATCCTGTAGGAATCCGGTGAGATAGCACTGGTGCTTGGTGGGTGCCAGCCTAGTTGGTGCTGCCCCAGACTCTCTTCTGCCCCATCTGCAAACCCCAGGCCTTTACTCACCACTTCCCGGGAGGGGAGGCAGCTTGGTGTTCCGCGTGTGTGGAGTCGGCCCGGCCCATGAGCAGGAATCCTTGAGTGACTTGAGCTTCTCCTTCTTGAGCTGCTCGAACCGGTGCATGGTGGTCATGTGTTTGCGCAGCTGGAGGCCACCAGCGGAGGGGGCAGCCAGGGCTGAGGTGTCGGCCCCTGGGGGTGTGTCATCCAGTGCCGTCAGGTCTCCCAGGCTCCCGGGCCCCGTCCCCGGCATCTCCACGCCACTGTCATTGTTGGGGGCACTGCCCAGAGGAGAGGGCTCGCTGCTGCAGGACGACTGGGCCCCGGGGCTGGACTGACACAGCTGCAGGGGACGAGGCAAGAAGGCTCAGACTCAGAGGGTATCAGATTCCACCTGGTCCTGCCTCTAGGCCTGCACAGGCACCACACCCTCGCCCACCCTGAGGGGCTGAGGGTGAGGGAAGGAAGCTGCCTTGCGGAGGAGCACGTAAAGCGTCATGAGTCTGTTTGCTTAAAACGGTCAAGTCACTTCACTTCTCTTAACCTTGGCTTCCCCAACTATGAGATGGACCTGAACTGATTCCGGTGCAGAGTTAGTGGGTGGGTGGACAGCACGCAGCGTGCAGAAGGCACCCAGTATGGCACAAAGGAAGGCACTTAAACACTCCCACCAACAGCCATGTACCCTGATGAGGTGAGGAATGAAGCCTGCTGACTTGGTGGCTTCAACCAGACAGGATGATCTCAAAAGGCCAGGGGCAGGTTGTGGGAAAGGGAAAGGATGACCAGGAGGGGGACCTGTGGGATGCAGCCCTTGTGTAAAGGGCCACCCCAAAACAGTCTTCCCTCTGGGTTAGGTAGAGTGGGGCAGGGAGCTCATGGCACATGTACACAGTGCAGAATGCCACAGAACTCGGACAACATCCACTCGGACGACATCCACAGAACTCGGATCTGGGCCCAGATGAGGCTTGCACCAGATGCACCACCACCTCTGGGCTCATTGTTAGGCCAAATGGCCCCAAATTCCAGCTTTCTTGGGAAGGCATGATCTTCCTTCCCATGAGGACACAGGCTTAATGGGAGCAGGGACCTTCTAGGTGTTGTCCATGGCGCCACCCACATTTTTCTGTTTGACCCTCAGGACCTTCTGTAGCCTAGACGCATGCCTCCCTGTCACTCTGTCCCTGATACAGCCTGGCGCCCCTGCTCCCCACACCTGCCAGTTCCACTCCGGCTGCCAAGGCCAATGGCCCCACCTGCAGTGCCCTGCCGTGTGCCTGTCCGGGCCCACCTGCCTGGGCCTAGGAGGCCTAGACTGACAGGTGAGTCTCTGCCAGGCAGCAGCATGGACCGGCTCCCCAGCCACCCTCACTCCCCCAGCCCACCCACACATGCCCAGCTCCTTGGCTCACCTCAGTACCGTCTATCCTTAGGGGAGGTACAGTCAGGAAAAAGAGATGGAGACAAAGAACAGGTGGTTAGAACAAAAGGAGTGGACGCCAGAGGGGTGGGGATGCAGAGACAGGACAGAGGAGTGGGGGCTGGCAGTGGCACTTGGGTGCTGGCTGGAAAGGCAGACTTGCAGGGGCCACCCCCGCCCTGTGCAGGCCCACCGTACAGGGCGGCATCCCTGTCACCCAGCGTGCTGCCACACACCCAGCAGGAGCCTGGTCAGAGCAGAATGGGACCTGGACAAGATAGGTTCCATGTGAGGCCCAAGGTGGTGAAGGGGGAAAGCCAAGTTGGAGAGAGGAGGGATATCGCTGTGCCCCTAGAGGGGGGCCTTAGGGCAGAGCCCGCAACCGTGGCAAGGGGTGGCCCTGGGCACGGCTATGGAGTCGCCTTGCGTGGCTGGGCTGCCCAGCTCCGCTTACCCCGGAGCTCTCGGTCTTGATGGCTCTGACGTGCAGGCAGTCCTCCACGGCCTGGCTGGTGCTGCTGGCCTCGGTGCTCTCTGGGCCGCCAGGCTCCGTGCCGGCCTCACTGTCCCCATTCTCTTTGAGCAGCGGTGTGCGGAGGTGCACGTCATTGCGCTGCTTCTTGGTGACGTGGGCATCTGGGCCGTGGACCGTTTTCACATGCTTCCGGAGAGAGCTGGGGTCTGTGTATCTCTTGGTGCAGCCTGGGATCTTGCAGATGTAGGGTTTCTGGGGAGAGAAGCAGGCCTGTGTCATGGATAGGGGTACGAGGATCAACTCTGAAGGGGCGCTCTCCCTGTTCTCCTGAAGCTACCCACGCCCCTCAGCAGAGCCCAGCTGGCAACGTCAGTAGGTGCTGTGTCAAATTTGCAGCCAGTGCTCTGTGGATGGCACCATGCAGGAGCCTGGCCATAGCCTGGCTTGTCTGCACCTGTTCATGCAGTTAAGCACACGGCCACGGGGGGTCCTGCCACAAGAAGCTGGGGACACATGTGCCTCGTGTAATCACAATGCTGCCTCTCAATGAACAGGGCAGTGGGGTTTTTAGTACTAGTAGCAAGTGTACGAGCTCAGTGTACCCTCTGACAGCACTAGCACCCCTGATTTCTCTGATGAAGAAAGGCAGGATCAGGGAGGCAAAGGAACAGGTTCCAAGTCATCCAGTAATGGGGTGAAAAAACCCAGGATTTCCGAACCTCAGTCCTGGACTCATAAACATGCACACACACACACACACACACACACACACACACCCCACACACCACGTCTACAGAAAAACATACACTTACAAACACACATACACACATGTGCACACACACTCCCCTCTAAGGCTGGCTCTTGTCCATAGAGACTCTGAGGGGTTCAGATGCCTTTGAAAATTCCTCTAACTTCTTACAAGCATTGGAGCAAAGTCCCTTTGGGGTCCAGGATATGTCTAAGCTTTTAAAAACATACATTTCCGAGTAAGCCTGAGCGACAGTAATTGTGTGGCTGGGCCAGGATGCCACCGGCTCTTGCCCTGCTTTCTCCCTGGTTCTCTCAGCCCAGATAGGGGCTCTGCCTACCCAGGGAGACAGAGGCTGCTCTGTGCCCCATCTGCTGGGGCTGACAGCCACGGCAGGCCCAGGCAGCGCTAACAGCTGGAGCATGTCACTGCTGGCTGCCCAAGCCAACAGGCCAGGGGGCTACCAACAAACGCCAAGCTCAGACAGCACTGCTCTGCTTCCCTCAGGCAGTGGGGCAGCTGCTCCCCAGTGGAACACCTGCTTGTGGTGGAAAGGGAATTTGGGGGTGGGGAGCAGTGACCCAGGATGTTTTCACAGCTGCAGAGGGATCATCACTGCTCTGGCACTGGGGAAAGTCACTTCATCTCTGAGTCTTCGTTTCCTCATCTAGAGGATGGGGAGGCAGAGCCCACCCAGCAGCCCCAAGTAATAGGGAGCAGATGCATGTTAAACACTCCGAGATCAGAAGGGCCACTTCCCTGCTTCAACTTCAACTCTCGAGGACCTCATGATGGCCTTTGGGGAGGGCACTATTATATTTATTATGGAGATAAGGAAATTGAGGCACAGAGAGGGTCAGTATGCCATGGGACCTCACGGGGCATCTTTTAGAGGAAAGGATGTGGCATAGAGAAAGAGACCGGTCTGTCTAGGTCTCAAAGAGTCCTGGTCTGTATCTGAGGATGTATAGCTGGTCAGTGGCGGGGGCGGGACATGGGGCACCTGGCTATCTACTGGACTACAGATGCCTGGAAGCCATGGGGCGTCAGTGGGGCCCCAGTGTGCATGCCCAGTGCATGCCCCGCAGAGGTACCTCGTTGGAGTGGGTGCGATTCTGGTGCTTGGCGCGGTCCGAGGCGTTGGAGAAGGCTTTGTTGCAGCCCTCGTGCTCACACACATATGGCTTCTCCCCGGTGTGGGACCGCAGGTGTGTCTTCAGGTTCTCCAGGCGGGAGTAGGCCTTCGAGCAGCCCTCGAACTAGAAGGAGGCGGTTCAGTCAGTCAAGGCACCCCAGGGGGCCCAACCTTGAGGCCGGCTGCTGCTTCCTCCCCACCCCCTTCTCTGCTCTGCTCCAACCCGTCAGCGCACTCAGAAGCATGCATTTTAAGGATATTACTTTCCTTTCCTGAAAACATGGAAAGGGCTGAAAGGTACAAAGAGAAAAATGAAAACCACCGGTCGCCCAGGGGCTGCTACTGCTGACACGCAGGTAAGTTTCATTCTGGTGAGTCTGCAATTCATCTCCACATGTCTTTAAAACCAAAATTGGGAACATGTCAAGTATTCAGTTACATACTCTATTTTTTTAAATCAGCAGCATATTCCCATATCATTAAACTCTAAACTATGACTTTGAACTGTTTCCCAGTACCACTCTCGGTTAGAATTGTCCTGTGCTCTAAAACATGCTGAGAATAAAATTCAGTCCTTCAAGTCCTTGAGTGAGTCGGCCACCCTCATCTTCACTTTGGACATGCTGGTCTCCTTTCAGTTCTTTGACTCCACTAAGTTCTTTCTGGCTTGGGGCCTCTGCATACTACCGACCCCTCTGGCTGGAAACTTCTGCAGCCCCCACCCAATCCGGTTCCTGGCCCAGGTCCCTCCCTCTCAATCTTTTAGGTCATCTCCTCTGAGAGCATTTTTCTGATATTCTCAATCACAACACTCTATCCTCTCTCCTTTATACCCCTTGGCTCGATTTATAATGATCTTAATCATTTTGTTACCCAGCCTTCTTACTAGAATACCAGCTCCATAGAGCAGGAATCTTCTGTCTTGTTCATTGCTGTCTTCCTAATATTTAGCATCTAGGCACTCAAGAAACATTTTTGGAAAGGACGGAAGGAGGAAAGGAGGGAGCAAGGGAGAGAGGAAGGAAGGAAAGGAGGTGGGGAGAGAGGGAAGAAGGGAGGAAGGGGAGAAAGAAGAGATCATTGCAGGAAGCTCTGCAGCTATTCCAAAGATACTGTGGTTGCATTGAATGGATGTATGAAAACCGCCCTCAGGAGGACACGTACACCCGGCAGGAGCTGTCTCATTCCTCCCATCCTCCCCTTTATTCCTGACCAGTCTGATTGAGCATGCTTGGCTCCAAACGCCTTTTATCTGTTTCCACAACTCACAGCTCATATCATCAAAGGGCTATGGTTTGCCACTACTGAGGATGTTAAGAAAATAACTTGTTGCAATGAACCCTGAAGAGCCAGAACCATCTTGCAAAAGGAGGACAAATTTGGAGAACTCATATGCCCCAATTTACTTCCTACAAATTGACAGTAATAAAGACTGCATGTGGTACTGACATAAAGAGAGACATAGAGATCCAGGCAATATAACTGGCAGTTCAGAAAGAAACCCAGACACTTAAGGTCAATTGATTTTTGACAAGGATACCAAGACCATTCAAATGGAAAGAACAATTTTTCAGCAAATGGACTCAGACAACTGCGTAATCACATGCAAAAGAGTAAGTTTGGATCCCTACCTCATACCATGTACAAAGATTAACTCCAGCCTGGGCGTGGTGGCTCACGCCTGTAATCCTAGCACTTTGGGAGGCTGAGGCAGGGGGATCACCTGAGGTTAGGAGTTCAAGACCAGCCTGGCCATCATGGTGAAACCCCGTCTCTACTAAAAATACAAAAAATTAGCCAGGCGTGTGGTGCGTGCCTGTAATCCCAGCTACTCCGGAGGCTGAGGCAGGAGAGTCGCTTGAACCTGGGATGCGGATGTTGCAGTGAGCCAAGATGGCACTATTGCACTCTAGCCTGGGTGACAGAGGGAGACTCTGTCTCAAAAAAAAAAAAAATTAACTCCAAATGGATCAAAGACCTCAATGGAAGAGCTATATTATAAAACTCTCTATACACACATATATTCTTTTTTTAATTTTTAAATTTTTCAGAGTGCCAGTATTCAATATTTCTATAAATAAAAGTCTATATAAACTATAAAACTCTTAGAAGAAAACATAGAGGTAAATTTTTGTGACCTTGGATTAGGCAATGGTTCCTTAGCTATGACGCTAAAAGCACAAGCAATTAAAAAATTGTACAGCCTCAAAATTAAGAACTTTGTGCTCTAAAAGAAAGTATCAAGGAAATGAAAAGAAAATCCAGAGAATGGGAGAATTATTTGCAAATCATATATCTGACAAGGGTCTAGTAACCAGATATATGAAAAATTCTTACAATTTAACAGCAAAAAGACAACCAGGTTTCAAAATGGGCAATATTTGGGTAGACAGTTCTCCAGAGAAGATACGCAAATGGCCAATAAGCACCTGAAAAGATGTTTAACATTATTAATCACTAATTAGGGAAGTGCTAATCAAAAACACAATAAAATACTACTTTATACCCACTAGGATATGGCTAGAATAAAAAAGACAGGTAACAACCAGTGTTGGTGAGGATTTGGAGAAATCAGAACCCTCATTCATTGTGGGTGGAAAGGTAAAATGGAGCAGCGTTTTTGGAAAACAGACTAGCAGTTCCTCAACTGCCATACGACTCACCAATTCCACTCCTAGTTACACATACCCAAGAGAAGTGAAAACGTTCTGTCCATATAAAAACATGAACGCACATGTTCATAGCAGCATTATTCATAATAGCCTCAAAGTGAATACAATGCAAATATCCATCAACTGATGAATGCATAAACAAAACATGGTCTATCCATACAATGGAGTATTATGCAGCCACAAAAAGAAAGAAAGTACGCGTGCATGCTACAACGCAGGTGAACCTTGCAAACGTGTTAACTGAAAGAAGCAAGACACAAATGCACATATTGTATGATTTCAGTTTTTATGAAATTTCCAGAACAGGCAAATCCATACAGACAGAAAGCAGATTAGTAATTGTCCAGGGCTGTGGGAAGGACAGAATTAGGAGGGGCTGTGGGAAGGACAGAATTAGGAGGGGCTGTGGGAAGGACAGAATTAGGAGTGGCTGCTAATGAGTACAGGGTATCTTTCTGGGGTGATGAAAATGTTCTGAAATTAACTAGTAGTGATTGTTGTACAAATCTGTGAATGTACTAAAAACAACTAAATTGCACATTTTCCGAAAAGGGTGAACTTTATGGTATGTCAGCTATTTCTCAATAAAAAAACTGACTTGCCAGCAAAGGTAGCATATTTCATTGGATCCTGGACACCACTGATTTTAAGACAGTCTGACTTCAGAGATATTAAGGTGAAAACAAAATGTATGTCTCAGAATCTATGAAACAAGAATTCACAAAAAGGAGTTCCCAGATGTTTCAGCTACAGCTGAAACCACGTGTGCATTTGTGGGGCAGCAGTTTCTGTGTGTTAAAAAAATAAGTCTCTCCAACTATAGTCATAAATCCTGTTGACCTTCTAAAGGAGACCATAGAAAAGGTCTTATCATTGAGCTCACTTAAAAAAAAAATAACTCAGCTGGGAGCTGTGGCTCAAGACGAATCCCAGCACTTTGGGAGGCTGATGCAGGCAGACTGCTTGAGCCCAGGAGTTCAAGAGCAACATGGCAAAACCCCATCTCTACAAAAGAATACAAAAATTAGCTGGGTTGGTGGCATGTACCTGTAGTCCCAGCTACTCAGGAGGCTGAGGTGGGAGGATTGCCTGAGCCCAGGAGGTGGAGGCTGCAATGAGCTGCCTGGGTAGCAAAGTGAGACTCTGTCTCAAAAAACAAACAAACAAAAAAACCCTCAACCATTTTAACCCATCATTGCTCAAGCTCTGAATCACCAATGATGTTTTTTTCTCTGCAGAGCACTATGGAGCTGTCCCTCTTCCCAGCGTCACCCAGCCAAGCAAACTGCAGGGTGCAGATATGCCTTTGGACTCACAATCACAGACACACCCACACATTTTTGCCATGCTTACCGAGATGCTCACACCCAGAGAGCAAGTCCATCAAGGTCTGGGACGGCACGAGGCGAGGGGCCTCCAGGACCCAAACAGGCAGGGTGGGAACAGGCTCCTGTCCCAGAGCCCCTGCTGTGGTCTGCCCCACCCAGGTGTGCCTGTGGCCAGCCACCTCCAAACATGATCCCCCCGGCCTGGCTGACAGGCCAGTCTTGATGCTGCGGCGGGGGTGGGGAGAAGGCCACTCACCGTGCACTTGTGGGGCTTCTCGCCCGTGTGTCGCCGCATGTGCACCACCAGCATGTACTGCGCCTTGAAGGGCTTCTGCTCCCGCGTGCAGGCCTGCCAGCGGCACACAAACTCCTTCTTCTCCCCGTGGATGTGCTCGTTGTTGATGTGCTGCCGGAGGGACATGCCCAGAAGAGGGTAAGCAGGGCCAGAGGCCCACAGACCACCCCCTGCTGTCAGCTGACCACCTGCACCGGCACCCCCCCAGCCCTCCCCGACCTGTGTGCAGACCATCCACCCTGCTGACCACACCTATTATGTTCAGACCGTGCTCCTCATTGCCCATCCCACCTACTATACGCAGACCACTGACCCAACAAGACCACCCCTACGAGCCGGGCCACGCCTCCTCATGAATCATCACTAGCTGCCCTTAAATGAAGGCCTACTGCGTGCCGCTTATCTGCCCTGCATTTTCCAATCAGTCCTCAAAGTGACCGTCTATATTGGGCAAAGCCATCCTGTGCACCGCAGCCTGGGCTCTGGTGTGATGACGCTCCCAGGCTGCAAACAGTAGGCACTAACCGCAGCGAGGCAAACGTGCCCGTAGTGGGTGCATGAGAAGCCTCTCCTAAGCTTGCCCCTATTGTTTCAGAGGTTTGTAAATAACATATTTTGTTTCAATAGAAAAATAACACATGCTTATCTCTATTTTTGGCATTGACCCATGAGATAATGGCTTTGTCCCCTTTCCACAAAGGCACAGAGAGTTCAGTGGCCTGCACAGGGCCCTGGCAGTCGGCGTGGTGGAGCCAGAACTGACCTTAATGGTGGGCTCTGGGCACTGTGTGAAGCTTATCCTGGGAGAAAACGGCCCCAGGCAAGTGAGTTGGGACAGCCAGCGCAGCACGACTAACCCTGCCGCGTATCTCGGGTAAGGCTGGGTTTACTTCCCCAGCCTGGTGGCGAGGCCAGGACACTCAGGTCTTAGAGGCCTCCCCTTCCTCCTCTGTTCTCAGTTTCCTCCCCCGTCTTCACTTCCTCCCAGCCCCCCTCCCACAACCTCTAGACCCACACTGTCTAATGCAGTGACCACTTGCCCCATGTGGGGCTCTTGCACACTTGAAATGTGGCTGGCCTGAGCTGGGATGGGCTAGAAGTGCAAACTACACACCAGTTTCAAAGACTTAGAATGGAAAAAAAAGAATATACAATATCTCAATAACTTTCTTTTCTATTGACTACCTGCTAAATGATATTTCAGATATATTGGGCTGGATAAAAAATATTAAAATTAACTTCACCTGTTTCTTTTTACTTTTAAATGCACTCCTAGGAAATGTAAATTACATGGATAGCTGGCATTTGTGGCCTGTAATATTGTTCTGCTGGACATTCTGCTGTGGAACTCTGCCACCAAAAGAGGCTGTCCCAAGAGCCAAGCATCAGGCACTGGCAGCACCTTGCCCCAGAAGACAGAAAACTGCCAGGCCCTCATGCCCTGTGCGACTCGCCCAACTGTCACGCGTACAGATGCCCCTGCTGGAGCATGTGAAATCTCCAGCGCTTTGAACTTCCAGGGAAATCTTATCATATTAGCCTCACTTTCCATTTTTAAAGCCTTTCAAATGATAAAAATGCTTCCTGACAATGGCTTTCATTTTTTTCTTATTGGTTTACTTAGCAACAAATTGTTAATAATCGACCAGGGGCTCCAGCTCGCCTGTGCGCCTGCTCCATCCATCTTTCCAGGGAGCAGAGAGAAACAGAGAGAGACAGACAGACAGAGCTGGGTGAAGGGGTCTGCTTTTTCCAGGGCCTGGTGGAGGTGGCCACCTATAGCTCCAGGACAGTCCAGGGCACAGGCAGAAGCCCCTGGCTAAAGCCCTCCTCCCAGTTTGGGGACCCTCCGCATTCATCTGAGGAATTCCGTGCCTGCTCTTTGGGGCTGACCCACTTATCACAGAGCACGTCTTTGACATCCTCATCTGCATGCTCTGGCTTTGGCCTTCCCCTGGCCTGAGAGACTGTCCCTCTCTCCTCCTTTCATCTAACTGATTTGTTCTGCAACTCACAGCTCCACGGTCCCTGCTCCATCTAGGGCTTGTTTACCCCAAAGAGGTGGTACAAGTTGAAAAATTAAGTTTGAGATCCAGAAGGGGTTAGATAAGACCCTGCTTCACCAGCTGCATTCGTTTGCTGGGAAATTCTGGCCTTCTGGGTGAGAACTGTGTTTGGGAGGACAAACTCCAACACAAAAGAAACCTACGGTATTTGTGAGCAAGTTGCATAAGTGGAAGAAGCAGAGGGAGTCGGCGTGTCCTAAATGCTAAGTTCACAGAGCTGGGGAGAAGCAAGCGCCTCTGGACAGCTTCTGAATATGAATCGGAGACGCGTGCATGTGTGTGTGTGCATGTGTGTGCACGTGCGTGTGTGTCTGCTCTTCCCAGCAATCGAGCTACTAATTTAGTGGGTTCATCTTTATAGACACTCACTCACCAAGGAGCATGTGCTGGGGAGTTGGGAGGTGGCTTTCTTGAATTTAAGTTCTTCTCTGGATGGAGAAGAGAGAACCACTCAGGGCTGGTGTGGGGAACAGGCAGGAGGAGGAAGGAGGGAGCTGCTAGGTGCGGAATGTCTGCAAGGCACTAAGTGCTGACAAACATGATTGACCCTCCTGTGGGGTAGCATCAACCCCCTTTATAGGAAACAAATGAAGCTCACAGAGGTGGAGTCACTTGCTCAGAACCACTCAGCTGGTTGTGGTGGGGACAGGTTTGGAGCCAGGTGTCTCCCGTGCCAAGCCTCTGCTCTGCACATTGCACACATCACCCCTAACTGCCATATAAGGGACGCTGCAGTATGAGAGTTTGGAATGAGGACCAAGAGGCATATCCTGAAGGTCTCGCCGGCTCCCATGGTCATCTCTAATCACCTGAGCTGTCAGTACTCAGGCACTGTTAAGCAACCTCCTCTCTGATCTGGGTGTAGACGCCCACCTGCACCCATATCCACTGGGTATCTGTGAATAGTCCCCAAAAGGAAAGGATCAACTCCTTCCTTCATGGGAGAAGCTTCTTTCACTTATTATTGTGTAGATACTGGCTGGTTTAACTAATCGTATTTCCCTCTTTGCACTGGCTATTAGGAATCTCAGAAAAAAAAAATGTGTATATAGAATATAGCTCAAAGCACTCGGTTTTTAATACTAACTCTATTCCTGGTTTCACTTTATTGTTCTCTTTTCCCTGACAGTCTCATTTACTTATTTTTTCTTTTAATTGTTTGTATTACATATGTATTGGAAGCCATCTTAAAAACAGGCAGGACACACATAAGTAATTATGCCTCCCACTTGCAGGGGATGTGGCCCAGGCATCTCTGGGGGTCTCTTCCTCCAGCCCCTTCTGTCTAGTAGAGGCCCTGGAAGGCTCAGCATCCTGCATGGCCTGGGCCGTGCCCCGGTTGGCGGGCTGCTGGGGTTCAAAAGCTTACATGCACCAGCTGCTCCTGGGTGTCGTACTCCTTGGTGCAGTCTTCCCAGTGGCAGTTGGTCTCATAGATGACCACCTCAGCCTCCTGCTTACAGTCATCCCTGTCCAGATCTTCCTTGAGGTCAGCCAGCTGCTCCTGGGAGAGGGGAAGGGCACACCCACATGAGCCGTGTCCAGACACCTGGCCCTGAAAAGAGGTCGCTGTTAGTCCCATGCATTCTGTGCCAAGGACCCTGGGCTGTTACAGGTGTGGATGCAAGTGTGTGTGTTACAGGTGTGTGTGCACACACACAACACATGCATGCAGACACACACACACACACACACACACTCATCAGCCTTTTTAGCTCCTTTCCTCAACTCAGCCCCGCCCACAGCTCTCCTTGTCAGATGGCCTGTCCTGGGGCCCTTCCTCCTTCCTCTCCAGTGCACACTTGTCTTCATCGAAGTGCTGTGGGGAACCAGTTTTCCCTGCCACAGCCCTAACGCATGGGCATCTGCATTCTTGTACGATAGGGAGGATCCGAGGCCCTCCCCATGAATACACAGTGAGCTCGAGGCAGCCTAGGTCTGGACTTGAGTCCCCTGACCACATTAGGGCCCATGTGGCCATTTTAATGAGGCGAAGGAAAGACCCCTGAGACATTCCTTGACCTGATCACAGGTACCTGAAATTCCTTCACCTGATCACAGGTCCCTGAAATTCCCGTCAAAAAGGACAAAGTCTTTTTCTCTCAAACTGGCAACAGACTGAGAATTAACCCACAAGACCATCCCTACCCTCACTGATGCTAACCAGGGGCACCCTCTGAGCAGAGAACATGAGGACAGGTAGGAGGTACCTGCCTGGGGTCGGGGCACAGGGAGAGGCTCATACTCCAGGTAGGGACGGAAAGTCCACGGAGGGCCTACAAGGGCTGTCAAGGACTCCCCAGTATTCCACTGGTCTGCTAGGAAGGCTGGGAGCAAAGCCAAGCAAAGAGGCAGATGTTACCAAGATTGCTTCGCACTTCAAACTCTCTCCAAAACCAGCAGGAAAATGTTGTCTTTCAGAATAGTCTCTGGGGAAAACATGTATAGTCAGGCTCAGGGGGATGAAGGACCTCGCCCCATACTCAAAAGGCCTAACCCCCACTGGCTCCGGGGACTCAATGAGTGGTACCATAGCTGCCCAGGTCACAATTTCAGTCCTAATGCTGAGTCCCTTTCTGGGAATGGAAGAAATTAGCCTCAGGACGCCCTGCTGTCAATGGAGACTCAAACTCCACCTGACTTTCCATAAGAGCTGCAAAGACCTCTTCCGAGAAGGGTTCCTGATTGTTTCTCAAAGGACCTTTCAACGAATCCACTTGTTCCCAACAGGAAAGCAACAACATGTCGTACAATAGCTCCAGGGGCTACATTGGGAGCAAGTCAAAGGAAGGTGTGGGAGCATTTCCTTTCCAGATCTTTAGCAATGGGATCGTCTGGGGGCTGTTGGGGTGAGACCATGGGGAGAGTGGACCAGAGGGCCTCCCATCACCCTCTCCACTCTTTGAGAAGACCTGGAAGTCAGCCATCCACCTTACAAATGAGTCAGGGAGTCCTTGGTCAGTGAATCGGGACACTGAGCGACGGGGGGACAACCTCCTCATGATAAACAGCTTTCCTTGCACTGACACGTGCGCAGAGCCAGGCTGGGCAGGCAGGAGGCCCTGTATGGCCGGCCAGGGTTGGAGGGCGGGCATAGGGCCCTACCGGCGTGTGGCCATGGGGCTCCCAGGTGCTCAGTGCCTGCCTGCCGGCCCTGTCCTTGCCTTTCTGGCGTGTTTATCTTCCCTGGATATGTGCCGTCCTCATCAATTTCATTGGCTCCCGATGATGGTCGGCCCCGTGGAAACCATGCATCGTGCTGAGACCGGCTTTGGTGTCAGCAAGGGGAGAAGAATTTGTCATCAACCTCTCTGCTTGCTTGACGATAACAGAAGCCAATATTTCATGAAAATTAAGTGCCCAGAGCATGCCTGATGGTTCACAGTTTTGATAAAGGATGCTCGGCAGATGCAGGGGAGACAGGGATAGGAGGCCCTGAGCATCCTTGGTGTCCAAGATGCGGCTTCTGTGGTAATGAATGAAGACTGGGCCACCATGAGAGGGCTTGGGGGACCAGGGGCTTACTTACCAGGTCAACAGGCACGGCATGCCCTTTACAAGACAGGCCCCTGCTCCCAGAGTGGGGGCTGCCCGCATGCTGTCTTGGAGCAGAAGAAATAAGTGGCAAAGTTTCCAAAAGGATCAGCACAGGGTCTGGGCCACGTGGTAGGCCTGCACTGGGCTGTGGGCTGCTCCGCTCTTCTCTCCCCGCTTGAACTTGTCCTGTCTTCCCCCCTCACCACGCCACTCACTGACTCAAATGTGCATTGAATCATTGGAAAATACTGTGTCAGTGACTGCACACTTGCACAAACCCTGGTGGCATGGAACCCAGTCAGGCACTTCTCCCATAGCGCCACCTCTCCAAAGCTTAGAGTGCAGACAGGGAGACAGGTGTGCACACAGCACATGCCCTGAAGTGACCCCTGAGCTAGGCTGGGTGTGTGGGCCTGGAGCTCAGTCCTATCACCCAGGAGAATCAGGAAGGGCTGAAGTGGCAGCGAAGGAGCCAGGGTGGGGTAGAGTTCCAAGAGCGACAGCAGCCTAGAAGGGCCTGGGCCATTCCGGGGACGTGAGCAACTCAACTAGGCTGTGGCTGGTGCTGTACACAGGTCAGGTGTGGCGAGAGAGAGACAGATGCAGCCTGAGACAAGAGGGATGGCTAGGCAGAAGTTCATTCATTCACTCATTCATTCATTCACCATGTGTGATGGGAATGTAGTATGTCCAGGGTGCTGGGAACACAGTGGTGAGAAAGTCACAGCTCAGCATTCCCACCCAGTCCTCCCTGGGTCACTCATTCATCCATGCAGGCAGCCAGCCAGCCATCCGTTCACCACCAAGGGTACAGCCCCAAGGCAGCCCACAAGCCTGGTCCTAGCTGGAGGAAGGTGGTGCGGCTGGCAGCAGGTTACCTGCGTCAGCGCCAGAGGGGAGGCCGGCCGCAGGCCCTCAGGCTCGGTCTTGACCTTGCTGCGCTTGTGAATGGCGACAGGGTTGACGGTGCTGCTGACGGCCGACTCACTGCTCTGCTTGTTCTGAGGAAGGGTGCAGAGGACAGTCTGTTACTCAGGGGCAGGGCAGGGATATCCCAAATTTTTTTGGACTTTAACTCTAGGATCTCTCCGCACAGACCATCTGGGCTAACCCTGTGTTTAAAGTATCAGAAATAGAGTCCCCAGCTCAGTCCTGCCAGGGGCACATGTCCTGCTACAGGAGAGCACCCAGACCTGGGCATGCCAACCCCCATCTCTCCATCACCGCCTCCCCAAGACTTCTGGGAAATGGGAAAGAGACCTTCTCTTTGGAAAATGCAGGGTGCCCTTGCTCCTGTTCTGACCAGGCTCAACTTCTCAGCCCTCCAGAGCAGGGGACACTGTGGGTCTGAGAACAGGGCCTGGCCAGCCCAGGGCATAGGGGGCCAGAGCCCAGTTCCTCAGGAGAAGGGGCTAGAGCTAAAGTATCAGGTGATGTTTCCAGAGCTGACAGCCACTGTCGTGGGGAGGCTCTGGGGAGCCACCAGGAGCCCTGGGGTGGAGAGGGAGGACATTCTGGAACAGAGGACACTTCTAGAGGACATGGTGTCCTGTCTTCCTTCCAAGGGTGTAGCCACATCCAGGCTTTGCCATTTGCTGGTGGGTGGCCTGGGGTGGTCCCTTCACCTCTGGCATTGTCGTTGTCAGTGCTCCCAGGATCAGAGCCTATGGGGGCTCTGCACACATGAGCTTGTTTGTATGCACAGTGACCCCACCTAGGCATCAGGAATCCCACTCTGCAGATAAGTTAGCTCAGGCTGCGAGAGGGAAAGAGATGTGCTGCTTTCAGGCAAGTTGGGATCCCAAAGATGGTCTGACTGATGCTAAGGCCTGTGCCCTTCCATGTCCTTATTGTAAAAGAACACTTCATTTGCCAAATAATAATGGCACCTAGGATGTGCCAGGCACTGTACTAGGATGCCCAGGCATGCTCAAGGCCCGTTGGAAGGGTCGAATGAGGCAGTGTGTGAAAGCCTGCTGCAAATGCACATTCTACAACGAAACTGCACAGTCTTATAATGATTCACTCACCCACCCATGCTATGTGCTGTGCATGGAGTGCCTCCATGGTGCCAGGCCCTGGGAATCGAGGCTTTCTCCATCTACTTATTATGCTTCTTGGACAGGAGACGGCAGAATCAAGAAGCTGGGAGCTTCCCATGGACTGAGCCCAGGTCTCACCCTTTCTGTAACGTGGCCTCTGCCCAGAAGGCACCCTAGCGGCCAGACGTAAATCCAGAGGCCCTCCACAAGTTCTTAGCATGAGCTGGCAGTGAACAACCCTCATGTGTCCAGATGAGTACCCAGTGGCCATCCTGGCCCCTGCACCCACCTACCTGGTTGGTGTCACTCAGACAGTTGCTGCTGCTGCTGAGCTGGGTGGGCGTGGCATTGATGGAGGTGAGGGCCATGGGCTGCTGGGCCAGGAAGGTGGGTGAGGGCTGGATCAGGGGTGGTGTGTGTCCAAAGGCTGACCCCAGACCCCTCTGCTGGCTCAGAATCTGCTGGTAGGCCACGGGGTTGATGGGGTGGGGGAAGGTGAAGGCTGGGCTGCAACAGAGAGCAGACAAGGAAGTGGGGGTGGGGGATCGGGAGCTCTCTTAGGCTGACACTTCCTGGACAGAGAGAACCTTGCCCAGGGGATAGGGATGAGCATGTTGCTAGCCCCACCATCACCGTGGCTTCCTCACTCAAGAACCAGCTGTGGCTTCCTACTGTCTGCCACTCACCTTCTGCGATCAGCTCCCAGGTTCTGCCCCAGGATGTAGACTTCACCCCTGGCAGGCTGGCTCCCAGCAGGGACCAGGCTCCAGCTCATCCCCACACCCTGGCCTCTCCACTGCTGTGATACCTAGACGCATGTCTGTATCGCTGCTCCCTGACTACGTGAAACCCATGAGGCCTCCGAATCCTGTTCCAATGCCCCCTCATCCAGGAATCTTGCCCTGAGCCCCCCAGCTTGCATTATTCTCCTCTTCTTACTGCACTTCTAGGCTCTGTCACACCACTTGCATAAGAGCCAACCTTCACACAGCAGGATACCAAGGAAAGATTGGTGACCCCTGTGGTTGGGCCGTAAAAGACATCGTGGCTTCCTCCAGCTTCCTCTCACATCATAGGCTGCAAGGTGGGCTGGGACCCGTCTGCCATGTTGTGAGGACACTCAAGCAGCCCTAAGCAGAGGCTCACAGATGAGGAACAAAGGACACTGCTGAGAGCGCTGTGAGGGGGCATTCTGGCCCAGTCAAGCCTTCGGCGGGATGAAGCACTGGCTGACAGCTTGACTGTGGCCACCTGAGAGAGCCGGAGCTCAGCCTGTCTCAAATTCCTGACCCTCAGAAATGGGGGGAGAGAACAATTGCTTGTGGTTTTAAACTGCTATGCGTTGGAGCAATTTGTTAGGCAGCAAAAGATAACAAATACACTTGTTATTCCTTCCATCTCCAGGTCGTTGGGACAAACTCTCCTGACATTCCTAACTCCTCCTGGCCTCTTCCGGAGGTGCTGGAGAGGCATGTGAGTTTCAGTCAAGCTGGCTGGGGTCTGAGTCCTCAGACAGACTAGAGCCGCACAGAAGGGAGAAGGGTGGCTGGTGTCAGTGAGGCTTGGGTGTGCCACCATGCGGCTACAGAGGGAGGCCTGCTGCCAGCCCAGAGGCTTGCTGAGAGCATGGGCCATGTCAATGTCACATTTTGTGTGGTCTCCAAGGTTGGCCAATACTTGGCTGCTCCACCAAATTCAGTGAAATACTAGGAAAACCATCTTTGACCTCAAACACCTTTGATTTCACATTTGAGTCATTCATGACAGGCCTGGTCCATGAAGATGTACTCAGATATGGGCTCATTTCAATTTGATCATTATTGGTTTTGAATTCATAAAAAAGGTGCAAGTATGTGGATTCACAAATGCCACAGGTCCTGTCTTTCTCCTCGGGTCAAAAGCGCCCACTGAAAAGCCAGCGCCTCCCCACCGGGCCCTCAGCCCAGCTCTGGTCCTCAGCTCTCTGCTTGCAGGCGGGGCTCACCTGAGGGCACCCGCTGACAGATGCCCGTAGGAACCGCTGGCCGCCGAGCTGCTTCGGGAGTTGTTGATGTAGGCCACTAGCGAGTTGGGTGAGGTGCGGATCATCCGCTGCAGGTCCAGGCTGGCGTCTGAGAGTGGGGAGATGGACAGCGCCCGCTTGCGGCTCAGGCGGGGCGTCACCCGCGGGCTGGAGAAACGGGACACTGTGGGATAGTCAACACAAGACAGGTCAGCATCACTGGGGATGGGGGAGGGGGTGACATGTGGGTGGGGGATAGGAAGAGCCTGCAAGGATGGTCTAATGGGAATCCTAGCTTTGCCGACTTTCCAGCTGTGGGCTCTTGGGCGAAGGATGTCACCTCTCGGCCTCAGTTTGTTGATCTGTAAAATGGACTGAGCAGCGCAGGGTGTGGTGAGGACTGGAGAAGTGCATGTAAGGTGTTTGGGCGAGTGAATATGAGCACTGAGCATAGTGTATTTACCACTGGGTGCAGAGACCAGGGCTGGAATCCAGCAATGCTTACCTCATGACAGGAGTGTGCACGAATCATAAGTGAGCAGTTCGGTGGCCTCTCACCAAGTTAGCCCACCTGGGAAGCCAGCCCCAGGTCAAGAAACAGTGCTTGGCCATTGTCCACAGGCCCCCTCCATCTTCCAGCCCAAGGGCAGCTGCTATCCTGGCTTCTAACACACAGCTTCTTGTTGCCTACTTTTGAGCTTTGTGTAAATGGAATTTTTAAATACTCTTTCATATCTGGCCTCCTTCATCCACATGGTCAGTTTGTAAGATTTCTCCATGCTATTGTGTGTGGCAGAAGCTTGCCTGTTCCCACTGCTATGGAGAATTCCATGGGGAAGAGAGGGAATGGAAGTAAGTGCTCCAAGGTCACAGGTCACGTTGTACCTGGAATCACCACTAAAGTGCCCCCTGATAGGGCATTTGCCAAGCAGAGGCCTGGATGGCGGCCCCCAGACTCTTCGCAATGTCTGGGCCTTTGGCTGTCTCTCCAGAGCCTACTGGGCAGCCTGCTGTAACAGGGCAGGGAGGACACGAGGACATGGCAGCGAGAGGCATCCTGACACAGGCAGGTGCTTCTGCGTACTGAGGTCCTCAGTTCTAAAGTCGCCCGAGGCTCTGGGAAGCTGTTGCTTTGAATGTGCACACCACATGCATGCAGGCACACATGTACGCAGGTGCACACATCACCCATGCATGCAAACACTTGTGTGCACCCACACGCAGACATGTGTACACATGCATATGCACACATATGTGTGGACACATGGCTATGCCCTCAGCCCTCACCAGCTGCTGTCGCACACCTACATAACTGTGGAAGGGAAGAGGGCTTGCCCCAGACAAGAGTACCCTGCACCCTAGAACCAAAGGCTCTTCCACTGTGGTTCCAGACTGCTCCCCATCACGGTGCCCCCATCAGGATTCTAGGTCTCTGCCCTGAACAAACGGTGGCCTAGAAATGGTCTGACAACACTGCTGGATGACTCTCCACAAGCCAAGCTTCCTGCCCTGTCCAGATCCCTCAGAGCCAGTCTCCTCTTTTTAAAGGGCTCTAATAGTGCTGACCACCAGGGCTGGCATGAGGTGTAAATTAGGCGAAGCGTGAGAAGCACCTGGCCCATGGTAGGGCACAGTAAATGCTTGGGCCTGTCCTTGACTTTCTGGACACCTGCATGGAGCAGCCTCTTCTCATGTCCCGCTGGCCCCTGCCCACCCATCCTTTCCAGGCCTCCGGGTTCCCCATGGGCTGGTGGTGTTGCCCATAAATGATGCTGGGGGTTGCTCAAGCACACTCATGTCTGTGCTTGGCTGTTCCCAGGCTTATGATAACTGCGTTCCTCCCTTCTGCCTGCTCAGACCTGCTGAGACCCCTCCTGGGTGCCCCCTCCTCCAGGCAGGCTGCCCTGACTGCAGGGTCTGGCTCCATGGGCCTCCTGCTCACAGTACACACAGCCTCTTGGCGGGTGCTCCCAAAGCTTTCCTGATGGCTTTGACCACTGACCTTAGGGCCACTCTGAATCATGCACGTGGCAGTTCCTTATGTCTCCACAGCTGCAGGAGCACCGAGGGCAGGGGGTGATGGCCTACGAGCCTCTGAGCCCCCCACTCCACACCTACCAGTCCCCAAGAAGGCTGTGTGAGGGCAGAGCCCGCACCCACCTACTGAACAAGCCGCAAGCCCTGGGATCCATGTTGGCCCCTCGAGGCAACCATGCCCGGCCCAGCCCCAAGCTTGGCTGCAACCCTGAGGAGACCTAGGGATCCCTGGGGAGGCTCTTTCCTGCCAGGCCACCAGGAGAAGCACCTCTCCAAGGCATAGAGAGGACAGAGGACATCCAGGACCATTGGGCCGAAAGGGGCTTCCAGGGTTTTCTCTCCTAACAGCCTCTTTCATGGGATGAGGGGAGTCTGAGGCCACAGAGGGGAGTAGACAGCCAGCAGCCTGGGATGAAGGGACTCTGGGTAGAGGGATGGAGACCTGGACTGGAACAGTGGCCTGCAGTGGGGTGAAGTGGGGGCTGCACACCGGGTACCCTGGGCTGGAGCCATAAGTCAGCTGCATGACTTGGGGCAAATTGTTTTACCTGTCACAGACTTGGGGTCTTCATCAATGACACCAGCATAAAACAAGTCCCTGCCAGCTCTGGGGTTGCTGTGACCCAGTGGGATGATGGATGGGGAGGTGGCCTGGGCTCTCCAGAGTGGCTACAGTTGAGATGGTCATGTGACCCAGTACTTGGTATACTTTATTTTCAACGAGAAGAGTTAAGTGATGTTAGGAAAGCTCCCAGTTGAAAAAAAAAGTGGAGTTAATCAGAACATTCTTTTCTTTTGACATCCTTGTCAGCTAAACTTTCTGCTTTCGCTGTTTATTCTATTGGGCTATGAAGACTGGGGCTTACAGATATTTTAGTAAGCAGAGCTACAGTGGGTACACAGAAGACGGTCCATAGTTGCTTCTGGGGATGCCCACTTGCTCTGACCCCACAGAGGGGCCAGGGCAGAGCAGGTAACTCACTCAGACAACTCCTTCTTTCTCTTACAGCAGGAAGGATCCTAGGTCACCTGCCTGAGGACAGAAAGAAGCAGGGAGGCCCATGGAGCAGGCTACCTCCCAGCCAGCTGTGAGGCTGCACTGCAAATGTGATCACCCACTCTAAATAGGGATCCTGGACGGCAAACAGGGGCATCCTGGGTGGAGTGTGCCCCTCTGCCGCAGCACCTGCATCCCGGCTGGAGTGTGCCCCTCTGCCGCAGCATCTGCATCCCGGCTGGAGTGTGCCCTTCTGCCGCAGCATCTGCATCCCGGCTGGAGCGTGCCCCTCTGCCGCAGCATCTGCATCCCGGCTGGAGTGTGCCCCTCTGCCGCAGCATCTGCATCCCGGCTGGAGTGTGCCCCTCTGCCGCAGCATCTGCATCCCGGCTGGAGTGTGCCCCTCTGCTGCACCACCTGCATCCCGGCTGGAGTGTGCCCCTCTGCTGCAGCACCTGCATCCTGGCTGGAGTGTGCCCCTCTGCTGCAGCATCTGCATCCCGGCTGGAGTGTGCCCCTTTGCTGCAGCATCTGCATCCTGGCTGGTGTATGCCCCTCTGTTACAGCATCTGCATCCCGGCTGGAGTGTGCCCCTCTGTTGCAGCATCTGCATCCTGGCTGGAGTGTGCCCCTCTGCTGCAGCATCTGCATCCTGGCTGGAGTGTGCCCCTCTGTTGCAGCATCTGCATCCTGGCTGGAGTGTGCCCCTCTGCTGCAGCATCTGCATCCTGGCTGGAGCGTGCTCCTCTGATGCAGTATCTGGATAAATGCCTGCTTCTGAATTCTTATGCAAATAATGACCCAGTGACAACCACCATTTAGTGACGCTTAGATCCACTGACTCATTTAACAGCTACCACCATCCTCCAAGCAAACCAGATAAGCAGCAAAGCAACTATGCTTGAGAGGTCAGTGACTTGCTCAAGGTCACAGAGCTACAGAGGCAGGATTTGAACCCAGGTCCAAAGAAGCCCTGATGTCTGGACTTTCTAATGACTCTGTGTCTTCTCTGTCCATCTTCAGAGAGGTCAGCAGAGGCCCAGGGCCAGGCGGACGTCCCGTCCCACAAACACTTTTCGACCTCCCACTTTCAGTGGCTCTGAAGAGTGAGCCTTCTCAGAGCCAGCTGCCTCCTCGTCCTCTCCTCCTGTCTGCAAGGCAGCTCCAGTTTGGCACAGCCAGCCCCACACTCCTGCCCTGTGCCTGGACCAGCTCTTCCTACAGCACGTGCCTGCTACTTGCGCAGTGGCAAAGCGGGAGACCCGGGAGTCGGCCTTCCCTCCTCCCCTCCACCACAATGGAGCCCACTTACGTGTGGGCTCGTGAACGCCTCTCAAAATCTCTCCTTTCAAACTCCACCCCTAGCACAGCCCACCACTTGCTTGGATCATTCTGGGGCCCTCAGCTAACAGCTGTCCAATCCACAGTGCTCACTGCAAAGACAGATTTTCAACTTGGAAATAAGATCATGTCCCTGCCCTCTCCCCAAAACTTTCCAAAAATCCCCACTGCTGTTACAAAGAAGGCCTAGGCGGTGGCCCTGTGGAATCTCCTCACTCCAGCCACCAGGTCTCCTTCCAGCCCCTCCTCCATAACACCTGCTCAGGGACTTGCACGTGCAGCTTCCTCTGCCTGCTCAGACCTCAGCCGAGTCATCACCTCCCTTGGGATGCCTTCCCTGACCTCCTGGAGTTGGGCAGATCTTCCCTATGCTCAGGCCTCTCTCTCCAAACAAGGGTGGGGGTGAGCTTTCATCCACTGTGTGGTTATCTGCTTGCTCCTGTCTTTCTCACCATGCATTAGGAGCCCAAATCCTTTTTCCCACCTGACCATCCCCAACACTCGAATACAGGTGGCACAGCCATGAGCCCAGTGGGAGGTGCCAAGGGCTGACCCATGGCACAGACAGGATGTGTTGAGAAAGAACAGATTCACAGTCACCTAAACACAGCACTTACTCAATGCTATCATCGCATGCGCTAGGACTCCTTCAAACTTTAAAGTGTTAAGTAATTTAATCTTCACGACTGTCCCATAAAGAAGGGGCTGTTATGCTCATTTTACAGAAGACAAAACAGGACACTAAGTAACTTGCCCAAGGTACAGGGACACCAAAACCACCTGCCACAGGGCCTATGCCCAGGGTGCAGAGGAGGAGAGGTGTCTCAGGGGGCAGGGAGTATGACGGCAGGAAGGCACAGGGAGGGCCCCCTGCATGGGAGGGGGGCCCCAGGTGGAGACACACACACACACCCCAGGTGGACACACACACACCCAGGTGGACACATACACACACACCCCAGGTGGACACACACACAAACACCCCAGGTGGACACATACACACACACCCCAGGTGGAGACACACACCCCAGGTGGAGACACATACCCCAGGTGGATGCGCGTGCGCGCACACACACACACACACAAGATGCAGAGGCACACAGCCTCTGCCACTGTCCCTGTCAAGCCTGTCACTTTGTGGCTTCCTTGGAGCACATTTACTTAGCTTTCCTGAGCCTCTCTTTCCCCATCTGTACAATCAGGGCAGTGTGGCTTGCTTTGCAGGGCTGTTGTGAAGACACACATAGAATGCCAAGAATAGTGCCTAAAACCCAGCGGGCATTCCAAAATGAAATTGCTAATGAATGTGGCTTCTTCAAGGGCCAGGAGGACTGTTCCAAGGGGCAGGGTGAGCCTCCAGTCAATAATGGAGTGAAGGGCAGCAAGTCTAGGAAAGATGATTGGGCCACTCAGCAACACAGCTGTCATTAGACATTCACTCATCGGCTTGCATTCGGCGCCCTCTCAGCTTCTGGGTTTTTATTTACTGAGTCCACTCCTTGTCAATCCTCGCTTCAAAGGAAACTCAAAGAAAGATGCAGGAGTGAATTCTCTGAAAGGCTCCTATTACTTACAAACTGAGTGGCAAATACGGTAATGTGAGGGGAAAAACCACCTAACATGATATAAAGTAAGAAACACACACATCTTCGTAACACATTTTTTAAAAAAGAATCTGCCGCTAATATTTGGATTCCCACCCTCTCATGTGCCCCTAACAAGAGGAAACAGGCCAAATCTGACAGTGATATTCATCTCTGTTATCCCCGCCTCTCATGGGAAATATGTTTATTAATGCGCCTCTTCCCTTGATAAATTACTAAATAGAAAGAAAAGCCTGGCACTCATTTCCCATGGTTTCTCCTGTGATTTATGACCGGGAACATGGAGTATTCATCTGTGGAGGCGCCTGTTTTAATGCCGGTCGGCCACGGGTGACTGGCCACCTGCCCACCCTCACCTGGGCGGACGCCAACACCACCTGCCTCTGGACCTTGCTTCACCCACTAGCGCTTTCTGTTGCTCATTCACATGTTTATTCATTGATCCATCAGCCCCTCGTGTAGTGCTGAGAGCACACCAGGCATTGATTGGACATCATGGGGACTCTGGGCAGGGAAGCCTCTGACCCTGTCCTCATGGAGCTCACCATGTAGGAGAGAGATGAAGACAGTACTCCGAGGCACCAGGCAGGATTTGCAAGGTGCCATCTAAGCAGAATTATTCTAGAGAATCCCAAGGTGCTCAGGAGGGAGATCATTGTTTTCCCTGAGGCAGTAGGAAGGGCAGGAGATGCAAGAACAGGCCCTGGACTCAGGCAGACCCAGGTTCCAACCCTGCTTGCACACTCTGAACTGGGTAGCTTTGAGCCAATCACTGGTTGTCTCATGCAGAAGATGGGCTACCAGCACCCACCCCAGGGATGCTATGGGCTGACAACCAACATATCATCTATACCTGTGGGTGGACTTGCATGGAATCGGGGCTGGGGATCCCCCCACGGCCTGTGTGCCCAGGAGCCTGGGCTGAGGGGCAGGAGGAAAGAGCATCATCCTGGCACCTGGTCCCAGGAGCCTTCTCTGTGCCAGATGCCATCCTCAGCCCGGGGCTGGGTTATTTTAGGTTTGATGGAGACAGAGACAGGAACATCCTCCTCAGACAGGGATTAGGTTTTCCATTTCAGGAAAAAATACAAGGCCAGCAGGATGCAGCCTGGTGGTGGGGCTCGGGTACCCTGAATCCTCACTGGCTAAGATGTGTTCCCTGCATAGCCCAACTCCCTCACCCAGATATTTTCTGGCTTGCCGAGGAGATGCTCTAAGGAAATCTGACCTGAGGACCTTAATGCCCCCCACACCTAGCCATCCACAGCCCTCTCACCCCTCTGATGGGGGAGTAGCAAGCGCCTGGGCCGTGGAGCAGCGAGGCTCAGAGTTGCCAGGACCACGGCCTAGCTAAGTGATGAACACAGAGAAACAGGCTGTGCTGCAGGCTCCTGTGAAGCGGCTTCGTGAAGCTGGTGTGGCGGGACAGTCTGTGTGGCTTTACCAGATGGCCCATAGACACCGCTTAGCCCGTGCCTGTACACAGCAGCTCCACCATCTCACGCAGGGACCTGCAATGTGGCTTCCTTTGCCTCGGTTCCCCTTCCTGTCTCGGAAAGGGATCCCTGTCTGACTTGGGCCTCTGGCAGCCCCTCTACCAGCTCTTCCTGCCTCTCTGGGTTTGATCAATGTAATTGGTTTCTGAAAACCCCCCGGATCCACAGGCAGCATAAAGAACAGGCGTCAGAATGGAGGTGACATCCGAGCCAAATTAGTGTCAATATGACAATAAAATGCATGGCTTGGAGGCAGTATGAGCAGTAAACAGACAACATTTCAGTCGGAAACATCTCAATCTTCTCAATGTGGTGGAGGGGGAGGGGGTGGCTGTTCTGTCGTTAAATCACCAATATTCAACAGCATAACATGAGAAAATTCCATTTTAGGGCCCGGGTGACAACCAGTGAATTCTCCGCTCTCCAGGGAGCCGCTCAGCAGAATGATGACCTCGGTTCCCTGACTGGTTCTCTATCACCTTCCCACACAGCAGCGCTCCTGTCTTCCTGCTGTAAATCAGGACCCCTTTAAAAACAAGAGGAAATGGGCCTTCACCCACCACTGGGAGACCAGGGAGGGTGGGTTTTCATCAGAGCCTGGGAAATCCCTCTGTCCTGCCGGCACCCTGGCCTCAGTGCCCTGGGAGGAACGCAGGGCTTGGCTTTCCAATCCCACAAGAGCCCCGTAGAGGCCTCTCTAGCTTCTGGCCTTTCTTCCACCACTGCAGTGTGTTCCCAAATGTAGGGCCACACATGGCCCAGATGAGGTTACTTTAGGTTTGATGGAGACAGAGACAGGAACATCCTCTTCAGACAGGGATTAGGTTTTCCATTTCAGAAAAAATACAAAGTTCCATTTGAAGAACCATTTATTTAACCCCAAAAGGTGAGTCTGTTAAAAAATATTACTAAATACACAATTGTGCAGGTGGCACTCAGCTAAGGTAAAAACTGGGCTGGTGGTTTGCAAACCGGTGTACTGGGGACAAGGCCCTGCAGGATGAGGACCCACATGGAGTTCCCACCCACCTCTCCCTGCTCGCCCTCTTGCCTGGCAGAGCCCTCTCCATGCCTTGGCTGGACATTCAAAACCTCTGGAAAGTTCTCTCCCCTACAGTGCTCCCTCCTCTGGGACCATGAATGAAGGTGCTGAGAAAGGAGGCTGGGGTATGAGGGGCGTCAGGTCGGGACAGGCATTCTTGGTCCCGCCCAGGAACTCACACAGGGCTGCGCTGGAGCTCAGGCACCAGGAAGGCAGGGCTTGTGTGCTGCTCATGATGCGTTGCGTCCCTAGACCTAGAACCGAGCCTGGTAAATAGAAGGTGCCCAATAAACACCTGCCGAATCAACCAGCGTGTGTGCATGAGACACAACGACAGAGAAAGGCAGAGAGAGAAGGCCTGTTCTCCTTGGCTGTCCATGAGCTCTCCAGGCCCCCTGCGCCTGCACAGAGCTCACATGCTCAAGATGATGTGTATGGGGGCTTCCTGGTGTGAACACACATTCCTCAGAGAGAGCCAGGCCCCTTCCACAGGTCTCCTGAGCTGCACTGCTGGCGCCAGGGATGGCCCACACAATTTTCTCAGTGAGGATTTGAGCAAAAAGAAACCTAGTGGAAACGCTCATTCACATTCTCTGCTGTGTGGTCTGGAGCTTTCCGGGAGGGACTGGCACAGACCCATGGAGCAGGCACCCACCGAAAACACCTCCCCAGCTCCCATGGTTCACGGGAGGGGAGGGGCCGGGGGACACCCCACAGACAGGTCCAGCCCGAGCCGCCTGGCTGAGAGCCCAGGTGTTGTGTTCAGCGTCTCTTAGAGACATACGTGAGTAACCGTCCACACAGGCCTCGGAGCTAAGTGGAAGTGCGGAAAGCATTTTTAAAAGGTGAAGCGAAGGTTCTGGTTCTAGTTGAAACTGGTTTTGGAAAAAATGTATTAAGTAGCAATAAAAATAGGAGATAATCCTGGACTACTCTGATTTTCTTGGATTGTAACTGACTGGGAACAAAGGGAAAGAAGGCATCTGCTCCTGAAATCCATGGATAAGAAAAATGCTCCCACCCCCACCCCATACTGGAGCTGGAGAAACTGATATCCCTCCTCAGGTGGACTCTGGAATCTGGTGATGCTTCCCCGTTACCTCCATGTCCTGAAGCCAGATGTGTTCCCAAGGCGGAGGTGGAGAAGGCACAGCGGGTGGGGTGTGATGAGTTAACCAGCAGCTGCTGGAGGGCTGGGAGCTCTCGCGCCCACTGCTGAGCTCACCTCTGCACTCCTCTGCTGCTTCCCAGAGATGCTCAGCCCCCGGGGCTGCCAAATGCTGAGTGCCCGGAAGGCAAAGTTGCTCCCCAGCCCCTTCCAGTCCCCTGTGAGCCAACAGCTACATTCCTCGAGTGCTTCTTTCCTTAGCTGGAGCGCATCTTTCCATTCCAGGGTCTTTTCTAAGTGCCATTCACTCATTCACTCACTCACCCAACAAACACAGAGGACCTGCTCCTTGCCAGATGTGCTCCCAGACCTGACAGGGCGGGCCATCGGCCATACGTAAGGAGAAGTCCCAGCCAGTTCCAGTTGGGGGCGCCTTGGGTCCCGCTAGTGCAGTGGAGCTAGTTGGTGGCTTGAAAGGCCTGGGGCTGGATTCTTGTGGGGTCTCAGGAGAAGGCCTAGCGCACCGTGCACAGGACTCTGTGCAGGAATGAGCTCAGGGAGGTATCTGGGGACCTGCATGTGGGGCAGTGCATGGCAAGACCAGTGTGCAGTGGAGAGAGATGAGCTGGAGAGGAAGGCCTCTGGACGGGGGTTCTAAAGTCTGGATTTTATCCTGAGGGGGCTAGAAGTGGCAGGGGCTGAGCGCAGGATGGCGGAGAGGATAAAGATGGGGATGCTGGATGAGCAGCAGCCATGGAGCAGTGCTACGAGGGCGATATGTCACTGTCTGGCCCGGGAGGGGTGACACGCCACTCTTGGAGGCCTGAGGGACAGGATGGGATGGATGGGAGATGGCAAGGAAAAGGTCTGGGAGAACCTGGGGCCTGGGCTTAGGCAGCAGGTGGACAGAGCTGCCTACAATGAAGATACAGAATCCTGCAAGAGTGAGTGGATTTAAAGAGGGAAAGATATACTGGTGGAAAGAGACCTGCACCAGCATTATTCCAGCACCTGCTAGATGCCAGGCACTGGGCCAGGCTCACATGTGCCATCTCAGTCAATGTGTTTAATCCACACAGCTCGCAGGGCTTGGGATTGCCACTCCACACCCCTTCAGTCCTGTCACCACCTCTGAGCCCAGCTACCACAGGGAGGACACCGTGCAGCCAGGCCTGACCCAGGCCTGCCCTGGAGCTCGCTGTACTACTTCTCCCCTCTGGCTCCGGCCCAGCTGCTCTGGGCTGAGCTCAAGTCCACCTGGCCCGGCTGGCCCTCCCTTGGGCCAGGGCTCATGGTTGGTCAGGTGCATGTGCTGCTGAAAACTGCAGCCCAGGGAAGGGCAGATGGTGCTGGTAACAAACAGAGCAAGGCCTGGGTCAAGCCGCTAGATGCTGGGAGCCCATTTGCTCATCTTAAAGTAAGGAGCATATTTCTAGCCTCAGAAGGTGGCTAAGGGAATTACATGGAAGAATGTGTTTAAAAGCACAGAACAGAGGCAGTCTGCATTCCAATTCACTGTCTCTCACGTGTGCACGTACACACACGTGCACACACAGACGCTCATGCTGAAAATCACTGGATGACTCCCGGCTGCCTGGCTTAGCCTTTCCTGCCCTGTGGGGACACCTGCCTCATCTCACCTCTCTTGGCCGTGGTTTCTCTGCCTCGTCCACTTTCCTATTGGCCTGGTGCCACCCTCAGGCCCTTGGAAGAAGGGTCCTGCTTGCAGGAAGCTGACATTCGGGTGTGGCAATTTGCACATGATCCTTCATGCACTCGGTTGCTGCTGTTTGGTTTCTAATATTGGCAAGGAGCGTGTCTAGCACACAACTTTCTCTCAGTATCTCTGACACCTCACTGTGGCTTGTGGGAGCACCGTGTAGGGCTGCTGAGAGGAGAGGGGAACAGAGCACATGGATGTGTGTGTACTCAGAGGGACGTCAATGTCCTACAGAGCTGACAGGTGTTGTTGAACATCTGGATGGTGTGCTTAATTCTGGACTAAACACCATGCTGGGAAAGGCAAGGAAGAACGGGACAGACACAGGGACCAAATTCTGGTGGCATCACTGAGGCATGTTATGGCCTCCCACCAGGGCCTGGCGAGGACCATATCCATGAGGGGCCAGCCTCGGAGGTTGGCCGCCCTCTTCTCAGCAAAACTTTTCCTGGGAAGCAGGAGATGTTCAAGATAGCTGAGGAGCAATGTGAGGTGGTTGCTGTAAGTATGAGGTGGGCCAGGCAAAGAGTGAAGGAGCAGCCAGAGGAGGGAGCTGTCCCAGTGACTGAGGGGGGCAGGGGAAAGGGAAGGAGGAGGCTTCCAGAGAGACTTCCTGGAGGAGGCGAGATGTCAGCCAGGCCTTAGAGAAGTGAAGGGCTCCCCTGGAACAGAGCCCTGGGGGCGGGTCGGGGTGAGCAAGGCAGCAGCCCACCCTGAGTCTCATGGCCCCGCCTGGTCCCACATGATTTCCCACCAGCCCACCCCAACCTGCTACAGGCTGCACGGCCCTGCAGGCACCAGGGCTGCCCCTGCAGGACGGTCTCCCTGCAGGCTCCTGTCTCCCTGCCGTGGGCTATCAGGGAGTGAAAACGCCACCCCAGGCAGGGCTCCGGGAGGCTGGCTCTGCAGGAGGTGCCTGCCTGTTCCCTGTGGTGGCTTCCAGCTTTACTGGCTGCCCTGCCTCCCTGTGTGCCGCTGGCCAGGGCTCCAGGACCTGCAGGCGGAGTGGCGCTGACTGGGGGATGGGAGGGGGTGCTGAGCCTTCCACTCCCTCCACTATTCCTTGAGACGGGCTCCTTGCTGACCGCAGGCTCATGGTCAGAGGGTCACAGGTGTCCCTGTGAAAGCAGCTGTGAGGATGGCATTTGGAGGGTGGGAAGGACTTCGTGTCTAACAGGCACCAAAAGCTTCATCTACCCAGGATACCTGACTTCCCTCCCTTCCATGAGGGCCCCACCTATAGCCTCCCAGCTCAGTTACTACTCCATCCTTCAAATGCTCAGGCCCGAGACCCTGAGGTCAACTTCAACTCCCTTCTTTCTTTCAACTCTATATTCCAGCTGGGAGCACATCCTGTGGTTCTACCTTCAAGGTCTTCCCAAGACCTGGCCCCTTCTCCCCACCTCTACCAACTGGACCTCCTGCCTCCGTCTTGCCCCCAAATCAATTCTCACATCAGCACGGAAGGAGATTCCTTCTGTGAGTCAGTCAGCTCTCTTTTCTCCTCTGCCCAGCCTCATCTCCAGTGAAAGCCAGTCTCTTCTGAGGTGCACTGGCTGGCAAGACCCCACCTGGAAACTCTGGCCTCACCCCCACTCCCACCCCTCACTGCCAGCACTGGCTCCTGGCTATTTCTTGAGCTTGGCAGGCCCACTGCTGCCTCAGGCCCTTTGCACTGCAGTTTCCTCTGCCTGGAGCACTCGCCCCCCAGATTTCAACTTCCCAGTGAGGCTTCCTCTGACTTCCCCATTCCAAACTGCACCCCACTCACCCAGTGCTCGCTCCCCCCGCCCCTGCTTTGTTTCCCTGGTCCATTTATAATTGGCTACTTTCATACGTAATTCCTAGAGCTACTTGGCATCTGTTTCTCCCCATTGCACTGTAAGTTCCAGCTTTGTTTGCTGTGGTGTCTGCGATGCTTACAACGCCTCCTGGCCTGTGGTGACTCAGTAAGTGTTGTCCAAAGATTCAGTGCCTGTGGACAGCCATCCTGGAAGGCATTGGGGTACAGCCCGACCTCTCCTTAAGGGTCCTTGTCCCCAAAAGAAACAGCGAGTGACCTTCTCAGCCTCAAGAGGAGATCTGCTAGCCCCATCCTCAGCCCCTGGGGGCCAGCACTCACCGTCCACGGGGTTGAGGTAGTCGTGGAGATGGGGTGCGCTGGCAGCGCCCCCGCTCTGCATCAGCAGGTCCCCGTAGGGCGCGGGGTGGCCTGCCACGAGGGTCATCTGGTGGTAATAGTCTGAGGGGGTGGTGCCTGGAGCAGGAAGGCCAAACAGTCCCCTCTCCTTAAGGTGCTCCTGGGCCACTGTGGGCAGAGGGGAGAGAAAGAAGCCGTCAGAACCTGGCACTGGCTGTGCCTTCTCCTGCCAAAAAAAAAAAAAAAAAAAAAAAAAAAAGGCAGAGAGAAATGCACACCTGGTGTCGGGGTTTCTCTCCTCGGCATTTTCCCCCACTGCCCCACTGTTTGCACTGTGCTGGGCCTGGGCTTGGCCAGCACGAGCTGCGGTGTTGCTGCTGAAGGAGGCCAGACCCCGACCTCTGTACTCCACCACTTCATTAGACTCATAAACAATCTCTCCCTACTCTGCCTCCATGCCCCTCAGAATCCCGGAGCCCCATGCCAACAGGATCCATAGTCCAGCAGAGTCTTCAAAGTTAAAAGAAGGTGCAAACAGAGGCACTTCAGCGGCACGCGGCTGGGCCAGGTCAGTCTGTGCCTGAACATTCAGGGTGAGATCGCTGCCGGGGCGCCAGGCCTGGCCAGATAAAGCTCCTGGCCTGCACACATCCTTATCCCTGCAGCGCAGAGCCTCGGGGCTGTCTGCTTCAACCCTGAGGTCAGCCCTGCCCAGGTCTTAGGAAAGATGCAGCGAGGATGAAATTCAGAGCATCTGAGGGAGGCTGGCCCTCAGCAGGGTGGTGTCAGGAAACAAATGGGAGCTTGGAAACCTAGCACCCCCATCAAGAGTCCACAGGTGTGCAAAGAGGGCAGTCTGAATCTAGGAAGCAAGCTCCTAGCCACTGTGCACTACGGCCTCTCTGTTAGCAGTCTCGACAAATTCCAAAAGAGCTCTCTTATGCACTTGGCAGAGAGAGGAGACCAGGCCATGGAAGCTGCCGTCCTCCTCTGCCTCCTTCTTGCCATCTCCTGCTGCATCTCCCAAGAGTCCGGGCCTCCAGCCAGGCTGATCGCCCACAGCCTCTGCCTCCCCTGTCCATGCCTCAAGTTCCCTCCCCTACTCCTTCCTGCCTACCCACCTTCCCTCAAAACCTTCCGTGGAGATCCCATTTGTCCCCAGTCACACATGGTCTGGCCAACACTGCCTCGGATCGCTGATGAGCTTCCTAACCTCACATGGCAGGCTCTGGGGCTGATACCGAGCAGGGCACACAGGACTCGAATTCAGACCTCCTGCCAGCTGCTCTTGAGCCTAATCTGCCATCCTTGGTCACTTAGTAGCCCAAGGGCTGATGAGGCCTTGGCGTATCTGGTCTACTTCCTGTGGGAGTCAGGGCCATGCAAATTAGCCAGGTCCCTGCTATGTCGTGGGGCTGTAAGCGGGTACGTGGGTGTTCCAGGAGCTACCTCAGTGTTTATCTTGAACTCATGCATAGCATGGCACTCCATCCGTCGAAGGCCTCTCCTCCAGGGGCAGCTCTGTCTCACCACCCCCAGCTCCTTTTTAAAATTTTTTTTTAGAGACAGGATCTCACTCTGTTGCCCAGGCTGAAGTGCAGTGGTGCGATCCTAGCTCACTGCAGGCTTGAAGTCCTGGGCTCAAGCGATCCTCCCACCTGGCCTCCGAAAATCCAATTACAGGCATGAGCCACTGTGCCCAGCCCACCCAGCTCTTCATGGGCTACACTGCAATCAGTGGAATACAGCGTCTCTGCTTCCTGAGCATCTCCAGGAGGGTGCTCTGTTCCTTCCTCCCGTAGACGTCTTTACTGGCCCTCTGGCCCTGGCCCTGGGAGAGCAGCCAGGTTCCTTCCACCTCTTCACTGGAAGCCCTGTTACCATGTGTATTAGTTTCCCAGGGCAAATGCTGTAACAGATCAGCATAAACTTTGTGTTAACTGTTGTTAAAACAACAGAACTTTATTCTCTCACAGTTCTGGAGGCCAGAAATCTGAAATTAAGGTGCTGGCAGGGCCGCACTCCCTCCAGAGGCTCAAGGGGAAGATGGTTTCCCGCCTCTTCCAGTTTCTGTTGGCTGCCAGCTTCCTGCTTGTGGCCATATTACTCCCATCTGTGCCTCTGACTTCACATAGCCTTCTCCTCTGTGACTCTGTGTGTGTCTCTGGGCGGGCATGAATGTGTCTGCCTTCTCAGTGTGTCTCTTGTAAGGACACCTGTTATTGGATTTAGGGCCTGTGTGGATAATCTGGGATGATCTCTTCAGCTTAAGAGACCTAACTTAATGACATCTGCAAAGACTGCTTTTCCAAATGAGGGAATACCCACAGGTTTGGGGATTAGGATATGGACCTGTGTTTTGGGGGGCACCCCTCAGCTGCCATACTAGGTGTGACCATCAACCCGTTGTTCAGGAGTAGTAGGAAGGAACGCCAGCCTGGTCACTGTCCGAGGGAACCAAGGCTGGGGAGTTGACAGTGTTAGTGTGAGCCAGGCAGACTCTGGAACCTGACCTGTGTCCTCTCACTCTTGGTCAGCCCATCATGGGCTGGGCATGGTGGCTCACACCTATAATCCCAGCACTGGGACCTCAGGAGTGATGTGGATAGGGCTGGGCCCACTGTCCAACAAGACAGCAGCTGGGCATAGAGGCAGCACAGGCCTCAGGGCACCCCAGCTTGGTCAAGGCCACACAGGGGACGCACGCAGAGTTCAGGGCTGAGTTCTGACTTGAGGGGCCATTTCAGAATGGTGTCACATTCCAGCTAGCCATTTTCAAGCCCCCTGGCTACAACTATTTGCCTTGTTTGGTTTCTCTTTTGTGAGGACCAGGCAAAGTGCAAACCTCCGTGCCAGGAAGATGAGTCAACGATTCAGGGAGCCCTTCTGCACATTTGAAAACTGGATGCCTCCTTTTCATCGTGCAATCCCAGCCTGCACATTCTCAGAGCCAGGCCTCCGCTTCAACTCGTGGTCACACCCACCAGTTGGAAGAGGATGCATTCCTCTCGGGGAGAATGCTGGTAGTGATAAGAGACTCGCTGGGACCCCATTTCCTAGAGCCTCTGCCCATGGGGCTCTGAAGTTCAAGTTGCAGATGTCCTCTAGCCTGAGAGGTCAAGTCTTAGCTTCGTGAATTCTGAGAAGTTGCACTTGGCTGCTTTCAAGGATGGGGACAATGAGTGGCTAACAGCGCTCTCAGGGGCGGCACGGGGCCATGCCATGCTATGGATGGGGGTGCACTTCCCAGGGAGACGGCATGGTGGGACTGGCCCCTAAATGTCCGGGTTACTAATATGTGTTTGCATGTGTCTGTTGGTGGGGTGGGTGGGGACTAGAAGTGTAAAACTTTAGATCTGCTTTATACATATAAAGACATATTTGTACCATGTGACCCTGCCCTTTTCTGGCTGAAATTAGTCACACCGGGGTGGCCATCTGATCTCTGAGCCGGGCCAATCAATGTTCTCTCTCAGGCATCTGAACACAATGCCACAGCTTCATCCCCGGAGCCCCAGGGCCTGGGCTGCCACTTGGAGGCCTCCTGCGTTAACCTGCAAGGGGCAGATCCAACAGAGACGCAGGCAGCAGCCAGCCCACTCCGCCTTCCTTCTGCATGAGACACTCCAACACAACATCCCCTTTCCTAACACCAGCTTCTGCAGGCTTTGGTTGGTTACAACCAGTGGTTCTCAGCTACACAGGACCTACCTGGATAGACCCTTACTGTTATTATTACAATAGATCATATATGGTTTGCATGCAAAAGAGTGCTTACCAAAGGCTCTTTAATGAGCATAAAACCCAAAAACTTGTTGTTTGGAAGTAGTGTGAAGGAACGCCAGCCAGCCTGGTCACCATTCAAGGGGACCAAGGCTGAGGAGTTGACAGTGTTAGCGTGAGAGAGGCTGGCTGCGCCCTGCCCCAGTGCCCTAGCTGCCCCTCCCCATCCCCACACCCTACTCACCATCAGCGGGGCTGAGGCCCCTGGCTGCAGAGATCATGGAGAGCGTGGGGCTGCTGTGCACAGAACGGAGGTAGTGCTCCATGTGGGGGTTCACGTACGGGTGGGGGGCGTTGAAGGGGGACTCCCCAGGGCCAGCCGGGTGCGGGGAAAGCCGGATCAAGGAGATGTCAGAGATGACAGGGCTGCCGCTGAGGGCAGGGGGCCTGCAGAGACAATGGGCAGCCGTCTAAGAAGGAGGACACAGAGGGAACCCCACCAAGACCCCAAAACCAACATGGACAGTCCTTGTCTCTCCTGGAAAGACTTTCCAGAACAACCTGCACTTATTATTTGCTACACCGACATTCCCCTGGTCATCTGTGAATTACAGTCTGAACTCTCAAGCATTAGTCAGTGAATGCAGAGTGAAAGCTCCACGCTGGTGCGTGCACCCGCCGGCCAGTTCCACGCTGGAGAATGGACCTCGCACCCGCGACTGGACTTGCTGGAGCACACGCACAGCAGGCCGCCCACACGTCACAGTTGCACTGTGGCTTCCCCAGTGCCTCCTCGGGGCTAGGCACAGGCTTGCATGCTAGAAACATGTATGAAAACGAATATGAAAATACGAATACCACGGGTAAAACGCAAAGAGCTCATACTGCTAACAGGATATGTGAAAAAGAGAGGGATCAGGAGATGTCCTGCAAGTGGAGAGTTTCTGGCTTCAGTTGGATGGTTGGTTGCTGGTGTGACCAGCTCGGCCGCAGGGTCAGGATTCAAGGCAAGTTTTGAAATTGATGAGCCCTAACTAAAATCTTGGAATATCTCCTCGTTCTCCTTCCATGGAATTCCTCCTAGCGCTAACAGAACCACCCTTCTCAGATGCCCCAATAGTCAGGTGTGCATTGGGCTTGGTGCCGCTGGCTTGGGCTGGCATGGCCAGGGCCCACCCCCATGTCCCCAAGTCCGCCCACCAAGAGTCATGGAATCCATTCGATGTGACCTCAGGCCCTTATGTCAGGCCTGCTGACCTGGGGCCTCTATGCAGCTGCAGGTGTATTTTGAGGTAATCTACTCCAAAACTCACTCATTAAAGATGAATCAGACTTTATGGTGAAGCAGCTGCAAAACCACAGCTAAGTCACCAGGAACCACATTTACCAAGATTTCATTTTTATTCTTTAGTCTATAATTTGACATTGTGCAAAGAAAAGAGAGTGTGTTAGAATCAGACAAACCTGGGTTAGAATCCCAGCCACATCACACTGTAACCTCTCCGAGCCTCAGTTTCCTCATCTGTGGAATGGGGATCATAATAGTGTCTGTTTCATAGGGTTGTCGTGAGGATGAAAGTCCCCAAAACTGTGCCAGAGACATGGCAGGCAGTCATGAAAGGAGAACTGCTGTTAGAGGGTTAGAACCACACTTTGAGGGCTAACCTAGCATTGCCCGGGAGGCCCTCCCAATCTTCACACTGGATTGATGCTGGACGTGTGAAAGGCCACTGCTGGAACTGGTTATTTCAGGGAGGAAATGATTTGTCTGTTGGCTGAGCAAACCAGAGATAATTACTGATCATGCTCAATAGTGCATGAAAACTGGGCTTACAGTACAGTACAAACCAGGACCCAAACAGGTGACATCCAGATGTCCTCACATCTGGGTTTCACAAACACCCCCCTGGGAGGCCGCTGTGCCAGGCCTGGAGGGAGTCTTCCGCAGTTTGGTTGTCTAGCTTCAGCAGACGTGACTGCCCTGCTCATGTAGATCCCACGAACCTGCTTCTGCCTTTTTGCCTACACCAATCCTTGGCCTCCAATGCCTTCCTGCACCCTATACTGTGGTGGCAAACTCCTTCTCATCCCTGTCAGCCCAGCAGGTGGCACCCTCCCTGAAGCCCCTTCTCTTGGCTCAGGATCCCTTCTCTCTGCTCCCCAAGGGTGCACTGTTCCAGGCTCAAGCTGACAGGTGCATCTGCCAGGTTCCCAGGCTCTGCCTGGGAGCAGGGCATGTCCGAGGCTCTTCTGCATGCTCAGCACTTGGCATGGAACTGGCGTCATGCAGGTGCTCAGAGGTACCTTCAGAATCAGTGACAGCCACATGTCTGTGTGCCAGCCACTGAGCTCAATGGGAGGGAGACTGTGGAATAAGTCACAAGTCACAACCTCAAGACGTTCTCACTCACAGCCTGCCTGTAGAGGTGGGTGCCTCTGCATGGGAACTGCATGAAATGCGGAGGGCTTAACAGATAGCTTTAGCCTAGGCGGGGGCTGCTATGTGTGCCCGGGAGAGGAGAAGTGGGACCAGACTAATGCACCCCTGGACAAGGGCAGGTCCTGTGGGCTCCAGCCTGTGACTGCAGCAGGATGACACTCACATCCTGCCACGGGATGGGTGGGTTGTGAAGAGAAGGCTCTGAGACAACATCACGCCTCTATGGCTCCTGGGGGCAGACCTGGGCTGAAGGATACAAGTTCTGGAAGGCTGAGTGTGGCTCAGCAAAATGCAGGGTGTCTACAGGCTGAGAGAATAGCTAAGGTGCCTTCTGTCCTGACTTCTCGGTCCTCCCCAGACACTCCAGGCACGGCAGGTTCCCAGAGCCTGCAGGATGCCGGCCAGGGTTTGAGGTCACAGTAGCCTGTAATCAGATGCCGGTGGCCCTACGTGGCTTGTTCAGGTCCCGGGAATGCCAGCCTCCCTGGCACCAGGGTTGCCCTGTGGGGTGTGCCAACCACAGCTGAGGCCCCCTGCGATAGCCATTGATCACGTGGGGATTTCAAGCTACATGGTGAGGCCACACAGCAGGCCCAGTCTGTCCAAGGTGACCCAGGTCCCACTGGCCAGGTGAGCCTCCCCTGAGAGGCCCGGAGTGAGGTGTTGTCACAGCCACATGCACACCACTGTCTGGGGCTGCCATGGAGGCAGCTGGGCCTGGAGATGGCAGGTGGGGCCTGGGTCACACATGGAGGAGCTGGGACTTCCGCCTCCACGGTGCAGTTGCCACCATTTGGGGAAGGTAGACTCCACCTCCCCCTTCCCACCGCAAGCATCACCAAGGGAGTCAGGAGCCCAGGGGTAGCCCAGGGCAGCCTTTTCCTCTCTCAGGCCCTGGGCTCTGTAGGGACATCCAGGGGTCTCTGCAGGGATGCCTGGACTATATCCTCATGGCAGCCCCCATGAAGTAAGCACCGGCTGTGTGCCCCTCAGGAGGGTATGGAAAAATGGAACCAACCACTGCACTTGACCACGAGCACACTGCATCCAGACAGGGGAGTCATTCTCCATGCTGTGCGGCCAGTGAGAGGCAAGCAGGAGCTCCCTCCAGCGGGCCTCACTCCCAGGCTGGGACTCCCTCATCGAGGCACTACCCGCCCCATCACAGCACTGCTGTCCAGGACTGACTGTTCCCTTGGTGTGACCAGACAGAAAGCTGGAAGATGCCACTATCCTACCCCAGAACAGATTCTATCAGGGGCAGTGGAGAGACAGGCCAGCCTCCACAACAGGTCCAACTCAAGGGTACGGAGCAACCCTTGCTCTTCCCCTGTGCCAGGGAAGGCTGCAGTGCCGGGCCTGAAGAGGGGGATGTGAGCCACAGAGCCATCCCCCGGAGGCAGATACAAATGCTCTCGGGATGCAGCAAGGTGGGGCAGGATGCTGCACCTGGCACTGCCTGTCCCTTCAAGGGCACTGGCTTCCTAATCCTTCCCGCTTGGCTGTGTAGCCTCAGCCAGAATGCTGCTCCTCTCTGGTGCCTCACCAGGGTGGTGTGAAATGACCAGGGCCGGGCACCTGGTAGGGGGTTTATATGCATTAACTCCCTTTCCTTCTCTCCTCAGCAACAAGCCAATTTGGAATATAGAGTGTCTGCTGGCCTGGAAACCCAGGGCACACAATACCAGAGACAGGCCCACTGGCCATCGTAGCCATCAATGACTGTCTAGACACTTCCTCCAGGAAGCCTTCCGAGATGTCTCTTTTGCACAGGGCCAGTGAGATCACAGCCGTGCTCTTACCTGGTATCTCCCCAGGGTAGGGCTGACTGTGTGCCAGCCATCGGTGGGGCACATGCACATATTTTCTTTGTGAATTCAAATAAAACATTCACAACACAGGCACTTTATGCCCATCTTGTGGATGGGAACATCCCCAGATAGGCTAGGTCCCTTGGCCAAGGGTGCCCAGATAGCAGGTGGTAGAACCACAACCAACCCAGGTGGGGCTGGGCTGGAGCCCCTGCCTGTGCCCTGGCAGGGAAGTGGGCGTTCTTGATGACACTGGTTGGTGGTAAGCAGGGCTCAGGGTGTGGACAGGATAAGGGAGGGGGCAGTACCTGAGGGCAGGAGAGCTTTCTCCCCACCGTTTCAGCTTCTTCTCTGTCTCTGGTCCCCACCCCACCCCTACCAGGTCATCACATACAATCCCACCCTACTCTGGGTAGGGAGCTGGAACCCCCCAACCCCACTATGTTGTGATGACCGCTAAGGATCCAGGGGCACACATGTTCCCAGAGATGGTCATTTTGACAGACTAAACACAGCCAGAGGAATGGGCCAGAGCTGGCAGAACTGCCAGCATCACACAGGCATGTGGGGCCTGAGGGCGCTTCCCAGCAGCCCTGAAACACGCCAGCATTGCCAAACCACACAGCAGGTCCTTCAGGGTCCAGTGCCCCTCTTTCTTGGACACTTGCCCCCATCCCAGGCCCCAGCTGAGGGTCTCATGATACCTCAGTGTTGCCAGCGCCAGTGAGCAGACGATTGAGCCATGGAGACTTCACCAGGAAAGGCGACTACTGGTGAAGTCTGAACCACCACTTCAGGCTGACCCCAGCAGCAACCTCCCTTTCTTCTTCCATTTCCACACTGCTGTACTGCAGGGGCCCGGCCTTGGTGTGAGCCACGGCCATCCAGTCCTTGAATTCCGACAGCTAGGCAGAGACTCAAAGAGACGCCCTTCAGGATGGGAGGAGGAGCTGGCTGCATGAGCTCAATTTAAAAGATGGTCACAGTCTCCTACATCACAGATACACATGTGCACACCCTCACACACTCCCATGGCACAATCAACCAGTGGCACAGCCAGCCCTTCTGCAGGCCGCTCAGCTCAGTACACTGCCCCTATGCATTGCCTTCTCCCCTCAGTCCAGCTCAGAGCTCGTCTGAGCCTGATCTGACCAGTTGTTCCTTCTTACATTTCTTCACGCTCCCAACAGGGCTGTGCCTAGGGACCTGTAGGCAGCTCAGAGCCCAGGGGGAAAGAGGCAGACCCATGAAATCAGGTAATTACCAGGCAGTATGATAAGGGCTCCAGCAGAGGAGTGATTCTCTAACTCTGCCTGGAAGTGTGCAGGAAGGCTTCTCAGAGAAGGTGACATTAGGGCTGGGTCTTGAGGGATGAATAGGAGTTCACGAGGTAGTGCATTACCAACAAAGGAAGCAGTGTGTGCAAAGAAAGGCTGGAGCACAAAGCTGTGTGTGTGTGTGTGTGTGTGTGTGTGTGTGTGAGAAGGTTATGCCTGAGGGGCAGGGCACAGCCCACAGAGTGCTTTGGGCTGGGTCTATATTGAACCCACTTCCTTTCTGCTGCTCTGGGCAGGGGACACATGACCTGAGCCCAGGTGATCAATGTATTCCATATTGCTAGTACTGTGATCGGTTCAAAGATAGGCATGTGCCCAACACAGCAGCTTTGGCTAGAGTCTTTGGTTCTCTCTGTCCGCAAGGGTTGCTGAGCTCGTAGGGTGCAAGCGTGGGGCTGCTGGAGGCCATGCAGGGGAGAGCCCAAGAAGGAAGATGATACAGAGAACATCAGAGCTGAGAGAGGATGAGCCAGTTTCTTGACTTGAGTCCCTCTGTCTAAAGCTAGTATCCTTGGCCTTCTCAGTTATGTGAGCTAAGACATTTCTTGACCCACACAGCTTCCCACTGCCCAGAATGATCCTGGGCCTGGCACCCTGCAAGGCAGACCCCAGCCATAAGTGCTCGGGCCTGTCCATCCACCCACCTGCAGAACAGGAGAGGGTCCCTGGACATCCTGCCCACAGTGGCCGAGGCTGGAGGGTGCAGCTGGGCATGTCCTTCTGTGTCTGGGCATGAGGCACAAGCAGGGGACTCTGGGTAAGTAGGACAACCAACCAAAGCCCCTTTTCCTCGTGTGTGTGTGTTTGTGTGTGTGTGTGCTGTGCACATGTTAGCGACCAGCGGCAGCAGCAACAAGGAGCAGGAGCCCGGCCTCACGGCTGACTCCGCTGCAGTGGAGGACGCCTATGCTTCTTCCCGATGTTGGTTCTGGCCTGCTGACTGTGATTGGGTCCTTGCCCCAGGAGGCTGCAGGCAGTGCCAGGAAAGGCCTCTCCTTAGCAGGATCCTTCCTCTTCCCTCTTTCCCTCCCTCCCTAGTGGGAGATCCCTGGCAAAGCCCTTGGATGGGATTTCAGGACCAGGCCCAAGGGTCAGCATGGTGGTTAGGGGAAGTAAGAAAGAATGGAAGTAAGGAAGAGGGGAAAAGGGAGAATGGATAAAGTAAACTGAGGTGTCACTGCATGGCTGCTGTGTTAACTCTGTGGCTGCTGCCACAGGGATGCTGCTGCTGCTGACAAAGTCGTCAGCATTTGCAGAACGCCTACTACGTGCAATACATCCAGCAAGCCTGCAAGGCAGATTTCATTATCTCCATTTTACAGACCAGGAAACTGAGACTCAAGGAAGTCATGTGACTTGCCCACGGTTGCAGAGCTGGAGGTGGCCGAGTGGGAGTAGAAGGCCAGCCTCTCTGCCCCTGTGAAGTTGGATTGGGCACTGACATGTCTAATGGTCCACCCAGATGCAGGCTCGTGCTGGCTCCACCCTCGCTGTCTCAGTTCTCGAGAAGGTTGGCTTGGTGGTCCCCTGGCAGGCCTAATTTCAGCTGATCCCCAAGGTGACTCTGGGGCAGTGCAGACTGAGGGGGCCACCCCCACTGATAAGCAGAATCTGGACTCTGAAGTCACAGATCTAGGTCTGAATCATGGCTTTGGTGCTGTTGCAGCCTCAGTGCTATGTGCCCTGAGCCTCAGGATCCCTTGCCTGCAGGTGGGGCAGCTGTGAGGTAGGATGAGCCAAGCATGGAAAGCATGCAGTGTAGCACCAGGCACTTAGTAGGTGCTCAATTAGTGCTCACCCCGCTCATCTAGCAGATGAGCAAATGGAAGCAGCTCAGAGAGTGCAGCAGACCCAGGCCACACCTTTCGGCATCAAATCCCAGGACCCTTCCCCATCTGCTGCCATGAGATTTTTGGTGGGAGATAAAAGGTCAAGGTAATGAGCACTCTGCACAGCCATGTGTAACTCAGCATGCAGCTGGCTGGGCCTAAGCGAGCATGCCAGACCCTCGGAGTGGGTGCTGTCCCTGGGAGTGAGAATGATGGGGGATGTGTACCTGGACGGTGTGTAGCTTCTGCCTGAGAAACAAGTAAGACTTTGAGGGCTGGGGAGGAGAAAGGAGGGCATCTGGCCTGAGCACCGCCTGAGCCAAGGTGTGGGGGCAAGAACCGGCATGTTCCTTAAGGTGTGAGAGAAAGGGAAGGAAGTGCAGGGATTGGGGCCCCCACACCCCAGCCTCGGTGCCTGCTTGGAGAAGCTGAACAATGTGGAGCTGAGGGCTGCTGACTCACCCAGACTCAGCACCAGCCATCAGGGCGGGCTGTCCCACTCGGGGGTTGGAGTCAGAGGAGAAGCCCACCCTTGGCATGCCAGAGATGGCTTTGCTCCAAGATCTGTGCTGGTGGCTGGGGCCAGACACAGGCAGGAACAGCTCCTTCATGTCCCATTTAACAGACAGCACTGCTGAGTCCCAAAGCACCAGGGGCATGGCCACAGTGAGGCCAGCGGCAGCAGCGGGTGGGAACACAGGCACCCGGATGCCCCCAGACTGGTCCAACAGCTGTTGCTGATGAAGAGAAAAGGAGGCCCAGTCACTTGGGGATATGAGCCTACAAATCTCACCACCTGCCTGCTTCTCAGGGTGACTTATGACCTCAGTGGCAGCAGGCGAGGGGCCACAATCCCATGTGGCCAGGGCCTGCCTCTCCCCTCTGTGTCCTGTATGCCACTCTCTGGTCCTTGGCCATGCTTGCCTCTCACAGCTTTGCCCTTTGATGTCTGCACCTCCAGTCATGCCCTTCCCCTCTTCATCCCTTCCCCCAGTTAACTCCTGTTCTCCTCCCAGAGGTGCCAGCTCAGGGACCTCTCACCCAAGGTGCCCCCTAGCCCCAGGTCAAGGTCAGGATCCTCCTACGGTGCTTCTGTGTTAGGTGGCTCCTTCCTCTGACCTGAGCACGTCCATCTCAGCTGATGACCAGATATCCTCAGCTGTGAGCTCACAGGCCTCCTGTCTCCTGTATCCGTTTCTGTTCATACGCTGGCCCTGCACCTGGCTCCGCACATGCCAGGGACATACAGCATGCTCAAATACGTGTGTGCTGAATGAATGAATGAATGAATGAGTGAGTGAGGGCGTGAACGAATGAATGAATGAGTGAGTGAGGGTGTGAACGAATGAATGAATGAGTGAGTGAGGGTGTGAACGAATGAGTGAATGAATGAATGAATGAATGAATGAAAGAGGGCGTGAACGAATGAATGAATGAATGAGTGAGGGCGTGAACGAATGAGTGAATGAATGAATGAATAAAGCAGGGAGCGTGTCCAGGGAAGAGCACAGACACTACTGCAGAAGACATGGGTCCCGGCTCACCTCAGCTCACTCCTGCCTGGGAGCACGTATGTGCCGTCTCTGAACAGTTACGACAGTGATCTTACAAATCTGTTGTGAGGAGCAGAGGGAAGGCACGTGGGGGGCTCATGAGATCTCCCAGAGATATGTCCATGTTCTATCCCCGGAACCTGTGAACAAGAACTTACTGGGAAAAGGGATTTGACAGATGTGATTAAGACAAGGATTTGGAGATGAGGAGATTATGGGTTACCTGAGTGGGCCCTACATGCCATCATGGGGTCTTTAGACAGCAGAGTAAGATCTGAGACACAGAAGATGAGATGGCCATGCGACAGGGAGACAGAGACTACAGGGAAATGGCCAGGAGCCAAGGAAAGTTGGCAGCACCAGAAGCTGGGAAAGGCAAGGACAGAGTCTCCCCTGGGGGTCTCTGAGGGTGCACAGCCCTGGTGACACCTCGATCTTGTTCCAGTGATACTGATTTTGGACTTCTGACCTCTGAAACCGAGAGAACATATTTCTATTGTTTGAAGCCACTGAGTTCGTGGTACCGTGTTACAGCAGCCCCAGGAAATGAACTCGTCATGGAAAGCATGTTGCATTGGCCTAGAGTTGGCCCTAGGGAGGTGGCAGACATCACCGTCACTAGTGCCATCGTTCTTCTGAGACTAAACTCTTAGCAGGGCTCCTATTTATTGCTCGGAATAACCAGGTTCCAGTAGATGCTCCCTTTGAGGCAGGCTGGCAGGGTAGGGGAACTCCTGTGCTGGGTGGAGGAAGGTGTCTGAGTCCTGCGTTCCCATCCCCATGTGCACAGGGCTGTGGAGCGGGCTTTCCCCCCTGCCGCCTGGATTTCATGGTCACTGACTCCCCATAGCCAGAATCCACCCAGCACACAGCCCCAGCATGCCATTTCCTCCTGCCTCGGAACCGCTGGCTTGTGTACACCAGCCCTGCCTTTGGGCCAAGATGCCTACCACCCACCAGGATCACAGGGCCATGGGTGGGTCCACGGAGCTCCAGAGTGGAGACACTGGGACCTTTTTGCTGTTGCGGAGCTGCTCAGGACCAGGTGCCCACTTCCTCAGAAATGCTGGGCAGGCGTCCTCTGGGCCCACTGACCTGCTGGAAAGGAAGCTGGAGTCCCCAAAGCTTGCCCTGCATCTCTTCCTCCCCAAACTGGAACTTCTTACTGCCAGGACAGGGCGTGCATGTGTCTGCTCTCCCAGGGCCTCCCTGGAGAGCAAGGCCAGCTCCTGCCACCCTCGGCTCTACCGACAAATAGAAACAGAGCTCCAGAACGCTCCTCTGGATGGAATTCAATCTCCTCCCCAGGGTTTTCGTTTGTTGGTTTGAGTTTTGTTGTTTGGTTTTGTAGGTGAAACTGTACACTGGCAAGCTTGCTTACCATGTTTCCCATACATTTGTTTTAAAAAGTTCTAGAAATCAAGTCCTTTCCAAAATGTACTAAGGGGATTTGCATTTTTTAAGAGCCATACAGCAAATTCTTTTGGAAAACAATGGAGAACTGTCCCTTCCTCAAACTGAAGCGCAGTCCATGTCTTTTATCAATCTGCACTCTCCTGTGTGTCTGGTGGCAGTCTGTCCTCATGGGGAGGCTCTGTGTACGGGAGCTGAGGCCGCAGTTTGCAGACATTCATTGCTGATCTGTGTCTGCGTCCACACGTCACTCCCCCGGATCAGCTGATGTTTACTGAGCATGGGCCTCTGATGGCACTGATGGTGGGGAGCTGGGGGTCTGAGGCCGACTTGGCCAGGGCCCCACATGCACCCAGGTAGTGAGGGAGCAGGTGTGGGGAGCTGGGGTTCTGAGACAGACCCGGCCAGGGCCCCGCATGCACCCAGGTAGTGAGGGGGCAGGTGGCTGCAAACCTGACTGACAAGTGCTATGCCCCACATTCCCAAGGTCTACTCTGAATCCACAAGTGCACAGATCTCAGCAGACCCCCTGAGTGCCCATGAAGCCATGGTGATGGTAAGACAGGGTGCTGCTGCTTGGCAGGCATTCCCAAGACCAGTTACGAGCTCAGGAAATCACAGGCCCTCAATCCCATAGTTCACACTGGTGCTTTGGCCGAATCACCATGCCAGGACCTCTGGGGTCACAGAGAGAGAATGGACACTGACTATAGCCTTCTAACAGTATACAAGGTGCTGGAGCAGGAAGAGGGGTGGGAGGAAAATAATTCACCCACTCTGTTGGTGCAATCTGAGAGGGCTTCCTGCAGGAGGTGGCATCTGAACTGTGCCCAGACTCTTATAAGAGAATGGAATGGAGGTGGTGAGTAGTATAGGCCTGGTGTTCTGAGATGGGAGAATAGCTGAATAAGGACATGTTGTATTGGGGAACAACCACTATAGTCCAGAGGCTGAAGGTCTGACCAGACATCTGGGTGGGAGGAGAACATGCAGGGAAAAACATAGTAGAAATGTCGGTAACCTACCTGAGCTATTTTACAATGGGAACTTCTCTTCACCCAAACCTGCCATCAAGGCAGTGAAGAGACCAGGCACGAACTGGGAGAGGATATTCACAACACATGTTGCTAACCACATAATGAGTAACCTTAGTGTGCAAAATACTTATTCAAATAATGGGAAAAAGACGACCTCATAGAAAAATGGGCAAAATAGCCCAACAGACATTTCCCAAGAAGGAAACATTAGTGGCCCATAAGCATGTGAAAGAACACTCAAGGTTCATTAGCAATAAGGGAAACAGAAAATTAGAATCACAGAAAAGAGCCATTTTGGCAAAAATTAAAATGTAGAGGCCATCACCTCCAAAGTGATGGGGCAAGGATATCACAAGGATACAGGGCAAGGCCAGCTCTCAAACTCTGCTGGTGGGAGTGAGTGTTAGCAAAACCAGCGGGCGAAGTCTGGCAATGTCTAGGAGGGTGAGAACATGAATCCACTGTGACTCAGCATTTCCATTCCCAGACATGCATTTACCTTAAATAACCCCGCACTTGGGGCCCAGAGGATGGTATAAAAGTGTTTCTGCAGTCATGTTCAAATTAGCAAAAACAGACACATCCCAAATGCCAGTCAACATAGACTGCTTCGGAGCAGCCCAAATGAATGAAGAGCCCTACACATTAGCAGGAAAATCTTCGGAAGAACGTGGAGTATGAAAGCAAGTTCCCGAAGAATACCTCTGCAATGATTCCATGTATATAAAGCATGACAAAGCAAAACGAATTAATACATTGTTAGGGGAGTCAGACACAAGGTAAAACCGTCATAAGATGTGAGGGGTGATAAACTCTGAATCCCAAAGAATGGTGGGATGGGGAGGACCTGAGGCAGGAGATTGGGGAGCACACGGGACCTCAAAGGTGCTGGCATGTCCTCAGTCCTTAGAGTGAGCAGGGGATAAGGGTGTATATGTCATAATTACTCAGATATCTTAAACATGCTTTTGTTGTTCTTTTTTTTTTTCTGAGATGGAGTTTCGCTCTTGCCCAGGCTGGAGTGCAATGGCGCCATCTCAGCTCACTGCAACTTCCGCCTCCTAGGTTCAAGTGATTCTTCTGCCTCAGCCTCCCCAGTAGCTGGGATTACAGGTGCCCACCACCACGCCTGGCTAATTTTTGTATTTTTAGTAGAGACGGGGTTTCGCCATGTTGGCCAGGCTGGTCTCGAACTTCCGACCTCAGGTGATCCCCCTGCCTCGGCCTCCCAAAGTGCTGGGATTATAGGCGTAAGCCACCACACCTGGCCACTTTTGTTGTTCTTTTGCATGTTTTCAATAATCAATAAGACCAATTTTTTTTTTAAAAGGATGGCTGGGTAGAAGTAGTCTCTGGTTTAAGTTGGCTGAGTGGATAGGGATTCCGGGAGCAGGACGGCTACAGGGCTGGCGCTGGTGGGGAACTCAGGGCTGGTGGTGGTGGTGAATGTGTGTGACTGCTGGAAATCATCTGAGGCTCAGTCGTCTACATGATCACTCCATGGGCCCTCTTGGCCACAACATCTATCTGTTGTCCAGGCTCCCTCCAGGCCAGCCCTAGCCCCGTCTGCAGCAAACACGCATCCCATATATGCGACCTGCACTCACCCCGTTCCCATCAAAGACCCGGACACCACACCAGACCTGGCCAGCTTTCAGCTGTCACTCCCTATGCAGAGCTGTAATAAAGAAATCACCGTTTTCAGTTGACAAAGAGCAGATTTCTTACTAAGTAAACACTGATGTTTTGGTAGGGAAATTAAGTTATAAAATTGTGCCTACAAAGGAGGCAATACAGATGGACTTGGTTGCAATCTAGCCACGTGGTCCACAACAGTTGATTCATGCACTCACCCTTTATCAGTTTTCCCCTGGGAGCAGAATAAGAAGGTTATCAGTTTTTGCAAACAGAAAACCCAAAAAGCATAAAAGATAAGGGGATTATCAGGGAGACGTTTTTCCTAGCAAAGTGAAGACATTGGTGGAGCAGGGTAGGGAGGGGAGGAGTGAGGTGTGGGGCCTGTTGGAAGCCTTGGGTTTACTCCTTCTGTGCAGTGGAACCAGGAATGTGTCTGGGTCCGGGGAGGAGGCCCTGGGGGAGTCGGTCCTGCTTAGGCCCTCTCCAGGTGAACTGCACCACTGACCTCCGAGTACAGGGGGACTTTGTCTGTAATAGAAGCTGCCATGGGCTGAGCACTGCTGAACCAAATCTTCCAGAAAGTCAAGGGTTTAAAGCCATGGGCGGGAATAAGGAAATAGGAGATAAGATGTGCAGTCTTGGGAGTGGGGTTTGTGGGGAGCGGCCTTCGTTAGTGGGAGAGATTTCATTATATTTCACTGGAGGCCTGGGTTTTAGTGATGAGAAAGGGCCTGGGTGGCCGGCGGGCTGGATAGAAACTCCTCCACAGTGAGATTCTTAAACTCTGGCCCAGCCTGCCAAAGTGGTGTGTGGAATTTCCTTTCCTGGATGCCTGTCAAAACTAGCTGGAGAATCCTGAGCAGCTCACATATATCTCTTCTTCGAGGTGGGTGTGCTGCTGATTTTTACCAAGCCTTCATGAGTATGTGCTTTGAAAAGATTCCCCTCCTTAGTGGCACTGGTGTCTGCCTGGAAGTGGAGGCCCCTCATTGGAACAGGGCAACCTGAAGAAGGTGGTAGGGCCCCCAGTGGGTGGGGTTGGGGAAAGGCTGGGACGTGGGGGGAGGCCTTCATGCGTCCCCGCTGATAAGCGCTTTCTGTTCCTGTATTCCTGGTGCTCTGGGCTTCCCATACCCCCTCTTCCAGCATACCACCCTGTCATTGGCCAATTTCTGCCCTCTCCCCAACCAGATCATGGGGTCTATGTGGGCAGCAAGACTGTGCCTCCTGGAGGTAGAAGGGGCATGTAGTTTGAGAAATTAGTGGGTGCAATGCACACTATTCAGGTGATAGATACTCTAAAAGTCCTGACTTCACTGCTACAAAATCTATGCATGTCACAAAATTGGACTTGCACCCCATAAATTTATACAAATAAAAATTCTATTAAAAAAGACTGTGCCTCCTTGGGCCCGTATCCCCAGTGCCTGGCATGAGGCTGGCACACATGGTCCCTGGGTGAGTGTCCTCAGAGGAACGAGCATTAAGAACATTCCCCACTGAGTTAAGCAACTCTGAACTCTTGCTACTTTGTTTGGGCAGCACAGGCCAAGTGTACATTTCAGAGGTGCAGTCCTTGGAAGGAGGGGATGGAGGGATGGGGCTCCTGACATGTCCAGCGTACTTTTTGACGGGCACCAGACATACCATCAGTGCTGGCTGCAGTGACAGAGGCTTGAGGGCAGCAGCAATTTCTGACCTTTTTAAGCAGTGCCTCAGGGGCAGGGCACTGCTCACATTTTCCCTCAGCAACACCTTGACTCGGGCTGGCAGGAGTGGCCTCAAGTGACAGCACTTGGGATACAATAAATCCAGCAACAATGAGTTTGGCTGAATAAATGAATGCATCTGGCAGTGGCGTCAGCTTCCACCGAGTGGACAGTCTGAACATGTGCAGTCTAAGAGGACTCCCCACCTCAAAGGCCAATCCACCCCACCAATGCCTGAAACTTTACTGTTAGTGATTAATTCCTTTGGGTTGATTACTGTTCTGTTTCCATGTCTGCAGACAGAAACAACACACTGCAGCCCTGAGAACCATGGCGAGACTCTCTTTCCTCTCTGAGGACAATCACGGCATAGGGAAGAGCTCTGGCTTGGTGAGATCTCACAAGCTGGGCAATCTTGGGAAGTTCTTAAATTCTGGGAACGCCCAGTTCTCGCCTCTATGAATTGAGGAGAAAATCCCCCACCTTACAGGGTGTTGGGAGGACTGAATAGGACACCACTGGCCCAGCACCCTGCAGGGTGTCTGCAGTGAAACTTGGCTTTCCTTCTAATGTTAGCAGGGCAGTGATGAGAGCAGGGGTCTCTCCGCCACTCGGTATGTCCCAGGTGTGCTTCTACATGCTTTACAGACACCCATCTAGTCCTCACAACAGTTTCACATGGGGAGCCACTATGTCCCCATTTTAGAGATGGGGCCACTGAGGCTTGTGGGGCTAAGCAAGCCCAAGGATGTGAAGAGTATAAGCAGCATAGGCAAGATGTGAGCCCCGGCCTCAACCCTGTTCTGTCTACATACTGGGGGTGTGGAGGGGAAATGTCCGACAGTGGGGACCCCGAGGGACAGGAGAGGAACCGAATAGTTCATCCCGATCCTGCCGCAGCCCCTCCCCCACTGCACGCCCACCTCGGCCTGCACATCAAGATTTGCTCCACTCCCTGGCCCCTCCTGCTCTCGGCTGACCACCACGGCTCTCTCCAAAACCCAGAGCCAGCAGCTCCTCTTGTGCGAGGGCTTTGGCGTTCAGTAAAGATCAAAGACCAGCCCGTCTTATCACACACGCTCCTCGTTAAACTTTTACAGGCCAGATTCCATTATAAATGAGCTGTCTGTCCCACGCAGCCCAGCGAGTGCATTCTTGGCTTTGGAATCTGAAGCTCTCAGAGCTGGGGAAGATTTTAGCAAGGGGTGGGGGGTCAAAATGCCCAGTAAGTAATCTATGCTGCTTACTAGGAGTGTGTCACTGGAAAGGCAGTCAGCCTCCCCATGCCTCGGTTTCCCCAATTATCAAGTGGGAGTGATTATTGGGGAGTGATAATCCCACCTTGCAGGGAGGGTGACATGACATAAGCCGGCGGCTGGGCACAGACTCCTGCTACTGCTCCTCTGCTGGTCTGACCCAAGTATCCCACAGCCCAGAGATGGGGAGGGGCCTGCCTGATGGGGTCTCAGGGCCGTTTACATCACAGTGAGCCAAGGCTCCACATCTAGTCGGTCTACCCTCAGACAGCCGTGGAAGGATGTGCTGCCCGACACATCGCCTGGACCCAGGGTTTCTGGGCTCCCTGTCTACCTGCTGTCCAGTTGCTCTGAAGAAGTGGTCAGCAACAGCCGGTTTTAAGGAAGAGCTCCCTGGAGATGGAGAGGCAGTGTGGACCCACGTGGAAAGGAAGGACAAGTTGCCTGGTGGGTGACGCTGGGCCCACCCAGCATCTCATCCCAGGGGGCAGGTGGACATGCCTTTCGGAAGTCTCCTCCTTCCTCTAGGCTCTGAAAAGAAACGAGCATGTTTGCAGAGGGAGGAGAAGGTTCTTCCCAAAAAACAAACAAAGCCAATCCTCTATGAATCGTGAACCTCGGGTGCTGTGCCAAGAATCAAGAAGAAAATATCTTTCTGCTCAACCCACCCGTCTCAGTGAATGACTGAGGACAGAGTCATAAAGGCCCGGGATGACACTGGTGAGTCACAGGCTGAGCAGGCTGCTGTGTTCATTAATCTCATGGTGAACGGTGCAGTCTTTATGGGACACTGACCTTGGAAAAAGCAATCTTCAAATCCCCCCAGACTGGAAAGTTCATGAGTTCGGCCCAGTGGCAGCAAAGAAACTACTCTCTTAAGTGAAGGCACACCGACACCCGGCTAAACATCCCCATTAACATGCAGTCTCGGGGACCAAGTGGGGCTTCAGACACTCTTAATGCTGTCTCCGGAGGCCCTGGGTAATATGCATTTTGCGTGACCAAGCATGCAGATGAAAGGGAGGTGAGGCCCCCATGCCCACCAGCTGGCGTTCACTCTATTGCCCTAACATACCTGGGCCTGGGTTGATAGCTACAACCCTGAGCCATCTGTGCCAGCAAGAGCCCCCTCGTCACTCCTCCAGGAAGGGTGGCCTTGGGCCGTGACTGCCAATGCAATGCAAACCAACTACAGCTCAGGATCAAGAGATCTGCAGGAAGCCATCAGCAGTGGTCAGGTCGGGGGTGGAGTCGTGGATGTCAGAGGTCAGATGGTGCCAGGCAGGAGGAGAAAGGAAGGCTGAGATACTGCAGCTGTTCCCACCCCATACACTCACTGCCTTTTGCAAGCTGAGAATATGAATAGGTTTAGGTCATATGAATAGGTTTAGGAGGGACTTGTCTGTGAATGGGTTATCACGAGGAACCAGGGGATTTTTAACAACCCGTGTTTTGGCGGCGAGGCGCTGTCAGTGATGAGTCCAGAAAGCCAACAAGCAGCTCTGGGGCTGCTTTCCCGGACGTCAAGCAAGCAGCGGCGCCTGCAGTGGTCCCCAAACTCTGGCCTATGGGCGCCTGTAAATAAGCAGATTTCCGGGCTTCACCCTAGTCTGAAAATCAACAAGAACTCCTGGGGCCAGGGCCTGAGAATGGGCATCTTTAAGACCCACCCTGTGTGTTCAGATCTGCAGCCAGGTTTGGGAACCTCTGCATGGGGCAGTTTCTGTACGCCCTTCTGGGCAGGAAGCAGCTGAAATTGGTCTTCTCTGAAGCCCCAGGGCAGGGCAGGGCAGGGCAGGGCAGGGCAGGGCAGGGCAGGGCAGGGCTGGAAAGGTCCTCAAAAGCAACATAGGGAGCTGAAGGTCCACCCCAGCCCCCCGAACCAGGAGCATGGACTTCTACATTCCTCTCCAGGACACAAGTTAACGCTGGCCCAGGGCAGGCCGGACTCATGCTTGTGTGACCACATACACTGAGGAAATGGGGAGCACCAACTTAGGGACCCTTCCTCGCCACACCTCAGCCTTGCTCCCCATGACACCCTGGCAAGCCTATTTCTGGGAGGCAGGGGGCCCAGAGGGCATCCAAAGAGCTTCTCTTTCCTGTTAGCGTCACAAGGTTGGAGAGACTGCTGGGGGTGTGTGGCCCTATTCACAGCCGGCCTTCTCTTCTCGCCCTTGTACAGACTCTTGGAGACTTAGGGATGTCCCCATGGGGGCTTCAAGAGAACCTTGCTTGACCAGCAATCACACACCCCTGCCCCATTTGTCTCCCCATCACTTGTGGTTTGCACAGCCCAAAGACACTGCAGCAGGAGTCCACGGGTGGGTGGTGACTTTCCTCCCCTGGAACCACGTGAGCATCAGTAAGCCATGCAAGCCTGCTGTGCATTTGAACCTTAAGTGACCGGGAAGGGTGCTCTGCAGAGGAGTGGGCTTGGGTGTCTATGAGGAGGCCATCGAGCTGGGCTGGGCTGCAAGGCTGTCCTCACACCAACCTCCATGCCCTGCCTTCCCCACGTGCAGCTGCCTGTTTACAGCCGGGTGGTCAGCCCTGGTCCTGCTCCCCTCTCCCCAGGGCCACTGTGGCAGCTCTGGCAGGTCCTCTCACCACAGTTCCCGCCCTTCTCCTGTCTACTCCCTAACTACTGCTGTAGCTGCCTGAAAATAAATCTGACCACTCCCCGCTGCTCCTGGTTGCCAAAAGGAGGAAGTCCAAATTCCTCAACTGGGGGAAAGAAAGACCCCCACCACACCGCACCACAGCACTCCTTCAGCCCCATCCCCCACCTTCTGTGCCACAGTCCCCAGACAGTCAACTCTCCCAAGGACATGCTGTGGCCGGCCTCTGCCACCCAGTCTCCCAGCCTGCCGTGGCCCCCTTCTCAAATCAGCAAGTGAGGATAACAACAATGATCACGATTGTTGCTCATATCCATTGAATGTTTCCAAAGTGTTCTAGACGCTTTACTCACATTACCCTGTCTCCTTCTCAAAATAACTCAGTTGGCTGGGTTATGTGGGTTGTCTCAGCAGATCTGGCCCTTCTATAGATGAGAAAGCTGAGGTGAGTTAATTCATGTTAATCACAGCTAGGGAGGGTTCGGCAATGGGTCCCAGTGCGGGTAGCCTGGCAGGCTGAGAACTGACAATGGCAGGCTCTTGGGTGATGACCAAGGTACTCCGGAGGGGCAGAGGGCAGGGCAGAATGAGAGAGTGCAGGGAACACCTCTCTGGAGCCTGCACACACTGGGTGCGCCCTCCCTGGAGCTATCAGGATCCTGAGAGGGAACGGGGAGGGGGTCTGGGTGCTTGAGCAGTGGAAAGCAGGAGGTGCAAGGGCTGAGGGGCGGGCACACCCACGAAATGGTCACCAGCTCAGGGCAGCAGGCTCAGGCTCAGGCTCAGCTGACACAGAAATGAGATGACACCGTACCTCATTTGCTGTGCAAACATCTGTGTAATTAGACACATTTGGTGCTGGCAGGGAGAAGCGAGCTACAACATGGGCTTGATGGATCGGGATTCTCCACCGGGCTCCAACCACATTCATCATGGAAGCCAGAGCCACGGGGCCATTTTCCTCACAAGCTTTGCCCTGGTTCTCACCTGGGACACTGGGGGCGGAAGAGGTGAGGGCATGGGCTTTCCAGAGCCCAGGGCCAGCCCCGAGGCTCTTGCTGTGTCCCCCACTCAGTCTGGCGGGAACCAACTGTCTTGAGGATAGTGTGGAGCCGCTGGAAGCCCACCCCAGCAGGACCGCGTAGGGACGGGGGGCTCTGGGAGCACCATGCTGCTGCCCATCACTGGGGCTTAACCAGACTAGCCCCTCCTTGGCTGGGGAGGAGATCTGCACCCCAGAGCCTGGTCTCCTTGCCCTCACGGAAGTAACTACCTTGCAGGGATGTCACACAGAAGTCACTGTGCCTCTCTGAGCCTCAATGTCTGCATCTGCAAGATGAAGCTTAACCCCCATCTCACAGAGCAATCAGGAAGATTCACCAGTACAATATACCAGGGCCCAGGGCCGTGCCTGGCCTGCTGCAGACCCATGCAAATTATAAATATGATTTACTGTATTCTACAGGCTGATGCCAGACTCCACACTGGGGCTCAGTGATCCCAAATAACCTGAATAACAGCCCCCAAGAACATCCACACCCTAATCCCTGGCATTTGTTAAGTGTTTCCTTCTACAGCAAACGGGACTTAAGAGACATGACTACTTTAAAGATCTTGAAATGGGAGCCACAAGTGGATTATCCCAGTAGGCCCGAAAGGCAATAGCAGGTGTCCTTAGAAGAGAGAAGCAGGGGAGAAAACTCCCACAGACTAGGAAGAGGGCAAGGTGAGGACAGAGCAAGGGGGAAAAGGTGATGTGTGTGAGGACGGGGCTGTAAGCCAAGGAATGCAGGCAACCTCCAGAACCTAGAAATGTCAAAGAGTCTCTCCTGGAGCCTCCAGAAGGAACCAGCCCTGCCAACTCCTTGATTTTAAGTACCATAAGACTTATTTCAGACTTCTGACCTCCGGAATGATATGAGGATAAGTTTACATTGTTTTAAGCCATGAAGTTTGTGGTAATTAGTTACAGCAGCCTTAGGAATCTCTTCAGGAATCCAACCAGTGAAGGAGCTGTGTAGGCCATGAGGGACAAGGCCATTTCTGTGGGCCTCTGGCTGGGCCACTCCTCCCTGCTGCATGCCAGCATCCACGGCCCCCTTCTCCAAGTGCTCTGCGCACACCCCACCCTCACTGGCAAGGGAAGGAAGCAGGCCCTACCCAGAGCTGGAGCATGGCAAAGCCTGGTGAAGACCCAGGCCCCTTCCCAGCCCAGGGCTCCCACCTACACAGGGAAGGACGGCACTGAGGGCCTCCCTTCTCAGTGGGGGCTCTGCCTGTAGCCAGGGCTGTCAAGCTGGAGCCTGCAACTGCATTACCTGCAAGGCGTGGCACACATAGACACAGACCCCTTCCGTGGAGTCTCTGACTCAATGGGGCTGGGCTGTGGCCTGAGGATCTGCAGTACCCACAACAGACTCCCAGGGGACACTGCTGCTGCTTGGCCAGGGGTTCTGGGAGCGACTGGACTCGGGGCAGTGCCCTAACGAAGGGCCGAGGTGCTGTCAAGAAGGGCTCGGCTGGACTCGTCAGAGGGACCCATGGTCCATACTTACGCTCCCACAAGAAAGGCCAGCATGCAGCGGAGGGCCTGAGCTCAGGGGGCTGGAACTTGATTTCTAACTTGCAAAGTGGGTGAGCCATAGGGTTAGTCATCTACCCACTCTGTGCTGCTTCAGTTCCTTCATTTGTAAAATGGAAAAACACAAAATGACTCTTTTTTGGGTTGTTGAGAAGATTAAACGGCATGAACACATAAAAGCATTTACAGCAGGGCCGGTTCACAAGGTCAGTTATGATGAGGAAGGCAGTCATCGCTGTTGGGGTCTTCCTACACTTCTGGTGGTGCCTCTACACACTTCAGGTGTATAGGGAGAGGTGAACCAGGACATTCACCTGCAGGCAGAAGCACTCCAGCATGGACTGTCTCTGCACAAAGCTCTCAGCATTGCCCAGGTCTCCTGACCAACATCCCGTGCAGGGAGCACTTTGAGGCAGGCCTGCTATGCCCAGGATCCGTGTCATGGAACCAGCCAAACATGACTCATGAGCAAGAAATCAGCAACAGCAACCCCCTCCCAAATAGGGACTGAGCTCCCTGGATGCTCCTAGGAGTCTCAGACACCACTGACTGGGCAATTTTTGGGTGGCCCAACTAGTTCCAAACACATGCACCTTCCAGAGGTTTCTCCAGCTGTGGTCTCAGCCACCTGCAGGTGGAGGGGCCCTGGAGGTGAGCAGAGGGTGGAAATGACTCCAACACCCACCAGGCAGACATAAGGCTGCGGCAGCGGATCCTAGTCAAGTGAGAACCAGGTATGCACACCGAAATAAAACAAAAAGTTCCCAACATGTCAACGGGACACAGAGGACAACTGGAAGGGACCCCAACGGCCAAATCTGGGACAACTGGAAGAACACAATAAATATTGGTAGTAATAGAGTATAACCCATAGAATCACACAAAAAACCATGCATCCATGTGCATAACAATAGACAACCAAATATACAAAGAAATGTGGGAGGCGGGACAGCTTTTCCTTACAGGAGAATTCCAACCACTAAATGTGGACAAAATGATAGAAACAGAAAATCGCCATTTGGCAAACACTAGTAACGACTGTTTCTGGCAAGAAGCATCGATGGATGTATAAGTTAACGGATGAAAATATGATAAGAAACAGGATATTTCCATATCCTCTAAGTATTACCCCACAAAATACTTATTAATTACGAACGGGACAACTTTAAAGCGGAGAAGCCAGCAGACAGGCCCATAACCAAATGATCAACATTTCCAGCAGTGAGAAGCGTGAAGATCATAGGCCTCCTGACAGGATGCCTGCAAAGGACAAACATCACTTTTATAGTATTATTCCCCAAAACGCATGATCCGAATGTCATCATGAAACAGCATCAATCAGGCAAACCCAAACCCAGAGACATCTTATATAGTAACTGGCCAGTACTCTTTAAAACTGCCAAGGTCATGAAAGACAAAAGAGACTAAGGAACCGTCCCAGACAGGAGATGACGAAGGAGTCTCGGCAACCAAGTGCCACGTGGGATCCAGGATTGGGTCTTGAACCAGGAAAAAAAGACACTAGTGGGCAACTGAGCAAATCTGGATAAGCTCTGTGGGTGAGTGAAGAGCATTCTGTCAGTCTTGGGTTATGTAAGATGCCCACATTTGAGGAGCTGCGTGAAGCATATACAAGAAAGCCTTTATGGTTTTTGGAACTGTTTTTGTATGACCTTAATTATTTCAGAGTAAAATATTTAAAAGTAAAACAGTTTTTAAAAAGAAAGTAGAAGTCCCAGGTTTGCTCCGTCTTGGGGAGGCAATGGGTGTCCGGAAACAGGACTCTGCTGAGGCACAATGCTGTGAGCACAGTGAGGGCCCAGCAAGTGTTGACTGACTTCACTGGGATGGGAGATGGTAGAGGAAGGAGGATGTGCCTTCATAGGTGGCGGCAGGCGGGGAGAGGCTCTCCACTCAGCGAGCACTGGTTGTACACCTATTCATGTCAGCATTGAGACACAGAGGTGAGAGGAGAGCTCAGAGCTGGCTGGGAGGCAGGTGCAAAAACAGATGATGATGCTGTGGATTGAGGGCAGCAGCCCCCGCTCAGTGTGAAGGATCACACTGCCCCTGAGGAGGTGACTCCTCGGTTGAGGCTTGGAGGTGGCCTGTTGGGGGGAGATTCCAGGCACACTGGGCAGGCAGCTGGCCCCAGGCACAGAGACATGGGACAGAACCACAGACAGCACCTTGGCATGAACAGGTGAGGGGGCTGGAGGGTGTGGGCATGAAGATGCTGGGTCGAGAGGGGTCTTGGGGCTGGCTGACCTTTGTAAGAGCTCTCCTGGAGGCAGGTGCGGGGAGCAGTGGAGAGTTTGGGGGTAGGGAGAAGGAGGGGCCTTCTTTCCTGGAAGGAGGACGGATGGGATAGCCAGAGACCAAGACTTTTGAGCCCTAAAGGCCAAGAAATGACACCAGCCAATGGGCTTAGAGGCCCCAGGTGGGTATGACAGGGACAGGGTTAGGCAGGTGGAGACCACAGGGTGACCCCACACCTTCTACCTGGGGACTTCAAAGCTGGGAATAGGAAGGGCCCCAAAGCATCACTTTGAGCTTGTCCTTTTAAGTATGGTGACTATACAATTTACTATTCAAAGGGGGACACTTGAAGAAGTGAAAAAGGGTGCTCTGAATTATTATGCTGGAACAACAGATACCTAAGATCACCTTACTTATATGGGATCTTAGACCTAGAGAGGATTCCCACTTCATGGATGAAGAAAGAGCTCCAAACCATGTATAGATACACCAAGGAAGCCCAGAGCCTTATAAGTGGTGATGTGGGCTCGGGGGTGGTTGGTGTTTATACACTGCCCACGCACATGCTCACACAGGGTCCCAGGCCATGATAGCAAAGGTGATCGCCCGCTCAGGACAATGTAGATCAGGAACCCCCAAAAGAAAGACAGAGGCAGGAGATGTGGCTGAGGCTGCCGGCCCAGCCTCCCCATGGCAGGTGACTGCACGCCAGGAGCAGCAGGCAGAGGGCAGGACTTACCCGTGCACACCGTGGACAGAATGAGGCTCGTAATGGTACCTTCCTTCCTGGTGTCGCATGTCAATCGGTAGGGGCGCATGGAATGGTGGCAAGAGATGCTGCGGCACTGCAGAGGGGGAGAGAGAAACAAGACTTCAAAAACTTTCCCCCTCCCTCAAAAAGCTACTTTCAAAGGGCTTTAAAGCTCAATGAATTTCATAGCAAGAGCAGCCAGGACAAGGGGCTCCGCAGTGCCCGCGCGATCACACACCCACGAAGGGGGATGAATAAATAATCAAAGTCTGCCCGAGAATTCTACATCTTTCACATAAAAGATCCCCAACTGCGCTCTTGACAAAGACAAGCAGCTAAGCACTCTTTGAACTCGGGGAGATTACAGGCAGGGCCACAAAACTGGGCTCAGCCCGCAAATCAGGGCTGACAGAGCGACAGGCTCCAACTCCGCCGGCTTCTGCCCATGCCGGCCCTGGCTGCGTGTGGCTCCAGCAGCACCAGGTTACGGCATCCGGATGCTGCAGTGCACGCAGGCTGGAGGTGTTGACCTAGAGCCATTTGTGATGGCACGGCCCACAGACGGTGCCGCCAGCCTCAGGAAGGCCAAATCCCACCCAACTGCTGTCCCGTTTTGCTGGCAGTATAAAGTGGACATCTATGTGGATCTGTTAGTTCTCCAGCTCTTAATATTAATTCTTGACCCCTAAACGCTGTCGGGTGCCCCCAGGATCGAAAACGCCAGCACGTGCGTGTCAGTTTCCAGAGCTGAGTCAGCCTCCTGTCTGAACTTGGCCTGCCCTCGACAAATCATCATGATAATTGTAGGATGCTCTTTGTTTATTAAAAGAAAAAATTCCTGGGTACCCTGGAGGCAAACATAATTATAGGCTTTAGGAAAAGAAGGCTTTTAACAAAGTAGTTATACTGGGAAAAGGGCTAAGAAGTGGGGATTTCTTAGTCAACTCTCCCTCAGTCTGAAGGCCACAGGCCAGTGGGAAGCAGGGTTAAGTTTGGATTTCTGAATATTTTAAAGAAATGTGGATGGGTTTGTGATAGGTATGTACAGGTCAGCTGACTGCTAGGCTAAGAAATGCAGACAAATTTTTAGGAGAGATGGGGTTTCATCATGTTGGCCAGGTTGCTCTCGAACTCCTGACCTCCATCTGCCTCGGCCTCCCAAAGTGCTGGGATTACAGGCAAAGAGCGAAACTTCACCTCAAAAAACCAAAAAAGAAACAGACAAACAAAAAAATATAGAAAAATAATGCTACTAACTGTTTCTGTGCAAACAGATTCTGGTACAATACCATAAATACTATGAATTCTTTTTTTTTTTCTTGCAGTAAAGACATCTGAAATTTACCATTTAAATCTTTTTTTTTTTTTTTTTTTTTTTTTTTGAGACGGAGTCTCGCTCTGTCACCCAGGCTGGAGTGCAGTGGAGCGATCTCGGCTCACTGCAAGCTCCGCCTCCTGGGTTCACACCATTCTCCTGCCTCAGCCTCCCGAGTAGCTGGGACCACAGGTGCCCGACACCACGCCCGGCTAATTTTTTTGTATTTTTAGTAGAGACGAGGTTTCACCGTGTTAGCCAGGATGGTCTCAATCTCCTGACCTTGTGATCCGCCCGCCTCGGCCTCCCAAAGTGCTGGGATTACAGGCGTGAGCCACCACGCCCGGCCCATTTAAACCATTTTTTTACATGCACAGTTGAGTGGCATTAAGCCCCTTTGCATTGTTGTGTAATCATCACCACCATCCATCTCCACAACTGAAACTCTGCACCCACGAAACACTAACTCCCATTACTCTCCCCCAGCCCCTGCACATTCACCATTCTACCTCCTGCCTCTATGAATTTCCCATGCTAGCTATTCCATGCAGGAAAGATCAGACAGTATTTGTCCTTTTGAGACTGGCTTATTTCACTTCGCATAATGTCCTCAAGGTTCATCCATGTTACAGCCTGTGCCAGAATCTCCTTCCTTTTTAAGGCTGAATAACAATCTATTGTATTGGATAGACCACATTTTTTTTGTCCACTCATCTGTCAATGGATGCTTGGGTTGAACACAATGGATTCTTAATGGGAAGAAATTTTTCTCCTGAAATTTTAACTTTAATTTTTACATGTTCAACTCCATCTTCATAATTTCACAATACTGGCACTTTCCATGGGGACCAGGAAAAACAAAAAGCAAATCTTCTCACCCTGATTCAATCAGTTTCCCCAACTCAGACTCAAAGAGGAGTTGGTTGCAGGCACGTGGTCCAAGCCTCTGGGCCAGCTCTCACTTCCAGAGCCACCAAGTGCTGGAAGGACAACCTTTTCTCTGAGGCCCTGGCCCTGCACAGGTGAGCCGGGCATGTGGCTGTGACTAAGGTGGCTGTGACGGGACCACCAGGTGCTCCGGAGGCTGGGAACCCTGAGGGTCAGAGCTCACTCACCTGCTGCATGACTTTTGTAAGTTTCTTTGCCTCTCTGAGTCTCCATTTGTTCATCTGAAAATGGATAACAGTAACTACCTACATGGCTGTGGTGAAGACGTAAAAAGCCCACACACAGGAGGCGCTTCGCCCGGAGACTGTGCAGATAGGACACACTCAACAAGTGTCACTGCTGAGGAGGACAAGTAGCACTCATGTTTGGAGCCTCCAAAGTCCATCATCAAACTATGAATTTACTAATGTGGGGCACAGGAAAACTGGCTCATACTGGTTGCAAACCCTAGGGAGGGTGGGGGGCCAAGCACTGCTTGCTCACAGACCAAGAGACCACTGGATCCCCAGGGAGTCAGCAGGGAAACAGTGTTCGCTTTCCCAAATGTGTAGAAAAGGGCCTTAAAAACATGGCAGGGCAGACCAGATTTCAGTATTTTGCCAACAAAATAAAAATGGTTGTGTGTGTATGTGTGTGTGTGTGTGTGTGTATTTCTAAATGTTTCCTTGCACATCCAGAAGCCCCCTGATGCAACTAGTGTTACTATGCCCATTAAAGAGATGAGGAAACGGAAGCCAAGAATGATTCATGGCCTTGCCCAAAGTCACAGGACTAAAAAACGACAGTGCCAAGAGGAGAATCGAAGGCTCTGAATGGCTTTTCCCTCCACCCAGCCTAAATGACACTCGGAGGCAGCTCCCAAGTGCCAGGGTGATCCCAGACCCCCATCGACCCACCACGTCCCCACCTTGCTATGTACTTTAGTTAACAAATGCACACACAGTCCACAGCTCTGCTTTCAGCACTTGGCAAATACCAGCTCCTGGGTCTTCCCAGCGACCCCAGGAAGCTGCATTCAGTCCAGGATTCCTTGGTCTTCACACAGGCCATCCCCCAGCACCCTGGTGTGCCTACCATTCATGGTCTTGCTCCTCCAGAGGCTGAGGGGGGGTCTCCTAATGCCATCAGAGCCCAGACCACCCCACCCTACCCCCAGCTATGAGCTGACATGCTCTGCTCAGGATTCAGGATTCAGGCAACTTCACCCAGGTCTATAAAGTCTATGGAACATTGTGAGCTTCAGTGGTTTGCCAGGCAAACATGAAGTACAGGTACCACTGAGGCTGCCTCTCTGCCCCACAAGACTAAGCCATGGTGTGTGTGTGTGTGTATGTACGTGTGTGTGAGGTGTGTTTGCATATGTGTGTGGTATGTGTCTACATGTAGCGTGTGTGGGGTATGTATATGTGTGTGCTGCACGTGCATGTGTGAGTATGTGCAGTGCGTGTATGTGTGTAGTGTGTCGTGTGTGTCTCTGTTGTAGTACGTGTGTGTCTTTATATGTATGTGTATCGCTATATGCGCATGTGTGTTGTATGTGTATGTGCGTTGCTGTGTATGTGCATGTGGTGTGTGTGTTGCTGTATGTGGATATGCTGTGTGTTGTATATGTATGTGTTGCTGTGTATGTGTGTGCTGTATGCGTGTGTTGCTGTGTGCATATGCATGGATGTTATATGTGCATGTGTGTTACTGCGTATACGTGCATATGTATGCTGTATGTGTGTGTTGTTGTATGTGCATGTTGCTGTGTGTATATACATGTGTGTTGCTGTGTATATGTACATGCATGTTGTATGCATGTGTTGCTGTGTGTATATGCATATGCTGTGTGGTATGTGTCTGCTGCCGTGTTTATGTGCATGTGTGTGTTGTATGTGTACATATGCATTGCTGTGTATGTGTGTGTTGTACATGTATGTTGCTGTGTATGTGTGTGCTGTTGTGTGTGTGTGTTGCTGTGTATATGTGTACGTGTGTGCTGTATGTGTATAAGTGTTGCTGTGTGTATGTGGAGGTGGTGTGTGTATGTTGCTGTGTATGTGTATGTGTGCCATATGTGTGTGTTGCTGTGTGTATGTGCATATGGTGTGTATGTTGCTGTGTATATGTGTGTGTGTGTGCCATATGTGTGTATTGCTGTGTGTACGTACATGTGGTGTGTGTTGGAGGAGGGGCCTGAGGCTTCCAGAAAGAGGCCTGGGGAGGGTTCCCACAGAGTCCTGCTATAGTGGGGCCTGCCGTCTGTTGTCTGGCAGCTCCTGGGGTGGAGGCTGTGGAGGTCACAGGAGAAGCACTTTCTCTTTCTCCAGGTAGGCAGGGCTGCAGGTGGCACCTCTTACCAGCTCTGCTGCTCTCCAGGAGCCTGGGTCACCTGTGGAATGTGCAGGCTGCACCCGTGCACTCCTCTCTCACCCCCTGGAATCCCCAGGAGGAGCCTGGGAACACGTGTTAGTGGGTCCTCCTGTCCTGGCGGTGATGTGTGAGGTTGGCCAGGGCAGAGTGGCAATGTGCCCACTAGGGTTGCTGTTGTGGGGGCTCATCTCCAGCAAGGTCTGCTGCCTCATGGGGCTTTGCTGACAGCACCTTTAGTTTTACCATTAACCTTGTTCTTATTCCCATTTTTCAGGAAAGAACATCAAGGCTCAGGGTGGTGGGACTCTACTTCCATAAGAGCAATGATCCATTGGGTGGTAAGTGACTGGTGGTCTCATAGTCTTTTCCCCACACAGCTCAGCCCAGCACCCAGCATGCAGCAGGCCTTCAGTGAGTAGGGCCTCTGGCACTGCTATCCCAATACAGTAGCACAGTGTTTGCCCCAGGATGGACAGGGATGTATAAGGCCAGCTAGTCGGCCAAGTTGCAAGGAGTAAGACCAGGGACCTGCCCAGACCCTTCCGCTCACCCTCAGAGAGAAGACCCCATCTATTCACATCAGCAGTTGTGAAGTATGAATAGCTGTCATCTAGAAATATTCATTCACTCATTTATTTATGCATGCATGCATCTACCTTGTATCAAGCATTTGCTATGTGGCAGGCACTGTTCTAGGCCCTGGGAACAGTGTTGTGACAAGGCAGCCCACACCATGGCCCAGTGAGAGGAGACAGGTGGTGGACAAGTCAGCAAACATATTTATAACATAGTGTCAGAGGGGGATGAAGCTAAGGAGGAAATCCACCTGGGAGAGGGAACAGAGGAGACATGGATGAGGCACGGAGGTAAGTCAGCCTCTTTGGAGAAGGAGCTTGGGGCAGAAGGAATAGCAAATTCAAAGGCCAGGTGTCAGGAGAACTCAGTGATTTCAGCATGAAGGCTAACTTGCCAGGCACAGAAGGATGGATGGAGGTGGAAAGGCAGGAGAGAAGGTCCTATCACACTAGCCAGGCCATGGGAAGAACCTTGGGATTTTTTTCTGAGCAATCTGGGAAGCCCCTGGGAAGTCCTGAGCAGGCAGTCACCTGCTCTGATACAACTTTTGGAAATGCTGTACAAGGAGGGTCCAGTGCTGTGGGGCAGTGGTGCCCATCCGCCAGGAATCCCAGACTGGCCCTGCCGCTAGGTGGCCATGGGACTTTGGGGAAATTATGTCCCTTCTCTGGGTCTCACACTCCTTGTACAACAGGGATTAGAGGAGCTATGAGGTCCCTTCCTACTGGCACATTCCTGCTATCTGTAAATGGTTGCCCACTTCCCAGGCAAAGGGCCTCGCTTATTCCAGCCAGTGACACCCCAAGGCTTCAGGAGGGACCTCCTGAGCAGGCCCAGACCAGGGCTCTGGGTGCAGATGCTGGCTCATCTTTGTGGCCCTGTATGTATAATGACTGACCCAACGGCCCTTCTAACCCACTTGACACACCAGCCCCAGCCCCAGCCCCAATCCTCTGAGCCCAGGTATAATAGGACAGCACCCCAACACCCCCCACCAACACACATGCACACACGTGCACACACAGTCTCTACAGACCACCTTTTCTTCCCAAGTAACCTGAGGGATAAAGGTTGACCCTGACTCATTGGTGGTCTCTTTCAGACCAGCACGGATTGTCCCACAGCCCCCGATGGAAACATTCAGAGGTGAATGCCTTGCTCAGAGCCCCCTGGCCAGGCTGAGGAGGGAAAAATTCTGCTTTCCAACTCTGGCAAGAAACTGCTGCATCCAGAGGCTGCAGAAGCCCACGAGGAGCATGAAGATGCGTGGGAAGAATAGGCGCTGCCTTGAGTGACATCCTGAGCCAGACCCTTACACACACAGCTTTCATTGTTGGCTTTTGTGTTTTTTTTTTTTTTTCAAGTAAAAGAAAAAATCCAAAATTAATCATGTCCTTCCGGCAGAGGGACAGACACACCATCCCCCTGAAAACATACACACCCCGTATGCCATTTCAAAGAAATGACTCTCTTTTTAAGTTTCTGAGGAAGAAACTCTAAGATGGGAATTTTCAATGGATCATCACTCCCCTCTGGAAAAAAAAATGCACATTTGTTTTTGATCCTACACAGAAAGCCCAACAGCCTGAGAAGCTGAGGGTGGCGGCGGAGTGACGGCTTTTTCTTTAAAATCCTGGAACTTTTCTACGCTGCAGTTTCAACACCAAATGTTTCTTGCTGGCGGTCCCAGGGCGAGCAGACATTGGTGTGGGCAGTGTACTGGGTGTAATGGTCTTCTTGTGTTAGTGAGGAGGGCAGTGAGGGGGCAAGGACAGCCCTTCCCCGGAAACCTGGCTCAAGTTAATGCCCCATTAGAAATGATCCTGTGGATTCCTGGGGGAGAGAAGGAGGTAGGGGTCTGCAGAGTTCAGACAAAGAATCGGGAAAACTGGGTCATGGAAACATGACCAGGCGGCCTCCATCAGCAGCCGGAGGAATTCTCCTCGGATGAAGTCATGTGTTGCCACAACGCAGAGGCACTGCCCCGTGGCTGGGCTCCCAGAGAAGCCTGAGGGCCTGTTCCACGGCAGAGAGGCCAGGGAGGTGAAAGCAGCCACCTCCCAGGACAGAGTGGCTGTGTTGGGGATGCCCCAGCCCTCTGGGCTGTCCAGTCCTAGAGATTAGCACCATCTCCAGTTACCATGGTCTCTTCCATCAAGACTGCGGGAGGGAATTAGCTTGGAAGCATGTGGTCGCTGTGCACCAGGCCGGCCTGGACCAGAGAAGAAACCGGTTTCAGAGAGAAATCGAGTTGCCCCAGCACTGATGGAGGGAAGGTGAGGCCCAGCCTTGCACCATACAGGTCTGTGTTACGACGAGGCAGCGCAAACACATCTCAGTGCAGCTTGTGGGCCCGGGAAGGAAGGCAGTGGCATGGCTGGGGCCTGGATCCCCATCCTTCTTGGGCAATTGGCCGCTCCAGGGTCACCATGTAGGAGGCCAGTGCGGTAGCTGCATCCATGACCAGAAATCAAGGAAGGGCGCATGAGGCCTTTGGTTCCAAACACCAGGGCCCTCAGCCCCTTGGCTGTGGCCAGGATGGGGAAGCCCGGTGATGCTGAGTGTTGCTGTGGAGGGTTCCAGGGATTGGCTCCCATGCTGCAGGTGTGAATCCCAGGGGACAGTGCTGGAGCCACGTGGAGAGAGACTCCTTTGGAGCAGCCATGTTGCACCCACCGGGTGGGCCCCGTGTCAGGACCATAGGTCCCCATGCCCTGTCCACCTGCCACACTCAGGTGGCCTCTGTGATGCCCACATGCACCTTCCCAGCCTTCAGGCCAGGAGGCTTTGGTCTGTGTGGGACCCTGGCCAGCACTCGCACACAAAGCACTCCTGGGGTGCCTGCTCTGCGTCGGGTCGGGCACTCTTACGTGAGGAGTGGACTCCAATCAGCTGAAGTGGAGGCATTCTTACTTGGCACGTCTCTGGGATGACTGGAGAAGGGCTTTTTGACATCCAATTTTGTTCCCACTATGGGGGACTTTGGGATTCTCCAGTTAAAAACTAATTTATCATGTTCCTTTAACTTAGAATTCCTTGCATATTAAGTAACATCCAGCACAGTATTATTTTCTTAGAAGCAAACAGAACTTGGGAGTCATGGGAATGGATTCACACCAAAGTGTAGATGGCTTACTGGTTGCTTTTCTCCTAATGGAAGGACCTAGGCACAAAATACACCAATATCTTTGGCAAAAGAAGGCGCTAGTGTAGAAGAAAGAAAAAAGCAGTAGAGGGGCAGGCTGGAAGTCAAGGTAACCTTTGCAGTCAGAGTGAAGTCCAGCTTGCTCCAGTGTCACACATCAGCCAGAGGACAGTCCTACAGGACATCACCTGTCCCTGTTGTCTAAGGAGCTTGGGATAGGAGCAGAACGCACCTGAGCCATGAATCCAGACAGACCTGAGTGTGAACCACGGCTCTGTCATTCGCTAGCAAGTAATGAGTGTTCCAAGCTTCAGTTTCATCATCTGTAAAATAGGAATGACATCAACCCAACTGCTGTGAAGAATATTTATGGTGGGCTGGGCGCAGTGGCTCACGCCTGTAATCCCAACTCTTTGGGAGGCCGAGGTGGGTGGATCACCTGAGGTCAGGAGTTTGACACCATCCTGGCCAACATGGCGAAACCCCATCTCTACTAAAAATACAAAAATTAGCCAGGGGTGGTGGTGCAAGCCTGTAATCCCAGTTACTGGAGAGGCTGAGGCAGGAGAATAACTTGAACCTGGGAGCTGGAGGTTGCAGTGAGCTGAGATTGCGCCAATGCACTCCAGCCTGGGAGACAGAGAGAGGCTCCATATCCAAAAAAAAAAAAAAAAAAAGAATATTTATGGTGTCCATAGAGTAGAAACCCCTAATAAGTCATAATGCCCTTCCCCATCTCTGAGCAGATGTGACAAGGGTCCCGGTGCTATGGTAATGAAGAGAACTTTTCCTCCATTCCCAGTATAAGGGACATTGAGATGTATCAGATAGAAACTCATATAAGGCATCCACCGATGCTCCCTCCTTCAGCCATCCAGGTCTGATCTAGGGATACGATGTAGTTCAGACACATCACCCCACTCATATGGCCTTGACATACACAGGGTTTGGGCTCCACCCAGCCCAGCTCTGCAGCTGTCTCTGGAATCCACGGCGGAGCTGCTCACCACCCAGGGCAGAGTTCTCCATGCACAGATGTGTACTCTGTGCAAACTCACTGCTTGACAGAGTGAGGATGCAGGAACTGATGAAAGCCATGGCTTTGCAGGAAAGATCTTCTATAAATTAATCCCTGCTGGCCACTCACCCCTATTCCCAGATGACCAATCCCCAGGAGGCTTAGGCTGGCTACTACAAGCTCTGGTGGTTCCCACCATTCTTTCCCTAGTGTCTGTGTCCATGCTGCCCGCAGAAAATAAGCAGGGGAGGGAACTTGCAAGGTGGTCTGGGAGTTCAGGTGAACACTATTGTGAATTCCGTTTAAAAGGAGGGCTCCCACTCTCCTTGTCTGCATCAGCCACATATCCCATGGCTGCAGCAATAACTCCCCTCTTGGGAAAGTCAGCAGCAGGAGAAGCCCAAGGCAGAAGGGATGTGACCAGGTCCCAGCCTATGACATCTCATGAAGGCTCCTCCTGTGTGCTGCAAGGCAGCAGCAGTGCAGAGGATGGGGTCTCCTCTACAATTCAATTATTTTACACCAAACCCAGTACTACTTCCCTCCAGGAAAGGGGGCGCATGGATGGCCTGGACAAAGCTGCAAGGAGGGCAAGGCTGGGCAGGGTACTGCATCTTCAGGCTGCTTCTGGGCTCTGCCAGGAAGCACAGGCTCAGGAGAACAGAGTGGGGCCTGAATGCACACATGTGCCATCTCGGGGCCCTGGGCCAGGTCTGAGTTGTCAAACAAGAACAGATGCACCACTGGCTACATGGTCGTCAATGACTCCCCAGTCTCAACAGAGAGAAAGAAAGTGAGAGTGATTGCTACTTTCCATTCCACGCTTAATGTACAATTTGATCAGTTAAACCACTTAATCCTATATGAAACAGGAATGTGAAGACACCTTATGAAATGAAAAATGTTAACCTCATGGGTAAGGATGGCGATCAGCACCGTCATTCTGGTGATGAACCCCAGAAGGCCAGCGCCCTCCCAACACCAATGATGCTGGATGTCAGCTTGCTGTTTGCATGGCTAAGGTCGCTTCTGGCCATTTATTCTGGGCTTGTCACAAATCCCATGGAGCAAGACTCTGCTCTCTCCTATTCCTGTGGAGATCCCAGGCCCAATCCCCAGGGAAGTTGTACCTAAAGGCTTCCCAGAAGATACCAGAAACGACGACACCAGCTTCAAAGAAGAGGCTGGATGCTCCCTCCTTCAACCATCCAGGTCTGATCTAGGGATACGATGTAGTTCAGACACATTGTCCCACTAATATGGCCTTGACATACACAGGCTTTGGGCCCCATCAAGCCTGGCTCCACAGCTGTCTCTGGAATCCACGGCGGAGCTGCTCACCACCCAGGGCAGAGTTCTCCATCCACAGTTGGAAGTCACAACCACACACCCTGCTGCAGGTCAAGGCTTCCCCTACTCGCTCAATGTAAGAGGACGCTGCTCATGGGCTCTGGAGGCCACAGAGAACAAGAGGCATAATTCCTGCCCACAGGGAGTGCCCCGGGGCGCTGCTGTGTAAGCCACTGCCACAGCTGGAGAGCCTGACCCTGCGGGATTCAGCGAGGCCCACGCAGCACAAACTGCCCAAGTGGCCTCAAAGTCAGGAAAAGATTTCCATGAGGTCTGGAGCAGCCAGGAAGGCTCATTGGAAGAGGCCAGACCTGGCAGAGCCAGAAGGAAGGGGGAGGATGGCAGGCTCTTCAGGCTCAGGGCAGTGCGGACAGTGAGCCCAGGATGCCCAATTGTGCCCTGGCACTGAACCGAGTGAAGTGTAAGCCCCGGTGCAAAGCATGTGGCCTCTCCTATACATACAGGATGAGGAACATCTCTTGCTGGCGTCCTCGAGAGGAACACATGATGTAATACACATAGTAAGAGGTACATGATGAAGCACCCACTAAGCCCTGATATCGGGGTTTCTCAGGCTGTTGCTGGGCCCTGTTGCCAGAGCTCCTGCCTCAGTGAGCCTGGGCATGTCTAACAGGTTCCCAGTGATGCAGATGCTGCTGCTCCAGGGACCACCCCGGGAGGGAGACTCACAGGCCCTTTGGCATTTCCACACTTGCTGTGGCTCCATAGTTCCCAGTTGCACAGTAAGGAAGGGGAAATCATTTATCATGTCCATGCGCCTACTAGGCATTGTACTAACTGGAGAAACTCAACACAGAAGATCAGAGAGGCGGGAGTGGGGGAGACATTTGAATCCTGGTGACCATTTACCAGTGCTTCTGAGCAGCAGCTGCAAGGGGTCTGGGTGCCACTGGGAATGCAGGTTTGGAAGGCATCCAGGGGTCTGTGCTTTTCGATGGTACATGAATGAAAGTGCACACCAGGGCTGGGAGAGGCTGCCAGGGACTTTCTCCCCTTGCTAGGGAGCCTTGGTCTGTTCTGAGATCCTGACACTTTCAAAGGCCAGCCCTTCAGCCACGTGAGCCCAGGTGACCAGGTGTTCGTTCGCAAATGAGGACGAAGTCACTGGCCTAAGCATCAGAGGTAGGAAGCACCAAAAGAGCACGAATCATGGAAAACCTCCTTCCCCAGGGCCTTATGCAAATGGCACCATGATTTTCAATAATAAGCCACAGGACAGGAGAATTCCAGAGGCCCTCCTGATGCCCAGCCACCACCCCACAGGAAGCATTTAATAAGAATAATATCCTGAATGGCCACTCCACAACGTGCAACTAAAAAGTGCTTCTGTCTCACTTGGGGGAAAAACGTGGGGGGAGGAATTAAAATCAGACAGGAAATTCCAACACCACGAGCTGGCTGGTGTCCGGCTGGCTGAGGCCCAGGCCACTCACGCAATCAGGCCTGCCCTGCAGACACAGCCTAGCAGGACCCGTGGCCTCTGCTGGGTCCGCCCACGCACACTGCCCACCCCAGGCTGAGGTGTTACTTGACAAATTAGCTGCCGAAAGAGAGAGTGTGCTGGGCTGGGGCCAGCACAGCCACTCCACACCAGGCACAGAGTTCTGAGACTGGTCTCCTGGTGAGGGCAGGTAGGGATGCAGAGGGACCTGCACATTCCAGGGTGAGGAGTGTGCTCCAGCCAACGCCACGGGAGAGGCCAGCCCCGTGCCATTTGGGTCTGGCCGCTCGGGAGCCAGGCAGTCATGGGATCTGTTCCCTGCAACAGTGGCCTTGAAGTGACAGGAGACAGGCCACAAGAGGCGGCATAGTGTCCTGTTGGACAGAGCTGAGGCTGCCGCCAGTGCCACAGCCAAGTCTGGCTTGATTGCTGACTCACCGAACCTTCCTGTGCCTCGGTGTCCTTATCTGTAAAATGAGGATAGGGACAGGACCCATGTCAGAGGGAGACTGTGAAGTGGAGAAGAGCTAGTGCAGGGCCAGGCACGCAGTAGGGCCCCGAAGGGTGCCGGTGTGGCCATCCCTACAGACCCCTCTGCTGGGCTCCTGCCCCTTTAGCAAGGGGTGGGAGACTGGGGTGAGCTCCAGAGGGACACCTGGGAGATCCCCGCCATCACAAGGAATGGGAGGGGCTGCCTGTCTGTCTGGGTAGACATGTAGAGTCCCACATTAGAGAATTTTAGGGCTGGAAGAAACAATAGGGCTGGTCAAGCTTGCTTAAGGTTGAAAACTCTGTCTTGGTCACAGAAGGTTTCTAAAAAAGTAGTGTGCAGCCTCCCCACTGCAAAATGCAATAGATTTGAAGCCCAGAGGACCATGGCTCCCAGGGACCCTGGCACCTTGCAGAATCCAATGCAGAAAGCAGGAATCCAGCCCAGGAGCTGGAGGAGACGGTGCCCAGGCCCTAGTGCTCCTTCCACCTGTCACAGGCCAGGGCTAGGCCAGGTGGCCTGGGATGGATTCAGGCTTTCCCCTAAAATCTTGCTGCCCCTTGACATACTCATTTGACAGTATACACTGGCGACCCCGTCAGCTGGCAGGGACCTTGTCGGCTAGCTATTGCAATGCTGACTGGTCCCCGGCAAGAAGCCCACTTGTCGCAGGTGATTCTCCCTTTCAGGAGGATGACCATGCCATTCCTCTGTCTGGTCCCCACGGGTCGTGAAGGTGTCACTTGCCATTCTGTGTACTTAACTAGCATCCAGCCCCTTCCCTGCAGAGCCCAACAAGAGGTTTCTTGATCTGGCTTATAGGTCCTGCCTTGCGTCCTGCCGAGAGCATCAAGTCCCAGCTTTGCACTCTGCCATAGCTCTTGAGACGACAGTAAGGCCACCACATTTGGTCTCCACCAGGCCCTGGTGATGGTTTCCCAGGCTGAGCCAAGGCACCTCTTTATTCCAGGCTGCATTCTGAGGCAGGGCCTGCCACAGACAATCAATGACCTTTAAAACCGGGCAGCGGAATCAGCCACCTGGACAAGCAAACGAGCACTGGGGCTGGACTTACTGTCTTTCTGCAATCAACAGGGGAATGACAAAATGCTCTCCATTCTTTCATCCAAGCAGGTCCCGTAAGGGCCACTTTCTGGGAGCCTCTTGTCAGTCCCAATAATTATGTTACTCAAAGGGATCCTTTACAATTCTCTCTACCTTGGACTAGAATCTTCCCTAGGTGTCCACTCATCCAATGCAGCCCTGGCCAACAGAAATACAATGTGGGCCACATATGTTATTGTAAATTTTCTAGGAGCCACATTTAAAAAAAACTAAAAAGAAACAGGTGATTATTTTAATAACACAATTTAATTGAACCAGTACGTCAAAAATACTATCACTTCAACATGGAACCAGTAAAAAAATTGTTAATGAGATGTGTTACATGCTTTTATTCCTACTACGTCTTCAAAACCTGGTACCTATCTTGCACTCACAGCACATCTCAATTAGGATAGCCACATTGCAAGCACTCAGCCACACACAGCTCGCGGCTACCCTACTGAACAGCTCAGGCCTAACTCGTTATCATTATTGACTTTCCACTGCTTCAGAATTCTAGTCTAGCTTAGTAAAAGTCCCATCAATACACAAAATATGGTGATGAGAATTCTCCCCAAACCTCAGTCCTTCCTCACCTTTGAATCTTAGCTTCCTACAGACTTCTATTTGGTCGCTTACATTTACTGATGAAAACACAGTTATTTTTCTTCCCTCCTTTCCTCCCTCCCTTCCATTCATTTAACTCACAAACGTTCCCAGAATCGTAGGAGGGTTACTTGCGATTCTGTGGGTGAGGCCGGTGCCCCGCCCAAGGGATTAAGTCAGCCTGTGCCTCTCTCCCCACCCTTCCACACCCTTGACCTCTCCGCGCAGAGCTGGTCGACAGCACCTCCCTTGTTCTGCCCTGGATTGCTGCCCGCTGCGTTCTTGATAAGCTTGGAGTGTTCCCAGACACGGGAGTGGGTGTGTGGACTCCCGAGATCTTCGACAAATAAGAGGGTCCGCAGAAAGCAAAGCCCATGCCGGGGTCATGAGGGGCAGTGCGGCAGGACCGTGGAGAAACACCGGGCAAGCCGTGTTACACTTTCGGACGCCTGGCTCCCTGCCCGTGTGATTCTGGACCCAGTTAACTGAATGATGGTTGGAGCACATGCCATTCCCACCACCCTCCCCACTCTCCCCACCAACGACCACTGTGGCGCATGGAAACAGTATTTCTCTTTGCTGGGATACGGTGTCCACCAGCAGGACTGGAGGCCAGTCCATGAATCCGTGGGAAGAGCCTGCTCCCCTATTTTGTTGGTTCAGAAACTGAGACACAGAATATGTGGTCTCATGACCCAACCCTCCAGCCCTGAGCGGTGCCCAGAATCTTATTTCCTAGAATAAGACTGTAGAAGAAAGGGAGGAGGAAAACATGCCAAAGCCTTCCTGACATCAAAAAAAAAAAAAAAAACCTCTTGCAAAACAATATTTTGATGAGCTAAGCATGTGAATTAAAAGCAGACAGAGTCTACTTCTTTTTAAATAAACAGGGTTTAAGATCTAGGGGAAAACTCCCAAATACAATGTGTTTCGGGGCCGGAGAAACCAGAGCTGCCCTTCCACAAACCCAAGAGCAGCCTGGCCTGTGCACTCTCATCCGAGGCGTTTGTGGGCAAAGGCCCTGCTTTGTGGGTCCAGTCACACCTCAGTAGGGGGACCAGGAGGAGGGTCTGAGTGACTGACAGGTGGTCCCCAGGTCCTGCCATTGCCAGCAGAATGGAGTCAAGAGCCCCAGCCTGGCACTCAGGACCTCCAGATCCTGCCCCACAGACTCTCCCAGCCCCAGGGTCAAATGACAGCCTTGCAGACCCCATGCCTCCTAGGCTCCACCCTGCCTAGAAAGCCCCTCCCCACCACACCCCCTCATCCTCATCATGCCAACTCAGCCTGCCCTCAGCAACCCCAGTCCACACGAGCCTGCCTCCAGGAAGCTTCCTGGACCTTTCTTCTGCCACCCCCCTCCACCGCAGGCAGACGATACTCCCTCCACACCATTTCCTCTGAGTCAACGACCAGCCCAGCGAGTGGCATGGAGGAGGTGAGGAGTATGTGCCCAGTGAGTGAATGAATGAATACATGAATGAGTGAATCCTCCCACTATTGGAAAACAGAACCCGAGGATAACAAGGGTGGCCAGTAGCTACCGACTGTCAGTCTAAATTAATTTAGGACCGAGGAGAGAAAGCCATGCTGCTCGGGGCCGCAGTAGGAGACAGAGCAGTTTCTAGGAGTCAGCCACGCACTGGCCCTTCCTTGGAGACTGGAAACCGCAGTGGTTCTAACAGCCAGTGCACAGGGCTTCCTTCACACTGGAGCCTTCCTGAGCATGTTGCATTTGTTAACTCATTTCATCCTCATAGCAATTGATGAAGGTATTGTTACTATTATCTCCACTTTAGAGATGAGGAAACTGAGGCACAGGAGCGTTCAGTAACTTGCCCTGGTTCAGTCAAATGGCTAATCTGTGTCACAGCCAGACCTCATGCCCATTTCTCTGAAATTCCAGACATGGGTGGGGTAGGGTAGGGCGGTATGAGCTCTTCTTGGACCAGGAAGAAGAAATGAGGCCGGGGGAAGGCCCAGGTCCCAGTCTTTGCCCGACTCATCCCCTGTTCTCCTGGGTGCCCACTCCCCCTCAGGGCAGCCTGGGCCAGGCATTGGTGTAATAAGGGTCACAGGTGTGTGATGGAGGAGGGAGCAGTACTCTGTGACCCAGGCCCTGGTAAGGAGGTGGAGCACCAACAAACTCCAGGAAACACAAGGCCAGCCTTGGTATTTTCACTTCATTCGTGGTCTTTCCAAAAGGAAATGTAACCCCTTAAAACAGAATGGGTCTGCCATGCAGCGGCATCTAAGTGCTGCCCAGGTACCCAGCGAAGTCAGAGGCAAGTCCGGGAGGGACCCAGGGGAGGGGAGTTATCTGTTTCCCCAGCTGTGTTCCTGGTGGCTGCTAATAACCCCCATGTATCATTCTGCCTGGCTCCGAAAACATTCTGACTGGCGTTAAAAATGGGCCCCTCTTCTGCCCGTGGCTTGGCGCCCCTGCAACACGTGTGGGATGCTGGTTGTTAGCATGCTGCTTGTGTAATTAGGGCGGCGAGGATGGCAAAGGGCCCACCCCGGGTCCCCAAGAGTGATTGCAGTTCAGAAAAAGCACCCACTTGGTTCTGCGCTGATTAATGATGGACCCCGCTAATAGCCCTGCTTAACACAGGAGTTTGTCAAGATTAAGTAATTGCCTGAAACAAAAAGTGTATTATCTTTAAGGCCCCACTGATGAATGACTGCTGCTAGGAAATGGGGTGATGGATGTCTGTGACTCCCTGCCACCATCCCTCCCCCATTTGCATAAATTAAAATGCATCCCTTGATTAGGCAAGAAGCCCTGACAGACCGTGCCAAGGGACCAGGTGGCTGAGGGCCCTGCTGTCACCCCTGGCTCAGGCCTGCTGACCACCGGGAGGCCCCAAACGGCTTGTTAGCATTATAAGTTGTGGGATGGACATAGGCCTCATGGGCAGGGGTGGACCAGATGCCCCAGGGGGATCAAGGTTGGGACATGACAGCTAAAAGGAGGAAACCACAGCACAGGAAAACGGAGGGGACCCAGAGGGAAATGGGACCCACAGCCCCAGCTATGGCTGGACGGAGGCTCACTCCACCCCCAGCTGGGCCTACACGGAGGAGCTGTAGCTATGGCTTCAGTCATCGGTCCCTTATGGAATAAATCTGTAGGAAGGCCTACGAAGGGTCTGCTGTCCCCAGGGTTGTGGGGTCCCCACCTGTAAAGTGGATTTTAAAATTTTATTTTATTTTATTTTGAGACGGAGTCTCACTCTGTCGCCCAGGCCGGAGTGCAGTGGCGTGATCTCAGCTCACTGCAAGCTCCGCCTCCCGGGTTCATGCCATTCTCCTGCCTCAGCCTCCCGAGTAGCTGGGACCACAGGCGCCCACCACCACTCCCGGCTAATTTTTTGTATTTTTAGTAGAGACAGGGTTTCACCGTGTTAGCCAGGATGGTCTCAATCTCCTGACCTCGTGATCTGCCTGCCTCGGCCTCCCAAAGTGCTGGGATTACAGGTGTGAGCCACCACGCCCGGCCTAAAGTGGGTTTATAAATGAGGGGGTGTGCACGATCTAACCACAGTCACAGAGGCATATTTTTATACCTCTGGGCATCAGGTTGCCAGGTCTGGGGCCATGAAGTCAATGTCCTTTGAGCATTTCTTTCCTTCTGGATGGCACTTTGTAAAAGACAGTTCACAGCAAGGGACAGAGCCAGGTGCAGTGGGAGGAAGCTGGCATGGGGTAGGGCTGACCAGAGATAGTGGCTGAGGGAAGGGCAGCAGGGGAGGGGAGCTGGGCTTGGTGGGGAGGGAGACAGTAGGGCCACATTTGAGAAGAGGCTGCAGGGCCCAGCCAGGCAGGGAACACCAGGTGGGAGGCACCTCCAGGTGATCTCTCTGTGGGACCCAACCAGGAAGAGCACTTTGGGCAGGAGCAAGCCCTCCCCACGTCAGCCAAAAGGCGGAGGGTGCATTTATTCCCAATGAATGACAACAATCATGCCACAATCCTATGGCTTCTGGTGGCTCAGGGGACCGGGGAACTGGGGGAGCCTCACAGCCTCTCTGCTGGAGGTTAACTCCTCAGCACAAGCACAAGCCATAGACAACACTGCACCCCAATTCCCCACCCTGGGTCAGGGATGCCATTTTCCAGGCACAGGCAGAGACGGGGGGTGATCTAGGCACTAACGTGAAGCCTTCTCAGCCTGCATCTGACTCCTGTAGACAGTCTGTCCTCCAGCCATCAGCCATTCAGCACTCTCCTTAGTGGCTGGCTCCCCCCTTCCTTTCTGGGCAAAATAAGATTCCCAAACCAAACCACCCACCCTGAATCTGCCTCCAGGCTGGAGTGACACAAGCTAGAGCTGGGAGCTGTTCCCATAACATTGGTTTCCCCTAAACCACAGCTTCAGCTTCAGAGCACATGCTATGTGTGGCCCATCGGTGGGAGGGGCTGGAGCCAGGGGGCCCAAGCAGTGGCCAGGTCTGTTGGGGGGCAGGGGGTGTCTTCCCTCCTAGGAAGGGGAAACTGCCTTCTCCCACATCACAGATGGCTGCAGGGCCCTGCCTCATAGTTCTCAGCCCAGGACCCAGGCTTCTTTTCCCTTTTCAGGTGCTGAGAGGGACCCACAGTGGATGACTCTAGAGCATGAGTCTGCACGGGAAGCAGATCCAGTGCTCAGAAGAGGGGGCCTCCATATGCAAGGGGCTTGGGAAAGGGGTCCCCATGCAGCTGCCCACCAGAGGGGAGGCGAGGATGCCACTTCTCTTGTTCTACCCAAGTGTGCACAAATGAGTCACCCTGAAACCCATGTCCATGCCACGCTCTGGACAGTCTTGGGCACCTTCCCCAATGGCCAGCCCCACTCAGGCCAAAGCCAAGCACGGCTGAGTGCACAGACCACCAAACCAGGGCATGAAGGGTCACCCCTGGGTGACAGGCCCCCCAGGCCATGGCTCCTCTGCTATAAGAGTCCCCACTATCAACCAGTCCTGCTGACCCCACAGTGCCAAGGGCAGGTTTAATGACCTATAATAGGGCCCCATGTGGGCATGAGGCCATCCTGTGCTGTCCACACCAGGGCTCCTGAGGACAGTCTAGCCCCCTGCTGGGGGCTTTCACCAGGTGGTGAAAAAGGATCAATTGGCTCCCCCTTGAGGGCAGCACCCATCACAGCTGCATCGTTCCTGATAGTAAGATTGCTTTCCCATGCCCAGCAGTCCGGTGGGAAGCACTCAGTGTACCACACAATGACAAAAGCTGCTGCAAGTTCCCCTGCGGGCACGGTTGTAGGCACTTCATATTCCTGTGTTGATTTGCTCTTCATTTCAACTCTGTGTGTGTGTGTGTTGGGGGGGTTATGATCACCACCCCCATTTACACTGAGGAAACAGAGGCTTGAGGAGTACATGACCCATCCAAGACCACACAGTGAGGAACTGTCAAGGAAGATCTGAACCCTCGTCTGCGATTCTCCAGCTTGCAGCCTTAAGCAGCCACCTGCCCTGCCCACTGGCTGGCGAGGAAGATGCCATGCAGATGGTGACTGTTCTTTCCCATTACACAGCCCGGCTGAATAACGTGAGAAGCAAAAGCCCTGACTACAGAAAACGCACTCCCCATGGTAATGGATAAATGAGCCCTGTGGGATCTTCCTACGAGAGGCCATTGCCACCCAGAGCCCCAGAGTCTCCAGGCTCCCAGTTCAGTCTCCACCGTGCAGCCCACATCTTCAGGTCAGGGAAGTTTCTCTGGTTTACGGACCTCCAGCAGGATCTCGGGCCCAGCCTCTGCTCTAAAGATGCACAGAGGAAAAAGTGCTGGGCCAGGTCTCAAGGACCACCCAGGGCACCCGTCAACAGGTGAAGCCAAGCCGAGGAGAGGGCTGAGAAGGCACACACAAAGGCACAGGGATGAGGAGCAGTGGAGTCTTCTGGGACTCCGAGAGCCCTGTGTGGTCAGAGCATCAGCGGCAAGGCAGCAGGTGAGGGCTGGGCTGCGACTAGGCTTGTTTGATGTAATGACGCTGGGCACAAGTCTGCTGGTGATGGAGAGACATTAGGAAGGTTTATGCAAGGGGGTGACAGGGACAGGTTGGTGTGGAGGGTGGGGTGTGTGTGTGATGCTGCAGACAAGGGGATGAATTAAGACACTGGTCTTACCTTGTGACCACTGGGTGACAGATGGAGGGCCTCTACCAGGGCGGGAAGGGCAGAGGCGGCAAGGAGGGAGGGGTGCACTCATGCTCAATGCAGGATGCAGGGCCAGCAGGACTCTGCCACGCGGGGATGCAGGGAGGGCGAGTCAAGCATTCTGGAGGAAGGATGCTAACTACCTTAGGTGGGTGCTGGTGGCCTCAACTATGAGAGGGGACACAGGGGAGAAGGCCTGTTTTGAGGGCGAGAAAGTGCTGAGTTTGAGATGCTGTGGAACACAGAGTGGCTGTGTCCAGAGACTAGTTACAGAAAGGAGGCCAGAGCTGGGGGCTCAGCTCTTGGTGGGAGGCTGTCCTCTGGGAGACATTGGGTGGTGGCTGCGACCTTGAAGGAGGACGAGATTGTACACGGCCAGTGTGTAAAGAGAGGGAGTGCGCTGGAGCTAGAGCCTGGGGACAGGGCTCTTGCCTGAGCTGCCCGGTGCTCACCTGGCCCCTTAGTTTCTGACCCTGAGGCATATTCCTGAGCTGCCAGCCTTGCCAGCTGAATCTGGACCCTGGGTGCTCCACTCCTTTCCAGCCTGCCTGGAGTCCAGGGCAGGAGAGGGTGAACCCCATGGTCTGCACCCAGCACCCCTGGGCTCCGGGCCTGATGTGTGGAGTGGGCCTCATCACCCACCTGCTGGTACAGGCAGGGAGAGGGGAAACCACTCGAGGGATGTGGCCACCCAATCCTACTCCCACTGTCCCCTCAAGTCAGAGTCAAGGAGTCCTGGTCACCCCAGGGGCCCTGACTTCCTATTGAACACCTTGCCTGCCCCGCACCGTGCTGCCTGAGACCAGGTCCCTGGCCCAGCTCCCCAAGTAGGTGTGGCTGCTGGCAGGAGGCTGGGCTCAGGTGGCTGTGCCCACAGCGAGCAGGGCATGCCATCTTGGCGAGAAGCGCCGGCCCTCCTTGGGACTGCACAGCCCCATCTGGGCGAAGGGTGGCCTACGCAGGTAACCGGAGCCCAACGACGGGCAGGGGACGGGATAAGCTGAGTGCACTGACCACCTGGGTGGACACTGGGGCCCATGTGGGGGCGGGGGGGGGGCAGTGTAGCCCTCCCCCAATCAGCCCCTGGTAACCTCAGGGCAACAGCCAACACCTGCTTCACAATTAGCTAAGGTGTGTTGGGCACTATATTGGGTCCTGATGGAATAACAAGAACAAGAGAAGCCCAGGCCTTCCTGGAGAACGTTCGTTCCTGCTGAAGGGCCCTCCAGATGCGGGCCTGAGCTATGCCCCAAGCCCAAGCCCTGAGGAGCCACTGGACAGTGGGCAGAGGCCTGCCCAGGTCAGCCTGGTCTTTGGCAACTCCCTGCTCCCAGACACAGAGAACTCATCCCAGGCTCTGAGCGTCTGGAAAGGAGGAGGGCTTTAGCTTCCTAATCCTGACATTGCCACTTAACAGCTGGGTGACCTTGGGCAGATCACCCAACCTCTCTGAGTCTCCATTTCCTCCTTGCAGGTCAGCAGAAGCAGGATCACATACCCATAACCTCACTCCCTGGCTGGCTGGAAGTCGGCACGCTGGCCCCTCTGGTAGGCAGTTCTCCCACCCTCCAAGTCAGCAGCTGGAGTATGCACAGGGACAGGCACCCCCACTGATGCTGTGGGGCGCCCCGTAGAGGTTCCAGCACTTTCCCCACAGCAGTAGGCTGAGTTTGGGCTTCCCCTCCCCTCCTCCTTCTCTCCCTCCCTCCCTTCTTCTTTGCAGGAACTGAGAGCCCCCTTTTACAGCCCCTCACTGCAGGCCCCAAGGGAGCCTGAGGCTGCCAGAAATGACTGCTAATACTTCCAGCCACATTTACTGAAACCTTTTGACACTGGAGGATATTTTTATGAGATAAGTGCCCTGTGTCGGTACCAACTGGCAAGTTTCATTGCTCACATTTCAGTCCTGCAAAAAGCCTTTTTCAATCACTGTCCGTGGCAACGATAAACTTTAATGGCTGAGGGAAAGCCTGCAGCTCAGGCGCTCTGTCCTTCCTGCCTCCCTGCCCCACACCAGCCAAACTCCCTCCCTTCTCTCTGCTGGGCCAGAGGCCGAAGCACAGGGGCCAATAGAGTTGGGAGAGACATCATCCACCCCCACCTCACCTCCTTTATTTTCCAACTTTGGTAGATCGCAGGCTCTGGAGGCATAGGAGAAACACCAGGGAATCAAGAGAGGCCAAAACCCAGCCCAGTACAGAAGCAGACTCTCTGGGGTGGCTCCAGGGCACCAGCGTTTTAAAAAGCTCCCCAGTGGATTCCATCGGGCAGGGGGCGTTGAGAACAGCTGCGCCTCCTCCTGGAAAGGTGGGTCCCTCCTCCTGGGAAGGTGGGTCCTTCCTCAGTCACAGTGCCACTTCCCTTGGCAGGCCGCTCCATGGCTCACACATGTTCACACAGACCCTGTCCTGCACCCAGGAGGTGCCAGGCAGACGTTCTCCTGATGGGAGAAAACCAAAACCCAGAGCTCGTGAGGTCACAGAAAGCCAGGGACCGACAGGCTCTCAGAGCCCAGGGCCCTGCCTTCCCACCAGAGCAGGCAGAGTTTAGAACGAGCATCTGGGTGAAGACTGGTCCTGGGCTGCCCCCACAGCAGGCACAGGTTCATGCTCAAGGAATGAAGAATGAGTGAAAGAATAAATCCATGAATGATTTTACCTACAGTAACTGATTCAGCCATCTCAGTGTCCTACAGGTAAGGATACTGCTTGGTGTTCCAAATGCTCTTTCCAGAAGGGCCTAGAATGTTCCAGAACTCAGGGGTCTCCATCCTCCCAGTCACTCTTGGCACCATTTCTAGATACATGCCCACTGCCCATGGCTGTCCTCATGGGATAAACACATGCCTGGGGATGAGGTGAGCTGGGGGAGGGGGACAGCCTCCTCCCCACCCTTGGATCACACTCCATGCTTGTTATATTCCCCCAAAACTCTGCACTGCCCACCTGCCCCTCCCCAATCTCCCCTTCCTGAAAGCCCACCTGCAGCAATGAACCCCTGAGTTTCTTGGCCCATGTGAAGTCACCACAGTCACCCGCCCGCTTCATAAGTTCCTGGTCTTCATCCCTCTGGATCCTTGGGGAGGAACACATCTGGGCTCAGCAGGAAAGAGGGGCAGAACAGCAGCAGCCAAGGGCAGGAAGCACAAAGGGGTTTGGGAAGGCTGCTTGTCACTTGGCTGTCACCACCCAGATGTTACTGTGTGTTGTGTAGGTCACCCTGCATCTCAAGTGGACAGAGACTCACCCACCTTGCACAGTACCCGCTCTGGAAATGAAGGCAGGATGTGAAATAAAGGACCAGCGAGCTAAGTCTGACTCCAAGAGCCTGGCTATTTTTTCTCAGGCATCCTTAGCCAACCTGCCTGTGGTTATGCCAAAGTCCAGGGATCTAAGGCTGAGGGTCCTGGGGACAGTCAGTCAGAACTGACAGTGGGACTTTGTCTCTCTCAGTGAGGCCCAGGCCTGCCTGGGGGCTCTCAGGGGGAGGGTCACTAGCACCCAGAACCCACAATCAAGAGGCTGGTGGACTGTTTAAAGAAACTGTCTGAATTGCAATTTTTTTTTTTTGAGATGGAGTCTCACTCTGTCGCCCAAGCCTGAGTGTAGTGGCGTGATCTCAGCTCACTGCAACCTTCGCCTCCTGGGTTCAAGCAATTCTTCTAAGTGCCTGCCACTGTGCCCGGCTAATTTTTGTATTTTTACTAGAGATCGTGTTTCACCATGTTGTCCAGGCTGGTCTCGAACTCCTGACCTCAAGTAATCCACCTGCCTCAGCCTCCCAAAGTGTTGGGATTACAGGAATGACCCACTGCGCCCGGCCCTGAATTGCATTAAAAAAAGTTTATTCCCCCATGTTGTCTGGCCCCAAATCCTGCCATGGAGAACTGGCTTCAATAAATGCCCCCTCTGCCATTCATCACTTGAGTCTCACTTCCCTCTCCTGCCTCAGCTCATACCATTTATTACACCCACAGTCTCCAAATGAACAACTTCTGCAACTTACAAACATACTTGAGAGCTCCACCTGTCCTCCCCAATCCATCAAGGCAACAAAATTCATTTCTCCTTGGGAGCCTAAAGAAGCCCAGGCTTGGGGACTAATTAAGCATTTCCTTTGAAATGCATGCATGCTGTAGATTGCTGAGGGTGAACTCCAACCTCTAATAAAATAGGAACCAGATGCCAGGAACAGGAGGTGCACAGCATCCTGCTATCATGGCCATCACCCAGGAGGGACCCGGCGAGGGGCAGCACAGCCTCTGGAGGGCTCTGGCTAATGTCAAAGTTCAGGTTCACAGCACCAGCTGGAATTTTTATTTTGGCCATCATCTACAACAAGGAATGAGTGCCTCCTGACACCCCCATGAGCACACCATACCTCCAGCCTTCATTCCCCCTTCCCTCCTTATTTTGCACACTCTGGGGAATCTGGCTGGAGCTCTAATTCTCCTGCAAAGCCTTCCTGAAATACTCAAACCTTGAAGGGACTGTTTCCCCTCCCACTACACCCGATGAGTACTGCAAAGATACAGCCCTTGGCCACAGAGTGTCAATTATTATAATATTAACCACCATTGCTTCTTCTCTCACTGGACCCTAGGCTTTTCTTATTATTGTGTGTTTTCCCAGCAAGTCCTCTATAGCCGGTTGTTAAATAGCTGCAGTGGTATGCTGACACATGTTAACAACCAGCTTTTGGGGGAAGCAATGGGGCAAGGGGTTGGGGGTGGGGGGGGGTGGGTGTCAATGGCTTGTAGCATGTGCCAATTTCCATGGTGTAAATGCTCTCACTGTGGCTGATTTCAAGGTACCAAGGAGAAGACACTGAGCATATAGTTTGGGAGAGATGCGTAGAACCAGCTCTCACAAGCTGGTGTTAGCTGGTATGAGCTGGCTCCAGCACGCAACTGCCAAATTGAGTCTCCACAACACTCTTTTTATTAAAAAAAAGGCACAACAAATCTGAATTTCCTGCAAATTAATACGATTTTCTACCTAAAAAATTACAAGTATATGTTTAAAAATGAGAATACCCAATGCTGAAAAGAGTGTTGTGAAGAACCTTGCTGGAAACAGTTACTCTTTGTCAGTAATCTCACCTCCTTAATCTACTCCAGGGTAAAAATCTAAGTGGTAAACAGCACTGGAACAGAGATTTTAATCACAGTAGAACTTCTAATACCAAACAATTGTAGGTAATCTAATCTAAAAGCTCAACAAGGGGGAAGTGGTTAGATTCAGTCCAGAATCATTCTTTAAGACGATATTGCAAGGATTCTATCACAAATAATAAGAAACAGGATGTGCACTCCGTGGATGTTGCCTTTCATTGGTGTCTTTCTCCTAGTGGTCTATGAAGACCCCTGGACCTGTTCATGCTCCCCAGTGGCCTGGCTGGGGGCTGGGGCCAGGAAGACCTGCAGAGGCCACGGAGCAGCACCGGCCCAGCGGAAGCCGCCTCTCCACCAGAGGCCTCAAGTCATATGGGCCGGCCAAACAGATGGGATAAATCAATGCCAAGGACGCTGTCACCCCAGGCAATCCAGCTCCACTCAATTTTCATGTGAATTTAGCAGCTCTGCATGGTTTTTAAGAACCCAATTGTATCCTGACACTTTTTAAATGATGCCTCTTTAGATCCCGCCATAATTTATCTTTTACTTAGGACCAGCTCTGCTTCCATAACAGTCTGGAAGAAAAAAACACACACACAGTGACTTCCCTTAATTTACAATAGTCTGCACTCAGTAAAACACGGATGGCAGGGGTTTGCCAAATGTGAATTCCATGTCAGCAGTGCATTTTGGTAAAGCTTAAGTGGCTTTATTTTGAAAGAAAATACACATTTAAAAGCTGTTTACCTATGCAAGTGGGGGCGAGGGTAAGTATGTGGGTGTGTGAGAAAGAACATACCCTGGTACAAACAAACCCCAAAGTGAAGATTTACACCTGCCAGCCAAGAGGGCTCTGTTCTCCCTCTTAAAAAGAAAAAGGATCAAATTCTTGAAAAGTGCAAAGGAAAGTGAGTGACCAGACAGATTCTCTGATGGATCCGCATTCTGAAATCTGAACCCACAACTCTGAACCTGAACATGGAAGTCAGCAGATGTGGGGCCACCTCCAGAGCCGCCTCTACCATCCTGAGCAAACCGCTCAACATCACTGACCTCCGATTTTTGGATACAATGTCCGTCTCCACGCACATCCCTTGTCTATTTTACCCAGGGGCTGTGAAAGTAAAAGACAGAAGAAGACAGCAAATAATGTTTATCTAGAGCCTAAAAGGAACTGGGTGTTGTCCCCTCATCTTGTTTCTTCCACAGAACCCTCATAGGGCCAAGGGTTAACATCGCTAGGGTGCAGAAGGGAAACCAAGGCAGCGAGTTCTCAGATCCTATGCACAGGGTCACCAAGCTAGGTAATGAGAGCTTCATGGAGAAAATGCCATCTGAGTTTGCAAAACAGAAGTGACTTTACTATTTGGAAACTGCCTGTTTTGGTCCTTGCTTCTCAGCAGCTGCAGCAGTGGCCATCACCTGGTGTGTGTTTAAAATGAAGACTCCCAGACCCCATCCTGGACCTGTGGATTCAGAAGCTGGCAGTTTAGCAGGATCCTGGGCTGATTCTTTTGCACACTGAAGTTTGGGAAGCACTGGTTTAAGGGATATATTCTGTTAAAGAAGGAACAAGAAAGAGCCGGAAGGGAAAAGAGCAAGGCAGCCAGGATATCCACCATTCAAGAGGCAATGGGGGCTGCAAACAAGCTGGGGCCTCATTTTGTAACCACCCTCCCACCCCCAGGAGATTCTGCCTCTTCTGCCTTGCCTGCCTCAGAACTCAAAGTAAAGCAAACTTTCCCCAGCAGTTCCCAGTGTGGCCCCCGGCCGGCAGCCTCTGCATGTCCTGGGAGCCTGCTAGAGACGCAAATCCTCCGCACCTTCCCAGGCCCTTGGAATCAGAAGCTGGAGTTGGGGCTCAGCAGTAACAGGCTTGTGGGTGATGCAGCAATCCTAACAAAGCTCACTGTCACAATGGCCCCTGTCCACATAACAGGGTCATTTGCATTTTACTGCAGGTCCACACCTGGCTTGGACACCAGTTAGAAAAACAGCCTGCCTTTACACTCGCTGTACAAACCTCATTTCTAAAGCGTATTTTCATCGATGACTTCACTTAACCCTCAGAGTAGCCACAAGAAAGAGGAAGATGGGCACCGCCATTCCTATTCTGCAGAGGTGAGACTGAGTTCCGTTATATACAGGTCCCAGACAGGGCTGAACAGGGCCTTCTGAGACGCTGCTGTGACGCCCACAGTCACCCTCAGTTCACTGCAAGTTGCATCACACAGCCAACGAGACCTTTTCGACCCAGACAAGACTGGCTGATGGCCTTGCGCAGGCTCAGCTAGGAGCAGGCTCGGGGCACTCGCCTTCCTTGGGGAAGCTGCAGCCTGAGGAACAGGCTGTGGGGTGGAATGTGTGTGCATGTGTGTATGTGTGTGTGTGTGTGTGTGTGTATGTGTGTGTACACACAAGTGTGTATGAGAGAGAAAAAGAACATACTTCCAAAAAAGGAAGTCCTGGAAGCAAACCCCTAAAGTGAGAAACGTGCTCTCCCTCCCATCCTCAAGTGTTTGCTTCTATATTACACTGATCTGCAAAACCCATCTCCCACCAAGACGCCTGCTTGTAAAACACAAATGCACAGATGAGGCCCAGCTGCAGCCTGCTCTGGCTCACAATGGCTCACAATGAGCCTGCTCTCTGCAGATTGATCTCCAGGAAAGAGCTCTCCTGGCGGGGTGCAGGAGGCTTGCTGTCCTTCAGAGGAGTTTCCAGTGAAGGACCCAGTGTTTGGAGAGAGGCGTAAATGCGTGAGCAGCCAGGCCCTCCCGGAGGGAGTAGAGGAAAAAGGACTCCACCGCAGACCCTTTCGTTTCTGTGTCTGGAGGTGCCACGTGCTGACAACTGCCATAGCTCCTGGCTTTTCTAACCCTGGTCCTGGATTTAGAAAAGTCTTAGCACCAGCAGCCATGTACAGATTTGTTCCATAACTTGCTCTTTCATTCTGGGTGAGAACAACATCCAGCTACCCCAACTGGTAACTGTCATTTTGGACAAGTCGCTTCACCTCTCTGAGCTGCAGTTTCCTCATCTATTTTCTCTATCTGAGAAAATAACAAAGGACACTTTGTTATGATACAAGCAAGGGACTTCAGATTGGTGATGTCATCCAGAGGAGACTAGAAACCAACAGAATCCTCCGAAAACGCTGTGCCCACAATCTTTGCCCTCTTTACAAAGTAACACAGATACTCCTTGCCACCCAGAGCCGGGTGGTGATAAAATGAAGCTCTCTTTGTAAAGTGTCGAGCCCATAGTGGGTGCTCCATAAATGTTCATTTCCCCTCCCTGAAGCATGGCTCTGCACTCCGAGCTGGAAAGAAAGACAAACGCACCCCAATTCAGTGCGAATCCAGGCATGCACGCCCCAAGTGAGGCAGCCCTCGCTCACATCCATTTGCATTTCCTTCTGCGAGTGCTCCAATTTTAAAAGCTTAATATTTATTTAGATATTTATTTTCACTGTAAATACAACACATGTTTACAGAGATATTTATTTTTCTCTATAAACACAGTAAATGTCTGGGGAAAATATAATCCCAAACTCACAGGACTGGAATGATTTTCTTTATGACAATCATTTTGTGTGTGTGTGTGTGTGTGTGTGTGTGTGTGTGTGTGTTTTAATCTATATCAGTGCCTTATGCCATTGCGTTTTAACCCTAATTTCGAGGGAGTAGGGGGTGGATGGAAACCACTCCACAAAACAGCAACAAGAAAAGACCACAGGTGAAGGGGACCTGTGGTCCCCCTTCACTGAAAATCACAGTGTATCAACTCCTCTGAACGGTGGAAAGCAGAAAGGTGCAGTTCCCAAGGGTCAGCATCAAGATAAGACTTGCTGAACCTGACATTGATGCCTAATGAGTAATAAAATGTCCCTTCATGGGGTAGAGTTACTGGATGATATCATGAGACTTTAGCACCTTAAAGAGGTCTCATAAAATGTTAGCACCCTAAAGAGGTGACCATGTTATATAAATACAGGATAAAAGATACCAGCTCAGCATGAGTATCAGTCAAACCCACTCATTGTACAGAAAGGGAAACTGAGTCTCTAAGAGATCTTCAGGCCTGAGATCAGACATGTTAACGGCAAGGCCTAAATGGGTATTTTTTTCCAGAATAGAGTGGTAAAGATGTGAGTATCTAAGAAAATTACACAAAGTGTCCTTTGTTATGACACAGGTAAGGGATTTCAGGTTGGTGATGTCATCCAGAGGAGACTAGAAACCCAACAGAATCAATCCCCTGGCCTCCAAAAACCCTGTGCCTACAATCTTTGCCCTCCTTACAAAGTAACACATTTACTCCTCAACTTACCATGCCCCAGTAAACCCACAGTAAAGTCGAGCCATTGTAAGTGGAGAACTGTCTCTACTGTGATCACCTTTATTGCTTCAAAATTTATTTTTAGCCTTTAGTAGGAAAGCGGTAGTGTTCAGGCTCTTGAGCAAAACTGAGAGACGATTCTCTGAATCTCTGACAACTCTGGGCAGAGCCAGGGAGCAGGGGCCCATGCTGTTTCAGAGGTTTAGGACTCAAAGGATGGAATCCTCGTTCCCCTAACAGGAAGTCAACACGGGGAGTTTGCTACTTCTGAGGCTGACCCGGACAAGACCAGGAGCTGTGGCCACATTTGTGATGGAGAGGGCGTGGCGGCTGGAGCGTGTCAGTGGGGGTGGTGCTGGGGAGAGGCATGTGCCCGCAGGCAGCCCCATGGGGAACAGTGCAGGAATCTCTTCCCCCAGCCCCTCTCCCTCACACAGGCCACCTGGGACAGAGGTGGACACGTTCCTCCCCTGCCCCTAGGCAAGCACTGGCCTCAACTTCAACTTGTTAATTTCTATTTCATGATCCCCTTTTTTTCTTTCCCCTGATCTCCGCCACTTTTTGTTCAGCCCTGTTACACACTATGCATTTTTGGAGGCTGCCTGTAGAACTACATAGGGTAAAAATGAATAAACGAGCTTCTCAAGAGTTAACTCTTGGTGACTCTTGAGGGATTAACGCCCAAGCTGGGGATTCCTTGAGAAAAAGGGCCAAGGCCTCCGAAGAAGGCTGTGTGTGTGTGTGTGTGTGTGTGTGTGTGTGTGTGTGTGTATGGGTGTGTGTGAGTGTGTGGGGGGGTGGGTGTATGTGTGTGTGTGTGTGTGTGTGTATGTGTGTTTTTCAAAGGAAGCCATGGTAGAGACCTGTTGACACTTCCACCTTCAAAACAAAATGCCAGTTGTTGGTGGTGCTAAAATTTTTACTGCTGTTACCACCACACCAGCACTAGGGCCTTCAGAGTTTCACCCTTCAGAACAGAAACCACCTCCTTATTACTGTCAATACCCCCCCACCCCAGCTTGGTGGGCCTGGCTAATACTCATATCTCTGAGACATGCCGGATCCCACCCTGCCTCAGGCAGGGAAGACAGGGCCCCTCTGGGCTCCCTCTGGACCCCAAACAGCCTTCTGGGGTCATGGCCCTCGCCTACCCACACCCCTGGTGTGTCTGAGTCTCCCACTAGGCCTGGGGTGGGGCTAGGGGGCTGCCTTCAGGCTGACCTCAGGGTGGGGCGGAGAGAGGGTGGGGGAAAGAAGGGAGGGAGAAATCTGAGCCACACTTAATGCTATGAGATCCACAGACCATCAAGGCAGGTGAGAACCAACCTGCCCAAGATCACTCAGGGACAGAGAGGGACAGGAAAACTATGACAGTTCTAACTGTTGGCTTGATGAATCACAACCCTAGAACCTTCACACAGCTCCAGGACACCCTGGCCCTTGTCTGCCTTCTCCAATCTCAGTTTCCTCACCCATAAAATGGGAGGGGAGAGTCACATCTGTCTCACCAGGAGGTGATGAGCAAGAAATAGCTCTAATGACTTCAGAGCCCTTTGCAAATATCAAGGTGTTGGTTAGAAAACCATAGCAACCACAGTGGGCTCAAACCTTTCCTTTTAAAAAGAGGCAAGGAAGGGATTACAAGACGAGGGGAGACCAGTGACCAGACGAAGTGTCTCTGGGTTCCGGGCCCATCCTCCCAGGGAAACTTACTGAGAAGCATGTTTTTGTTTTGTTTTTGTTATTGTTTCTGTTCTTGTTTTTTGTGACGGAGTCTCGCTCTGTCACCCAGGCTGGAGTGCAGTGGTGCAATCTCAGTTCATTGTAGCCTTCACCTCCCAGGTTCAAGCAATTCTCCTGCCTCAGCCTCCCGAGCAGCTGGGATTACAGGCCCATGTCACCATGCCCAGCTACTTTTTGTATTTTTAGTAGACATGGCGTTTCACCATGTTGGCCAGGTTGGTCTCGAACTCCTGACCTCAGGTGATTTGCCTGCCTTGGCCTCCCAAAGTGCTGGGATTACAGGTGTGAGCCACTGCATCCAGCCCTGAGAAGTATGTATTTTTTATTCATAACAATTCACCCCAATTCTAAGGAGAGACTACTTCACTTCCCCTTCCTCCCCTTCTAACAAAGGACTGTTCCTTCCATCAGTTCCCCAGTGCCACATCCAAGCAAAACTTTTCTGCTCCATACTTACAGCCAAGTTCACACGTTTAGTTTTGTTGTTGTTTTTTCATTGTTGTTGTTTTCTTTTCCCTCCCAGTTTCCAAGGAGAGAATTGCTGGCTGCAAACGCTGGAAAGGCTGACACAGAGGGAAGCCAGGCCAGCCTGCAGGGATGGCTGAGGTCCATGCAGTGTCCACAGCCTGGTGGCCCAAGCCTCCACCGGGGAGCCCCTCCCCTCCCCTCCCCATCAGCCAGGTCCTCAAGGAGGCACCCATTGAGGCACTAGAAAGAAAACCATACTGGGCCGGGTACAGTGGCTCACGCCTGTAATCCCAGAACTTTGGGAAGCTGAGGCGGGCAGATCACGAGGTCAGGAGTTCAAGACAAGCCTGGTCAACATGGTGAAACCCTGCCTTTACTAAAAATACAAAAATTAGCCAGGCTTGGTGGCAGGCGCCTGTAGTCCCAGCTACTCCGGAGGCTGAGGCAGGAGAATCGCTTGAAACCAGAAGGCAGAGGTTGCAGTGAGCCAAGATCGCGCCACTGCGCTCCAGCCTGGGCAACAAGGGCAAAACTCTGTCTCAAAAAAAAAAAAAAGAAAGAAAAGAAAACCATATGGGAGGAAAGAGGTAAAATGGAAGTGGGGGGATTTATGGGGGGGCGGTTTGAAATCACTGGTACCCCCCCCCAAGGGTTAATGCATGTCTTCATTTGTGGTCCTCAAGGACACAAGACACAGATTAGCCCCCACCCCTGGCAGTAAGAACTGATCCCACACTGGCGCTCTAGAAAGAGAGTGAGAAGGGAACAGAATGCTCAGGAGGGAACAGAGCAGGCACTCTGAGCACTGGAGACTCCCAGGCTGCGTATACTCAAGGCTAAAGTCCCCCAGAGGCGTAGCTGAAACCCAGCCTGAGTCAGCGGAGCCACGCCGGTCCCAGGCAGCTATCAGCTACGCGGGCCCCAGGCAGCTATCCTTTCTAAGGGGTGTCCTTTCTAAGGGACATCTGTCACAAAAACACATTTAAAAAATATACTAATGAGTTTTGCTTTCAAAAAGTGCACAGATCTGAGAGACGGACAATTGCTTGGGAAGAACCAGGAAAGCAAGCTGAGCTCCAGGGTGAGATTGGGGCCTTTCCGGAAAGTCAGAGTGAGCAGCAGAGAGAAAGGAACTCAGCTGGAGCTGCCACAAAGCCCCAGGAGGACCCGACTGTCCCCACAATAGGCCTCTCGGGCCTCAGCCTTCGGCATTGATTAACATGCAGCGGGCTGGGAAGAAAGCGAGTTTATTCTGCAGGGGACGTTTGGGAGGGGCAGGGGTCAGGTGGCTCCCCCTTAAATCACGCTGCTGTCAGCCCCACACAATTCCCTCCCCTAGGGCTGGGTCATTACTCGGGTTTATGCAAAATAAACAGCTTTGCTAAATATTCCCCCAGACCAGGTCCACAAAGGCCTGGACTAAGGAGGCAGAATGCACTTGAAGACCCAGAAAACCATCCGCTTCCTCGCCCAACTGCTTTGCCAGGGAGTTCAGAGGCCCCCTGTCCACATTAGTTTGCTAAAAGTTTATCTTTTTTTTCTGTTTTGTGGGGGGTTGGGGGGAACTTGGTTTTGCTTTTCTTTTTCCTTTTTTTTTTTCTTTCTTCTTTTTTCCTTTCATTTCTTTTTTGGTAATTCCTCCCGAGACACTGCCACCAACCCTGTTCACTCATTCTTGGCCGGCTCTGACTCACTCCCTTCACTTTCTTTCTTGAGCTATGTAAGACTTACAATTCCTGGTTTTCTATAGGGGAACTGAGCCATGAGAAATCTCTTATAAACGCTCCCAGAAAAGGAGTCCGTTCTCAGAAGATCCTTCAAGACAGGCTGCTCAGCAGCAGGGCCAGCGGGGGCTGGGGGCACCCAGCAAGAATCTTAATTGTGCCAGAGCCACACACATACCCCAGGTGGGGGAGGGGAGGCTGGGGGGCGGGCAGGGGCCACCAGGGTTTGAAAAGAACTCTCCCTTCAGGGGCTGGGCTTGGTTATTCACCTTGAGCCCACCCTTCTCCCTCCACGTCATCCAACAACAAGGACAAAAACTAAAATAGGAAACAAGAAATAGAAGCCCCAGCTATTCCTGGCCATTCAGCCTTCCTCCCAAACTACAGAGGACAGGCTGAGCTGCTGAGATATTTGAGAAGGCTGTGGCAAGATGCCTTAGTCAAATAACTCATAACTATGCACGCTGGGGGCAGGAGCTCTGCCAGGCAGGGGTCATGGCCCACATTTCACACTGGCGGTCACTCCTCGGGTTAGCGGTGGTCTATCCTTCCTGACTTCAAATCCACAGCATCTATCAGAAAAGTGGCAACAACCCCATTGGGTTTGGGTCTCTTAGGGGCAGAACCTGAGACAAGGATGTGAGTGCAAGTGGTTTATTTTGGAGATGACAGGGCAGCTGAGGACATCAGGAAGAGACACCGAAGGTGGTGAATCAGGGACAATGGCACACCCCCTACCACTCTGGGCAAGGGCAGCTGAGCTCCACACAGAACTTCTGAGAACCAGAGTAGACCCAGCTGAGGGGTGAGGGAGCTGGGGTATTTACACACCAGTTCTGCCATAGACATTTGTTAAGTAGGGTTACTGATTATCAGTGTTAATTTCCTGGCACCCTGAACTGCCACCAGCGCAGCAGCAAGAAAAAGCCCCTCAGGCACAAACACGCAGGTGCAGGATCCAGTAAAGTGGTCAGGAGGTGGCGGCAGGAGAGGCAGAGCATGATGGCTCCTGCCACAAACACTAACCATCCAAGCTGGTACCGGGCCAGCACCAGAACTCTCCCCTCTGCAGCCCCTGGCTAGCTGGGACAGGATTTATGCACAGAGCAGGATTTATGCACCCACTTTTCCAAGGGGCAGACAGAGGCCTGTGCCCTGCCCAAGGTCCCACAAGGGCTTCCAACTCCACATCAACCACCGAATGACCACGTAGTTCCTCAGCCCAAACCTCAGTCCTCCCAGAGCAGGCGGCTCAGGCCCACCACCTGCAGAAACCTCTCGTGAAACAAACGTTTCTCCTGTGGCCCAGAAGAACCTTCAACAGGTCAAAAAGGTGGGGACATCTCTGTCACGTGAGCAAAGAGACCAAATCTTCCCTTCCCTGGCTGACGGGGGAGAGAGGTGGATGGGGGCCCGACAATGGGACAGTGCTTTTAATGAGCACCTGATCAGATGTCAAGCTTTGTCCAAAGTGCTGGGGTTAAGTAGTCCAAGGTGGTGACCACAATCCGCAGAGCCAAGCAGGAGGTCACAAGGTGCAGGGTGGGGTGGGATGGGAAGGGGGCTTCACCCACTGTGCTCAGTGAAGACTGGCATTGGTCACACCTGGAGTGCAGTGGAAAGAGGGGTCGCTGGTCCAGGAAGGTGCATCCAGCTTCTCACAATCTCCCAGGTATCTGGACTGAGTAAATGAGGACAGCCTGGTGTGCAAAGCCCCTCTCTGCTGCTTTTTCAGTGGGGTCAGGGTGCATGGAAAGGGCAAGTAAGGAAGAGAAGGGAACAGCGCCTTCCCCTGTAAAGAAAGCATGTGTGGTGCCCTCCACTCTACTGGAGCCAGGAGCATAGCCGGCTCCCCAGAGGAGAGGTGCCCATAAGCATCCAGGGGAAAGCCAGGCCCTGCCCTTTGCTGCTCCCCCTTCCCTTCACAGCCTGTACTCCAGCTCTGATTTCTCCCAGCATAGCCCAGGCTTCAATCACATTCTGTACGCCCGTTCATCTATTTGTGTGATTTAATTTATCAAACACTTACCCAGCATTCACCATGGGCCAGGTCCTGAAAAATGTGAACTGGTTTGATCCACATTACGATGCCTATAAGGTAGGGTCCCTTTTTGCCTTCATTTCATGGAAAAGGAAACTGAAGAAGAGAAGTTAAACAGAGACCAAATTCAAACCCAGGCAGCCAACTCTTAACCACTAGGCAACACTGCCTCTCAAGAAATTCCTTCTCTGCCTACACCCACTTGTTCAACAGGCAACACAAGCACCATCACCTCCAGCAAGGCTCCCCGATTTCTTCTTTATCCACCAGACACCCCGCCCAGTGCACCCACTCCTGGGTGAGGGGTGCCTGCTACTCTCCCATAGCACCTTCCTGTGTGGCATTCAAGCCACTGCCTGCTCCCCACCAGCCATCAGCTCCCTGATGCTGAAAGGTCCATCTTTTCATTTCTGTGGGCTCCACGTCTGGTGCCCAGTGGGTCCTCAAGAAATCCCTGCTGACAAATGGACTGATGAATGAATGAATGAACAAATGAACACAGTCCTGGGAAGGCATTAGGAGAAGCCATCCCCAAGATGCAAACTCCAAGAGGTGAAAATGACTGAAGGAGAACTGGAGGACACACATCCTCTCTCCTCCCCACTACCTGGGTACCAGCTTCACGAAGCCAAGCTTTGGGGGGACCCGTGCCCCCACCTCGCTATAACCCACCAGCCTCCAGGTAAGCATAGATGTCCCGAAGGAGGCCCAGCCCCTTGGGAAACAGCACGGCTTGCTTACTTGAGGACAAGCTAGTGAAGACACGTGACGTAATTCGCATTGCATATATTAATTACCTTGTTTATTTTTCGCTAATTTGAGATTCAAATGCAGCTGTAAGAAGTAACAGGAAGACATCCTGTGTATGATTTACCTAGATTTCCCCAATCATGTCTTGCAAAGCTACAGTGCAATATCAGAATCAAGATACTGATAGTGATACAATGCATCTGCCTTGTTCTAATTTCCTCAGTTTTACTTGCACGCAGGTATGTATGTATGTGAATGTGTATGCATTTAGTTTTATGTGTATATATATATATATATATGTGAATGTGTGTGCATTTAGTTTTATGCAATTTCATTAAAGGTACAGATTCAATATCTACCACCTCAGTCAGGATACTAAACAGTTCTGTCACGATGAGCACCCTTCTGCTGCCCTCCTCTCCCTCACCCCTACTGTCATTAAACCCTGGAAACCATTGATCTGTTCTCCATTTCTAAAATTTCATCACATCAAACATGTTACATAAATGGAAACACATAGTTGGTAACCTTTTGGGATTGGCTTTTGCACTCAGCATAATTCCCCGAAGATTCAGCCAAATTGGTACAGGCATCTATGGTTTGTCCCTTTTCACTGCTGAGTAGTATTCCCTGGTATGAATGTGCCACAGTTTGTCTAACCACTCGACCACGAAAAGACATCTGGGCTGTTTCCAGTTTGGGGACATCACAAATAAAACTGTTATAAATATTTGTGTACAGGTTTTTGTGTGAATATAAATTTTCACTTCTCTGGAATAAATGCCCAAGGGTGTAACTGTTGGGTCCTATGCAGTATGTTTACCTTTATAATAAGCTTCCAGACTGTTTTCTAGAGAGGCTGTACCGTCTTACATTCCCACCAGCTATGTGTGAGTGCTCCTGTTTCTCTGCATTCTCATTATGAATATTTTTTCTTTTAACCATTCTGATGTGTGTATAATACCTCGCTCAGTTGTAATTAGCATTTTCCTAATGGCTAGTGAAGTTGAACACCTTTTCATGTGCTTATTGGCCATTTATATAATCCTCTTTTGTGAAAGGTCTCTTTCTGTTTTTTGCCCATTTTCTAATTATATTGTTTCTTTTTTACTGTTGAGTTTTGAGTACATATTCTATGTACTAGTCCCTTGTCAGGTATGAGGTTTGCAAATATTTTCTCCCATTCTGCAGCCTGTCTCTTCACCCTCTCAACAGGGTCTTTCGAAGAGCAAAATTTTTGATTTTGGCGAGGTCCAATGTGTCAATCATTCCTTTTATGAATCATGCTTATGGTATCAAGTCTAAGAGTCCTGTGCCTGGCCTGAAATCCTGAAGGCTGTGATTTCTCATCCTTCCTCGATGGAGGAGCTGACTGTCTGAACTGGAAAGCATTCTTTCTCCACCTTTACTACCCAAGGTGTGTCTCTTGCAACCATCTTCTGAGGGCTGGCTCAAGGTGGGGTATGAGTTGACAGGAAAGACGTGATACAAAGAAAGAGCCATTTGAGTTTCCTCGAGCATCTCAGCAGGCTAACATCACCCACAGACTTCCAGCCCTTTCAAGACTTTTCTGAGACACAGGGGCAGAAAAGGGCTAAAAGAGGAGACTATGGCCACCGCACTTCTTTCGGAGGACCAGATAAAGATGCGTTCTGTTTCTCCGCGGTCCTGCAGCGCCCAACCCATCACCCTTGCTGGAGGGGCCCTTTCTGGACAGAGTCCTCACGGCCGTCTAGCCTGGGCCTCCTTCACTCTACCCTCCCCACCCCCAGGGAAAAGGAAAGACTTGGTCCCCTCTTGGGGACAACTCAACTGTCTCCATTTTAGCCATCAACATGGAGAACTAGAAACACGAAGTCACCACTAACTGATAAGCCTTTGAAGTGTTGGGTTCTCCTGGAAAAAAGACTTGCTACTGAGATGTCAGCCAACGCTGACCATGAGTCCTGACCCAGAACTGGAACATGCAAGCAGCGACCCTGAATAGAAGGCCCAACAGAGGAAACCTGGCATTGTCGATGCTAGTCAGCTTTCCTCACACGTTTCTGAACGAAGAAAGAAAAGAAAATCCCTGATTGCTCTGAAGACTGGTTGCAATAAAAAAAAACTCAACAATCTCCCCACCCACCACACCCTAGTAGGCCCTGTCCACACCAAACACTGTTTGTTAGGGAACATGGCCCTCACGGCCTGTGTGTCTCTCACTGGTGCCCACTCTCCCCTGAATCACACTGCACAGGGTCTCTCCTGTCTGAAGAGAAGAAAACACCCTGAAAATTAAGAAGATAAAAGTGATGGCGGTGCTGTTCAAAAGGAGAGAATGTGGAACCCTTGGGCTTTGTTCCTAATGCTCGGGGACGATGAGATTGAGAGAACTCATGGAGTCAACAGGTGTCACAGATGTCCCAGGAAAATACCAAAAATAAAACAAAAACACCTCTCGCCTTGCCAAACGAGAAAGCAACATCACTCAACTGCAGGGCATTTTGGCAACTAAGAGTGTTTACCCCCAGAGAAACAGCTGCCCTTGCCCCAGCGGGCAAAACAGGCCTCCCTTCTACCCCTCCCCGACTCCCTTCTCCCTCTGGAGGTTTCTTTTCGGCATCCAGCCAGACAGAAAGAAGGCAGGTGACAGAGCAGGGGCTTAACAGGTCCCACGCAAGGCTCAGCTGGGGAAGGCCACTCCAAATCACTTTGGCAAACTTGAACTGAACCGCAGGCCACCGCAGCCGGGAAAACAAACAAGAGCCTGTCGGCCAGGTCCTGCTAGCTGTGCCCAAGCTGCAGCTCCCCTCTCCCTGGCTTGGAGTGGAGCAATAAAAGGGGTTTGTGAATGCATGTCCCAAGCTTCTTAGCGCCTGTCATATTGATCTAGCACTGCGTTAGGATCCCCGGGCCCTCTCAAGGACCTGGGCAAACGCTGGTATTAGCGCTCCCCTTCCTCTTAAGAGTGTGCTGAGCAGTCACTCCACTGTTTCCCAAGGAGGAGACCCCCGACCCTGACAATCCATCAAGTGAATGCAAATTGTGGCCCAGACAAAACCAGGCAAACAGCACCCCGCTCCGGGATAATGGCCTCTGTGGGAGAAGGGCGCTTCCAACAATGATTGCTGTGTACATATCCCACTAAATACCCAAACTTCTGATTAGCCCCATCATGATTTGTGTGTGCACCGCCTCTTTTGAATGGCTCCCAAGTACATGGTACAAGTTGACTCAAGCCTAACCTCAAACAGTGGCCTTCCCGGGCTTCGCCAGCGCGGGGAGTGGGCTATACATAGCTCTCTCTGCTGTTGATTACAAGCCTTTTGGAAATCCAACACGCAGCCCAGCAAGGAAAAGAGCACGGTGAGAGGGTGATAATCACAGGCTCCAGGCTCCGGCTGGAATTGATCTAATTTGGTGAGTATCAATTCAGGTTCACTGTGGGGGAATATTCCCAGGTCGCCTGAGCTGCATATTTGCAGGAAGAGATCAAAAGCACCAGAATGGGATGTTCCCTCCCACAAGCAGGCTGGGGGATCTTGTGGGCGGGGGGTGCTCTGTGGCTTGTGACATCTACCACTTGCCATGTGGGAGTTTTCAGGCAGGGCATCTGGCCATCTGCTTTCAAGGACCACAGGCATTGATCGGGGGCCAGCGTCTGAGGTGTGCTTGGGAAGCCAGGCATCTTCCCACAGTGTCACTGGCACCTACGGAGGAAAAACGTGAGTGTGTTGGATGAGTATTTTCACCATGTGTTTCTGCATCTGCGTCTCGGGCCCAGATCTCTCTTCTGAGCCCTGGATCTCTCCGTCCAGCCCTTGCGTGAGCCCCAGGCATCTTGGATGTGCCTCGCCTGACACAGACAGACCGTGGCATCTTCTCCCAGCACCTTGTGCTTGCTCCTGGGCAGGGTCTCCTGCCTCAGCAAGGGCACCGCCATCCACCCAGCCAGCAACGTCTGGGGTTCCTTGGGGCCCTGGGTCCACCCACCAGGTGCGGCTTGGGGCCAGCATGCAGGCTACCGCAGTCCCACTCCAGGCCCCTTTATTTCCTGTCTGTCTCAGCAGCTCACTAAGCAGGCTCCCAGCCTTTCCACCTCTGCCTCACCCACTCACGCCCCTCAGGAAGGCTAGTATGAGCTCTCTGGAGCGCAGGTCTGACCCTGCCACTCCCTTTCATAAACACTTTGGGGCTGTGCCCAGTGGTTCATGCCTGTAATCCCAGCACTTAGGGAGGCCAAGGTGGGAGTATCACTTGAGTCCAGGAGTTCGAGATCAGCCTGGGCAAAATAATGAGACCTCTTCTCTACAAAAAATTTAAAAACTTAGCTAAGTGTGGTGGTGCGCGCCTGTGGTCCCAACTACTCCAGTGGCTGAGGTGGGAGAATCGCTTAAGCCCAGCAGGACAAGGCTGCAGTGAGCCATGATCAATGACACTGCACTCCAGCCTGGGCAAACAGCAAGACCCTGACTCAAAAAACAAAACAAAACAAAACAAAACAAAACAAAACAAAACAAAACAAAAACCCAAAACCAAAATATACACGCACACACACACACACACACACACACACACACACACACACACACACACACACTTTGGAAAAATTAGAATAGGGGTTCCAAGACCCTGTCTCAAAAAAAAACCCCAAAACCAAAACACACAGACACACACACACACACAAATTTACTTTGGAAAAATGAGAATAGGGGTTCTCACCTCCTGAGGCCAGCATGAGGATGGCACGCTAATGCATGTAAAATTATCTGGTATATAACAGGTGCTCAGTAAATGGAGTTACTTCCCTTTTTCATTTTCTTAGAGCCAAAGAATGACAGAAGTATGGTTTTAGCTCACGGCCCTGTGTGATAATAATGATCACTTGAATGTGAATGATAGTGTCCCACACGTGAGGCCCCGCTCCCACACATGACCAGGTAGAGGGGAGTTTGGTGCTAGCAGATTCTCCCTCCTCCTGTGTCTGTCATCCTCCAACTCCAAGTACAGAGGCCTCAGCTTCCAGGGAGCAGAGGCAATTTTATTTTTAATCCTCCCCGTGGCCTCAAGCCTGAGTCCCTCTGCCCACCTGCTAGACGCCTCCTGCTGCCAGCAGCTGCCTCAAGGGCCCTGTGTGTCCGAGTGGGCACTGGACGCTGCCTGTTGCTATAGCTGCCCCGCCCCAGGCCCCGAGGCCTCTGAGGCAGTCGGTGAGATGAACATGGGATCAGTCAGTGAAGGGCCATGAAAACACACGCTGCCCCAGAAGGGACGGGTGGAAAGGCCTTGTCAGCATTTCCGAGGCTGGGGTGGCCAGGCTCAGGGGAGCCACCCTCGGAAGGCAGCCTCCCCAGAGGCCAGCTGTGAGACTGCAGCTGCTGCCTTTGAGGTTGAGGGGCCATTTACAAAGCCCAGTGAGCTTGGCAATGTAGCTGCAGCTTCACTCTCTGGAGCAGGCATCTGACAACATGGCCCTGTGACAATGACAGTGTCTATTTACTGGGTCTCTTCCATGGGCCAGGCCCAGCAACAGAGAAAGGCATACAGAGAAAGGTTCACCCTCTAGGACCCGGTCTGCATGATGTGCAGAAGGGAGATCTCTTCCCTGGGGGTGATGAGATCGGGGAAAGCCTCCTGGAGGTTGTGATATTTGAGCTGTATTTGAAAGGCAATAAGCTCTAGAGGGGCAGTGAGGTTGGGGTGGGAGGATTCAGCAGACACTGAACACTTCCAAGATGGAAGGCAAGAAATGAATGGAGAGGGAGCCAGGAGCAGCCCAGCTGTTAGGATAGTGGGGAAAGCAGGAGTGAGGCCGGCTGATGATGCTCCCGCCATGGCAGCAATGGTAGGAGGTGGGGGCTGTGGGAGAAGATTACAGGAAGAACCCCACCTTCCGGCCCAGGGGGTGAGCAGATGTTGGGCCCCCACGCGCCACTCTCCCAGCAAGGAGGCGAGGCAAGGCTGAGCAGAAGCCTGTGGCTGGCAGGACAAACACTTGCTGGCTCCGTGCTGCCCACTCTAGCTGGACTCCGACGGCCACCCTAATGTCACTCAGCTTAGGGGCGGGTGAACTGCGGGGACCCAGCCTGATTAAATCCACTGTCTCAACCCAGGCCCAAGCTGTATATCTCCAGCGTGGGGGAAGTGACACCTCACAGCCTGCACACAGCTTCATTTCTGAAAAGAATGTGTGAGGGGGAAGGTCAGGAGACAGGCACAGCCGTAAATTTGATGGAAGGTTTAGCTGGAAACCCCATTAAATCCACACACGGCTCAATGCTGGGCAATGTCCTTCCTCCGAGTCTGCTGAATGGGGCCAGGGAGGTGAGGGACTCACTAAGTAATGTCCTCATTTTTTGGTGTCTCCTATTACCCAGGGGATGAAAAACCCATTACCCATAAGGTTTAGTGGCACTTGGTCCCAAGACTGCAATACTGTCCTTTACCTACGCTCTCCCCTTGGCCCGCACATGGGCGCGCAGCCTCTGCTGGCCTCTGTCCACTCCACCATCCGTGCGGACGACCTCACTCTCCCTGCAGCCCACGCCTGGGTCTCACAGACCCTGGATCCTGCTCCCCAAGGATGGGCGCTCTCTCCCCTTCATGGTGTGGCCTGGCAAAGTGTGACCTAGGCCAGGAAAGCTGGTGTTCTGTGGTTGTGAGCCCAGCACTGAGCTGCCCCTGGCCCCTAAAGTCTCCCCCAGGGCTGGGGCTGCCCTAACTTCAGGTGGTGGCTATGCAAAAGTATGAGCAGGAACACAGGGGTGGCCTGCGGAAGGGTGCAAATCCCCACTCTCCAAAATCAGGCCTCCACACACTCATCTGCTGCGGGGGTCTGGAGCACAGACAATTTTCCTTGGAAGGGAGTCCCCCGTAGAGATAGGGGCTAGAGGCCTGGATCTAGCGGCTTTCTTCTACCTCTCCGACTCTCCCACTCCCTACCCCCACCACCAGGGGCCAGAGGCTACCTATCATTGCAAGTATCCCTCATCCAAGACTCAGCCAAACAACCACACAGAATAGTGAGGATGACAGAAGTGGGTTCAGATCTGAGCTATGTGACCACAGTGAATGATTACACTTCTCTGAGCCTCGGTTTCCTCATCTGTTAAACAGGATTACAATAATAACTACCCTCATGAGACTGCTGTAGGGACTTAACGGGTCAGCGTAGCAAATGCTCTACAAATACCTGCACACACCAGAGCTTCCTGTACAGTGCGGCTGTCTTCTTCAAGGTTATCGTGGGTTTGTTTGTTTATTTGTTTGTTTTGAGACAAGGTTTCGCTCTGTCACCTGGGCTGGGGTGCAGTGGTGCGACCTTAGTTAACTGTAGCCTCAACCTCTTGGCCTCAAGTGATCCTCCCACCTCAGCCTTCCAAGTAGCTGGGACTGTAGGCACGTGCCACCATGCTCGGCTAATTTTTCTTTTTTAAAATAGAGATGGGGTTTTGCCATGTTGCCCAGGCTTGTCTCAAACTCCTGGGCTCAAGCGATCTGCTCACCTTTACCTCCCAACTTGCTGGGATTACAGGTGTGAGCCACCAGCCCGGCCAAGGTTATCTTTTAGGCTTGATAAAAGCATAGACCTTTTCATGAGAGCAGATGCAAACAAAAGGCTAAACCCACGGAAGGAACCTATTACTTCTCTCTCAAAAGCCCCAGCTAAACATACTTTATGATGCCATTTATATGATATTCAGGAAAAGGCAAAATTATAGGGATGGGAAACATAATAGAGTGTGCCAGGGGCTGTTGGGGGTAGGAGGGTGGGAGAGCAGCTACGGAAGGACAGGATGCCCGCTCTGGGGAGAGGGAACTGTTCTGTATCTTGGTTGTGATGGTTACACAACCGTATACATTTGTTAAAATTAACAGAACTGTATGCCTCAAAAGGGTGTATTTTACTATATGTAATTTACACCTTCATAAACCTGATTTTAAGATAGACAAAATGAGAAGAAAAAAAAAAGACCCACTTAAGACCAGATGTGAGACCAAACCAGCTATCTCAGCCCTGGAGGGCAAGGAAGATGAAGTGGTTCTGGAGTAATGCCAGCAGGACCCAGAGGGGACGTCCTGGATGGCGGTCAGATCCACATGTCCAGTGAGGGACAGAAGACCCAGGGATCCGACAGAGGAGGGTGGGCCCAGACACCCGCGCTCAAAGACAGCCCAGCAGGCCTGCTGCCAGTGCTTGTCGGCTTCGCGTTGCAGCCAAAGCCACCGCCCTCTCCCAAGCTTGACCTTCCCTCCATCTGCGTTCCACAAATTCACAGAGCTTTGGAGGGACTCCAGGGACACACACCTACATTTCACAGGCGAGCGAACTGAGGCCATGAAGTGAGGAGTGCTGATCACATCCCGCAGCCGGCAGCAGCTGACGCCTGCAGCGGGCGCCCTCCAGCCCAAGCAGCATCTCCCGGGTGATCCTTCACCACCTTCACTCCTTCCCTGTGGTGAGCTGCCCTGGAGACCCAACCCAAGGCCTCACGCCCTGGCTGCCTTCCCTCACGTTGTCCATGTCACCTGGCCTCCTGGAAGGAGGATGTGGCTCCTGGAACTCCCTCCTTCCAGAAGCCAGAGCCCCTAAAGGTCAAGTTCACTGTAGGCAGCCACATGGGTCCAGAGACCAGACGTAAACTCACAGCCAAGTTCAACTCCTGAAGTGGTGTGAATTGTTTGATCTGCAAGTTATAGCCACTGCACCCTGGACCTGGATAGTGTATTCTGGAATCAACCTACAGGGCCTTAGTTGTCCCCTATGACATTCCATCCCAAAAGACCTGGACCATTCGTTGCCAGCTATCTTTGGTTGCTGGGCTGACATTCAGAGCCCCAACTCCCTTTGCTATTCCAAAAGTTCATGATGCCGCCAGCTCCACCTGCCCTCCTTCCCACATGCCCCTCTCCCACCTGTCTTGCCCTCTACTGTCCCCACGACTGTTCTCCCCCACTGTCTTCTCCCACTGTTCTCCCCACTGTTCTCCCGGCGACCGTGCCACTCCGCACTGTTCTCCCCCGCACTGTCCTCCCCCACCTGCCCTCTCCCCACTGTCCTCCCGACTATCCTCCCCCCACCTGCCGTCCCCACACTGTCCTCCCCCAAACTGCCCTCCTTGCACTGTCCTCCCCCACCTGTCCTCCCCCCCGCCACCCCAGCTATCCTCCCACTACCTGCCCTCCCCTACCTGTCCTCCCCACCACTGTCTTTCCCCCACTGTCCTCCTCCCACCTGCCCTCCCTTGACCTGCCCTCTCCCCACTGTCTTCCCCACGACTGTCCTCCCCCAACCTGTCCACCTTCCACAGTCCTCCCACTCCTGCCCTCCCCTACCTGTCCTCCCCTCACCTGTCCTCCCCCCACCTGCCCTCTCCCCACTGTCCTCCCTGCCACTGTCCTTCTCCACCCATCCTCCTCCCCACCTGTCCTCTGACATTCAAGCAGGACCCTGGGGAAGGGGGCCAGGCCTTTCACAAGGAGATACTGCCCAGCCTCAGTGCTTCTAGGCATGGTGTAGGGAACTTCAGGGATGTGTTGACTATGACAGGGTATTTGGAGTAGGATTCAGAAGCCCTGAACTTGAGTTGCCTTTCTTGAAAGCGTCACATTGAAGATCTTGGAACCTCTGTGTGCCTGAAAGGGTGTCAGGTGCTTTAGATAAATTTGCTTAGTTAATTCCACCGACCATCTTATAAGGTTAGTGACTTGCCCCCATTTTACAGATTCAGAAATGGAGGTGCACAAGGTTATGTTATCATGGTAACAGGGGGTGCTGCCTTCGAAGGATGGCAAATAAGAAAGACAAATTTCACATTTTGCTCCCTGGTGGGGGCAGGGGGGGATATTTGCATTTCCATCCATGTAGCTAGGTAGATGCTATGCTGGGACTTGTGTTCAATGGCTGAAAACAATTATTCAACACCCCAGATTAAGCTCATTTTCACCTCACATACCAACATTTTAATTTTCAAAAGCAGTTCAAATCACAATTCTGCTAGAGAAAGACATACTTTAGCCAGGAGGTACACATTTATAATCTCTCTCATACGCAGATACCTCAATTGTCCTAACCTAGCCCATAGCTGCTTTTTTCTGGTTTTCTTGCTGTCTGGGGTGTTTCAGGACCTGGACAGAAAAACCACAGGCTCAGCCTCTTGGTGGGGCAAAGCAGAGCTATGTTTGTTTGTGAATGACCACAGATGTGACCTGGTTTCCCCTCCTGCGGGCAGAGCCGGGGCTGGAACAGGTGGTGGAGTTGGAAAGAGAGCCCTTGTCTGCGAGGCGGGGAAGGAGGAAGGAGGATGGCGGGGTGATGGGGACTTCAGGCAATGGGATTAAACCTCAGAGGCTGGACTTCGGTGGGGAAGATGGATGAATTTAATCAGCCCTCTTGCCTTAAACCTGAATGAAAAGTAATGAAGTTTGCCCAATTCTCTAATTAAAATTCCCAACTAGCAAAACTCCAATGGCTGTGCAGTGGAAATTCATGTAAAACAGAGAGAAAACAAAGCATCTGGACGACGGGCTCTAAGCTGGCGACCACTCAGCACTACCTGTTTGCAGAGACAAACCTTTCGCTTTTCCATCCCTCACACTCCAGGGTCCTTTAAGACAACTTTCTTTCCCCAGTAACAGCCCCCTACAGGATGAAGGTTGGGAAGTCAGACACAGCCCAGTTTAACACTGTGCACAGAGAGGGAATAAAGCAGCTTGAAGCGGCACCTCTGGCCACACCGATTTATTCCTACCCTCGTCTCTAGCATGATGTGCAGAAATATGAAAATATACACACTTCCCTATATGAGCATTTTAACCAGCACTTAAAATCCTAAATGCTGAAATATGGCTGGCCGTGGAGGCTCAGCTAGAGGCTGGAGAAAATGACTGGCTGGCTTCTCTGGCTCAAGAGCCCGCCTCCCGCGGCAGACGGGCTCTCATAGGTTACAAGCTCCTCATTAGAACAGGCGCGTGCAGAGTTTAACACACTCAATTGGAATCTACTGCTTTTCGTCCACAAACTCCTAAGTAGTAATTATGGGTTACTGCAGGGTGACAGCCCAGCCGTTAAGTGACTCCAGCCTGAGATTCATCCAGGCATCCAGCCCGTGGTGGGGCCGCAGCCAGAGGCAGGCAGGTGGCCACGTGTCACCTGAGAGTGCTGTCCAGCCCGCCGTGGCCTGGCTGGGGTGCCATCCGACCACTGTGGACACCATCCTCCTCCTAACTGCTCATGCTGCCTCCCCACGCACGGGTGAGGAACTACTGCACTGATCTCAGGTTATCTCCTGCCTGGCTAGGAGGTCTCTCTATGTTCACTCTGGGGCTCCCTCCAATCCACCAGAATGAGGATTCTAACACAAAAACCTGATCAAAACCCAAGCTCTGAAGCTGGGCACACAGCCCCTCCAGACCTGGCTGCAACTGACTCTCCAGCCCTTCCCAACACTCAGCTGCAGCCACTAAGTGCCTCCACTAGTACCAAGCCCTTTTTCATCTCACCCATTGTCCTGGGAACAAGTCTGGGCTGCACAGTGTCTGGCGAAAGGCCTCATGCTGGGCCCCAGGAAAGCACATAAGCCATAGAAAGTGAAGTCCCTGCCCCTCCTGGGGAAGGAAACTGATCCGCAACCGAGATCCATGAGCTAATGCCAGGCCCAGGCAGCCAGCAGCCAGCGCCATTCCAAACCCCACGGGGCAATGCCGGAGGAGACACACACTATCCTCTCCATGCTCGCAGACTGAGCTTCTGAGGATGCTGAGATAACAGAATTGGGCAAGAAGGGGTGAGCTGGAGGACTGCAGCCAGAAGAAAGATTTTTTTTTTTTTTTAAGATGGAGTCTCGCTCTGTCACCCAGGCTGGAGTGCAGTGGTGTGATCTCGGTTCACTGCAACCTCTGCCTCCTGGGTTCAAGCGATTCTCCTGACTTCCTGAGTAGCTGGGATTACAGGCACGCACCACCACGCCCGGCTAATTTTTTGTATTTTTAGTAGAGACGGGGTTTCACTGTGTTAGCCAGGATGGTCTCGATCTCCTGACCTGTGATCCGCCTGCCTTGGCCTCCCAAAGTGCTGAGATTACAGGCGTGAGCCACCGTGCCTGGCCGAAAGATTTTTAAAACCAGAAAAATGAGACCAAGTGTGTTTTTTCTTTTTGTGACAGGATATGAGTTTAAAAAAATAACTTTTATACTGTGTATGTAATTCTGTATCCTTTTTTTCCTTTTAATATTGTACTATGTCATTAAGATTCTTCATAAATATTTCAGTGGATTCATACTGTCTCAGTCCATAGCTAGACACTAATTTATTTAAACTTTCCCCTTTATTCAGCCAAGTCTTTAAACACCATAAAGTGACTTTACTGCAACCATGATTCTGCTTAGGCAGCTCTTCCTGGACCTAATTTTTTGTATAAAGAGATGGGCTTCCTCAGTTAGAGCCATTATTGGCAAGAAGAAATAACTAATACATTTGACGGTGGTATCGTAAGGAGAAAAGATTGTCTTGACTTCCTTGCTCTGCCCCTGGGAGGGAGGATACACATAATGAATATCTGTGGCTGAAGGAAGAACAAATAGGTAAGTGAGGGAGTCAGTGAATCACAGAATATTCCCCCAGGTCTATTTTTCTGAAGTTCACAATTCTTCAGTTTCTCATCAGGGACCCAGGCTCAGTCAACACTTTAATGTATCCATATTGATCTCAACAGTTTTTCCTAGATGTTAATATAAAAGAATGTTCGAGAAAATAAATCTTTTAATAGCAAATTCCAGTATCAAAACTAAGGCAATTGGTACAACCACTTTGGACAGCTGGCAGTATTTATCAGAGCTGACCACATGTGCCCCCTATAACCCAGCAGTTCCATTCCTAGGTATATACCTGGGAAAAATGCACATAGACATTCATCGAGACCGTACAAGGATGTTCATAAGCAGCACAGAATAGCCCCAAATTGGAAACAACCCAAATGCCCATCAACATCAGAAAACGTTGGTATATTGTGCTATATCCACAATAACAGGAAAAAATATTATTCAACAATAAGAAGAGCAAACCACGACTACAGGTAATAACACGAATGAATCCCCTAAACATAAGAAAGCAACCAGATAGAAAAGTGCACACACTGCATAATTCCATTGACATAAAGAACAAAAGCAAGCAAAACCAAGCTATGCTCTCAGAAGTCAGAAGTATGGTTGTCCCAAAATGGGGGAGTGGTGGCTAGTGACTGGGAGTGGGCACAGGGGGGCTTCGGCTCATGGTCATGGTCTGTCTCTTGATCTGGGTGCTGGTTACGTGGATGTGTTCAAACGACAAAAATTCACCACGCCCTCCACTTAAGATGCATGCACTTTACGGTTATGTATGTTGTATTTGCATATTTTTTTTGAAGGATGCGTGGCCATTTTGAAGCCACATCAAAATAGTTTAAAACTTTCTCAAATATCTACACACAAGGCCCTGGAGAAACAAATAAGTGACCCAGGGTCTGTGCATTGGGTCCACAGTCTGATCTCAGGGAGTTCAGACTGATGTGGTGTGATAGGCAAGCTGGGAAGAGCTCCAGGGACAGTGCTCAGGGGCAGGCTCTGACCTGCTGGAGGAGGAGGGGAGGCCAGGCAAGCCACCCCAAGGTCATGCTGAGGAGCTGGGCCAAGCCCCATGCAAATGCATCACCGGCTGACCCAAGGCCGAGGCCCCGCTCCTCCCAGGCCTTCTCAGGCCTCTTGTCTTCCAACTTACTGCTGCCTACTGAGTGAGCAGTGGACCAGCCCAGGTTCCATGGGGCCTGAAGCTTACACAGTTGGGGGCACGTCTTAAGTAAAAGAATATTAAACAAGGAACCTACAGTTAAGCACAGGGACACGGAAAGGGCCGTGCAAACAGGGCCCAAATCCTAAACATCATTCTGCAAGTGCATCTGCCTTTTCAGAATGAGCCTCCACCTGCCTCGGACCCCACGTGCCTGACCCTGACATGGGCGGCCTCAGCAGAGCCAGCAGAACCTTGCTCCTCCCTGCCGACCCACTGGGAGCTGGCACACAAAGCCCCAGTGGAGCCAGGCCTTCCTCAGAGGGCATGTGACTCACCTGTGTCCCTCCTCCAACCCTGCCAGCTGCAAACCCCTGCAAGAAAAGTCCCCCTCCTCCACCTTCTGCCATCCCCTACTTGTCTGATTTCTCCGGTGAGTATTTTAAACTGTATTAAGTGATTTTTAAATCTTCCTCCTGGTGAGATTTGATCTCATTTATCTTCGCTGCTGGGAGAATATCAGTGAGCTTCCGGGGGAAGTGTGGCTGCTGGAGCAGCTGAGCGGAGAGACCCACTGCCACCATTTTGGATGTTTAAGAAATTCAGCTCCTGATTCCACTTTGCATTTATTTATTTGTTTGTTTGTTTATTTTTTTGAGACGGAGTCTCGCTCTGTCGCCCAGGCTGGAGTGCAGTGGCGCTATCTCGGCTCACTGCAAGCTCCGTGGCCTGGGTTCACGCCACTCTCCCGCCTCAGCCTCCCGAGTAGCTGGGACTACAGGCACCCGCCACCACGCCCGGCTAAGTTTTTTGTATTTTTAGTAGAGACGGGGTTTCACCGCGTTAGCCAGGATGGTCTCCATCTCCTGACCTCGTGATCTGCCCGCCTAGGCCTCCCAAAGTGCTGGGATTACAGGTGTGAGCCACCGCACCCGGCCTGCATTTATTTTTGTAAGGAGCATTTGGCATGGCTTTAACTTTTCCCCTCCATAACCAATTGTCTCAGCACTGCCTACTGAACAGTCCATTCTTTCCCTAAGATTTGAACTGCCATCCTTGTTAAAAGAGAACGAAATCCCCAGTTGTACTTGTCTCTATTTCTGGCCCCTCCGTTCTGTCCCAACACTGTGTTTTAATCACTACAGCTTTATAGTATGGTTTAGCATCTGGTAGGCCAGCCCCCCCACCTCATCCCCCATCACTGTCATCTTTTAGTCCTGGCTCTTTGGCGTTTTGTTGCCTTCCATGTGAATTTTATAGTCAGCTTAGAGAATTCCACTAGAATCCTCCTGGGGTTTAGATCGTGCCTGACCGCCCAGAATTTATAGGTAATAACACACGCAAGGGTGTCCTGAGGCGAAGAAGAGGAATACTGTCTGCAGAAGCCTGGCTGCAACTAGTGCTCCATAAACAGCAGCAGCTGTTAGCACCGCCGTTAGCACTCGGCACAGGGCGGGGTCTGCAGGACAGGCTGTGTCTACTGTAACTCTCCTTGCAAATCCTTCCAAGACCGTCCTCTTCTCTGCCTAGCCTCAAGGGCCATTTCCCCACGGAGAAAGGACTTTGCTCCTTCCCCATATACCCTCCTCCAAGTGAGCAGCACTGTGGTCCCTCTCGTTCCCAGAGCTTGAATCCCTAGGCTATGATGGCCAGCCCAAAGTCACTTTATGGGCCTTCCCTCTAGATGTGGTCCACTTTTCCAGGCTCCTTTGTCCACACTGTGCCTGTTAGCACCCAGAGCCAACAACAGACACTGAGTCAGCCTAACTCTGCTCAGACACTGAGTGCTGACATGCATGGCACATGCCTGTCCCCAGGTCCCAGCTTAGGAAAAACACCTGCACATACAAAGTAGCCCCATGCCAGGCACAGGCACCACCAGCAGGCTCCCTGATGCCATTTACCCAGCACAGAACACAGGCCACTGGCGAGTCTCAGACACCCACAAAGGCAGAGGTCACCTCACCGTTTTATGGGTTAGGAAACAGGCTCCAGGAGCCGAGTGTTTCAGGCCGAAAGTGTCTGGGAAGCTAGGACCCTAACCTAGTTTGCTTGACACCCCCAAGTCGTATACCTCCTAGAAATGACTGGCACCAGGGCCAAACATCAAGTCACCTGCAGGGCAGACACTCAACTGAGCTGAGGTTCCCAGGCACCGAGTACCCTCCACCCCCAGCTGCAGCTTCTCCTAGCATTTCCTACTCTTTTCTTCTTGGCTGGGACAGCAGCTGCCACAGCGAGTGGCTGTTGACAAACTAGTCAGCATGCTGCCGAGGCGTCTTTCTGAGCTGCCTGCGTCCTCCTGAGCAGAGAGATACCTCATTAGCGTGCTATATTTCAGCCCCGAGAAAACAATGCATGCCGAGAGACCATAAACAAAAAGCACAAATGCTACAGGTCACGGATGATAGATGCCACCCGTAGACATTCAACGCCGGCCTGTCTACACAGACAGGAGCAAGGCCCGCTTCCAGGCACATCCGTCTTTCCCCAAATGCTGACGCAGGGAGAAGCCAGCATGGCTAGGGCTCTGCGCACAGACGGGGGCTGCGGCTGATGGGTGAGCTGCAGTGTTTTGTGACAACTTTCAGTGTTTCTCCAAACCCTCACCATCCTACTTTGACTACTGGTGCTTTTGATTATTAGTATAACTTTTTTCCCTCTTGCTACAGGCCCAGAAATTTTTCTCTTTGGAAAATAAAGTTTCATAACACCCAGCCGATTTTTGAAAAGGGCCGGCCAGCCAGTTGAGAAGACAGACCAAAGCCAAGGCAAACAGGGGCTCTCACACAGACCCACGGAGCCCGCACAGACCGGGCTCTGTTGGCTGGGAGGGGTGGTTCTGAAAAGGAGGCACCAGGCGGTTGAACACCGTCACTCTGGCCAGCTGTGTGCAGCCGGGAGCCTCTGGGGTGAGGAGGAGGCAGGAGTTGGATTGTTCCCCTGTGACCAAAGTCCTAGAAGATGAGCAAACCCCATGGAACCAGACCCCCAGGACTTGGGGGCAGCAGATTATCCCTGGAGCAGGTTCCCGACATGGGGATCTGGCCACAACATGGGTGTTCTAGGCAAGAGGGTGCAGTCTCCTGGCTGTCTCCCCACAAAGATGATTGTGAGAAGGTATGGAAATGTTCTCTGTCGTTACGAACTCTGCAAACAAGAGAGATTTTATGTCGGTCCATTTCACAATGATAGAGAGGAGAGCTCAGATGCTCTGTGGACACAGGTTCGGTCAGATGAGGAGGCTCGGGGAGCCTGTGGTTGCTGGAGGGATGTTCCCAGCCCAGCCTCAGGTGGGAAGGTCAAAAACATTCTGTAGGCATTCAAAAGCGGACCAAAATGTAGACTGCAGAGCCCTGGGGATCCCCAAGACTGCCTCAAGGGGTCTGCAAAGTCAAAACTATCTCTATACTAATACATTATTTGTGTTTTTCACTCTTCTTCTCTCTTGAATAGACACTGTGGGTGTCCAGAGGCTGCTATGCAACAGACCCAAGGCGGAAAAGCTAGGAGAATGCATCCTTCCACTAGGCCAGACAGCAAAGAGGTCTGTCAAATTGAAAAGTAATGCCATCTTTCACATTTTTGTTGTTGTTCTGGGAAATATTTTCCATAAAAATTGGTTGTTTTCATTAACATGAAATGGGTCTATTACTATTAGGTTTAAATAAGTTTAAAATATCTTTTAAATTTCTCAGTTTTAATTTCTAGAACAGTAAATACCAATAAATACACACTACAAAAACAAAAGCTCTTTGAAGCTACCAATAATTTTTGAGGGTATAAAGGGGTCCTGAGACCAAAAAGTTTGAGACTGCAACTGCAGAAAAACTTGAACGGAAAGGCATCAGTAATGACAGTATCCATTCTCAGGTGGAAAGGTTACGAGGTAGCAAGCACAATATAATCCCATTTTGTAAAAAGCAGGCAGGTATGTGTGTGTGAATAATTGTGCACACACTATATACAACACAGAAGACTGCAAGCATATATTCCAAAATCTTAACTCTGGCTCTCCCTGGGTGGTACACTGAGGGTAGCCTCTTTCGTGTCTGTCACTCACATTTATTACTATTGCCATCAAATGAAGTGACTAATTAATGTTTCGAGTTTAGCCTGTCACGTTCAGAGAAGCCTACTGAATAGTAATTGAACAAGTGACATATCTGAGCCCTTACCATGGGCTAGTACTATGCTGAGTGTTTCAAGCACAAGAGCTCATTTAACGCCAATAATACCTATGGATTATCAGCCCCATTTTACAGAAGAGACACTGAGGTTACAGCAAAGTTGAGCATCTTGTCCGCAATCACACAACCAGCAGGTGACGACACCTGGACTCCAATCTGGGCTGGCTTGTCACCAGAAGCCTGTGCTCCTGATCACTGGGCTAGGTGGCCTTCCCTGTGGACTCTTCCAGCCATGGAGCAGGGCTGTATGCCAGGGCCTCAGCCTGCCCACTTCTTGGTGTTGACCACACACAGCCAGCATGCCCACTTTGCAGTATGACCTTCATCTCTGGTAGGCAGGACCCTAACATTCTATGCATCCTGCAGCCCCTGTGTCCACCCCTAGTCTGGGCAGGTGGCGAAAGGACAGGACTAGGCAGCAGCCACTCCTCACTGGGGAGTGCACCATTCCAGGGGACCCCACTGTAAGCTGGTTAATTCCAGCCACCACTCTCTGTCACGGGGCACACCCTAAATCAGAACCTGGGTCCAGTCTCTGTGGCCTAAACTGCCAATACCTTGAAAGTGAGTTCATGGCTTAGGGGCCACTCTGGAAACATCTACCACCTCACCTCTGCTCCATGACCACAGCTATGGGCTTGGAGCAAGTGTCACAGCGTGAGGTCACTCCACCTCCTACAGCTCTCTGACCACAGCTGTCAGCCCACCAGCCACTGACCACCTGGCACAACAAACTTTGTGCTCCCTTCCAGGGCCCCTCACCCGCCTGCACAGGTGGCTCCTGTTTCTTTTGCCTCTGGCACAATGTGACGTCGTGGTTGTCATGCCCAGACCCCGGGGGTCCCTCCATGCTCACCCTGGGAAGGGCCACAACTCTCAGCTGATTTCTGAACTGGTAGGCTTGCTGTGGGAGTTGAGAAACATAATAAATGGGCCCGGCTCTGTTTGCAGCACCTAATTTGCAATAATATTGAAGTCTCCAACAATAACTCATTTACTCTTATAATAAATATATAAAAAAAGACAAATTGCTACATTGAACATGCATTTTCTTCACTGCAAGTAGCTGCTACCCCAGGGAGAAAGCCCTGTGCTGCTAACTAATAGTAAATCCTTTGGAAAATCATGTGTCATAATGATGGACAACCAGGGAAGAGGTATTAAATAGATTTAGAGGTTAGCTACTCTAACAGGAACAAAAGACGTCCTTTGCAAGCCATACCTATAAGAGCACAGATCAGCCCATGATTAGCACCCACGGTCTGACAGCTCCGGTGCACAGGAGGAAAGCAAAGTTCTGTCCTGGTCTGGGTGTGGCCAGCCAGGTGTCAGGACAGAGTGGCGAGGGGACGAGGGAGCATGGGTGACGCCTGGGCGTGGGTTCAGGCAGCTGTGTTTTCCAGCCCTGAAGTCTCATCTCCGTTTCTCAACATCAGCCAGCTCCCGTGCATCCTCACTGAGTAAACACTCATGGAGCGTCCACCATGCACAGCTGTGTGGGCACCAGGAAAGCAGGGAAGTACAGCCCTATCTTTGAGAAGGAAGCCATGGCTTTGGGATAAAGAGGCTCCTATGGACATCCATGGCAGGGGCTCTGGGAGCACAGGCCAACCTGGCTGCAGGTAGCTTCTGCAGGGGCTGCTGCCTGAGTCAGTGTTAAAGCCCAGGCTCTGGCCTGGAGAAGAACAGGGCTAAGAAAAGGACTGCCTTATTCTCCTGCTTTTACCATAATATTTCATGCACTAGTGCAGCCATGAGTCTTCCCAATCTCCTTATTCAAGTCCCAGGATTTGCCTTTCTCAATTAAGGAATAGGGGTTGACAGCTGTGTTCAAAATCCTGAGTGTTCCTTGCCTTCCCACCCAGCTCCTATCTAACTTTGAGTTTCTGTGGCGGCCCAGGACTCGGTCTAGAATTGGTGCCTGATGGCTGCTTGCTGGACTGAAGGTGGGCATGCAGGTTGCATGTATTACACGCCAGGTTCTGCAGGAAGAGTCTCTCATATCACAGAAGAGGAAGATGAGGCTCAAGAGGGTTATATGACCTGTGGAAAATCACACACCTATGATGACAGCAACCACAGTCCCACCCTAGGCTCTGGGATCGATCTGGGAGCAGGTCTGAAGGTGGCACATGGCGCGGTCACTTGAAATAATCAAGGGCAAGTGGTCAGCTCAGCAGCCTACACTAAGCAACACAGGTGTGAGCCAGCGCTATCCGTGAAGTTCACATTCCGGCAGGTGTCACTGGCAGTCACACCTCCGCTGAGGCCATACTCCAATCTCTTTCACCAATTCCCTGAGACCTGAACCAAGTCGCTGCCCTCTCTCGGGACTCAGTTTCCTCCCCTGTGAAATGAGGGCGTTGACACCACACAAGATCTCTACAGCTTCTCACCACTCATTCATCTATTCATCCAATGGAGGAGAATGTTTTCTCCTGAACTGATGATGCAAGTAATCTACAGCCATGAGGTTACTCATCCAGACTAAGGCAGTTCCATGGAAACACTGCTGCAGACCTTGTTTTGGTCCCTAAAACATTAGTTTCTCCAGCATCAACTATCACCTCAGCCCATGATGAACACTCATGGTCTGACAGCTCAGCGTACAGGAGGAAAGAAAAGTTCTGTCCTGGGCTGGGTGTGGCAGGCCAGGTGTCTGGACGAAGGGGCAAGGGGGTGAGGGAGCACGGGTGAGACCTGGGCATGGCCTTGATAGCTTTGCACTTCAATCCTCTTATACTTTTGAAAAACTTTGCTTTAAAAGCCATTACTGTATATTAGCCCAACATATTTATACATGTTAGAAATTGGAAAACTTTCCAAAACTGTCTAGAAAGAGAAACAGAACACTAAACCTACTGGTGAGAGCTCTGCAGCACCCTGCAGAGCCCTCTGGACAGTCCCCCTGAAGAACTCCCTGGACTGAAGGTCCCCCTGCAGGGCCCCCTGCAGCCTGGAGCTCAGGAGGGGGTGTCCTTTGACCTTGGGGAACGGGTTTGCTTGCATTTCCTTCCTTCCTTAGTACCCTGAGCCACTCTACTCCTCTGTCTTCAGAATACAAATACAGAGATTTGATTTCATTGGTGCTTTATGCCTTTGGTATTGCCAAATTGTTCTCTCTCTGGCTTCCAGCATCTCACTTCTGGAAACCTTTCTGTAGTTTAAGCGACACTGCCTGGTGATTGATGACTATTTTGCAACTGCTATCAGTTTACTATTTTAACCAATCTATCATAAATCAGGAAGAGGAATGCTGGACCCAAGTGGAGAGTGTAGCTTTTGCTCATTACCTAGGAGGATTATGGCCATTTCATAAAATCCATTATCTAGGGAAAGGATCCTATTGGTGAGGGCCAGCAAAATTCATTTCATGCTTCAAAAGTTTGTGATGGGGCTAGCTAGGGGAAAAAAACTAAATTGTTTGGAAGGTGGGGATCATGATTTGTTTAAAACTCAAGAACAGCCAAGACTGAGCTGTGCCCATTATACCAAGTGGCACTTTGTGTTCAAATGCAAAGGCACTGTTGCCCCCAGGGCCCAGCCCCCTGACCACAGCCCTCCCAGGTCTCACAAACATAGGACTGGCTAGGGAAGTGTGCCCCAGGTTGCTTCTCTCCCCTCCCTGTCCCCACTGGGGCCAGGCCACTCTCAGGAATTCCAGGCCCAGAAATGGTCTCCTCTGTGACCTCCCTGCCAAAAAAGCATTGGTACAAAAACAGGCACATAGACCAATGGAACAGAATAGAGAACTCTTGGCCCAGTCCTGTCTCCAGAAAGCAGCTAGAGCCATGTCCCCACACAACCACCTGGTCATGTCCTTCCCAGTGCACTGAGAGGATCCCAAATCTCATGACCTCCAATACGATGTGCCCGCCCCTGCACCTTGCTTCCTGCAAGGTCCAAGGGCAATGACCTTTCCCCTCTTCCTTGAGCTCCTCTTTCCCTCTCAGAAGATGCCACACGTTCTCCTTGCCTTGGCCTGGAAAGTCTCCCCACAAAATGCACAGAAGGGTCTTTCCAGGACACTGCTGCTGCATCCCTACCTGTTACCTGAGGGTTCCAGTCACCCGCCCCCTCTTCCCTCGACCATTTCTCTTCTAGCAAGTCACACTCTGACATGATTTGAGGTCACAATCACCATTTCCCAAAAGGCAGCTCCCAGGAAGGTCTCACCTCCTTACCTAACTTTGTTTCTGAATGGCAAAGGGAAAATGCAAGTGTCCCCAGGAGGGAGGGGGCCAGCTGCCCCTGCCTGTTCCTTCCCTGCAAGGCCTTAGGGGCAGCATCACCTCCCACTGGAAAAAGTCCTCCCACTTTTAGGACCTCTGGGGCCCAGAAGGCAGGGCTGGGTAAAGCCCTTTAGAAAGTCAAAAGAAGAAAGATTCGATAGATGTTGCAAAGAAAAAAGACGATGAAATAAAGTGTCTTCTAGATTTTGCCAAGCCTCCAGAACATTCCTGTTCGATATGATTTTGTTTCCTTCTCTCCTATACTTAACTTTCCCCAAATTCATTCCTCACGCGAAAACAGCATGGTCCCCCGGGAAGCTGTTTTAACACACACATGTTTTTCTAAGTAACCGTGAGCTGGGACTCGCAGACAATAAAGCTTCTTGTCTGGAGTCCTCCTTGCAGCTCAAACCGCGGGGAATTGAAGTGGCGAAGACTGAGCTCTCAGAAGCTCGGCTTTGCCGGATCTCAGAAGAAACTCTCAGTTCAGAGTTCTCACTGGTACCCCGAGAGTTCGAAGGGCTCGGAGTACATCCGTTGCGGGAGGCTGGGGGGGCAGGAAAGAACGCCTACGGCTGACAGTGTGAATCTTCCAGAGCCCCCAGTCCCTGGCACGCTCGCCTGGGTCCACGCAGGAGCCGCCTCACTTTCTTGCTCCATTTTCTCGGCAGTGCCTCCATGCCTCCCCACATTCCCTCTCTCTCCTCCCCTCCAGCTGTGTCCACCCAGTTCCTTCCTTTCCTCCCCCATCCTCCCTCCCTCCTTCCCTCCAGCTCCCCCCGCCTGAGGCCCAGCACAGCCTCCCTGCCTTGGCGCCTACTTATGCTTGCTGGCTTCAAACTTGGAGCGCAGCAGACAAGGGGAAGGGACGTGGGAGAAGGGCGCTGCAGGCCAGGCCTTCACACACAAGAGCGGCCTCATCAGCACTCCTTTCCAGGGAGCGTCTCCGGAAAAGCTGCCGTCCTCCTTCAACTTACCCAGCGTGCGGGGAGGGCGGAGGGACGCAGCACCCAGAGGGGCGGCGGTGCGGGGAGGGCACTGCCCAGCGGCGGCACTGCCCAGCGGCAGGAGAGGCGGTGGACCGCCGGGCTGGAGCGCAGGGAACATCAAGTGGCCGCCGAGGGAGGCGGGGCTGCATGAATCATTTATAACCGGCGGCGGCCAGGGTTTAGGAGCGCTCGCTGGCTGGCTGGCTAACGGAAAGGCTGGCTGGACTCGGGGATCCAGCCACACTGCTGGCGGGCAGCATGCTGTCCACCCTGCGGGTGCCTTTCTCAGACTAGGGCCCGCATGAATTCCGCCTCCCGGGAGAAGCTGACGTCGGCATGCCTTCCAGGGGCAGCGGCTGCCCTCCAGGGTCTGGAACTTGGGGGTCATGCTGCCTCCAACTCCTGACTCTGTGGCCCCAAGAGGAAGAGGAAGCTGGGTGGGATCTTAGGGGCCATGTGGACTAGGCAGCCCACTGGGTAAGAAGGGGAAATTGAGGCCCGGGAAGGGAGGGAGACTTGTCCAAGGCGCACAAGGCTGTGAAAGACATGACTGGCCCCCAGGCCACTGTGCACCTTCTGAGCCGGCTCCCTGCAGTTCCCTGAGGGCACTGAGAGCTGCAGAGCCTGGAAGTGGAGTCCCTGCGGGCAGTGCAGGTGAAGGTGGCTCCTCACACACAGGGGTCATGGGGGGATCTGAACCCACATCCCCAGCCAGCCTGAAATGTCACTCATCGAGTTTCAGTCTTTCGAATCAAGCTGTGGAAAATCACACCCACCCTCTTTTCCCTTCCGCAGGGAGTGGGCACGTGAAAAGTACTTTGGGACACGGAGTTCCAATCAAACAGAAGACTGGAACCTCAGCACCTCCAAAGCTCACGGACCCGCTGGTGAGGGCTGCCCGGACTGCTGATTCCACTCAGCCACTCACCACCCGCCCTGTCTGCCAGGTGCCATGTGCAAGGATGCTGCATTTTCTGCTAATGGGGGTGGGGGATGGCAGGAGACATAATGGGGTGGGGAGGGGTCATTGCTATTGTCGTCATCACTCTTTGTCACCCCAATGGCATTCTATACCTTCTTTTGCATCTGATCTCAAGGCATCAAGAATATGAAAAACAGCTCTTCTGTCCCCAAAAGGGAGATCTTACCTTAAGCAATGGGATTACCATTAAGTACAAGACATTTGACATTAAACCATTAAGCACAAGACATTTGACATTAATCCCAGGACAGGATGGGAGGAAGGGCCCTGACCAGGAGGGGGGCACTCCAGAGTCGGCCACCCGCTGCCCTTGCCCTGACCTGTCCCGTAGCTCTCCTCGTCACAGGCTCAGACTCCACGTCCCTACCCGAGACCCTCTGACTGTGGCCAAGCTCCAGCCCTACCCTATCCCCAACACCCTCTGCTACATTCCTGCAGAAGCACAGGCTGAGGCCTCTAGAGTAAGACATGTTTCTTATGCAGGAGGCGGGGGGCTATGGGACCCCATCTTAAGCCAAGAAATCAGCTCAGGCCTGCATGGGCCTTCCTCGAATCTTGAAGGAACTGTGGACATCTTTCAGCATGGGGAGCAAGAGTGAGTCCCATAAACACCAACTGCATCCCCACTCTGAGTCTGGGCAGTGCTGGCCCCAGGCACAGGGTGTTGGGCTGGAAATGGCCTGCTCTTCCCTCTCTTGAACAGGGGGGGTGCCAGGTCCAGAGAGAGAGCCTGGCCTGCCTGGGGTACCCGGAGTGGGACGCATGGCAAAGCCTTGAATGCAGAGGGGCTGCATGAGCAGGCGTTGGCTGGCACTATCTGAGCACCGCATATACCCTCCCCACGGCATACAGCAGCCCTTGAGATGAGTCAGGTGGCTTCCTGGGATGGCAGGGATGGGGAGAAGATGGTCAAACCAGACGCTGCTTCAGCGACACTTCTATAGGGCCATGGGGTTGCAAAGGGATCAGAGGTTTGTCCCGGTCACTTACACAAAAAGCTCAACCCCAACGCTCCCGGGTCAGCAAAACTGAAAAGCAGAACCCCTTCTTGGGTGGTACTGCCTCCAAGGGCACCGCAAAGGCCACAGAAAGAAAACAAGGGAAGGGAACCAAACTTTTCCTCAGCCTCGGGGGAGAACTAGACCATGCTGGAGGCTGGTGGAATGGAGCCTCCAACTCTTTCCTGATGGGACCCTTGCCAGAAGGACCCCGTCCCTCCTAGTGGCGAGGACAGAACTCCTTAAGTTCAGAATCCTGATCCTTCTGACAGTAGTCGGGTGGCAACTGTGTTACATGGGGGGCAGGGCATCTATGCAGACAGCAGGACCTGGCCCAGCTACTGTTTGCATGCAGTGAGCTCATCGATGAGGCTCCCCTCCATGCAGTGGCTGCTCTGGAACCGCGAAGGGCTCCACTGACACAGGCAAGCGCTCAGACACTCGAGCCACGTTTAGTCAGCCCTCCTGGCTCGGGCTCCCCAGCCCCGGATACTACCCATAGATGGAAGTGATGAGGCCTCAGGCAGAATCCCAGGGCACCATCACCAGCCCTTCCCCTCAGCTTCCCTGGGGCAATGTTCAGGCTCAGAATGAGGCACTACCGAGTTGGAAGAGAACTGGTTGGACCCCAACAGTGAATGCCCCACAGAAAGGGCTGCTCTCTGGACCCCACGGCCATCTCCAGAGAGACCCCTTCCCAAGGTGTCTGCAGCCTGGGCCAGGCCTTCCATAGGCAGTGATGATTCTGAGCTGGTTCTCTTCAGCCAGGCTTAGAGGAGGAGGGGTTTGAAGAAATGCCCTTCCATGACATACAAGTGACCCACAGAGAGCCAAAGCCCTGCTCAGGTAAGAGAGGATGGGGCCGGGCGCGGTGACTCACGCCCGTAATCCCAGCACTTTGGGAGGCCAACGTGGGTGGATTACGAGGTCAAGAGATCGAGACCATCCTGGCTAAAAATACAAAAAAATTAGCTGGGTGTGGTGGTGGGCACCTGTAGTTTCAGCTACTTGGGAGGCTGAGGCAGGAGAATGGTGTGAACCTGGGAGGCGGAGCTTGCAGTGAGCCGAGATCGTGCCACTGCACTCCAGCCTGGGCGACAGACAGAGCGAGACTCCGTCTCAAAAAAAAAAGAGAGGGTGGGAGTGCCTCTGGCAAGCCCACTCCAATCCCCATTCGACCCCTACCTTCAGCCATCGAGACACATGGGCTCTGCACAGAGCAGGACTTGCAGGGGCAGAGGTTGGAGATGGGATCAGCTGGAGCTGCCTTGGCCCTGAGCAACCCATGTAAAAAACAGCAGGTGGGAAACGGACACAGCCAGGCAACAAAACTACAGTCAAGACCAGCCTGTGTGCTCTTGTCCCAGGGGACAGTGTCTCCCAGAACTACCTTTCCTGGAAGCAGCCCTCCCGTCTGTGTGTGCCAGCCCTGCAGGAAGACCATGGCATCCTACCAGTGTCCCCACACGGGCCCTCACAGAGCCTCCTCCTGCAGGCTGCCACCAGGACTCTCCACACCCAGAACTTTCCCTGGCTCCACCAAAGCCCAGTAGGTAACCTCTAAGTCCAGTGACTGCCCTTGGGAATTTGTCTACTTCTCCAGCCGCCCTCCACACACAAGTCATTTTGCTGCCAAACTGGCCTTTCCATTGACCCTAATATGCCCGCAGACACAGCAGACACAGCAGACGCCACCCTCTCTCCTGTTCACATTGACGCCTCAGCCCCATCAACTCCTCCTCCAAGCAAAAGGCTTCCTGGAAGGGCTGCCTCGGCCTCGCCCTCCTGTGACTCAGCTTATCTGTGCTGTTCCCAGGACATATCAGACCCTTTATGTTGTTCTGAATACAGGCTATTCCCACTTACAAATGAGCTGTGTTCTCAAAGGTCGACATATTATAAATCAATGATTTGGAACTTAAATGCATTTTCCCATAAAAAATAATGTAACATAATATGAGTAGCTTTCCATGTTAGCCCACAAATGCCCAGATAATCCACATTGTGGCTAAGATACTACATAGATGCAGTTAAAACCTCTATTTAAAAAATACAATACTAGTAATTAAGTAGACTGAAAATCATTAAGCATCTGATTAAAACAGAATAAAGAACTGTGTGTTCTTCACGTGGAGTCCTAGTGCTTGAAGCAAGGCAGGCTCTCATCATAGCAGGAGAGACGGCCCGTGGTGGATTCTACAGCCCTGGGGTTGTGCAATCACAGGTGTGGGGTGGAGACCGCGGTCAGGAAGAGGCAAGCACTGACTGGGTCAGGCAGCCCTTGACCAGGGGCAACACGGGCACTGGCCGGAGCCAAGGCATGCAAGGGTCCTGAGGGGCAGTGGTCGGCTGCCGGAGAAATGCCTGCAATTGCTCCTCTTTAGGGAACTTGTGGGCTTCATGCTTCCAGGGTCTCCCAGAAACTCCTGTTAATCCATCAGTAGGCATGTTGTCCTCTCATTGGTCTTGACTAAGTCCAAGTTGTGAGTTGTCTAAGCCAAGTCCTCCAATGGCTCAACCACAGCAATAGCCCCTTCCAGGCGCTCTGGTCACCTTGCAGGCCTATGAAGCAGATGTTGTTAACATGGATGAAAACCCAAGACTTGAGTTTTTGCAGCTGGCAAGGGGCAGAGCTGATCCCCAGCTGCTCCACTGCCTCTGGAAGCTCCCTCCGACTGGGGAGCCAGGGAGGGAAAGAGATACGAGCTACAATCTCATGCTACCAATGAACACAAAGTACAATTTGCCACCAGCCCTATTAGCTGGAGGTCTGAGCAGGCTGTCCTCTTAGGCGGGAGGAGCCCCGCTCTGAGCCGGGGCCAGCCTTCCACTTTGGCTGTATTGCTAACCCCACACTCGCTCACCCAGAACCTCGGAGTGCCTGCCCTGCACAGGCACCAGTGAAGCGATAATGAATAAGATATTGTGCATTTCCTCAAAGATCTGAGAAGGCCCAGGCTTGGCCCCCCACCTGCCCAGCTCAGCACCCTCACCGGCCCACCTACACACAAAGTGCTCACGATGGACCCACAAGGGCTCCGGCTCCCACAGCTCTTGCCAATCCACCCCACAGAAGACAGAGAGACGGGGTCACGCACAGCTCAGCATGTTTTACAGATAAGGAAACAGGGATGCCTGAAGTCACACGGATACCTTAGTGGCAGGGCAGACATAACCCAGGAGTCCCTGGAGCCCCCAGACGGCAAGGCCTGCTGTGTCCCCAGTACCTCGTGCAATGCCTGGCACACAGCAGGAGCCTGGCGGAGGGGTGGGCGAACTGCATCCTTATGTTAGGAGGCATTTCCTGTGTAGGCATTTGTTTATTCCACAAACATTTAGCAAATGCCTTTGGGCCAGGGCTCACCCCACATTCATTCCAGGTCTCCTTGGAAGCCCTCCTGCATAGACATCTGCCCTCTATGCGATAATTTCCCTTTGCCATGGGGCTGCCTCCCCTTCACCATTACATAGCCTGTCACCCAAGCCTTGCCTGCCAAAGCGGGAAAGCTTTTCTTAGTTGTTTCTTGCAGGAAGAAAGAGGAAGAAAAGACTCACACACGGGCCACGTCACCCCTTCTGTGGTGCCTGCACATCTCCGTGTTCCTCCTCCCCATCTGGGGTGGTTCACCCCTCAGATGTATAATGAATCAGGCACTCGCTCATTAATAAGAAATGACAAGCGATCATCTCATTGAAATCTGCCGAGCTGCCAGAGCCTGCAGACACAACCCCTGCCTGGCTCTGCAATTCCACTGTGGTCAGGCGGTAATGAGTCTGTGGGGTGGACAGGCCAGCTAGTGAGCATATTAGCACTTAACGTGCAGGCAGGGAAGTCACATTTCTGCGGTGGACAGCCTCAGGACCGGCAGGTTAATGCCTTTTTCGTCTGTATTAACAAAGGGCTCAGCTCAGCAGGCCCCGGTTCCCCCAGGGTCAGCGAGCTGGGAGAATGCCACGGGCCGTGGAGGGTTAATCCCTGCTGTGGCAATCAGCAAACCCTGGTGTCCAAATTCTCAAGAGGGCCCAAGAGCAGCCCAGGCTTGGAGACTGAACCACTTGGATGCTTTTTTGTTTTAAAAAGCAAGTTGAGTGAGCAAAAGATCTTGACAGGAGACTGGATGACTATAGCGTGGGCGACTCCAGCCACAGGCCCAGGACTGGGACCCCTCCCAGGCTCCACCTGGAGCTGAATCACAGGGGCAGCAGGCCCATCCAAGGGCCATACTACAGGAGGTGCCTCCAGGAAGCCTGCAGGGGCCTGCTGAGCTTCTCTCATGGGGCACACCTGCTATTTCATATTCACGTCAGCACCCACTACATATGGGGTTTCACAGGCAGGGCTGGAGTCTGGTAGAATATGAACCACACTGAACAGACAGCACAGAATGGAATTCGCACTCCGTCACTCATGGGCTACATGGCCTCAGAGACATCAGGAAACTCGGGTTCCTCACCTGTAAAATGGGTGATAGAGACTCTCTTGCAGAGGGTAAATGGGCTCTAATCATCACCCAGTCATTGCATAATAAATGACAGCTCTCATGATTAGGGTGGGCATCTAGGGCTTCAGGATTTTAAAGGCAGAGTGGTCCAGCTTCTGCCTCATTCATCATCATTTATATCATTTGCATCACCATTGCACACTCCTGTGTGCTGGCCATAACGGATCTCTAATTTTCACAACAATCCTTGGGCCAGGTACATTAACCCTGGCCATATTAGAAATGGGGTAATCCACGCAGGGCCTCAGGAAACCAAGTGGCCGAGCCAGGGTCTGACCCTAGCTCCTTCCTCATCACCATGTGTCTTGTACCTGGGCTGCCCCCTCACTGCTCTAGAGTCCCAGACGGCTCCCTGTTAACAATGGGCCAGGCCCAGGATCCATAAGGAACCCTGCCTCTTCCACACAGGGCCTTCTTGCAGGCAAACAGGCTACACCCAGGTCCCTCCTGCATCTTTTGACCCACCAGAACCGTTGCCTGAAATGCCCTCCCCAGATCTCTCCCTGCAGCTCAGCCATTCATCCTTCAAGCTATCCAACTCCTCAAAGTGGCCCGTGACCACTCCAGGGTCAGTGACCGCTGCTGTAGTCTGCTCCCAGAATCTCGAAAGGGAGCCAAGTCCCAGGGGGCCCTCTGAGCTTCTGCAATGGACACTGACAGCTGGCCTGATCATGGGCAGCCCCAGGGCCTGTGTTGGGGGCCTGAGAGAATCTCAGGACCTGAGGACAGTGAGCCCCACCCTGCAGATGAAGAAGCCCAGGGTAGGTGATAGGATGAGGTGAGACCTTCATGCAGCTCCTTGGGGGTACTGGAACTGACCGAAGCCATCCTCAGGGCACGCTGTGGTACTGACCGCTTGACCTTACTCTAAACACCTGAAACTGGAAGACAAATCTGAAGCCCACCCTGGTCCATTACCTCTGCTTCTTGCCTAGAGGACCTTAATGATGCACTCCGATGCACTCTCCTTGGTCCCCTTCAATCCACCCTCACACCACAGCCAGGAGGAGGGCGTGCACCTGCCTGACCACCACCATGACCTCTGGGGAGCAGACAGAGGGGCAAGGCTTGTGTTTCTACACGTGCTTCAGTACTGTTTGCACATGTTCTAGAAAGTCTGTATAACTTATTAATAACAAAAAAGGGAGTATTGGCCGGGCATGGTGGCTCACGCCTGTCATCGCAGCACTTTGGGAGGCTGAGGTGGGCAGATCGTCTGAGGTCAGGAGCTCCAGACCAGCCTGGCCAAGAGGCCAGGAGGCGGAGGTTGCAGTGAGCTGAGATTGTGCCATTGCGCTCCAGCCTGGGTGACAAGAGCAAAACTCCATCTCAAAAGAAAAAAAAAAAAAAGGCCGGGCCCGATGGCTCACGCCTGTAATCCCCAAACTTTAGGAGGCCAAGGCGGGCGGATCACCTGAGGCCGAGAGATGGAGACCATTGTGGCCAACATGGTGAAACCCCATCTCTACTAAAAATACAAAAATTAGCTGGGTACGGTGGTGTGCTCCTGTAGTCCCAGCTACTCCGGAGGCTGAAGCAGGAGAATCACTTGAACCCGGGAGGCAGAGGTTGCAGTGAGCCAAGATTGCACCACTGTACTCCAGCCTGGTGACAGAGCGAGACTCTGTCAAAAAAAAAAAAAAAAAAAAAAAGGAGGGAGTATCTGTAGGGCTGTTGTGAGGCAGAGCTGCATTCACTCAACACAGCTTCCCTGCTCTTGTTTCAGGAAACAGCCCTTCCTTCAAGAGGGGAAGGGGCCACCCTTAAGCTCCAATGACATTCCAAGACAAAAGGAGATGAAGCAGAGCAAGCTCTGCATTTGCAGGCGGGAGGCCTAGGCTTCTGCTTTTGCCATCAACTCAATGTGTGATCTCAGGGCCTGAGTGGCCTCACCTGTAAAAACGACAAAGGCCTCTCCCATCCCTGACATTTTCAGACGTTTTGGAGATCCTAAGGCAGAGTCCCAGAAAATAGCAAGTAACTTCAGAAGCCCAGCCCTAGGCAGTCCCCTTTAGAAGACAGAATACTGCTTAAGAAAACCCTTGTAATGAGGCTATTAGCCAGGTCGAGGGGAGGGGGCACCCGCTTTACCGTGCCTCCGGAAAGCCTGGTTCAGGCAGAGGCACAGCCAGGGCAAGAACGCTCCGGTCCTGCCCAAGCCTGGAACACGCACACAGGAGACAACTCGTTGCAAAACCCATGGCCCTGGGGATAGAGTCTGCCCTACATTAAGAAACACTTTCCAAATGAGATAATTATTTAATAGGTAATAAATGGAGTTGGAGAGAGGACAGTGGGAATTCAGTTGATTAAATGCCTGTGCCCCCCAGCACTGCAGGCCCTCCCCAGAGCCCAGCCTCCTGCCCCACATCTCCTGACATCATCTCATGCTCAGCTCACCTCCACCATTTCCTGCTTATGGATAACCAGCCTCCGGCCACTGGGCTGCACAGAGGGCCTGAGCCACAGGGTCCACAGCAAGGCAGCAGGCTGAATCCAAGCCATCCTGCCCTCCAGCAACTCAGCAGCTTGTCTCTTCCCCCATCCTGCCCAGGGGACTAGCAGGCCGGTGGCCAAGAGGATGAGACAGGACAAGGGTGGAGGCGAGAGGCCAGAAACATCAGAGGCTGCCCATTGTTGTTCACTAGCTTGGCCCTGACCCAGAGCCAAGCTTCATCTATGCCCATTTTAACTCAACAAAGTAGCCTTGATCAGTCTTCAAATCTATGGACATGGCGGGGGCATGGGGAGAGACCATCACCCACTAGCCACATGCCAAGTACCACAAGGAGTACTTACATGTGCATTTAATTGTTCAGGTTTGTTTATATTTTGTTTCTTGACAAATAAAAACACTGAGACTCGGAAAGCTTAAGTGACTTGTTGAAAGCCACACAGCTGGCATCAACTCCGGGAACCAATCCCACCCCTGCCAGCTCCAAACATGGGTTCTTTCCCCAGCACCAAGCTGTCATTCTCCCCCGCCCCCTGAGCACTCAGCAGGTGTTCACCTAACGTGAGCTCCCTTCTCACCTCGACCACCCTACACAGAGGCCAGGTGATCCCAGTCTCAAACAACTGAAGTTTCCCAGTAACCTTTCCATCGACCCACAAAAGATGCTCTGAGCAACTCCTCCAAGGAGAGCTCTAAGAAAGGTGCGAGGGAATTAGAAGCAACCGCAACTCTGAGTGAAGGAGCTTACTATCTCAGTGGGCCACGAGGAGAAACAAGCAGAGTATCAGAAAATGGGAAGGAGGGTTTACAAGGGCCCAGGGCCACCATCAGGCTGTGCGTGCAAAAAGAGATCAGAAACTGGTGGTGGGGGTGGGGGTGGGGGGGTTGATCCCCTGTGGGCTACACTGAGGTGGGACCTGGATGAAAATGCTGGAATATAGCAGGTGATTGATGAAAAATGCATTGGATAGCGGGGTGGCCTGGTGGGTGGATGAATGGATAGGTGTTTGGGTAGGATGGATGGGTTGATGAGTAGGTGGGTGTTTGGGTGAGGTGGATCAGTTAATGGGTGGGTGGATGGATGGATAGGTGGGTGAGTGGGTGGGCAGATGGGTAGGTAGGTGGGTGGGTCGGTGGGTGGGCGGGCAGATGGGTAGGTGGGTGGCTGGGTGGGAAGATGGGTAGGTAGGTGGGTGGGTGAGCAGATGGGTAGGTAGGTGGGTGGGTGGGTGGGCAGATGGGTAGGTGGGTGGGTGGGTGGGCAGATGGGTAGGTAGGTGAGTGGGCAGATAGGTAGGTGGGTGGGCAGATGGGTAGGTGGGTGGGCAAATGGGTAAGTGGATGGGCAGATGGGTAGGTGGGTGGTTGAATGGATGGAAGCTCTCTAGTCAGGATATTTCCTCCTGTCATCTCTCTGTCACTACCCTCCTCCCCACCTCACTCCTCTTTCCTCCATAGCCATTTCAGTTTAGATCTTTGTGATGTGCAGCTGCCCACAGAGTGGGCAGTGGCTTCAGAGGTTAAGATCCACAGCCCTGCACGTCTTGGGTGCATCACTAAGCTCTAAGCCTTCCCCTGGTCTTTAGGCTAGCATGGCCAAAAGGCATGGAAGGATGAGCTTTTCTGCCCAGCTTTCCCTCCACCCCATCTTCCATAAGCCCCGGCCCACACCTTTATTATTTCTGCCTGCCCAGGCAGCTCCCACCTTGATATAAATCAGAGGGCCTCTGGGCCCAGTTCAACCCAGAGAGGGCTACTCCCTCCAGGCCTGAAGTGAGCCAGGCACACCAAAGGCCCAAGTCCTCATCAGAGGCCTTTCCGTCTGGATTTTATCCCCATTCCAGCCACACGAGGCTTCTTCAGACGCCCCTGAGGAATGCAGTGGGACAGCCAACAGAGCAGCCCAGGAAAGCGCTGGTCTGCAGAGCCATGGGAGGGCAGTGGTCAGGCAAGTAGAATGACAGAGGGCTCGGGACTGCAGTCCCTGGAGATTAGGGGGCCCTGGAGGTTCCGGTGCCATGAGAGTGTTCTGTAGGCAGCTGAGCCAGCTCCCTTACACAGTGGCTGGTCCCAGGTCAAAGCCAGGTCCGGACACTGCAAAGTCTACAGGCAGTGGAGATCGGGGCGGTGGGCAGGTCCACTTTAAAACGAGGCCCATGATGGTGAGAACCCCATCCAAATCTCTACCTAGGAGCCGTCCTGCTTCCTGGCCCGGGCACAGTCGGCCCAAACCTGCCATAAATGGGAGGCCTGATTCCCAACCTGGAGCCCCACAGGAAGGAGCTAGAAGGTGCAACAAAGGGTGGCAAGGTGAGTGGCACAGCAGCTCTGATCCCAGAAGGCGCTGCCAATGCCCACATTAGAACCTGCCTGAGCTGCTAGAGGTGGGCACCCCCTGCCCTCACTCCCTCCTGGCTGGCATCATGAGAGAAGCCAGGCAGGCAGAACAGGCAGCTTCTCAGCCTGAGGTGTTGGAAAATAAGTGCGGGATGGACAGCAGGGAGAACTCAGGCTGAGGAGTCAGCAGCCCAGGGATCAGTTCCAGTTGTACAGCCCTGCTCAAGTCACCTCCCTCCCTGAGCCTCAAATGACCCCTTTGTAAACTGGGGACAAGCACAGTGACCTTGCTTTTATCAAGATGGCACGAGATAATCCAGGTCCCCAGATCCAAGTAGGCGCTGCACAAATGGTGCCTGCTGGTGTTTTAAATAGGGTAACTGATTTTCCTTAATGAACCTAATAGAACATATGTGTGCCTTCCTGAGTGGAGAGGAGGCCCAGCACAGAGGCTCAGAGCAGAGGCCCAGGGTCAGAGAGCCAGGGCTGGAAGGCTGCTCCACCCCTTACCAGCTGTGGGACCTCAGGCCCATCACATCACCTCTGTGGTCTCCATTTCCCCCACTGTCCAGTGAGGATTATGGGACTGTTACCAGGGCTGTTGGAGGATTAAATAATCCAGTGCATGGAAAACCAAGCAGTGCCTGGAACCCTAAGAAAAGTGAGCTCGCAGTAGTTTCATCATCTCAATTCCCCTGGGGGGCTCCACGGTTTCTCTGGAGAGCGTCTTTGGGAATCCTGCTTTGGGAACTGTTTTTAAACCTTGTGAATATCCTTAGTGATGGGAAGAGGGTGTCACTTCACTGCACCTTCACCCATTCTGTAACCATGCTGAGTACTGGAGACACAGGGCCCTGAATTCACAGTGCTCCCTGGGTACACATGCTGATGGACAATGCACTGTGCAGACTGTTTGGGTAAAAAGCAGAGTACATCTGTGAAGCCACCTGACCAACCAAGTTTCTTGAGTGGCTCGCTCACTGGCTTTGAAGACAGCTCCAAGCACGAGAACAACCATGGTGCCACAGCTGACAGCTGCCTCCAGGGTCAGCGTGCAGCCGGAAAGCCCTCTGGGACCTCCCAGGGACCATTTTCTCATAGGAGCTGTCTGCACAAACTCCTTCCTGTAGCCTCTTCCCTGATCATCGGCAAATTGTTTATTTCTGTGAGTTTGCATGTCTGGTGGGTTCTGTTTTCCTCTGCTCATTTGCTGTGCTTTTTATTATTCCTGCCCAAATAAACCTCCTCTCAAATTAGATGAGGAAATCAGGGTCATTCCGCGATGACCTCGAGGGGAGCCTGCTCTGTGTGGAGGGTGTGCAGGGCTCCTGCCAGCCCACGAAGGGGTCCTGCCCCATGCTGGCCCTGGACAGGCCAGAGTGCCCAGCCCTGGGCTGAACCAGAGGCTTTCCAAGTGTGTTCTGGGCCAACAGCAGCAGCAGCAGCATCTGGGGACTTACAAATGCAAACTTTCAAGCCCCATCGCAGGCCTACTGAGTCAGAAACTCAGGATGGAGCCCAGAATCTCATGTTTAACAAGTCTCTTGGGTGATTCTGATGCACCTGATAATTTAAGAACCCCATGCTAGGCAAACAGCGAGCACTCAAGAAGTCCATTCTGGTGCACATGCCTTCCTTCTGGTTTCTCCTCATCTTCAGGCGTGTCCCAGGCATTGAAAGCAGAAAACCTCAGAACATACACATCGTGGAGACCAAATATAATGGGTGACATGAAACACGACCCCTTCTGCAGCTGTAGCCCCTCAGGGTTCCAAAGGTTCTTCTGGGATCCTGATTTCCCCTGATTGTCACAGCCTGCAGGGGAGGGGACTGCTCACACACTCAGCAGATGACTGGGGCAGCCCCCCTTGAAGCAGCACTGGGCAGGTGATATGACACATCCTGTCGGCCTCAGGAAAGGGAAGGCTATGCGCGGCTGGAACTGGCAGGCAGACCCTCTTAAAAGTGGGACCCAAGTGTGACCAGAGGATGGAGGTGAACTGACAGGGCCTGCCAGGGTCACTGCCTTCACACTTGCTGTACTCTTTGCCTAGAAATTTTTGACCCAAACTTCTGCTCCTCTTCTGAGACTCAGCTCAGGAGTCACCTCCTCCAGGAAGCTCTCCTTGACTCCCGGCCCTGCCCTTGGGCTGCCCTTTTGTGCTCTTACCTCTCTACACTGTAACTCCTACACTCTTGGCTGGTTTTTTTCCACCAGAATGTGAGCAGTTTGAGGGCAGGAATCTGTCTTATTTCCCACTATAGCCCCGATACACAATAGGTGTTTGATAAATGCTGGTAGAATGAAGGAGGAGACAAAAATGGGCTCGGGGGAGCCACAGGCCACCATGGACAGGAAGTGCCTGTACATCTTGGCTGTTACCCCCAAGCTGCTCCATCTCATAGGGGACCCACATCCCCACTACCACCACCGTGCAAATGCAGTCCCCTAGACCCACCCTAGCCAGCTGCACCTGTAACCATGCCATTCAGACAGCACCCCACACAGATGCCAGGAGGTGAGAATCAAAGCAAGTCCCAAGGTGGGGACCTGACCCCTGGGGCCTGCGAGGAGAGAGGCTCAACACATGTCATACAGAAACCATGTGCGTCTTTCTCCTGATAGCAACAATTTGGAAAAGCAAAAGGGAGACCTTCATTGGAAAATGAAGGAAAGTATGATTATGTCATCTTTTGGGTTTCACTCTCTTCTTTCTCTTAATATGCAAGGGACTAGTGACTTAGAAAAACAACAGATCCAAACAGCCAGAAAGCTCAGCATTGCAATCCCATGCCAGCCCTTGCAGACTGGCAGGCCTGCTGCTCCTGCTAGACAGGCCCAGGGCCTTTCTCAAGGGAGACCCCTCTGAGCTGCAGGAGAATCTTCTCCCCAGAACCAATGGTGGAACCATGTCACAGAATTTCTCTTCCACGACACCTCCTCTCTCCCCAGGCCCAGTCCCTAGTGACCTGAGGTGTCATTCTCTGAACTCAAATCTCCAGCTTCTGTCCTGGATCAAACTGCTCTTGGCAGCCCCATGCCTCACACCTTTGTGCCAACCTCCTCGTCCTGGTCTGCCTGCACCTTCTCTGTCCCTTTGAAGGTCTCCTGGCCCTCCTTTCAGCCTCAGCTGAACCTAGACCTACCCCCCTCCAGCCCCCGCAGAAAGCCTTTGCCAAAGACCCTCTGAGGGCCAGCACCTTGCTGGCCTTCACTCGCCTTGCAGAGACAGTGTCGTCTACTGTCTCCTGAGCGATCATGTCGAGGGCCAGAGAGGGTAGGGGATTTGGGATTTTCGATTTGCCCAAGGATGCACATTGCTGTCTTCTCTGTGCTCCTCTGTTCCTGGCCACTCTCTCACAGAATTCATTACTCATTATCCCTTCCTGCGTCTGTCTCCCCCAGAGTGGGTGGACAGCACCTGACCCTCTTCACACACCCAGAACCATCACAGTGGCCACACACTGGGCACAGCGAGTGCTGGCTGGCTGTCCTGTTGAATGGCAAAGGTCCTGATGACCTACCAAGGCATACGGGGTGCTCAGTACCAGTGACAGCTCAGGGATCACCTCCTCACTGGGATGTTTGTATTGCAAGCCAAAGGAATGAACCTATAATGGTGGAATTCTAGGCTTGATCCCAAAGTGGGCTGGGGAGGCAGGAGAGGTATCTGTGGGCAGAGAAGCCTTCCTCAAACCAACCACATAAACAGCTACCTCCCCTGTCTGTGTTTACAGGCGGCCCTGCCTCTGGAATGCTGGCACTGGTCCTGGATGCCATCCCTCAGAAACACACTCGTCCCTCAGTCCTGCCTCGACTTCATTGGCACGGACACGACATATCATCTGGGGGTCCTGTCGGAAAGCCAGCTGTCCCCCTGGCACCCCTGGTGGGGGTAGGCAGGAGTGCTATGTGTTTCAGCACCTCCTTTGGCCTGCAGTGGCCCCACCCAAGCCCAGCACAGAGCTGGCCCGAAAATGGAGCTCAGGAGGAGCCCCGCTGCATGGGGAACGACTCTCTGCCCATCCGTCTCTGTGCGATCCATAGGCCTGGGCAGGGTAGGGATGACTCCATGTGCTCCAACCTGTCCTCCTCCTCTCTCCAACTCCTGAAAGACTCCAAGCTCAGGTTCACCCTCCACACAGGCGAATGCCATCTGGGTTCTAATCCTACAACTCCCTTAGGGCCTTCCCCACTCACTCTGGGCCTGGGACTTCTCGCCCTTAGTGTGGAGTCAGGCTCCTTGTCCCACCTCTGGCCTGCCTTTCCAGTCTCAGCTCACTCCTCAATTGACTGGTGTATTTCTCCAAGACGTGGCAATGCTGCCCCTCCTACCAGATGGCACTGCTTGTATTCTCTGCAAACCTGCTTCCTAAGGCTCACGCTATCTAAGCTTTCAGTTCTCAAATGGGACCTCCTGGGAAAGGCCTTCCCCAGTACCCAGTGGGGGGCATCTCCCAGTTACCCTCTCATGCCCACTCTATTTTCTTCATAGCACCTCTCCCTCAAAGTGTTTCACCTGTGTGTTGACTTGTTGATTGTCTATTCTTCCTCACAGGAACAGGAGTGCCAGGGAGGTGGGGACTGCACTGGTTTAGCCCAAGCCCACTGCCTGATGCCCGGCTGGCACTCACTGCCTCCTCTGTGTTCGGGGACAGTGTGAAGACCTCCCTGGTGGGGCCTTTCAGTCTGCCTGGAGCTACACCAGACTCCAGTTCAGTACCAGCCAGGCCCCAAGGGCAGGGACCAGGCCTAAGTCACAGGCAGTCATCCCAGGATCTAATGACCCCAGGCACACAGCAGCCTTGACAAAGCCTTCCTGGTCATGCTGCATGTCAGACAAGCCCAACCACAACCTGCAGGCAACAAGAGCAGGGGCCACCTCCAGTCCCCTGGCCCTGGGGGCCCACGGGCTGCATTTTTGTGTATTTCCAAAAAAGTAAATCCAAACAGAGCAACATAGAACTGAAAACTCCTCACTTGAGAGGTCACTCCAGTCCCAGCCCAGCCTAGCCATCATGACCTCCCTTAAGGTGGCCCAGCCCATGGTCCCAGGAACACCACTGAGAGGCCTGTTCCATGCTGCCCTGAGTCCACCCCCAATGAGTTCTTGTTACAAACTGGGGCCCATGCAAGTTCTTTCATTTTAATTTTCATGATTCTTTTTCTTTTTTTAAAAAAATCTAAGCAATCCTGCATATGATTTTTACACTTGATCTTAGCCAAAAGGCTGAGAAAAGATCTGCGTATGATTTTTTAAAGAACAAATAGCACCAAAGGGCTTATAATGAAAGGCAATAGTCCCCTCCCTGTGCCCTGGAGGCAACCACTTTTAACTTTGAAAAAATGTTCCTGCTCTTAATTCCTCTGGCAGCTATCTGATCTATATAAGGAAGGTATTAAAATACCACGTTTTGATTCTTTAATCCTATGAGCTTAATGTTTCTGATTTATTGGTTATTTATACAGAGGACAACTCAATTCACTTGGACCTCCCCCACCACACACAGAATGGTGTATAAGGCCAACCCCTGCCTCTCGCACAGTGATGACAGCAGCTCCCGATCCTCCAAAGGCACCAGGGCTGCAGCCCTCTTCTGGAGTCCCTCCCCTGGAATCCCTCAAGCCTCTGCTCTGACTGTAGAGAGGGGGCAGCTGCACAGCCCCGGCCTTGCTATCATTCCCTTCTTGGGGGTCTCCCTCCTGGGACCTCAGGTCTTCCCTGCATTCACTTACTCCCTTACGCTGTAAGAGAGAATCCTTAAGTAAAGGCCAAAGATATACAGAAGGTAAATGCTTTGAGTCCCTCCTATATGACTGAAGATAGCCTTATTGTCCCCTCCCATCTGCCTGAGAGCTTGTCTGATAGTTTCATTGCTAATTTCCCAGGGCAAATTCACTGACTTGACACACTCACTGCTGTTGATCGGAAGGGTAGTAGTTTAGTCCTCCTTCGTTTGTAGATGACCTAGGCTGTTTAGTTTTGTTTTGTTCTGTTCTGTTCTGTTCTGTTCTCCCCTTCTCTAGAAGTTTTCAGAAGCGTTACTTTATTCTTGGTTATTTGAAATTTTACAATCACATGTCTAAATTATTTTTTTTCTTTTAAAGTGCTGGGCACACTGAGGGATGTTTTAATGTGAAGATTTTTGTCCTGATCCAGGCAATTTTCTTGTATTGTTCTTGTATAACCTTCTCCCGTCTGTTTTCTGTTTCAGTTTCTGAAACTTCCATTAGTCAAATACTCCATCACCTGCCTTTGTATTGCATCTTTCTCAGCTTTCCTTTCAGATGTTCCAGTCTTTGCTTTCTTCTTCTTTTCATGAAATGTCATGTATCCCTTTAATGAACTTTTTATTTCAACTATCATATTTTTAATCTAAAGCTCTTTTTTGTTCTCCAAATATTCTTATTTCATAGCATCCTGTTCTTGTTTTATGGATGCAATGCTTTCTTGGGCCTTTCTGAGGATACCAATGGGTGGGAGGTCAATTTTCTGTTTACATTTTCATCTCCTCCTGAATTCCGCTGCTTTGGGAACCATGCTTTCCCAGTCGTCCATGTGGACGTTGCTCTTTCACATAGCAGCCTTTCTTCAGATGTCACTTAAACCCTGGGTGTCCACTCACATTTAAAGAAGAGGGACTGGAAACTTGGTTAGAAGTTCTGCATAGATGAGTGGGGCTTGTCCAATGGTAGCTTTAGCAATTCCATAGGGAGACCCCCAAATGCCAGAGTGCTCCAAGCTTGGCACTAGGATCCAATACTCACAGGGTCTGCCCTGGTTACCCCAGAGAGTTACCTTACTTTCTCTACAAAAGAACACAATTGCCGCCATCATCATCATCATCATGATCATCATCATCATCATCACTATTGGCATAAAAGATAAACACCTGGATTCTAGTCATTCTATATGGGAGGTTGAGAGGAAGAGAGGAATCAACGACACCCATTTAATTTTTTTAAAATGATGGTAAAATATATATAACATAAGACTTACCATTTTAACCATTTTTAAGTGTACAGTTCAGTGGCATCAAATACATTCACATTGTTGTGAATCTTCAAAACTTTTCCATCTTCCCAAACTGAAACTCTGTGCACATTAAACATTAACTCCTCATTCCCCTCTTCCCCAGCCGCTGACAGCTGCGATTCTACTTTCTGTCTCTCTGAATTTGACTACCCTAGGGGCCTCATATAAGTAGAATCATGAGGACGTGTCCTCTAGTGTCTGGCTTGTTTCACTTAGCGCATATCCTTGGGGTTCATCCATGTTGCAGCATGTGTCAGAATCTCCTTCCTTTTGATGGTTGAATACTATTCCATTATATGGTAAGCTACAGTTTGTTTATCCTTGCCTTCATCATCCATTTAATATTAAAGCCACTTAGAGTAATACATGACAGAGTGTGCAGACCTGTCCTTGTCACACAGGGGCAGGAGTGCCGCTCCGCTCTCCAGAGATGGCATCCCAGCCCCTTCCTGCCACTCCTTCCTTCTTCCTAAGAAAAGTGACTATCTGTGAGCTTCTAGGCCTCTCCACAGAATGTGTGGCCCAGGGCCCACATCTTGCTGTCCCCAGTCCCCACACCCCAGTGTGGGTGGCCTTCTTGACAGAGGACTAGCTATTTTTAGTAGAAATGCAGAACTGCCACCATTTTTAGCAGGAAAGGCAAAGGTGCCAAGGAGACTTCTTTCTCCTCCAACTCTTCCCTCCCCAGGGTCTCCTTCCTGCCAGCGCCTTCTGCAAAAGTTGCCAAGAATAGGATGAACAATGAAAAACAGACCTAAGTTTTCATCCCTGTCCTGAGTACCCTGCCTCCACCCAAAATAAAGAGAAAGGCTGAGGCGACAGGGACAACCCCAGGGGCGAGTCGGTAGGCAGAGCACCACCCTGCTGCGAACTCCCTGTGTGGCCATCCCCACTCTGCTCGCCGGTCTCCTGGTGTGATAAGATGAGGGGTGAGGCTGCGTAGCTCCCAACGCCAAGGAGCTCTTAATGGAGGAGCCCCACGTTCTAGCTGGTGCAAACCCACGGGCCAGGGCAGGAGGCTTCTGCTTGCTCCGCCGCCCCTTCCAGGACTATTGCAACCAGGCGGCGGAGTCAGGCCCATCCCGGGAGCTTCCTTCTCAAGTTCAGAAGCCAGAGGCATTCAAAGTGCTTGCTCAGGTGCGCGCTGCGCGGTCTGCGGGGGCCGGACAAGCTCCGTCAAGATGCAGCCTGCATTATTCATGCCTTCTCCCTCTTCCCACAGCTTCTGAGGGAGGCCGCCACCATGGCCCGCTCACAAGGGCTGCTCTGAGCACTGCCCCTGCCTAAGCGCCTGCCTTTAATAAAAGATAAACAAGAAGTACCATGTGGGGACAGTGACATCTGCTGCACCCCCTCCCCACAGCGGGTTTCTCCCTTTCTGGGATTTGGAGCCACATGCGGCTGGGAAAGAGGGCTGGCAGGGATCCAGCTGCAGTCGTAGGCTCCACGCTGGGTCTTGGCCTCAGCTGTATTAAATCAACTCCCTGGCTCCAAATAGGAACCACCGCCCCCCCGCCCCTGCCCCCCACGCAGCCAAGGCAGGAACATCTGAACACCAGGATCTCCCAGCTCACTCTGGGAGGCCAGTGGCAGTTTCCAGGGCTGACATTCAGCCTGCTCCAATCCAATCCCCCAATCCATCCCCCAATCCAAGTTCACCAACCCCCCAATCCAAGTTCTAGGCGGTGGCAGGCCCAGAAACAGCCATTGCTCCGCTTCCTTCCATCGCTGGAAACTCAGGAGGAGCCTCGCAGGAGTTCTCTTTGGCTGTCTTCTCTTCCTCCTGATCTTCAAGAGACGTGGAAGGCAGGGGGTCCCTGGGTGCAGTGGTCTCTCCCAGAACTGCATGGTCCCTCTCATACCTCGAAACGCTTTTACCTGTGTGGACCTCCTCCTCCATAAGACACATTAAAAATTATATTTTACTAATGTGTTGGTTTAAAGACGAATATAATCCAGGCTTCTGGGCTGGATTATATTCATTTATTTTCTTCCGATTATTAAAAAATTAAAACGTTTTGGGCCCATCCCAGGATGACGAGCCCTCAGCACAGTGCCTGCTGAGCCTGATGGAGCAGTCAGCACTGTTCTTCCTTGCCAGAGCCTCAGGTTTTCCTAGGACTATTCCAGGAATTCCCTAAGTCCCAGGCAAACCCGGATGATTGGTTGCCCTCCTCGCACCTCTTGTTTCAGACGCAGAGCCCCCGAGAAGCAAGGAAAGCCATGACGGTCTAACCATCACAACCCCCAAACCTGGAGACTAAACCAGAGTAGCTGAGCTCTTGCCACAGGCCAAGACTTTATTAGGAGCTGGAAAGACACAGCTAAAACCCATGCTTGCTCCCAGGAGCTGCAAACAAACAGCTGCGGTGCCCGCGCTGTGCAAGGCCTGGGCTGAAGACACGGTCACTGTCACTCCTCTGAACACAAGGACGCTTCCATCTGCACAGCAACTCTGAGATGCAGCTAGAAACATGGGTTTTATAGGTGAAAAAAGAGAATCTCAGGGAGGTCAAGGAACTCACCCAACTGGCTTTGAAGGGAAAGGGCTGAGGACCAAGCTTGGGACTGCCCAGCTCCATGCCTGAGCCATGGTTTTGCCAGAGCCAGACTCATTGAGGGGAACCAAACACGGCTGCCTCTTGACCTGGTACACCTGAGTGGCCTGGAACAGAAAGGCAGGACAGGTGCTTCGGCACGACCAGGGGCTGTTGGAAAACAGCCCGGAGAGGTGCCAGCCCCTCAGGACCCCTGCAGAACAGGTACAGTACCACCACCTGTGCACTCAGCCCACACCAAATTACCAACTGCCCGGAGACCCAGCAGCTGTGAAGAGCCCCCTTAGAGAGCTTGCTCTAACGATGCAGATACCTGGGCACCTCCCAGGCCCAGCCAGTTATGGCTGAGGCCCACAAAGGCTTTCACAAAACCTCTTCTGAGTGATTTTTGCTGAGCAGCCAGAAACAGAGAGCCCAGAACTCCACCTATCTCTCACCAGACAGATGCACATGGAAGGGCCAGGGACCAGGAGCATGCTGTAATTAGCTCCATCCAGCAAGCTAGGAAAATGACCCCAATTGGGTGGCTTTGAAGAAGGTGGAAGGGAGGCCACTCCACGGCAAGAAACCAGAATGACTGACGGGGGAGATCTAAACCAGGCCCACTCCACAAATGACAACACACGAGTAGGTCTAGTCGTGCTTCGGACCCCCCTAGTGACATCTCCCAGCTGACCTGGGGAAAGGCAGAGCCCCCAGTGATGTCCAGTTACAGACCCAGATCCTGGCTCTGCCTCTAACCAGCTGACTGACTTAGATAATTCCACTTAGCCTCAGTTTTCCCATCTGTAAATTGGAAAGGGTTGTTGTGAGGATCAAATGGGCTAACCTGTGTAATATTTAGTCTGATGCCTGGCAATTAGGAAAACCTCAGCAACAATATCTACATAATACTACCACGTATTCCAGGCACAATACCTGGAACCTAATAAGTAATGAATATTTACTAAGTGGATGATTTGCCACAGAAACAGAGGTATCCATGCGGGTACCACCCCATCCCATGATTCCAATCAGGAAAGAGTCCAGGCAGTGTCCCGAGTTCATTAGTGGTAGAATGAGCCAAGTCAGCACAAGAAGCTGACCGGGGCTCCCGACTGCTGTGCCGTTTGCTTTCCAGGTCTCCCAGGGAGCACCTCTCCAGTCCCCAGGCCACCCAAAACTGGGCGGAGTGTCTGAGAAGGAGACTGGAGGCAGCCAGCCCCAGCCAACTGGCAGCTGCAGCATGTGAGCACGGCAGAAAGTCCAGGCCCACGTGGGCGTGCCTGGGCCTTGGCTGAACCAGGACTGATCTAGTTCCTTGAAGCCAAGTGGGGATGTTTCCTCCCTGTATAGCATGTCTTCCCTTGGAACAACCACAAGACATGTCATCGTCTTAATGAAGCCCTAGCGCTGTTTGCATTTCCAAAGCATCTCTTTCTCCTTCATTTTTAGTTTATATTTTTGAGACAGAGTCTTACTCTGTCACCCAGGCTGGAGTGCAGTGGCACAATCTCGGCTCACTGCAACCTCCACCTCCCGGGTTCAAGTGATTCTCATGCCTCAGCCTCCCGAACAGCTGGGATTACAGGCGTGCACCACCATGGCTGCCTATTTTTTGTATTTTTAGTAGAGACGAGGTTTTACCATGCTGGCCAGACTGGTCTCGAACTCCTGACCTCAAGTGATCCACCCACCTCAGCCTCCGAAAGTGCTGGGATTATAGATATGAGCCACCGTGCCCAGCTTCTTTCTCCTTTTTTTCCTCACCTGCTCCTCCCACCCAGTCTACACAGGGGGCAATTCCAGGTGGAGAACAGGAGGCTAGAGAGGTTAACGTTCATCACCTGGAATCATGCAGCAACTCACAGGTGAAGCCTTATTTTCAGGACACTATGTGGGCCAAGAAAGCAATAAGGATTATCCCTACCCAACTGGCTCCTGAGACTGAGGGGTCTCTGCTAGGATGGGGTGCCCCAGAAAGTAAGTGCCCTTTGGGGTGCAGATCACAACACCAAATTACCCTATCCACTTTGTCTTGGTGACCAAAGACACAAACTGAAACCACAACCTCCAGGGAAGAAAACGTTAATTTCCTTTCTAACTAGAATTCAGAACATTTTGGAGCTGGAAAGAATCTTTGAGAAACCATAGTCCAACCTTCCCATTTTACAGATGGGGAAAGTGAGGTTCAGAGCAACAAAGGCTGCTCCAGGCTAGTCAGTTAGCAGTTGGTCTTCTGATTTCCCAGCCAGCAAAGTGACAGGAAGGGACGGAGACCCTCCAAGCCCCACCTGCACCCACTATAAAGACACAAGAAATGGAGCTTGTACCCAAGTAGGGCTGGATGTACTAATTTTATGCAGATTCCATCTAATGCCATTAGGCAATCAAAGTAAGGATTAGCAAACTACAGCCTGAGGCCAAATCTGTCCACTGCTCATTTCACTGGGACACAGCCCTGCTCGATCATGCACATACCATCTATGCTGCTTTTGAGCTCCAGTGGCAGAGGAGAGTAGTTGTGACAGAGACCATACGTATGGCCTGGAAAGACTGAAATCTTTACTCTCTGGCCCTTAACAGACACGTGTGCTGACTGCTAATTTCGAACTAGGGAAAATGTCAAGCACCCTCTGCTAGGAGCTACTCAGGGTTCTTTGGTGACATCAGATAGGACCCTTGCCCTGATGTAAAAGGTGGGAAACAGGCCCAGTGAGAGATGGGTCCTGCCGGGGACCACACTGCAGGCTCCAGCAAAACCACACTCCTGGACAGGCACGGTGTCTCACGCCTGTAATCCCAGCACTTTGGGAGGCTGAGGTGGGCGGATCACTTGAGGTCAGGAGTTCGAGACCAGCCTAGCCAACATGGTGAAACCCTGTCTCTACTAAAAATACAAAAATTAGCCAAGCGTGGTGGCATGTACCTGTAATCCCAGCTACTTGGGAGACTGAGACAGGATAATCACTTCAACCCGGGAGGCAGAGGCTGCAGTGAGTCGAGATCGTGCCATTGCACTCCAGCCTGGGAGACAGAGGGAGACTCTGTCTCAAAACAACAACAACAAAAATAAACCACACTCCTCCCTGATCCAGAGCCCCTCTGACGCCCGTGGAACCTGCAGAGTCCCAGCTGCCCTGCAATCCACTACACAGACCTTAACCAAAGCGGGGTATTTGCTTTCCTTTTCAAAATATTTTCATGGAAGAAACAGGGGACATAATGTCCTTAAACGGCACCTCAGTTACCCTTGTAATCTCATTTGAGGTTATTTTTGTGAACTCCAAAACACAGACTGGGTACAGCTGTAAGTATAGACAGATCTTGTCCTGACGTCTAAGTTCTAAGTGTGCCTGGGTAGCCACAGTGATGGGCTCAGCTCTGAACAGCACTACCTCGGGGCTGGAAGCCTGGTATGGATCCTGCCTATGGGATCTTGGGAAAGTGACTTCACCGCCTGAGCCAAAGGTGTCTGCAAAGTGGCAGTAACAACAGGGTTGGGAGGACTAAATGGGAGCATCTTGGTGGGGAGGTAGCTCCGTAAAGGCTGGCTGCCAGCATTCATTCACTCCCACTGCATTCTGGAATATTAAAAGGAAAATGAGGCCTTTATTGAAGGGCACCTTCCCGTACACACAGCAGATAAGGTCTTATCTTGGGTTACGTCAAAAACAAAGTCTCTACCAAATGTGATGCTCATATTATTTTAGTGTCATCATAAATGACTTTATCTTTAATCTGGTGCACCAACTTGTACAACCCAGGGAATGATTCCCCAACCAGACTTCCAGCTGGGCCACTGAAGGTCTGAGTAAGCAGCTCTCATGGAATGTATTCATTTCAAAAACAACAAGAAAACTATTATTTGAATTCACAGGCAGATGGTCTGTAAGTCTAACAAATAAAACTATGTCCTATGCCTTCTGCTAAGGACAATTTCTCTGAAGTGTAAGTATTTTCATTCACTCATTCAGAAACTACACATTATATATCTGTGGCTGAGGGGCTTAGGAAAATTCTTGTAACTATAGGTTTAGCCCTTAGGAAGCTCAGAGGCCAGGCCAGCCCACGCCATGTGGGGCAGCCTTGCTATGGAGGGTCGGTTCTCACATCGGCATGCCAGGAGCTCCCTGTAAGCTACATCCTGCATCCCACAAACATGCTCTCAAATGTGGGACGCACCTTGGCAAGATGATTTCTCATGGCATTGTTTGAAAATAGCGGAAGATTGGAAATCTAAATATCCATCAGAGGGAGACTCGTTAAATAAATTACAGTCTGTCCACATAATGGAATACCAAACAGCCATAAAAACAAATGAAGAAGCGCTCCAGGTCTGATATGGACCAATTTCCAAGATACATTGTCATGCAAAAAAAACAAGATGCTGACAATTGCATTAAAAAACATATATATGTATGTATGTGTGTAAATTTATAGGTAAGCACACATATATAAATATAAACAAATAATGTTTTATTTATGTGTATACATCTAGAATCTCTTGCAAAGGATATGTGAGAGGCAGGGAACATTGGTCGTCTCCAGGGAGGGGAACCAGGGGGCTGGCTGAGAGGGAGATTTTTCACCATATAACCTTTAGTAACTCCTGAATTTTTTTTGGTTTCAATCTCATCAACTTTAAGCAAAGAAGTCTGTTTTTTTTTTTTTTTTTTTGAGTTGACAAATAGGTAACTATTGAGTTTGAATCATGTAAATTACTGTAGCTAAAATAATAAAATTTTAAAAAAAACTTACCAAAAGCCAAATACCTCCAACAGTTCATCCAAAAGTGAACTGGAGTGAAGGAGAAGGGCCTTCATTTATCTTTCCCAGAGCCCAGCATCACACACACACACACACACACACACACACACACACACACACCCTCCAGACTGGCTTGCAATGGTCCTCCTCCCAACTGGGGAACCAGAGACCCCAACTGGCCCACGCATTCTGCTCTGCACTGGAATCTAGGGACAGGCCTCTCCCCCACCATACTCTGAGCAGGCTAGAAGGCAAGTCCAGTTCTCCTCTGTCCTGCCAGCACCTGGCATACCAGAGGCAATGAAGCAATGTTTTAAACAGTGCCCAGGACAGTGCTGGGCACACAGAAGACCCTCGGTAAATACTGTTGAAATGAATGAAGACAGAAAAACTAGAATAGTCAAGAAGTCATCACTCTTGACTTAAGCTTACCTTAAGCTTGTGGATTCAGTGTCTGGGGGGAACTGCCATTACAAAAATAGCAGTTCACTGATAAGGATGTGTTCACAAAATGGTCAAGTGTCCTGCAGAGATCACACAGCAGAGCAGCGTGCAGGATGGCCCCAGGCAAAGTGAGATGAAATGGGCCCTCTCCTCTCTCTTCACTAGGCCCTCTGTAGAATCCCTCACATTGTGCCTTAGTATGGAGCGTAGAAGCCTTGGTCCTCGTCCAAGAGGGCTTAGGTGGTGAGTGACTTAGCCAGTGGATTTTGGAATAAGGCAGACGCCAAGGATTTCCTCCTCTGAAAACCGACCACTTCATGGGTCTTTTGCAGGGAGTGGATAATAATTACACAGTTCTTTCTCAAAATGTGTGTTTCTTTCTCCATCAACTTCATTTTCTACCTTTAATTTTGCATAGGAAAAACAACAGCGTAGCGACTTCGAGTTTCAGCCATACGATCAACAAGGGAAACTAAAGGCCCTCCAGCTCAATAAACAGAATGAACATCTGTTTAGATGCACATTTCAGCTGGCAAGGAAAGAGGCCACGTAGGGCCAGATAACAAAGGGACCCCAAAGACCAGACAGAGAGCTGACACTAAGCAGCCCAGGAGTGGGTGTTGGCCTCAGTAACCCAGTGGATCTCTTTTTAGCGACCATGCAGTGAGAGGACAGGAGGCCTGGAGTCTGGGAGAAACAAGAAGGGGGATCCGAGACCCCCACGTGCAAAGGCCATGGGATCGCTGCATCTCTAGTAACAGGCTGGATACCCTTCAATGCCCACCAGCACAGGGACACACCAAGATGCTTGGCTTCTCACGCCTCTGCTGGGAAACGGGCAGAGGAGCTGAAAAAGTATCTTCTGAGTGTTTGTAGCCACATGCTTGCCTTCTCGCTGAGTGATGGTTCAAATTTATAGTCCCCATGTGGTCCAGGACCCCTAAGCTATCAAAAGAATACAAAATTGATCTCACATCTGTGCTACTCCTGAAGAACCTGGTAGTCACACAGAAAAGCACTTTGGAGGGATAGCCTTAACTCATGCTGCACAGGTTTCCTTCAAATAAATCTCCACTCATTATCTGAAATTACAAAGTGCCCATGCACACGCGTGCATGCACAGACATGCAGACACACACACAAGAGTCACCAGATACCACAAAGAGCATTATCAAAGTCAGCTTGAGAGAGGATTAGAAAATGCATAACAGAAACATGGGTAATATAAAAACCAGGTGCCGACACATGGAAGACAGAATAAGAAAGTTCCAGGAAGAGAGAATGGACAGAAGCGGGGAAAGGCATAATTTGAAGAGATGGTTGGTGGAAATTTTTCAAAACTGTACAAAGACGTGGATCCTAAGGCTTCAAATTTAATAAAATTGCTATGTTTCAGAATGTGCGGGATGTAACTGAAGCATAACTTAGAAATATGTTTATATCAAGAAGAGTAGAAAAGGAGGAAGGCTAAAAATCAATCACATAGGTGCCCAATTCAAGGAATTGGGAAAATAATGTCAAAGCACACCTAAGAAAGAAAGGAAACGATATAATGACATCATTATAAAAGAAACCTGTAAGAGAGAAAACAAAGAAACGAGAAAGAGAATCAACCAACTCCTGAATTAGACCTTTGCAAGGATTAATAAAACTCTGTGAAAAGGCTGGGTGCAGTGGCTCACGCCTGTAATCCCAGCACTTTGGGAGGCCAAGGCAGGTGGATTACTTGAGGTCCAGAGTTCATGACCAGCCTGGCCAACATGATGAAACTACGTCTCTACTAAAAATACAAAAATTAGCTGGGTGTGGTTGCGCACGCCTGTAATCCCAGCTACTCGGGTGGCTGAGGCGGGAGAATCTCTTGAACCTGGGAGGCGGAGGTTGCAGTGAGCTGAATTCGTGTCACTGCACTCCAGCCTGAGTGACAAGAGTGAGACTCCATCTCAAAAAAATAAATAAAAAATAAAACTCTGTGAAGACTAACCAAGAAACAGGGAAGGGACAAATAAATAACATAGAGAATGAAAAAGGGGATATAGTTATAAACACTGCTGCTAAATTTAAAAACAAGAAAAATGAACACATTCCTGAAGACAGAGGTAGATTGATTGGTTGAATGAAAGATGACACAAAGAAATAGAAAACTGGAATTACCTCTAACCATTAAATAAACTGAATTAGTAATTTTTTAAAAAACGTTAAGAAACCAACAAACCCAGGCTGAGGTTTGGTAGTTTGGGTTTTTCCAAACTTTGTAACATGTACAAATATTTGACAACAATCCTTAACATATCGTTGACATATACAAATATGAACATATACAAATATATTAAAATATTTGAAGATAATCCATACGGTATGCAAATATTTGAATATTGGAAAGGGAAGCATTCCTTAGGACATGTTATGAGGTTAATTTAGTTGAAAATTCAACTAAATAAGGAGAAGAATGGAAATTTATGGGTCAGTCTCACTGCTGATGGAATGACACAGCAAGAAGGCCCTTGCCAGATGCAGGTTCCTCAACCTTGGACTTCCCAGCCTCCAGAACTGTGAGAAATACAGTCCTGCACCACTTAATGACAGGGATATGTGCTGAGATATGCATCACTAGGTGCATCACTAAATGTATAGCCTACCACACACCCAGGCTATATGATATAGGTTCTTCCTGGAACCTATTGACCCTGGCCTACAGCAGGTTACTATAGGGAATATTGTAGGCAACTGTAACACAATGGTAAGGATTTGTATATCTAAACATGTCTAAACCTAGAAAAGGTACAGTAAAAACATGGGATTATAATCTTATGGGACCACTGTCCTATATGCGGTTCATGATTGTCCAAAATATTGTTATGGGGTGCATGAGTGTAAATGACTTTTCTTTATAAATTTCCCAGTCTGATATTCTGTTATAGCAACACAAAGTGGACTAAGACAATGTGGCTATCAGAAATTTTAAAATTAAATGTGGTTCACATTATATTTTTATTAGACAGTGCTAATCTAGACAGCACAGTAAGAGGCAAGAAAATAACTAAAGAGAGAAAAATTGGAAAGAAAGGAAAAAGCTATCACCATTTGTAAATGACAAGATTAAATAAAATGTCTATAAAATTTGTAGGGACACATTTAAAACTAGTAAAAGATCAGCAAGATTGCTAGAAATACAATCAATATATAAAATTTAACTACATGCCTAGATGCCAGCAATAATGAACTAGAAACTGTAATTTTTAAACATATATATATGTGTGTGTATATTTTATATATATAACATTTACAGCAGCAAAGAAAACTTCAGAATACTTATGAATAAATGTAACAAAAAATGTGTAAGACCCTTATGATACAAATGATAAAACAAAAAGACATAAAATAACCAATAAGTATAGGGAGAAAGGCCGTGATCATGGGCGGGAAAACTCAAAATGACAAAGATGGCAATCTTCTCCAAATTCATTCACAAATAACTCAATTATAATCAAAACCCCAACAGGGATTTTCAGGACTCTAACAAGTTGATCCTAAAGTTCTCACGGTAGAACAAGGGCAGAAAAAGAGCCAAGACCATTTGAAAGAGGAACACATGAGGGGATTTTCCCTGCCATGCTTAACAGAAAGCTGTAAGACCTAAGACAATGTGAGATGGCACCAGAAGAAACTAATAGACCAAAGGAACAAAGTAGGGAGCCCGGAAACAGAGCTACATATGCAAGGAAAATTGACATGTGACAGTTTTTGCATTTAAAAAAATCATTAAAAATTAAGAAATAGAATAATTGCTACTGAGACGATTATTCACATAGATAAAGTAAAACAAATTTGATCTCTACATAATGTCAAAGACAAAACAGTCTCAGCTAAATTTAAAAGCTACATGTAAATGCACAATTTTTTAAATTTTAGAATAGGAGAATAGCCGTATGACCTCAAGGACAGAAAGAACCTCCTAAAATACAAACACAAGCCACAGAGGAAAAGAATCATACACTCGACTGTGTTAAAATGTACAACCGTTGTCTCAATAAACCATGCCATACCCAAAGATAATGGCCAACAGAAGACTGAGAAATTATTTATAACATGTCTAAACAAGATTAAGACTTTTTTTTTTTTTTTTTTTTTGAGATGGAGTCTCGCTCTGTTGCCCAGGCTGGAGTGCAGTGGTGTGATCTTGGCTCACTGCAAGCTCCGCCTCCTGGGTTCACGCCATTCTCCTGCCTCAGCCTCCCGAGTAGCTGGGACTACAGGCGCCCGCCACCACACCCGGCTAGTTTTCTGTATTTTTAGTAGAGACAGGGTTTCACCGTGTTAGCCAGGATGGTCTCGATCTCCTGACCTCGTGATCCGCCCGCCTCGGCCTCCCAAAGTGCTGGGATTACAGGCGTGAGCCACCGCGCCCGGCCTAAGATTAAGATTTTTAAGATTAGTATCTCTTAAAAGTACTTTCAGGAAAACACAGCAACCCAGTAAAAAGCTCAGCAAAGGAGATGGATAGGCAAATCAGGGAGAAGCAGCCCAAACGTCCAATACGTTGCAAAAGAGCAGAATGCAAATGAAACTAAGATCATTCACTATTAGACTGGAAAAAATTCCAGTCTAATATTGTCAACCATTTCATGAAAAGTGAGGCTGAAGAAACTGTGCAGCCACTTTGGAGAGCAATTTGGCAATATCTAACAAAGCTACAAGTGTGTACACCCAACAGCCCAGCACATCTACCCTTCCACTGGGCTTGGGCTTCTAAATGAGCAGTGTGATACAGAGAAAGAAACACACGTTGTGTTGCAATGTGCTCCAGGTGTCCATGCACACACACAGGCACACACACATAAATAAAACAGTCTGACAAAACTTTAATACTTGCAATGTATTGTGATATTTTCTATTGCATCTTTTTAAATGCTGTTTCCCATGAAATTGATTTTATAAACCCCTGCTGTGAAGAAAGTTCTCCCACAGGGACACAGGGGGAGGTGTGCCACCCATGGCAACAATGTCTGCAACAATAAAAAAGTGTAAATAATGTAAATTACCTCAACAGGCGAGGAGAGAAATCGGCTGTGGAATATTCATTTATTGTGGCGTCTACGGAGCTTTCAATGAGCAAATCAGAGCTTCAGGTAACGACATGAATACATCTCAAAAACATAATCTTGTGCACAGAAAAAAATATACACATATACACACACATAATAAGATAACATCTTAATCAACTTTTGAAACCCACCCTGTATGGGCATTTACATATAAAGTAAAAACGGGGAAATATGCCAGAGGGATGACAAACACAACATTCTCTGGTCTGACGCTACTCCTGGGGGGCAGGAGATAGAAGAGGGTGATGGAATCAAGGAAGAGCAATAGATAGGGGTTCAAATCAGGGTTTAACAGCCCAGATGGGGGGGCCATGGGATCAGACTACCCCAGTCAGGGCTGTGTCATCACTGACATAGGTTAAAATTGCCAGGACATAGTAATAACATATAGTAAACTGTTAGCCAGTTTGATTATTGCTTTTGAATTCTCTATAAACAATGCACACTCCCTAATGTCTGCATCCAGGGCAGAACATCCCCCACCTTGACATGCTGCAGACTAAAAATGGCAAAAAAAAGTTAAGCTGCATGGAGGTACATGTATTTGTTACATCTCTTTGGTGTGGTTAAAATATTAAATATTTAAATATATATGTATACACACACACACATACACACACACAAACGCACACACACATCTCTTTCTGTGCATATGTGTGTTCTCCAAAGACCAGACATGCCAAGGTAAGATACTTCCAGAGCAAAGTTACATGTAAGGTCAAAACAGATAGTCTGGGCCGATGCGGTGGCTCACACCTGTAATCTCAGCACTTTGGGAAGCTGAGGTGGGCGGATCACCTGAGGTCAGGAGTCGGAGACTAGCCTGGTCAACATGGTGAAACCCCATCTTTTCTAAAAATACAAACATTAGCCAGGTGTGGTGGCGGGCGCCTATAATCCTAGCTACTCAGGAGGCTGAGGCGGGAGAATCTCCGGAACCCAGGAGACGGGGGTTGCACTGAGCCGAAATCATGCCACTGCACTCCAGCCTGGGTGACAGAGCGAGACTCTGTCTCCAAAAAAAAAAAAAAAAAGTCTGGTGCCTGTGACTGGCTGGGGCCTGGGAGGACTGACGCCTCACCTGAGCAACAACGGGAGCCAATCTTCCCTAAGGCTGCATCTGATCAACTCCCACCAAAGCCTGGTATTGGTTGTGCTCAGCTCCTGGGCAGCTCTGTGGGGCACTGCCTAAGCTTCTTTTCCTGCTTCAGCTTCTTTGTCTATCAAATGAGTACAGCAATGCCACTAAAAGACCATTGGCTCCACCCATACCACCCCCAAATCCTGGTCTTCACTGTTTGATGATCACTTTCCTTCCCTCAGAGAGATTGTCTTTTTTTCAGTTTGGTGTGTTTGTCAAAAACCAGTCAATTTATCAAAATAGTAATGTTTGCTCCAAAAATGATAAGGCTGCCTGGTCACAACTCCACCCAAATGTCGCACACAAACAGTGGAAAACGAGCTGAAGAGTGAGGACCCATGTGGGTTTAGCCCAGAGAACATGGGGTGCAGAGCCCCTGAAATGCCACATGAGGAGTGCACCAGAAGGTCCTTACACACGACCTCTCAGCCTTGAAACCAGAACAACACCAGGATCATGCCTTGTGCATAACCCCCCACAGAAAGTTAGTGATGACTTGGATGACACGGTAGCCATCACTGCAGGGGGACACAGGCATCTGAAACCAGGTGCAAAAGAAATCCAGGAAAAGGTCTGTGAACAAAGGGGTCTGCAAGAACCCAGACCCCATCTCACAGCTCCTGATGATTGGTATTAACTCTACTTTCTTGTTTTCTGTGTTTCTAATGTTCTCACATCTGGGGCTTCGATGACTGAGGGAAGGCAGCCCCTCCCAAGGCTGGCTGAGTGACAGCAAAGCACTCACCCAGGAGTGAGCCTTTTTGTGTGCAAACCAACTGATCCAGAGTCCATACTCCAAACCATCTCCCCTACCTGGCTCTACACTCTGGGAGGCCACATGCCTCTGCCCTAACACCCCAGGGCCAGGTCTCAGACAAAGAGCGATGGCCCCTATGGCCCAGAGACTGCTAGAATCATTCAAACCGGCCAACCCTAAGCTTCTGGCCCTGCCTTGCCAGCCCTTCCACAAAAACCAATGAAGCCTCCTTCCCATGCTCTCCCCTGGATGCCTCACTGACTGACCCTGATGCTTCCCCAAGTAGTCCTGTATGGTGTGGGGTGTCCTCCCACTGGGAAGTGTGAATAACAAATCATCTTTTCAATGGCAACTCTCCCCTGCTCTACTGGCCTCACCATACCTGAATCATGCTAAAACCTGCATTTGAAAACATTTTTGTACATTGTGCAGAGGATGCTGGGCAAGATGATGTGGCGGTTGGGGGCGGGGGACTGAGCACCCCCAGAGCTGTGCAGCAGCATCACAGGTTACTTTGAAGCCAGACTGAGAGTTAGGCCAGTGTGCTGTGAGCTCTGACTTCAGCTGAGCCAGACAAGCCAATGACAGACCCACTAGGTGTTACTTTGCAAGTTTAAGAACTGCACTAAGATGACTTTGAAGACTTGTGGATTGGTTTCCAACTGAATTTTAAAACTGGGTTTGTGGGTTCTACTGAAAACAAATCTTAAGTTCAAATGCTGAATGTCCCTAAATGGCCTCCATGTTTCCTGCCAGCTAGCAGGTTTGGGGAGCTAAAGGATGCTCCCAGCCCAGGAGTCTTGGCAGTCCTGTTGATGACCAGAAGCGTGGCAGGAGCTGACCTCGGTGGTGGGAGGTGGCTGTTGTGATGTCTGAACACCAAAGTCCATGGACAGTCAAAATCTCTGTGGGTAGCTGCACATTTGAGGGGTCTGCTCATCCAAGGTTGGGGGATGAGGCTTCCACTCATGACAGCCCTGCAAAGGCAGCCTGATTCTTTGGGTGCTCTAGATGGGGAAACAGGTCTCAGAGAGGTGCAGTGCCTTGCCCAGGGTCACACAGCCAGGGCACAGAGATGTGAGAGGCAGGCCCAGGCCTGTTGAGCTGGTTCCCAGAACTTGGTATAGATCCCATGTTCTGGACCCATTGCAGACCCTCACCTAGCTCAGGGAGGGAGCAGACTGCCCTCTGCAGGGGGAATGTTTCTGGGGTTACAGCCCTTAGGAACCCTCCCCAAATGCCAGGCCCCCAGCTATACTGCCTCTGGCCCTGAGAATCCGCAACAGGCAAACACCATCTCGTAGGCCCTGGAGGCCTTAGGCACAAGCCGAGGAAGAAAGAAAAGGAGCTAGGACAGGGAAAGGAAATGCAGGAGGGTGGACAGGAGAGAAAGGCAAAGGCGAGGAGAATAAAATGAAGGAGGCCTGGAGGTGGGCTGGGAGAGGAAGAGTCCCAGAGCAATCCAGGCTGGTAAGAGGCCATGGGCAGCCATGTCCCTGGGCTCCAGGCCCCAAGTTTCCATGTCTGACCTGGTCCCTGAGCACAACCTAGTACATCCCATCCTTCAGGCAGGAAGGTCCTTTCCAGCTATTCTTGGCCAGCACCCGGCTGAGGAAGGGTCTCAGAGAGGAAAGAGACCAGCAGAGCCCCTGAGCCACCTGCTGCTGCCCTGTGGAGGACCAGACCTTCCCCGGTCTGCTGCCACCTAACAGCCCACCCGTCCTCTTGAAGACTCCATGGCCTAAGGCTCAGGGAGTGACGTGACCTGCCCATCACACAGCCTGCAGGGAAAGAGCTACCTTCCAGCCCAGGTTTGTCTCTTCTCAAAGCAGAAAGTCACAGATTTTCTCATTGCCCGAACACACTCCAAAAGAGTCACAGCCAGCCTCACCCTGGGCAGAAGCAGCAGTCCCAAAGGGCCTGAGGTCTGCTCAGCCCTGGGCTGGGGGTGGGAGAGGGACATATTGTTCCCTTACAAGGGCCCGAGTGTGCCTAGAGGAGAAGCAAGCGAGGTTTAGAGTTCTCCGCCACACAGGGATGACTGACCAGTGCCCAGGCTCAGGCCGCATCAGGAAGGGACACAGCCTGGGCCTCAGCCCCAGGCCCTGCTGCCCGGGTCAGCCTGGTGCCACCCCGTGCCTCAGGCAGCCTCTGCAACCCTTCCTAGCACCTCCTTTCTTCTCTCTGCCATCTCTCTAAAATTCTGGGTCTGTGGGGTAGGGTGATGGGGTTCTGGGTACTTCATTTTCAAGTCATTGACCCCAGGTCTCCTGGGTATAAGCCCCAGCACTTGCCAGGGGCAGCCAGGGGGCAAATTCAAGACCGATGAGCTCTTAAGACACAGAGATGAAGTCCTCAGTGGCCGGGGCTCTGACTCCTTGTGGGACCAGATGGTGCACCCTGTGCCAGGTGGGCATGGACTGGGGCCCCAATCCACACTGATTCCTCTCCACCAAGCAAGTACCATGCTGTGTACCTGGTGTTTACTGCTGATTGAAAGAACAAACCAAGAACCACCCCGCCTTGTGGTGCCCCATATGGGAAGCGATGGGTGGGCAGCAGACGCAGTCCAGCGTAGGTAATCCCACTGGCACTCCAGCCCCTGAGACTAAGTGATAATCTTTGAGACAGCCCTGACACTAGTGCCATTGATTTCATCCTTACTCCACGCAGGTACTTTGTGAGCATGACCTCACTGAATCCTCACAACAACCCACAGACAAATGCAGAAACTGAGGCCTGGAGAGTTGGGTGAGTTGGTAAGAATCAGAGCTGGATTTAAAGCCACACTCCCAGCCACCAGACCAGGAGGCACCTCCCTTCCTACAGACTGGGACAATAACCTGCACCACCGGGGGCTGTGTGACAACCAGAGAGCACACCCAAAGCTCCCTTCACAGGCCCCAGAGCACTGATACTGCTCTCAAAACGGAATCTACTATTTTACTGACTATCCCCAACCATAATAAGGAATCAAGTACTCTGAGCCTGGCTTTTATTTTCCTGGGTGTGAGCTGTCCTGCTTGTGGCCTGTCACCCAGGAAAACACAGGTGCCCTCTGGCCTGACATCAGCATCCCAGTGGATGCTCCAGCTGCCCCTGGACAACCTGTCCCCACACTGTGAGCCCTGTAACCTCCAGGGAGGCCTGGTGCCCACAGCAGAGCACCCTGCACTGTGAGGGTTTTCTTTGGGAGGAGCACTTGCCAATTGCCAGGTTAGTACAATTATCAAGCGCTGGACTGAATGCACCAGAATAACCTCAAGTCTTTCCAAGATGCCTTTGGCAGAAGAAGGGCCAGGCATCGGGACAGGGCCAACCTCCCAGCTGGGAGCAACCTTGGTGTGCAGAGACAGACAAGGAAAGGGAACAGAAGGACAAACATGGAGAATGACACAGAAAGAGAGAGGATGACAGAAAGAGAGAGAGAGAATGACAGAAACAGAGAGAGAGACAGGCAGAGCTGAAACTGAGGACCAAATGAGGGAAAAAGAATGACAGGAAAACAAAGAGACCAAACAGGCAAAAAAAAAAAAAAGAGACAGAGAGAGATACGGAGGCAGAGTGAAACCAGGACACAGAGACAGAAGACACAGAGACACAGAGTGATCCAGGACAGGGACCAAGTGAGAGAAACAGAATGACAGAGAAGAGAGGGACAGACAAAGAAACAGTGAGAGAGACAGCAACAAAGTCAGAGAAGGACAGAGAGAACCAGAGAAAGGAGGCAGAGAGAGTCACCCAGAAAACAGAGGGAACATGGTGGGGACCAGGACGGGCAGGGAGTCTCACAGGTCCAGCCATGAGGTTCTGGGAAGGGCACTCCCCCAGCCACCTGCACATTCTCCAGAGGGCTCACACTCTCTGCCCTCCCCTGCCCTGCTGGAGCCCCAACAAACAGGCCCCGTCCCTGCTCTGCCCTGAGCTCAGGCAGCCCAAGAGGCTGCTGTTTGGGGAACACATTACCAGCATGTGCTGCCCTTCCCATGGATGGACGTGGGGCCTGGTGGGCATCCGTGTATGTCTGTGTGTGTCTGGGCCCACTTCTCCGTACACACCAGCAGAAGCATGAACAAAAACCCACACACACACAGGCTTGGCAAGCATGCTGCCCCAGCAGGGCCAACCTCCTCCTCTACTCACCCTGTGCCCTAGACTGAGGGCCCCCTATGTGCCAGGCACTATGCCCACAGGGCTAGGGCACAGTGAGACCCTCAGAGGGCAGAGGGAGCTAGGCCAAGGCCACTTAAACAAACAGGAGGGCAAGGAGGGGCTCAAGACACGACCCGGTGATGGCACTGCACGGTGCAGGTGGCTGCACCAGGAGCCCAGCCAGCACTCACCCCCTGGGATGGCAGGTACTCAGACGGAGGGGCAGAGCGGGCCCAGGGTCTTGTGGCCGGTTAGAAAGACCACCTCCACCAGACTCCCACTCACTCAGCAGCACACTCTGACTTCCAAGCCTGCTACACTTTTCACCCAAGGCGCTTCTGCTCAAAAGCCACCTCTTCTAAGGAAACTTTACACACACGTGCACATATATACACACACACACACGCAGGCACACCTGCCCTTAGCAAAACATGCGCCCCCTCCCCTCTGAATGCCTAGCACAGTGCTGACTCAAAGGGACCAGAACTTGCTTGCAGAACTTACATGAACTCAGCCCTGCACTTCCCTCTGAGTGCCCCCAGCCCTGAGAACTGGGGAAGGTGCCCCATGAAGGAATGGGTCCTGGCCAGGAAGCAGGATCTCAAGGCCCACATAGGCCCTCCTGCAGCCACCCTGGTGGACACAGTCCCCTTCTCCCAGGCCCGGGCCCACAGCTACAGCCAAGTCAGCACTTGGAGAACGGATGGGACACCAGCATTACGGATTGGTGATAATAATGACGATATCAGCCAACTCAGATGAGAACCTCCTGGGAAACAGCTGTTAGGCCCAGCCTTGGTTTATTCCTCAGATGTACCCTATGAGGTCAACTCTTCATTATCACCACCTAGAGATGGGAAGCTAAGGCTGGGGGAACTCCTTCTACTTGACGAATGTCACACAGCTGTTAAGTGGCTGGGCTGGGGCTCAGCCCTAGCACTGTCCAACTCCTGGGCCTGAGATCTTAATCATGACACTGCCTTTGAGCTAAGTCAGCCTCAGAAAGACATTAACCCTGGTCAGAAACTTAAGACACTCACAATGCGCCCACTCTGTAAATGATGTGGAAAGAGATCGTTTATGGAAGTACTAACATGCTCTGAGGCATACTGCCCCTGGGGCTCTGTGTCCCTGTGTATCTGTGACTGTGTGAGTGCAGGCGTGTGCATGCGAATGTGTGCATGTGTGTATAAGTGTATGAAGGGTGCGTGTGGGTGCTGGGTGTGCACGTGGTGATGGTGTGTGTGACAGTGAGTGCGTGCATGGGTGCAGGTGCGTGGCTGTCCCTGTGTGCATGCATGCGTACGTGTGTGACTGTGAGCATGTGGTGTGTGAGTATGAGTGACAGCATGTCATTTTGGGTGACAGAGTGTGTCAGTGTGCAGGAGCAAGTGCTGTGTGTTTCTTCCAAGAGCCCTGGGCCTAGCTTCAGCGTGGTGGGGCAAGGAGGACCTTTCAGAGAAATTGTGAGGAATAGTGGCTGTGGATGATCTTTTTTTTTTTTTTTTGGAGTTGGAAGTCACGGCCTCAGCAGAGAATCCATTTTAGTAACAAGAGAAATGGAATGACGTGGCAAATTATAGTGTCTGACCAAATAAATTATTCCTTTCATTTTACCGTTTTGTTTGGAGGAGAGCTTTAAACCTCATCCTCAAGCATATTCAGCAAGTGCTTACTGAGCGGATTTGGCTGTAATTAATACGAATTTAACTTTCTTTTCTTTCCCAAGGCACTGAACTGGAGGAGAAACGGGGCAGGGCAGATTCCTCCGGGCTGTGGGTTGGGTGAAGGTTTAATAGCTTCACAGACCTGTGCAAGCTGCAAGGGCAAAAGGGAGAGGAAAAATATAAAACCTTTAATTGCTACTTCCCAAAATAACCTCAGTCCGCCTGTAATAAGCTTATGCTGGATTTTGATTCTTTTCACAGAGGAGAAAAAAATCAGGTTTAAATTTCTAAAACCAACATATTTTCCACAGGTTCCACCCTCAGCGTCTGTCTGGGGTTGAGAGCTCGAATGTCCTCGGAGTCTCCGGGCAGGGGCTCAGACAAGAGGCTGGCCTCACAGGTGCTTTCTCTGGTGAGAGAGCGGGGAGAACTAACGAACGTTTCCTCAGAGAAGCCACCTGGCCCGGGGGCCTTGGCCCAGCAAGCTGCTCTCATGCATAAAGAGGGCACTGAACCAGGGGGTGACACACTGGTCATCGATGGTGGAGGAACCAGGAGGACCCAAGGTTCACGGAAGCTTTAGAAGTCCATGGGTGTTTAGACCTGCTCCTCAGGCTCTCTTCAATAATTTCATTTTCTAAACTTGCAGGAAAATATACAAAACATAAAATGTACCATTTCCATGCCTTTTAAGTGTACAATTCAGAGGCATTGAGTACATTCACGTTGTTCCGCAACCATCACGACCATCCATCTCCAGAGCTTTTTCATCTTCCCAAATTGAAATTCTGCACCCATTCAACATGAACTCCTCACTCCTTCCTCCCTCCGGCCCCTGGCAATCACAACTCTGCTTTCTGTCTCTACGATTCTGACGACTCTAGGGACCGCGTATAAGTGGAATAAAACAGTATATGTCCTTTTGTGACTGACTTATTTCACTTAGCATAACGTTCTCAAGGTTCATCTGTGCTGTGTCCGAATGTCCTTCCTTTTTAAGGCTGCATAACAGCCCTCTGTATCACGCACCACATTTTGTTTATTCATTCATCCATCAATGGACCCTTGGGTAGCTTCCACTTTTTGGCTATTGTGAATAAGGCTGCTATGAACATGGGTGTGCAAATATCTCTTCAGGACCCTACTTTCAACTTTTCTGAGTCTAAATCCAAAAGGAGAATTGCTGGATTGTAAGGTAATTCTGTTTCATTTTCCAAGGAACTCCCATACTGTCTTCCAAAGTGGCTGCACTATTTCACATTCCCACCAGCAGTGCACAAGGAGGCCAACTTCTCCACATCCTCACCAGCACCTGTTCTGTTTTCTGAGTGTTTTTCTTAATAGTAGCCATCCTATTCACACAGTATGGGTATGAATCCCCACTGACTCTTCATCACCCGCTCACAGGCAGAGGCACTACTTAGAGACGCCGGGCTCACCACTTAGCAAGAAGCATATCAGCAGACACTCGGGTTTGGCTGTGCCAACTCCGCTGTCCTGAAAGAAGACAGCCACGGGTCTGGGCAACATAGTCATATGTTTGTGTTTCTGGGCTGGCTCTGAGGGAAGCCTAGAGGTCCCTGAAGCACTCATCCGGTCACGGATTTAGTCAACAAACCACTGGCATGGGCAGTGCCAGGCCCTGTTCTAGGAGCTGGGGACACAGCAGTCCCTCATGGACCCATGGGAGTCACCACACAGTGAAAGCGAAATGGTGGGAGCCCCACTTGTCCCGGGAGCCGCCAGTGGTTATGCGTGGCTGGGGTGTGGGGAGATGTGGCAGGCTGGGAAGTCACTATGGAGAATGTGCCAGCATTTGAAGGGGAGACAGAGGAAGCGGGAGCCGGGCAGGTTGCCCAGGCGGATCTGAAACGGGCTCTGAGCTGTCACTGGGGACCGCAGGTACAGAGGGACTGAACTGCCTGCTTCTCAAATCATTCCCGAAAGGCCTGGGGTCAAGAGGCCATAGGCATTGGAATCCCATGGGCCTGGGTTCAAAGCCACTTCCCCAACCTGTGTGACGCAGAGTACATGCTCTCTGAAACTCAGGTCCCTAATCTGTAAAACGGCAATGCAGGGAATCCCATCTTTTGCCAAGATTAGACACGAAAGACCATACATGAGATAAAAATCTCCACCACTCCAAAGCACCTCTGCCCACCTCAAGCAAGGTCCCACACGGAGGGGACCCCACTTCCTCCAGAGTGCAGTCCAGCGGTCTCCTCTGTGTGGAGACGCACACTGCCTCCCAGATCGAACAGCAGCAGAGGGAGGGGGCTGGCTGGGTTCTGGGCCTGTGCATGAAAACTGTGTATATAAACATCAGAAGCTGAATAAAAACTCCAGCTCTGGAGCCTGCAGTACAGGAGGCACGAGTAAATGTAAACAGGACGGCAGACCCTCACGCCCAACCTGGCTCTGGCACATTCAGACTGGGACGAGGGCACTGCTTCAGCTGCATGCACTCAGCCCCTCTCTGTCTCAGCTTCTCCCCTCTCTCCCTCTCTCCTCCATGCTGAACTTGCTAAGTTGGGTGCATGCAGATGCATGCCAGCCACAGCTCCCTCCCACCCCACCCAGCCGGGTTGGAAGCCTCGCAGCTGTCTCTGGACAGAGCCTGGCCACGGCCCAACGCTCTGCTCTGTCATAACAAAGGCGGCCGTCACCAGGCAGCCTCCCATCGTGCCCAGCAGTAAGGGCCTGTGGTGTTCTCACCCAGCATCCTATCCCTCCCTGGGACACTGCTGGGCCACAGCTGGAGTGCAAAGCTCTGAGCAGCCAAGGCTTGTGCAAGGCCATCTGCGAACCAGCAGCCACAGGAAGGAGCGCTCCTGTGATCCCTGGCCAGATTATCCAAACATCTCCTGGCCTTGGGGCTTAGCCCTAGGGGCAGGGGTAAGACTTGTCAGAAGACACCCACAGGGATCTGATGTCTGCAGGAAGCACCAGGAGGGGGACATGGAGGGAGGGCTGTCATCAAGGCAGCTTTCCTGGAAGGAGCAGGCAAAGGACAGGCATCTGGGCAGAAGGAGCTTACAGCCAGGTGCACACTCACAGTCCGGTGCACGCTCACAGTCAGGTGCATGCTTACAGTCCAGCACACACTCACAGCCAGGTGCACACCCACAGCCAGGAGCACACTCACAGCCAGGAGCACACTCCTTACAGCTAGGCACACACTCACAGTCAGGTGCACACCCACAGCCAGGTCACACTCACAGCCAGATGCACACTCACAGCCAGGAGCACACTCCTTATAGCCAGGTGCACTCACAGCTAGGCGCACACAGTCCAGCACACACTCACAGCCAGGCGCATTCACAGCCAGTTGCACACTCCTCACAGCCAAGCACACACTCACAGCCAGGTGAGGTTGTTTTAATGTGAGGGCAGTGAGTGGCTGCACAGGTGGACAGGGCCAGGCCTTCCTTGGGCTTTATCATGTATTTGTAAAACCTGAGTGATAAATGGGCTCCTTAAACAGGAAATGCATTCTTTCAGATTCTAAGTACTTGCTTCAATTCTCCCAAAACTCCCAAATCATGGCAGTACCAATGGCTATAAGAAATATCATGGGGGCCAGGCACAATGGCTCACACCTGTAATCCCAGCACTTTGGGAAGGGGACCACTTGAGGTCAGGAGTTCGAGACCAGCCTGGGCAACAAGTTGAAACCCTGTCTCTATAAAAAATACAAAAATAAGCCAGGTGTGATGGCAGGCACCTGTAGTCCCAGCTACTTGGGAGGGTGAGGTGGGAGGATTGCTTGAGCCCGGGTGGTCGAGGCTACAGTGGGCCACGATTGTGTCACCGCACTCCAGCCTGAGCAACTGAGCGATAACCTGTCTCAAGACAAAACAACAACAACAACAACAAAGAAATGCCATGGGGACATCCTTTGTCAGGTGTGTCACTGACAAGGGAGTTCAGGTCCTCATGTCCCACTTGGTTGGAACATCAGGCTGTGGGACACCTTATCTCAAAGCAAGGCCCTCAGGACAGGCTTACATCCTCAAAGACCAGCTGTGTCATTTGGGGTAAATGACTTGCCCTCTCTGACCTCCTCAGAGTCAGTTTGACAGGTGCTGGTGTAGACCCAAAGGGGGCCCAAAGGGGCTTACAGCCAGAGATGGAGCAGGGGGCAGTGGCTAATGACAAGCACCTGGAGGGACACTCTGGAGCCGCCATTCTGCCATCTCTGAGCCCCAGCGCTCGTGAACGTAAGAGCCAAAGCTCAGAGGGTGGGCCTGAGGATCAGCAGCTTCCCGGGGTGGCGAGGGACAATCACCTGTATCAGGGTGGGGGCCCACACCCCTGTAAGGGGGAAGGCTGCTGCCAGAGCACCACTCCACACAGTCCCCCTGGCCAAGGGGCAAACTCGTAACAGTCAAGGTCAACACAGCGAGTAAATTTGTTGCTGCCTCCCTCTTCCTCCCTCTCTATCCCCCTACTTACCTTCCCCATCCAACAGCCTTCACAGGGTCTTTTTCTCCTCCACCAGCTACGTGATGTGGGGTAAGTGACTTAGCTTCTCCGAACCTGGGTTCCACTGGTGCTTTAGCTGCTATACTGCCTCCCACTGCTACAAAGTCATCCCAACGGAATCCCCCCAAGATATGAACGTTTAGATCTCCAGAGCAGACGAATCAGAAAAACCTGGTTCTTTCTTTGTTAAATAAAGTTAATTCACCATAGAATTCCATTAATTAATGAACTGCCTTTATGCCCATAAAATATGAATAATTTTGGTCCATGCATGGTTTTACAGGAATACGGCAAATTACACAGTGACGTGGAATGGCAGGGCCACCAGGAATGTGAACCCTTTTGTGGGTGCAGAAAGGAAACCCCTCCCTTGGCCTGCATGGTACTGCGCCTTCGCCTAGGCCTATCGGAATCCCACACGGCTTCACTTCCGCACATGCCACAAGCTCCCAGGGAGTGGCTCCATCTGCCCAGAGACATCCCCGGGACTCCACCCTGAGGCCCAGCTCTCCTCTCCACAGCCCACAGCCGGGAGATCTTCCCATAAGAGAATCAGGGAAGGATTCCGATCCCTGCCTTCCAATGCTAGGCATTCCATAGATGTCCCCAGGCTACCCACTTCTGTGTGCTCCCCACATCCCACAGCAAAAATGCTATAAGAGGGCAGATCAGAAAGAATGTCACATCACTCTCTCATCCTCTCCCACTAGCAGCTCCAGCCCGAATGCTCTGTGGTGTTAAAGCACACTTCAGCGTGTACTGGGCGAGTGATGTCCCTCTCTGCCTCCTCCACACCTGCCCAGGGACTGGAACCTGCACCCAGAAATGTGGGTTTACTTAATGATGGGGGGGATTTCTCCCCCAGCCCCACACACAACTCCAGTCCCTTCCCCCCACTGTATGGCTAAATTTATAGATTTGGGATTGCTGTAAATTATAATGTAATTATATCACACCGGGGGCAGCTTCCCACGGCAGAAATTAAAAAGCAATTCAGGTAAATGATCTTTAGCTACAGTGGAGCGTCCCTGCAGAACTCATTAAGTCCGGGACCAAACGGCATACCAAAGACGGTGTGCGGCCGCTGCATGTCAAACACAGCCTCGCCTGGGAAACACACAGCCGGGTGGCGGGGGGTGCAGGGGGTGGGAGCAGGTTCCCTGTTGGGATGTCCTTCATCCACCTCTCACATCCACCTCTGTGCACACCTGTCCAGGTGTCTCCTCCAATGCCCCCTCAGCCTCCCAGTCCTAGACCACTCCTGCAAGATTCCCCTTAGAGAAGGAAACTCAAGGTTGCCTGAGGAAGAGCTAGGGTAAGGGGCAGAAGATGGGTTCAGAGTGTACTGAAAATAAAATCAGATGGGAAATTTGCCATTTGGGTTGCATTCGTACCATTTCCTCTGAAGCTTTGAATTTCAAAAGCCCAGGGAGTTACTTTTGTGTGTTTTGTTGTTGTATTTTAACGTCCTTAATTGAACCTTCCATTGGAAGGGAAGTATGGCATGGAAAGAAAGAACTGGAAAGAAACATACTAACATGTGAGTGAGGGTCATCCTTGGGAGGTGGAATCAGGGAAGAACATAATGATATGTTCATTGGGCTTTTCCACAGTCATCACATTTTCAATCACTTTAATAATCAGAAAAATAGTAAACAGGTGATTTGCGGAGGCATTTCCATTTGCTATCCTTGTGACCTTCAGCCACATGCAAAGGGGTGGAATGGGGACAGCACCATCTCTCTTGGTATTAATTGTGTCAAGTTCATGCAAGGACCCTGTGAGGGTCAGGATTCAGGGAACACAAAGGTTCTGGAGCCTTAGGGCCCATCGGGCTGTTTCCTAACACGCTTCTGAAAAGGTCATTTTGTCCCTGTCCCTTGAGCTGGACCCGCTGTGCAGGGCACTATGCCCATAGCACACTGCTGGGTCCAGGGACCACAAGAAGGCTGCTCTAACTCCAGAGACACTTTGTTGAGTTTATCACCTTCCAGACACTGTTCAGTGCTTCGCTGATAACAGCTCACTCAACCCTTGTAACAATCCTTGCACCCGAAAGGATGCTGCACAGACAAGAACTCCAAGGCCACAAGAGTTCACAGCCTTGCTCTAGGTCTCGTCCAGCTATCACTGGCATAGCAGGAACATGAACTCGGCCCACCGCCCGGTCTTAGCCACCACAGCCTCACCTCCATGTCAGAGGTGTGGAACACAGCAAAGGCCAGTTGACAAGCAGCCTGGTGGCATCCCCAGTGCCACTTTCTCCCGGCCCCCGTGGAGTCAAAGGCAAACAGGAACACATAGTGGGGGCCTCGGGTGGCAGCCCAGCCCAGGGGAAAGGAGGCTCGGTGTGACCCACCCCACTGCCATCCAGCTGGGCGGCCCTGGTGAAGAGCCTCAGCATCCCCATCTGTAAAATGGGGTTGCACCTGCCTCTGGGGGTCGCAGCACAGGCTTAGGCAACCTCGTAAAGCACTGGTTGGGGCAAAAGGGAAAAGAGGGTCTTTCTGAGTCAATGTAATAGTCCCCAAGTCTATGCACAGGCACCTCCCCTCTGTTTATTAGAAAGACGAGAGGGTGAGGAAGGGCAGTGGACCAGGCTTACTGGTCACCAGGTGTCCCACTGAGAGTGCAGGTCCCCTCCCCAGGGCCCACCAGGCTCTCTCTTCCTCATCCTCACGTTTGATGAGGCTAGGCCAGGAGCTGGTTTACAAGCCCATCCGAGGATTTGACAGTCTCGGCCAGAATGAGACCAAACTCCCTCCTCAATGCTGAGCTACCCTTCTCTGTCGCCCATAAATGTCCGCCGGATCTGCTATTTCTTTCACAGTAGAAGTTCACCCAGTGTTCTGCTCAGCTGAGCCATGGGCCCATCCCTAATTTGGACATTTTTCTCCCAACATCCAGTCAAATAGGAAAACAGATCGCACACCAGGCCTTTGCTTGTCCTAGTAAACTCTATCCATGAAGCCTAGGGGCCAAGAACCCTCCTGGCGCATCTGCACCTTTGCAACTCGAGAGAACCTCCCCCGTACAGAGGCCCCAGGAAACACTGTCCCCATCAGGTCCTGGTGGCTGCGAGCTCAGCCGCCCACGCAAGACAGGCTGCCAGTCAGGGAGGAGCAGATCATCCCAGGCTTAGTGTTCTGGGCCCTGAAAACACTTTTTGCATTTCCTCGAGGAGGTGGGTGGGTCGGCCTTGGCAAGGCATCTGAAACCACCGGGAGGCCACACACTAGTTACTGAGTCGGCACATGGCAAGCCCTTCGAAACGCCTCCTGGTCACAGACAGATGAGAAAACATGTTCTTAAGCCACCTCAGCAAACTGCTCCTCTGGCCACTCAAGACTGCACCCCAAGTGGCATAGAGAAACCCTGGAAGATGCAGTGTGGCCCACATCTGCCTGCTCCGTGGCCACTGGAACACTTGAGTGTTTGTTTAAAGAAGTCAGTCCCCTTCCCACTAGAAAAAAAGCTACCCTCTCCAGCGCTCACTCTTTCCTTCTCCACTGAAGTTTTTGCCACAGCAGAAGGCTAACTCTCACAAAGAGAAGAAACACAGACACACAGGGTGTGCACACACGTCCACACACTGGCGTGGACAGCAGCCGTCCCCGCAGGGTGTCCGGAGCCCACACATCCACAGCCAGCCTACCTGGGGGTTGCTGGGGCAGGGTCCCAGGCCAGGAGCCCACCCCCGGAGTGCCTCAAGGCAGCTCTCCGCCTCCTCCTGCCACCAGCTTCTTTGCCGCCAGCATCAGCCTCTGACGTTACTGCCTGGAGAGGGGGGAACTAATGCTCACCAGCTGGCTTGGTGATTTAACCCTCTCGGCTTCCAGGGAACTCCGGCGTCCAGCTGGATGAAAGTGCACAGTCCCCCTAACAGGGGCCCCTGAGCAAATACGAGGGCGACAGCTGAGAGTTTAGACTCGGCAAGAAAGCAAAGCCTGGGATGGCTGAGAGGAGGAGAAATTGGCCCCCAAACCCACCTTCGCTCCACTGTCCTGATTTTAAGGGAGCCAGAGAGAACTATCTTAGCTCAGAGAAAACCAGACAGAGGGCAAAAGGGACCAGCCTGGACCTTTCCTTCACTTGCCTTCATCAGCCTCAGTCTTTCTAAGGGTGGATGCCTCAGTAGATGCTGCTGGAGGTTTCCTCCAGCAAAGCAGCCAACCTTCCCCAGGTTCCCATGGCCTTGGCGGCTGGCCATCCTGCTGCCTGTGCTCGTATTCTGTTCTCTGGGCCCCACTTTTCTGCCTAGTGAACCCGTATTCATCCCTCAAGACCCAGCTCAGGCTGGGTCTGGCCTCCTCCAAGAAGTCTTCCCTGCCTCTCTTCCCCCAGCAGCAGGATGAAGTATCTGGAAATGACTTCTCTTGGAGTCGTTACCACACTAAGATGCTGTCCTTGCACTGATCAGTCCTTCTTCTTAGCTGGTGAGCTCCCTGGGGGCTTGGCCAGTGGGGTATTTGCCCCAGCATAACGGACTGGCACAGTAACTGGTAAATGCCTGCAAGCAGATGAATAAACTGCCTGTGGCAAAGTCCTTCAGATTTCTGGTTCTTGAGAACAAGGCTCAGGTTATAGAATTCTCTGTGCCTGCCATTGGCTTTCAGCTGCTAAAGGAGGAATGGCAAAGGAAGATTAAAAACGAGGGTGGATAGAAAATACAAAAACCGGTGGGGTGCAGTGACTCACGCCTGCAATCCCAGCACTTTAGGAGGCTGAGGCGGGCAGATCACCTGAGGTCAGGAGTTCGAGACCAGCCTGGTCAACATGGCAAAACCCCGTCTCTACTAAAAATATTAAAAATAGCCAGGCATGGTGGCAGACGCCTGTAATCTCAGCTACTTGGGAGGCTGAGGCAGGAAAATTGCCTGAACCTGGGAGGCGGAGGTTGCAGTGAGCCAAGATCACACCATTGCACTCCAGCTTGGACAACAGAGTGACTCCATCTCAAAAAAAAAAAAAAAAAAAATCTCTATTAGTGGCACTCTGTCACTCTGAATATCTACTATCAGTACTTTTAAAGTGCAACACAAACCTCACCCATCTGGAGGTCACTCACTCCTAAAAGGCAACTCTACCAGCTGCAGCCAGGAACCCAACAAGAGCCAAGAAGCCCCTGAGCCCCTAAACCTACATCTCAGAGGCTTTGCACTAAGAGTGTATGATAAAAGCCCCCTAGGCCCTTATTCAGTGCGTCTGGATTCTTGGCTTAGAAACTATTCTAACAAAATGATATGTTTCCCAGCACGTAACCTAGAAGTGGGTATCAGTAAAAGAGGGCGGGGGGCTGCGGCTGCTTCAGATAAGCAGGTTATCAGCATAAGGTGGGGGAGGCTCAGAAGGATTCAAGTTCAAATCCTGGCTCAAACCACTTACTAGCCGGGTGGCCCTGGTAACATGCTAACCAGTAGGCCTTTCGTAAACATCTAAATGCCTTTTGAATGAAACAGAATTGACTACTGAATTTGGCCTTGAAGGAGCCTTGGGATTTGGCAGGGCACAGGGCCTGGGCGGAGACACTGGGGGACTGGAGAGTCCCTGGAGAGACACGCCTGGGGCCCAGACTCACTCGGAATATTATCAAGACTCAGGAGTGATTCGTGTTGGGAGTGGGGTTTGGGGAGGAGGGGCAGGGAGAGACGCACTCTTGCTTCCTTCCAGTAGTGCCCAGCACCTACTCGGTAAGGACTTAGCCAATGCCAGTGCCTGGCCCAGCTCGGCCTTGTGTGGTTCAGTCCTTCCTGGCTCTTGGCTTTGTCTGCACTAAATGCACCCAGACTAGGCCCAGCCAGTTCAAAGGGTCGGTGCACACCATTTATCTCTGTCTCAGGCCACTGGCACGTCCACACTCCTTCCCAGGGGCTGATTAGAGAAGCAGATGCTACTTTCTTCTTGGAGGCTTCTTCTTGGATGGCAAACAAGAGCCCTAAATGTACCCACTGGCTGTCCTGGTGTTAGACTTCACCCTCCACACCCCTGCCCTGCAGGCTTGGAAGAGGCACTGCCACCCCTCGGGGATGAAAGCGGGGCTCCTTGGAGCTCTCCAGCTCCTCCCACCACCTCTCTGCAAGGCCCCAGTGTTCAGGCAGCTGTGAACCTCAACCAGATGCAGGCACAGGGCCACAGGGCCCTTGAACCAAGGGCCCTGGAAAAGCACAGGCAAGAGTGGAGCACGGGGTTTAGAAACAGGATCCCATCAAATCCCATGTGAGGCCCTGGGCAAACCAGGGGACCCTTCTGGGCCTCATGTGTAATGGCAGGACATGGAGGCCTCAGGAAGCTGTCCTCAGAAGGTCCCGTGCGGATCCATCCCCTCAGCCCTGCCACATGGTTCTCAGGCCGGCCGGGTCTCTTAGGTTTGCTCCATACGAGCGAGTGGGTGAGGACGCTACGCCCGCAAAGGAGTCTGGAGCGGGGCCAGGTGATGTGGGATGGGTGGGGAGGGGCACTGTGTACACAGCCTGGGACATCCAGCACCAGGCAGGCCAGTGGATGAGCAGTTGGAGCTGATGAGACAGATATAGGGGTCTGGGCAGAGACAGCTGAGAGGGTCTTGCTACCCAGGTGCCCCCGCGATGAGTTTCCAGTGACAAGAGAAGAGCACTCAGGACAAAGCCTGGGACCTTCACCTGAGGGAAAAGGGGCAGGCAGGAGAACACAAGGGGAGCTTAGAAGCCAGGGAAGGAAAGGGCTGAGGCGGAGCGGTGATGAGACTGTAAGAGGAGGAGGCAGGAGATCCCCCGATGGTCCACAGCGAGCTCATCAGCGGGGCCAATGGGGTGAAGTGAGGGGGCCTGTCATGATGGGCATGTGATGGAAGGGGTGACAGGTGGGCAGTGAGCATGGCCTGCTCCTTCAGGGCACAAGCGCAGCCAGACTGCGGGGCTGGGAGCTGGGGGAGAGACCCCACGGAGGCAGTGGGGGTGGCTTCATACCGAGGCCACTTCGCCAAGCTGACATTACGCACTTCCCTGTGTGGTTCCGGGTGAGGGCTGGCCACAGCAGAAATCTATGTGGGATTAGGAGGAAGGATGGCATAGAGCAGCGGTCCTCTCAAGAGATGGGCAAAGTCACATTTTCATAATAATCCTAAAACCTCATTTGTCTTCCTCGCTCATTGTCTCTGTATTTTCCAGTGTAGCTTTGGAAGATCTGGACTTCTAATTTGGAAGATGTGGGCTTCTAATTCTGAATGACTGATGCACGGTTATACAAAATAACGCATGGGTAAAAAAATATCCATTCAAAGTGCAAGACAGACCCATGGATTTTAACCAACAGCATGGGAAGGCCTTTGATCTGTTTCAGATTCCATAATGTCGTGTTTTGGTGCAGCATCAAAGAACATCCAAATTAGGCGAAAAGGCTTTTAAAATACCCTCCTCTTTTCTATCTCTAGATCTGTATTAGACTGGATTTCCTTCATATATTTTAACCAAAACAACATAGTGCAACAGACTCAATGCAGAAGTAGACATGAGAATTTAGCTGTCTTCCATTAAGACAGAAATTAAGGATATTTGCAGAAGTGTAATCCTACTCTTCTTACTTTTTTTTTTAATTTTGGAGAAGCTCTTTTCATAAATATAATAGTTGTATCATTGTTATTTTCAAATGAATTTGAAGACAAAATATTTTAAATAGTTCTCATTTTTTTAAGTTTCAAACAAGGTAAATATCAATAGATATAACCCACATTAAAAAAGCTCTTTGGGGCCGGGCGCCGTGGCTTATGCCTGTAATCCCAGCACTTTGGGAGGCCTAGATGGGCCGATCACTTGAGGTCAGGAGTTTGAGACCAGCCTGGCCAACATGGCAAAACCCCGTCTCTACAAAAATACAAAAATTAGCCGGGCATGATGGCACGCACCTGTAATCCCAGCTACTCAGGAGGCTGAGGCAGGAGAATCACCTGAACCCGGGAGGCGGAGGTTGCAGTGAACTGAGATCGCACCACTGCACTGCACTCCAGTCTGGGCGACACAGCGAGACTCAGTCTCAAAAAAAAAAAAAAAAGCTCTTTGGGGTCCTCAGTAATTTTTAAGTGTACAGGGATCTGTGGACCAAAAGGTTTGGAACTGCTACTGTAGGATCCCAGAGGCTCCCTCAGTCCCCAAACATCATCACTGATCTGTGGGGCAAAGAGGGTTGGAGCCAGCTCTTTCTCCCATAGAGCCAGGAGTGGATATAGTTCCAAGGGGGAGGGTCATACAACCCACCTCCAACCCCATGTGCATCCACCTATCCATCATGAAGCTGGAAGTACAGGAAGGCAGGCGTGAACTCTAACCATCCTGGTGGGTTCCAGCTTGTCCTTGTTCTCCCCCACGTCACACCTAACACCCCCTCAGATCGCCAATGCCACTGACCTACAATGACTTCAGCCCAGCACCAGAGGCAGAGACCGTGGCTTTGTAGAGATATCACTGCTCCCACGACTGGGCAGGAGCTGATCCTATCACCACCCTGGTTCCAAGTCTCTCACGGTGATTCTACTCCACTGATCGGACTCTAACTGGTATGGGGAGGGCATTTGGGTAGCCCTCCCAGGGGTAGAAAAGCAGGGGAAGGCACTCTGGAAGCAGGGAGCACCGTCAGAGGTGCGCAGGCACAGAGGCTAGAGAGGTGGGCCAGGGGGCACGTGACCACAGAGCTCAGGCTCAATCCCGTGGTACTTGGGAGCCACAGCAAGACGGCTGAGCCACACACACGGCAGCACAGTCCCTCTATCGGTGGAGGGAGGGGGCTGGCGGGGCAGGCAATGCTGTCTGCATGGTAGCAAGTCAGCTTTTACTCTCACTTCCGCCCCCAACTTTTGGGCAGAATCGTCTGCAGCCCACAGGTGATTTGCAGCTCCTGTTACAGATGGGTTGTGGCGCCATAAAGGCTGAGGTGCTTTCTCTCCCCGGCTTCACTGTGTTTTTTTATGAGTAAACACTTCCCGATAAAGACTTACTGTCTGCAGAGACCCCTTAATACCCCAAAGGTAAGGGTTTAAGTGGCCTGAAAACTGCCGTTACTTATCTTTACAGCGGTCAGCAAGAGCCTGCTCAATGGCAGAAACTTCCATTTCACTGTATGTATTTTCAATGACTGGTTATAGATCAGGCTCATCCCTGGGGCTCAGGGTCTGGGGTCTCCTCCATTCTAAAAGGCTTAGCTGGGAGAACCATCGACCTCTCCCTGTCTCAGGCCCGTGGACGCTGGCATCAACAGGACAGGACAGGACAGGACACTGGCCCTTGTCTTTGAGGATACACTCAGGGGATCTCCAGGACCATCACGCCCATTTCTGACCTCATCCTCCAAGAGGCAGCCTCTGTCCTGCCCTCTACCCCAATGGTCCCGAAGCTTTTTGGCACCAGGGACCAGTTTCATGGAAGACAATTTTTCCAGGGACCAATGCAGCGGGGGCGGGGGGTGGGGCGGGCGGGGGCAGGAATCCCAAAACTGTTCCACCTCAGGTGCATCAGGCATTAGATTCTCATAAGGAGCACGCAACCTAGATCCCTCAAATGCACAGTTCACAATAGGGTTCTTGCTCCTGTGAGAATGTAATGCCGCTGCTGATCTGACAGAAGGTGCGGCTCAGGTGGTAATGCTCTTGCCTGCTGCTCACCTCCCGCTATGCGGCCTGGTTCACAACAGGGCATGGACTGGTGCCAGTCTGTAGCCGGAGGATGGGACCCCTGCTCCACCCCACCCAACACTGCTCTCAGCATGAAATCTGATCAACTCATTCCCAGTGAGGCACTGATATCTGACAACAGCCAGGTGATCTGCCTAGAAGTATCCATTTTACCACACTCACACACCTTTCAGCCATCAGCATTCATGTTTAACCACAAAATCATACAGACACAGAAAAGGCTTCCTAAGCCCCCAGAAATCATGGCGATCAGCACTTACCACCCCCATCTCTGTAGGGCAGATCCTGTTGATTCCCACTCAAATCCCGGTGCCCTTACCCCTTTGGTGCACACATCCTTTCCAACCACCAGCACCGTGGTTAACTGAGGGTTTTCTGTCTCCAAAGCCCACTTTGCCCAGCTGTGCAACAGGTCTGGAGTGCAAAAGGAACCCTCAGTGGGGCACTGCCAGCAATTGGTGTTTAGAGCTGCTTCCTTTCTCTGGGATGGGATAACCATGCCAGCTCCCAGAGTCCCCCCAGGGATGAAGCTCCAGTTGTTCTCGGGGGCAGCTGACTCTCTTAGCCTCCCTTTATGGGTGCTTTCCTCCCGTCTCACCTCACCACTCCCTTCCCTACAACTCCAAATAAACCAGGTATACCAGAATCCTTCTCTTAAGAGCCTGCTTCTAAGAATGATAACTAAGACACCATAAGTTGAAGTAACCTTAGAAAATGCATCTTCCCCTCAAATCAGGGGCACAGACTTCCCTTGGATGGTGGGGAAGCTGAACATGACCTTCTCAGGACAAAGTAGCCCACTAGGCTGGCACCATCTTCCCTACTTGTCTTGGGGACAAGACTGCATGCAAGAATGGCAAGAGATGGAGGAGAAGTCAGCAGTGAGGGGCCAGGGTGGTGGTGGGGGACCTGGGGATCTGGGGCCAGCTGCAGCTGCATGTACAAGAACATTGTCAGGAGAATGGCCTGGCAGACAAGTGTGGTAGCACCCATCGCCCCGGGCAGTCACGCAGCTGCAAAGTCCTTGCACGAGCAGGACTCAGAGTTTCAATCGACACCTGGAGCTTGGCTCTCCCTCTCCCAAGACTCAACGCAGCTGAGGGGATCAGGCTGTTCCTCTGTGCGCAGCTGGGCCATTCTGGGATGAGGATGCTCAAGGGCACGTGGCAGCCATCACGTGGACTGCATGTCCATGGGCACCCACGCCATCCCCCACCTCCTCCGGGAAAAGATTTCAAAGGGGGTTCTTGCCTTCCCTTCTTCCCCAAAGCAATGCAGCTCTTAGAACCACAGCACAGGGAAACATTTTCTCTGGTTATTTTGTTTTGGTGTGGTTTTTAAGTCTTCAGAAGCCTCCAATTCCTCCTTGGGAACAGATGCACAAAAGAAGCATGTTTCACCACCCCGGCCCTGCCAGGACATTGTCCATATTAGTGGTGCTCAGGCGCTGGCCAGGAGCGCCAACACTTTACATCCTGTGTGTGGCATGCTGAAAATTCTTCGGGACCCTTTCACAGCCATCGTCTGGGGACCTCGCAGTGCTGGGGGTCCATCTCCCAACCCAGACCAGCGCTCTTTCCCTACCCAGGAAAGGCTCCACAACATGGCCAGGTGTCCCCGCCTTCTTCAGTGGGGACACACAGAAAGAAGAGAAGACTCTCGCCCTCACTGCTGTGAAGCATCCCCCATGTGGAAGAGGGAGAACAGAGCTCACACACTGGCAGGATTGGAGGGGGCACTCACCTGGGCCAGCACCAGAGGTTCAGAGACCTGAAAAACACAGCCCAGGAGAAAAAGTTCCAGGAAAAGAGAGGTCAGAGCCCGCATGCCAAGGACGGCAACAGGAGAAAGGGGCTCCCCGGCAGCCTGAATGACTAGGAAAGGTGATGTCCCCAGACAGAGACCATGGGTTCCACCATGACACGCCAGGGTGTGAGGGTAGGGAGAGGCCAGACATGCCCCCAGAAGGCCACTCTGGGAGTCATGACCCCAGTGATGGAAAGAAGGGCCTCAGGTCCCCCATGGTGGCAGCACGGTCAGTCCTTCGAAAACCCCTGTGAGGATGACCCTGTGGATCGTAATCCGGCCTGCGTCTCAGCTTCAGCCCTGACCACGGCCCTAGGAGGGAAGTCCTCATCATTCCCCCGTGAAAGACAAGGATGCACGGGAACCGCCACAGCTCCCACAAGTGGGGCCAGGACCCAGGGCATCTGCCTGCACAAGGGCCCATCCAGCGGCTCCTGGGGACACCGGACTCCCAACGCAGTGAGGGGACCGGGCCGCGACATGTGTGTGTGGCCCTGTCCTGCTGTACAGGGGTGACCTGAACCCGCTCTTCAGCCTGCAGCTGGCTTCGGGATGAGTTTCTTCTCCTCCCACAGCAGAGGAAGTGGTTTTCTATTGCGCCCTAACCAGCACATTTGAGAGAGACAGTGGCTTCAACAACCCTGGGAAAAGTGTTCCTGTCTCAAGGAAGGCTGAGGCCGCCGATCCCCCATCTCTCCCTGCCAGAATACCCATCTTACATCCTGTTCCGCACAGTCATTGATTTGGGTACTTGCCTGTGTCTCCCAACTAGAATGTCAGTTCCAGAGAAGTGGACCTTGCCTGTGTGTTCGCTGCTGCCACCCAGGGACTACACTGCCCGGCGCATAGTAGGGCCCCAGTAAACACTTGTGGAAAAAAGGAAGAGAAGGAAAGAGGGAGGGAAGGAGGGAGGGAGGGAGGAAAAAGAATCTTCTGAAAAGCAGAGCTGTCCAGCAGGATTTCATTTGTGGGTATGGAATGCTTCAAATCAATCAGCAAAGAGATGTGCTGATTCTAAATGCCCCTCCCCTGCTCAAAGCCCTTCAATGGCTCCCTACTACCCCTCCATCCAAATTCCTCTCAGGGCATCCCAGGCTCCCCACAGTGATTCCAACCTCCCTTTCCAACTGCACCTCTCCTCCTACCCCTAGTATGAAGCCTCCTCTCCAGCAGGCGCTGCTCCCTGCCCTGGCATGTGCCCTGTCATCCACCCCTCGTTGAGCCTCTGCTCACCTCCACCTTCCCAGTAGCTCTCTCATTCTTTAAGGAGCCCTCCTTAGCGATGCCACCCCTGGAACTTTCTAGCATTTCCTCTCCAAGGCTCTGGTCTGGCACTTCTCAGGGAGCACTTTGTGTACCCTTATGGGGAGCTCAAAAGGACAAGTAGGGGAGGGGGACAGCACCCCTGGTACAACCCAAAGAATGAGGCTGGGGGGATAGAATGACCAGAGGACTCCTTGCTGCTTCTGAAGGGCCCAACTCTGACCCCACCATCCACCAGTGGATGTCTACAGGTGCCCAGGCCTCTCCGGGTCTCCTGCCCACTCCTCCTGCCATCTGGCTTCAGGGAGGCGGACACTGGTATTTGGCTTGACCAGCAGCACATGGGCCACCCTTCTACGCACAGCTCCAGCAGATAAGGGGGCTGACCCACCCCACTTTGCACAGGTATGCATGGGACCCCACAAAATACTACATGGCTCGGTCACAGTGGATGGTTCACAAGGGTGCATGGGACCCAGGCCTAGCCAATAAGTTGCCCCCAGGGCTTTTCCTGGAATCACCCGGAATGAGACACTCCTCCATCTGAGCTCATGGGTATCAGGCACACATCAGCAACTCCACCCTCTGGTGATCAGAGCTATCAGAATGCCAGGCCAGCGGAAAGCCAATCGAGATCACGGACAGAAAGAGACATGTCCCAGTGACGTCACTGGAGCCTCAAGCTTAGCTAGTCCTAAAAGCAAATCTAACCCTGAACTTCTGAGTTACGGAGGACCAGAACGCCACGTAGCTTCAGAGAGCCAGAGCGGGCTTCTGTTGCTTGCAGCAAGTGTCCTAACTCAGTTTCTATCGAGAAGATCTGTCCCTTCAGGCCAAGGCACTGCTGTCTCCCTGTATCCTCATCCCTTCCAAGCGCCCCTATTAGCACATCCCATAAGCCTGGGAGCCTGCCCATCCTCTATATCCTGAGGGGTAGCACAGGGCCAGGGAGAGGAGAGAGGCTGTTGGCTGGGCCTCCCTGAGGACAGGATGAGGCCATGAGGTAGAGGGAGGAGGGACAGCAATGGAAGGGACTAAATGAGGGCTCCAGGCCAGGACAGGGGAGGTGGGCAGGTGTGCCAGACAGCCCCAGCCCACACCATGCCAAAGCTGGTGAACGCTGCCACTTCCGAGGGCTATAGTCTGTCTGGGGCTTGCCCACTGCAGATGTTGCTCTCAACACAGAAGACGGCCCAGCACACCTGGACTGGGAACACCACTCCCAGAAATCTCCCTACCAAGATCTGGTAGATACTCACCGCGTAGCACTGGCAAGACCATCCCCCTCCTTGGACCTCAATGGACCAAATGGCCCCTGAAGCCACTCTGGCTCAGAAGCCTGGCCCCCTCCAGCTGTGGGCAGCAAGGCTGTGAGGCCATCCCTGAGACCTGGCTCCCCCCAGCAGAGTAGTTAATTTCCAGCAGCACAGGGCCCCCGCCCCTGGGGCTCATCCACCTGGAGTTGGGGCCAGCAGGGTCACCCTGAAATGCTCACAGGGCATCTCTCTCAGCACCTGCCTGACCGCAGCCCCCACCACTGCAGAGCCTGCCACCAGCCACAGTCAATGATTCAGGTTCCAAGGAGGATGTAATCTGGTGATAAAGGAGTGGAAGTTAGCTGGAGGCTGGTGCTCTTTCTCGGTGATTTACTCAGCTCCCCTCCAAACTCGCACCCTTAATGTAATTATTTACTTTGTCATTAAACATCCCCCTTCCACTTCAGTTATTTTTAGAGCTTCTGGGGCCTATAGATTAGATGGGAAGGCTGCTCATTGGCCAGGGGAAGCAGGGTCCTCCCTGAGGGGTAGCGGTGCACAAGGCACTTGGAGATCCCAGGGGCTGTGAGCAGCAGCACGACCAGGCCCCCATGCCGCCACAGGCGCCCTCCCTCCCCCGCACTTCCTTCCTCTTTTCCTTCCTTCTATCCTTTCTTTCTCCTCCCTCCCTTCTTTTTTAAACAGAGATGTAATTCACATACCATAAAATGCACCCTTGTAAAGTCCACAATTCAGTGGTTTTTAGTACATTCACAGAGCTGTTGCAACCATCACCACTATCTAATTACAGAACATTTTCATCCCTCCAAAAAGAAACCCCAAGCCCATAGCAATCATTCCCCATTCCCTCTTCTCCCAGCCCCTGGCACCTCCTCATCTCCCTTCTGTCTCTATGGATTTGTCATTCTAGACAATTCATGGGAATGGAATCCTACAATATTTGTGCTTTTATGCCCGGCTTCTTTCTCTTAGCATATGTTTGCGAGGTTCATTTGTGTATACCATTGATTAGCACTTCACTCCTTTTTATGACTCAGTAATATTCCATTGTACATACATACCACGTTCTGCTCATCCATTCATTAGCGGATGGATGCTTGGGTCATTTCCATTTTGGGACTATCGTAACTAACATTGCTATAAACACCCATATACAAAGTTTTGTGTGCACATAGGTTTTCAATTATCGGAGGTAGTTCTTGAAGAGTGGAACTGGTGGGTCCTCCCTCCCTGATGACCTGGAGCTAGAAAACCCAGGGGGCCAGGCATGTGGGCGCTGCTGAGAACTATGGGCAGCTGGGAAGCTCCACAGTGCCCGAGCCACTGAAGACACAAACGGCCTCAGGTGCTTTCAGGCAAGGGTTGCCACTATCCCATGAGAATAACAACAGCAGCCCGCTGCCCACATGCCAGGCCACCCTGCACTACAGAGTTGGCTGAGGGGAGCCTTGTCACCCCCATTTCACAGACAGACAAGGCAAGGGTGGCCCCTGCTCCTACACCTAGATGTGAACTCACACTTGTCTGTCCTCTAAGTGAAGGTGCCTGTTGCTTTTCTTGTCACCAACATGGCGTAGAGGGCCATTGACTCCAGCGTGGAAACCTCACAGTCTGGGGACTGGCAACAGGACAAAGATCTCGCTGACATCGAGCCTCAGCAACTCACCCAGTCAGCAAAGTGTGTCGTTGGCAAGTTTTTCTTCCCTCCCTGACCCTCTTCTCTCCTGGGTGAGCTTCCCCAGGCACAGGTACTCCAGTGCTCAGAAGCCTGGCCCTCTCCAGCTGATCCAGGAGCCACTGGGGAGAGGTCACAGGAGGATGATGGACAACAGGGGCCTTTGCACAAACCCAGAGGTAAGGTGACAGCAAGGGGGTAAACACCTAATGGTGGGATTGCAGCACTCGGCGGGGGCAGGGACTTCCCCACCCTGGCCACCATCACACCACACAGAGACCACATGCTTGGCCCTGCAAGGGGCTTCTCCTGGACGTCCTTCCATTTCTAGAATTGCAGGGATAATAGAAGGTGCAAAGCGGTGTCCACTGCCCGGCTCCATACCAAACCCAAACTTCCTCTCAAATATCACTGCTGAAAACGAGATGGAAAGTCAGACGGCGGATGAGGCCCTGCTCTGCCCAGAGGCCTGGCTGTCTGGTGCCAGGGTTTCAAGCTTCACAATCCCCCAAAACACAAAGCAGAGGTCCACGCCCTCTGACAGCAGGGCCAGCCAGGACATATTCAAGGGGAAAGAGCCAAGGGCGGCTTCTCAAGACAGAGCCCCTCTGGCTCCCTCCCCACCCTGCCCACCCAGAAGGAGAAGAAGCCAGATGCTCAGGGTGGCGGGGGCGGGGAGGTGTGTGGGGGGGTGGTCCAAGCAAGCCGTGCACACAGGGCCTGGCTGAGTTACCAGCGTCCACGTGTGGCTGTGAGCAGAGGGAGGACACAGACCCTAGGAGGGGCCACTAGACTCGGCCTCAGATGTGAGCTTGTGCCAGGATCGGGGAGGGAAGGGAGCCCTTTGCCAAGGGGCTGACAAAACCAGCCTCATTTGCCAGTGCTTCCCGCTCAGCTCAGCCTCTCCAGCCATTCTCAGACCCCAGGACCTTTGCCCATGCTGTTTCTCAGGCTAGAGTGTGGTTCCTCCTTGCACATCACGGGTGAACTGCTAACTCATTATAGAGACTCAGCTCCTTCATTTGCTCTCTCAAATATTTTTAAGGAACGTATGCGCTACCCTCAGAAAACAGTTCTTGAATTAAGAATCATAATAAGAGCAAGAACCATAATACTAACAGCTGAACTACCATGTACAGAATGCCAACTGTGTGCCAGGGACCCTCTAAGCACTGGAGTCTCATTATTGGTCAGCCTAGCCCTCCAAAGATACGCATTTTGGCCTGCGTTTAAAATGAGGACACTGGGGTTCGGATCAGCACAGGATACCCAACCGAGAAGGGGCAGGGCAAGGGTTCAAACCTCACCTGTCCAAGCCCAGGCCCCATCCCCCAGACCATGCTGGTGTCCTGGGGCTGATGGCTCCCTGCATCGTCCCCAGGGGGCTTGCCCAAGCCCTGCCACACTTTGCAATCACACTTTGGTGACCCCCTCCCCAGCCCCCTGATCTGAGTGCACAGTGGCTTTCTGTGGGACTGACTGAGCAGCCAGGTCACAGGGCTGTACACAGCAGTGTTACCAGGTCCTACTGAGACCACACTCCTTCCCTAATGTTTTCCTGGATCACTGCAGGCAGCAGACAATGCCCACATCAGCATCGTAACTGGGGTGTCTGGTTTCTCCATGGGGGAACCACAAGCTTTTGGGGACAGGGCCATGGCCCCTGCTTCTTAAATGCATCTTCCCCCACTTCCTATCCCCCTCTGGTGTCCACACAGAGCTTCATAGAGGACAGCAGCTTCAAATGGCGCTTTCCCTCCTTACCCCTCAATGTCCATTCAAAGAGACTTCAGTGGAGCCTCCGGGACCTCGGCCTGCACCCTGGATCAGCTATGCACCCACCTGGGTGCCAGCCATCTCTGCGCCTCCCCGCAGGGCAACAGGAGCCTTGTCCTTCAGACCCCATATGCCAGGCAGGAGACATATGGACTCACGCAGGAGACATACAGACTGAGCTGATGGCGCCCAGTCCTCCCTCCCCACACTCCCAGGGGGCCACTCTGCCCCTCCTCCTCCCACCAGGGCCCACCCACCCTTTCCTCTTTCCACCTGGTGGAACCCCGAATGTCCCCAGGCTCAGACACTGCCTCCCCCGTGAAGCCCTATGGGCAGGATTCGTCACCATCTGCTGAGTGTCACCTCTAACTGGAAGCTCCTAGAAGGCAGAGGCAACGTCCCTGTCATCACCACCTCTCTGGTCCACAGTTCGGGACCATCTGTAGGATGTGCACATGAATGCAGGGAACCCAGAGGCACCCAGGCCCGGGTGCCCCACAGCCCCCACCAAATGCAGGGCTTCACTTCATTATCCTCAAAATGGTCCCAAGATCAGAGGCGGTGAGACCTGGCCACAAACATAAAATAAATTATCTCTTTCCCCCCCTCCCAAGTAATGATAAATGGTTCTATTAGCAATCCAGATTGTTAAACTCTGATATAACAGAATGCAGGAAACAGGGGCCCATCCATTCTCCCTCCGGCGCATACTGAGTTGTAAATAGGTTATTTTGTGTGTAAATAACACATTAAAACACAGCATTAGCTGTGTCTTTTGATAGAGAGGAAATTGTTACAAATAAATAATTCCGGACAGGAATGTAAAATAAGCCAGATTTAATAGTGCATGCCTGGCACAGCCGTGTTAAACATGACTAAAATGATAAACCCCAGAATATACTAATAGTAAACTATGCACTGACATCAAAGTAATGAGGCTGTATTTTTACCAAGCTTTAGAAATGCTAAAATTAGTTTTGACAGAACCAAACGTCAGAAAAATGTTTCCAACATAAACACAGTCACTTGGGAAGTTGGGGTTTGGGCCAGGAGGAGGGCCAGGTTGAGGGACAGCTGTGTCCCATGTGATGGAATGTTCCTGCGGAATTGGTTTCCAGTCCAAGTAATATCACTAGGCAACCCTCTGCATTTTGTGTCTCTGGACCTCAGTTTCCACATCTGTAAAATGAATGGATTCAAACTAGAGGATTTCAAAAGCTTCTTCCAGTTCTGTAAGTGGAAATGACTTTGAAGCTTCACCCAACTCTGCATCAGCTGAACATTCACAGTGAACCGTGAGAAATGAAGGAGTGCCGGCCAGGCATGGCCAAGGCCCCAGGGAGCACACAGGGGCAGGAGCCACCGGCACTGTCCTCTGACACTGTCATTCCAGGCAGGTAGGGTTCACCAGCTTATAGGAACCAGCCAGAAAACAAGGTGACACAGAGGTGACGTGAAACATGTGTGCCGGTCTCTGCAACCAAGGGGAGCGACAGGCAGGGGCCAGGAGAGCCTCCCAGAGTCCAGACCCCGGGCTGCGGCCAGAAGCAGAGAACAAACCTGTTGTGCTTGGGGAAATGGGGCGGCCAGGCTGATTCTGGACGGCAGCCGTTCTGAGTGGCAGTGAGTGTGAGGCCAGGACAGGCCAGAGGAATGCTCGGGTTTCCGTTATGTGGACATTTACTTCCTCCGTGCCCACATGCTCTGCTAGCCACCCTGCAGACCTTGTCTCGCTTAGTTCCATGGTAGCCAGAAGTAGTGACCACTACCATCGCCACTGCACGAATCTCAGAGAAGTTCCTTGATTTGCCCAGAAGACACGGCTGGTAAGCAGAGGGTAAGAAGAGCCCAGATCTGCCTGACCCCAAGCCATGCTCTTCCCACTAGACTCTGCTGGGAGCAGGAAGAAGTCTCCAACCTCATGCTCCCGCCCCAGGCGTCCAACCTTGCAGTACACTCCTGAACCATCTGAAAAACATCTGGGTGGTCAGCCTGCACCCCGCTTCCTGGGTGAACCAGGCTGTCAGGGGAACTCAGCTCTGCTCTCTGGACAAAGTCTGAGGGGAACTGGTTGTTCTGGATGGCTGGGCCATAAAACAAGCCCAGCAGCATCAACAGCCGTCCTGAAAATCACTTAAATAAGAGTAATTGCCCACTTAGTCACACCTGGGTGCATCAGGTCCAAGGCAAAAGTGTGTGGCCCCAGCAGAGAAACTCGGATAAGCCAGGGAAGGTGGCCCACTCAGCTCCCTGCTGGCCATGGGGCCTGGCAGGGGGGCCAAAGACCACGGCCAGCCTCAACTGACCCTTATACCCAGAGACAGCTGACCACACCAGCCCACCGGGAACACCTCTGGCATGATAGCATCAGATTCCATAATCCCCTATGGGATGTCTGCTGCAAGCGGGGATGTGGGGACAGTGGTGAACAAGCAATGCCCTGCCCACAAGGACATCCTGGAGGCACAGAAAAAGACAGAGTGCAAAGACACCAGGGACTTGGAGGTACGTACCAATGGAGGGGTATTGGACAGATTCCTAGGTGTGGTAAGGCAGGTGGTGGGAGGGGATTTTCTAGCTCTGGCCAACACAATGAAAATGAGTCGTCTAAATATTCTGCTATTTGCACAGCATTCCCATATAGACATGCATGCCTCGCCACTAAGCAAAACTGTGCCTCAGAAAAACTTTCCAAGAACCCAGCAGGGCCAATGAAGAAGATAGGAGGGCTGTCAGTATGAGTAGGTAGCACACACGCCTCCTGGAACACTGGAGCGCTCTGCTGAAAGTCGTCTAGTGCTTGACCCTAGCTATGCTAGCCTGGTCACAGCCCCGCCAGTACTACCAGCTGCAAACCGTAGTCTCCCCCCCTGAGACTCTTGAATACTCCAAGGGATCTTGTTCATGCCTTGGACGGACTGCGCCCAATGACCTGTGAAGCGTATTAAAAATACATATGCCCAGGCCCCAGCCCAGGGGCTGCCCTGGACCCTGCACTTACATAGTGATTGTCACGAGAGTCTAAGGCTTGGCCAGCTTTAGTAACCTTTGGTCTGGTCTGGTCTCCAGCGTGCTGGGGAAAAGACCAAGTCAGAGAGGCCAGGAGCCCACTCGGGACAGACACCCAGGACAGGCCCTGGGAGCAAAGCAAAGTGGGACAGGCACCCAGGTCTGATTTCCAGCCCAGGGCACCCACCACTCTCAAGTAGGAAGTCACCAGAAACCTGGGTTTCCCACCTGCTGTCAGCCTCAACGGGTCAGCAGGCAAGGGTTACCAGTGAAAGGGAAACTTTCTAAGTCAGGCAGAGTATGCAGATCTAGAAAAGGAAAACTGGTAGGAAGAATAGCAATAGTTCATAAAGCAAATACTCAACTTGGACCTCACACAAGGCCCTCTGTGCCCAACACTTTTCGAAGCACTTCCCATGTGCTAACTCAAGGAATGCTCACAACCAAGATCATGCCCATTTTATAGATGAGAAAAGTGAGGCACGGACCTGCCTAAGGTCAACAGAACTGGGACTTAACCAGGCAGCCTGGTTCCAGAGCCTGGGCTGCTTCTCACTACTTCCTTAGCACTGCCTGCACTAAGAGAGGCAGTGTTACAGCTACTATCCAGGAAGTGCCCTGGCAGGCCTGTGTAAGCACATCAGAAGTCTCCTGTAATCTCTGCACTGCAGCTCTGTGTCTAACTCCCATTTTATGTATGGGAAGACCCACCCTACCTCATGTAGTCAGAACATGCGGTTCTCCAACTTAGGAGTGTATCAGAATCACCAAGAGGGTTTGTGTAAACACAGCTTGCTGGGCTCTACCCCCACAGACTCAGATTCAGTAGGTCTAAGGTGGGGCTCAAGAATTAGCATTTCTAACAATTCCCAGGGGATGCTGATGTTGCTGGTGCGGCCCACACTGGGAGGACACCTGGCCCAGCACACAGTGGATGCTTCGTGGAAGAGGTGGGCGTTGGCCATTGCAGGTACATCCCAGGATGTCTAAAGCCTGTCTGGCTGCTTGATTCCAGAAACTAGCAAAACTCATGAGATCAGACCCAGCTCTGGGTTTCATGGCTCCACCTTTCATATTATCCCAGAGGCTCTGAATAGTAGTCCCTGGTGCTCAGTGAGGCACACAGAGAGGTTCAGAAATATTTTTGAAAGAGAACCCACAGTGGAGGAGGAAAATACAACAGCATTTGGACAGTTTCAGTATAAAGCAATGAGAAACATCTGAATCAAATTGCTTTTAAAATTACACCATTTTAGAAGTTAAAGGAGGGGAAAACCTCTGGGCCAAAATGTGTTTTAAAAGATTTATGGCCTCCAAAGTGTTAGCACAACAGCAAAAGAGACTGGGAAAGAACTCGCCCTCCCAGGCTTCTGCCGTCTGCTCTTATGAACTGCTCCAGCCAGATGATTAAACTAACCTTTCCCCAGTCTGACCACAGGGCTGCTTTTTCCTTTGGTCCAGCTCGGTCCAGCCCAGCCATGCTCTGCTCTGCAAATATATTTCTCACGCATATTCTGGCACAGGGAAATAGTGACTCTAAGTGGAAACACCCAGCCCCCAACAGGTCCGACCTCATGGACTCCTAGGGGAAGTCAGGCAACAGAGGCCAGTCGAGGTAGGTGACTTTGCAAATAACTCACGGCCCCAGACCTCAAATAACTGGCTGTTTGGAAGAGAGCAGGTGCCATCAGGGCCTGGGATGGATGAGGGAACTGAGGCATGAAGACACATGAGGAGACCTTACCAAGGCTGGACACTCACCCTGGGGTAGCAGTAGGACCTAAATTAAGGCCCAAGTCTAACAGCAATCTAAATAACAATCTAAAAGCAAATACCTGAAAGAGACTCTCACCATGTGAGAGGCAGGAGCCCCAAGCCCCGGGCCCAGCTCGTGGTTGAAGCAGCTGGTAGCCTTGGGCAAGCCCCATGCCCAAATGGGCCTCAGTCTCATCTACAATACGGGAGGTACTGAAGGAGAGGCTCTGACCACACCAGCCTGGCATCCAGGAGCTCCTGCCTGGGTTTTCCGAGCTTTCCGGCTGGGGCCTCCCACCCCCTTCATGTCCTCTCTCCTCACTCTGAACCTTCACTTTCTATCTCATTGCTAGGGGTGCTTGAGATCAATTGCACCTTCTTTTTATCCCACTTAATATTAGAATACAAGCATGTTCCCACCCTGTAATTGAAAAGTCTTAATTAACATTTTCAGTGGCTACATCGTGTTCCATTCAAGATGTTCCACAGATGAACCAATCCCCTATCAATGAACAGGTAGGCTGTTTTCAATTTTTCACAGATATAAAGAACTCAGAAGTGAAATCCCAAGGTGGCTCACGCCTGTAATCCCAGCACTTTGGGAGGCCAGGGCAGGCGGATCACTTGAGGTCAGGAATTCGAGACCAGCCTGGCTAACATGGTGAAACCCCATCTCTACTAAAAATACAAAAATTAGCCGGGCATGGTGGTGGGCACCTGTAATCCCAGCTACTCAGAAGGCTGAAGCAGGAGAATGGCTTGAACCCAGGAGGCAGAGGTTGCAGTGAGCTGAGATCATGCCACTGCACTCTAGCCTGGGCGACAGAGTGAGACTCTGTCTCAAAAAACAAGCAAACAAACAAAAAAGTGAAATCCTTCTGCCTGCAGGTATGTGTACTGTTTCAACCAACTCAAGCCATGCAATTCTAGCCGTGGAATGGAAGCTCTCGGAACTGGTGACAGTGAGGGGTGGGGGAGGCTGCATGAGGGGCCATGAGCTGCCGGGGAATGCAGGGTGCCCCCACATCTGGATACCTTACAGATGCCAGGAAACAGCCCCTGACAGCTTGCAGGATTTGGCTGTTTCCTCACCACTGCGCCCCTGACATCCTCAGATAAGACCCACCCACCCCACACCTTCTCTGATGTGTAATAAGTCAGGAAACACTAAGCTCGTATAAGTCATCCCTTTCGGCCGGGTGCGGTGGCTCACACCTGTAATCCCGGCACTTTGGGAGGCTGAGGCGGGCGGATCATGAGGTCAGGAGATTGAGACCATCCTGGCTAACACAGTGAAACCCCATCTCTACTAAAAAATACAAAAAAATTAGCCAGGTGTGGTGGCGGGTGCCTGTAGTCCCAGCTACTGGGAGGCTGAGGCAGGAGAATGGCGTGAACCTGGGAGGCGGAGCTGGCAGTGAGCTGAGATCGTGCCACTGCACTCCAGCCTGTGTGACAAAGTGAAGACTGTCTCAAAAAAATAAATAAATAAAAATAAAAAATAAAATAATAATAATAATAATAAATCATCCCTTTCCGCCAGACAGCAAATCAGGGTGTGAACCATGGGGGACAATGTCACGGGATTTGGAGGAACAAGCCAGGCCTCAGAGGAGCCAGGCTTCTAAGTGGTCACCTGCGCAGCAACAGGGGAGTCGACTCAGTCTGCTCCTGCCCCCAGCAAACAGGCCTCAGAGCAGTCGCCCAGACCAAGATGATTCGTCTTTGCCAGAAACAACTCGAGAAGAGGGGCCCCTCAACAAAAATTCTCAGCTCCCCACACCCTTGCATCCACCCGGGGTGCACCCTGCGGCACTGTCCCTCTCCCAGGCTTGGTACAGTCCCTCACGGCCCCTCCTCACCCACTGTCCACACCCAGCCCTGTGCCTGATGGCTGAGTGCCCAACTCCTCAGTGGCTGCAGCAAACGCTTCTGGCCCATGAAGACTTCCTCCTTCACCAATGCCACCCTTTCTCCTACACCATTCCAGTCCCAGAAGACCCTTGGGTACCCCTCATGCCAGGCCCAGCACCAGATGCTGAGACCTAGAGATGAACACAAGAGCATCCCCGCCCCTGAGGGGGACCCACGCCAACCACCTGCAGCTTCCAGGCACCTCCTTCCGCACATTCTCCTCACCTGCTGACAGGTCTGTACTCCCGCAGGCAGTGAGGCCCACATCCATGGCTCTTTGGAGCCTTCTGGGGGACTCAGGGTTGCTGAATACATGAGGATTCTTGCTCATGCACCTCTGCCACCATCCAGTAACATTTAAGGAAGACCCGAAGTTCCAAGATCATAAAGACTGTGGACAACACCTGTCAAATCCACTCTCGACACAGATTAGGAAAACTGGGACCCAGGCCAGCGCACCTCCCATCCCATCCACGAATGCAGCCGTCGCATTTTACCAGCACTAGGAGACTTGGCCCACGATGTCCCTGCTTTGCGCCACGCAGGGACAGCTGCTCTCCCCTGACTCCAGGAGGACCCTTCCCAAAAAAAGCTGCTCAGAGACAGGTGCAGGGAGCAGCGATGGGTGAGGAGGCTCTGGGGTCCTCACAACTCTCCAGCAGCAGACACATGGCCCAAGACTGCTCTGAAGCTAACAGGCCACCTGCCCTGTGGCAACTATGCTCACGAAGGCTGGGTCCACCCTCCGCTGGAACCTCACCAGCCAAGCCACCCTGCGATCAGACAACAAGGGCCTGCGGGGTGGGCAGGAAAGGGTGTGCTGCAGTGGGGTGGGGTTGGGAGGTGAGGGCCTTTGTGGAGGTGCTGTACTCCAAACTTTGGGCCTCCTGCCTGGCCCCTACTCCCGCCACAGATTGAGAATCCCTCAAGCATCTGTTGCTATTGCACCAATAATGAGAACTCAGCCTGACACTAGAGGGGCTCCCCGGCAATTACATTCTAATTACTGTCTAATTACTGCCTAAGTCTGTCCTCTACTAATGTGACACATCAGGAAATTGCACCATGGTGGTTCATGATCCACTCATGGCTTGGAGAGGCAGGGTGTGGGGCGGAGGGATGGGGGGATGGTTCCCGCTGAAAACCCTGGGGCAGGCCAGACATACACAGAGGCCAGGCTTCCTGGAGCTCACAAGGCCTCAGAGCATGGGCAGAGGGGCAGCTTTAGGTGCCCCCACAGGCCAAGGATGGCCCTGACCCAGGGGAAGGAAAAGACCATGTGTGGCCCCAGGACCAGGGCCGCTCCACCAGCTCTTCCCTCCCTGTGCGCTTGGCTCCTCCCACTCCACCTAAGAGCTCTTCCTCCACCCCCAGCTGGCCCCTCCTCACAGAGGGAGGGCCTAGAGAGTCCCCGTCCAAGGGGCACAGGGTGGAGAGGCATCGTCCAGCTCAGAAGGCCACCTCCCCAAGGGGCCTGAAGGTTGACCTCAGATCTCCCTTTCCTGACATGAGCCACACATCCCAATAATGACCTCCCACTTAGAACCGCAGGAAAAATAAAAGTAAATACAGTAACAACCCCCCGCAGGCCCTCAGGTCCACTCGTAGAAGCACCAACTCCTAAGCCCCTCCGAGGGTCTTTCCATGTTCCTGGGCTCCGGCCCCAGCGTGGCCTGTGAACCAGCAGCCCCAGCATCATCTTGGCACCCAACAGAAATGCAGAAACTCAGCCAGCCCTGCCCCAACTTAATTGAATCGGGGTCTCCACCAAAACAAGCCCCCAACAACTGTGTATACATCAAAGTGTGAGGGGCGCTGCCCAAGCGCCCGCCGGAAGAAAAGGCGCATTCTCTTCCCTGCCTGCTCTCTGAGCTGTGCCTCAGCCCTGAGAGCAACAGGGCCTGACTAAATGCACTGGAACAAAAAGGGAGGAAAAGAAATCGAAGTCTCTCCATTCCTCCGAGACAGAAATAGTTCTGTGGCCTCCAGATGGACTGTGCAGACACAGCGGAGGTCTCGCCTTCCCGCCAAACTTTCCCAACGGGATGCTGGCACGGATGGCCCAGTAGAAACCAGAGAGTCTTTCTCTTTGGGGCAGTAAAATGAGAGGCTGTGGCTCGTGTAGTCTCTTTTGTTATAATTAAGTTGGCCAAAAATTCACCTAAGATAGTAAATCCCGAACCTGACCCTCTAATTAGAGCCAGAAGGCATCAGGAGACAATTACTTTCCAAAACAGTCCTTGGCGGGCAAGAGGCAAGAAGTTCTCTGGGCACATTTCAAATGTGCCAGCTGCACGCACCCCAGGGCTGCCTGGCAGCGACCATGCCCCTCCTCCCTCTCTCCCCTCCTCCCTCTCTCCCCTCCCAGTACTCAGGCCCCACCCACCGCTGTCTGAGGCAGCTCAGCCCCCTGGACTTGGGGTGGCCAGACCTCTTAGCAAACTCACAGGTGACCTTCATGGTGCCTGGGATTCCTGGGAGCAGAGGTGCCTTCCTCTTCGCCCTCCATAAACCCAGCATGCCTCCCTGACGACATGGGCCACCACTCTAATTAAATCCTAACGGGCTAATGAAAAACACCCCTGCTGCCCTCCAAGTGTGCGAAACAGAAAGTACCTCCTTGGGCAGCTACCGCTGCTGCTGCCGCTGCAGCCACCACCAAAGGAGAGGCCTTTTTACCCGGGTCGGGGAAGCCAGCGGCCTCCAGGATCCCACTTTTGGCTTCTTGCTTCTCGGAGGCAGTGGCTGAGGCAGACGTCTCCATCTCAGCCGCTCATCGTCCTGGGTGGCAATCCTAAAAGAGAAGACAAAGACACTCACCAACACTGAGCCCAAACCCAGCCGGGAAACGCCGACCCAGATTCACACCGCCGCTCGCTCCTAAAGCAACCAACTTCATTCTAATTCTCTTATAATTGGGAAGGAGGGTTTAATTAATTTTGAGAATTATTAGTCCTGGGATTCGTCTGGTCTTCTGAACGACCTCACGGACAACTGCAGGCCATTCTCATCATCTTTTACCCAGATTTTACAAAATCTAAGTAACAGGTTCCTACTGATATGAGTGGCGGGTAGCCTCTGATGAGGGAAATAAAGTCAGAAACAATGACCTCTGTCTGTGAATCATGGGGAAAATAAAAACAAATATAGTGACAATGACCTAGAGGTCCTCAAAGAAAGGCCCTCATTTTCAGGTGGCTTCCCTGCTCACCAGAACCTTTCACTTATTCATCTGCATGTTCGCTCACTCCTTCACCCATTCATTCAATAAATGTTCATCCTTTATTGACTCACACGCACTCAGTCAACATATTTTTAAGCCCCTAGTATGCATCAGGCATCATGCCTGGTGCGGAAGATACAATATGTGGAGTTTACATTCTCCTTGGGGGCAAACAAGGGGAAAATAAATGTAGATTTAATCTCAGTGAGTGGGAGGTGGCTCAGGAAAAGAAAGCAGGACAGAGAGGGTTGCAGGGGCACAGCGGGGCAGCGCTGCCAGGCCTCTCTGGGGTAGGGATGGGATGCCTGAGGGGCCACCCCACTGCAGTCAGAGGGCAAAGCCAGGAGCCAGGGGCCTTGTGGGAGGAGGCTGGCTTCTTTGAGTAGTGGCCAGAAGGGAAGTGCAGGCATCAGAGGGTCTTGAGCAGGGGAGGGGCAGGACTGACTCCGGGTGTAAAAGGGTCACTCCATTGCTGTGTGCGGAGAGCAGGCTTTTCGGGGAGAGGAGGCTACTGCAGTGACCCAGGGAGAGACAATGGTGGTTTGGGTTAAGCAGGTGGCGGTGGAGCTGGTGAAACATGGACATGGTTTGAAGGCAGAGCCAACAGACCAGGCTACAGACTAGATAAGGAGGGATGGAAAGTGGCTGTGAGCAAGGGAGGAACACCCAGCGGGATTCGGGGCATGGGCAACTTCCGTCTCCAGCTGAGTGGTGGGTCAGAGCAGACACTGGCAATCCAGCCTTTCTATCAGAAGATAAATCTGATGGTCACATGTTTGTTTTTTGTTTTTGTTTGTTTGTTTGTTTGTTTGTTTTTGAGCTGGAGTCTCACTCTTGTTGCCCAGGCTGGAGTGCAATGGCGCGATCTTGGCTCACCGCAACCTCTGCCTCCCAGGTTCAAGTGATTCTCCTGCAATCCTGAGTAGCTGGGATTACAGGCATGAGCCACCACGCCCGGCTAATTTTGTATTTTTAGTAGAGACAGGGTTTCTCCATGTTGGTCAGGCTGGTCTCAAACTCCTGACCTCAGGTGATCTGCCCGCCTTGGCCTCCTAAAGTGCTGGGATTACAGGCGTGAGCCACCGCACCTGGCCGGTCACATGTTTTAAAGAAGGTGGTGGGGAAGATAGCTGGCATTTTTGGCTGGACACCTGGAGGAGTGGGGCAGAAAGGTTATGGGCAGCTGTGTGAAGGTCCTGCAGAGAGTGTGGGGACGGGGGTCGCAGTGTGCAGACACCAGTGGTCAGCTCCACTCCCGGGGCCCTCAGCTAAATCCACATTAGTAGGCCCTATAACTTTTCTGTTTTATGTTGTTTTTTTTTTTTTCATTTTTTTATTTTAGATAGAGTCTCACTCTGTCACCCAGGCTGGAGTGCAGTGGTGTGACCTCAGCTCACTGCAACCTCCACCACCCAGATTCAAAAGATTCTCCTGCCTCAGCCTCCTGAGTAGCTGGGATTACAGGCATGCGCCATCACACTCGGCTAATTTTTGTATTTTTTAGTAGAGACAGGGTTTCACTATGTTGGCCAGGCTGGTCTTGAACTCCTGACCTCAAGTGATCCACCTGCCTTGGCCTCCCAAAGTGCTAGGACTGCAGGCGTGAGCCAACGAGCCCAGCCAAGAATTTTTCTTTTTTAAGAGACAGGGTCTCTCCTGTCACCCAGGCTGGAGTGCAGTGGCACAATCAAAGCTCACTGCAGCCTCAAACTCCTGGGCTCAAGGGATCCTCTCACCTCAGCTGGGACTACAGGTGCACACTACCACACTCGGCCTAGAATTTTATTTTTTAAATCCACACAATACTCCCACATCTTTTTAAGTAGAAAAAAATGAGTACACAAGAACAATGGAGGGGCCACATGAAGGATGTCCACAGCTCCTGTCAGCTCCTGGCTCATCTGCACACACCAGCCTGGCCAGTTTCCACAGTCTTTCAAAACTCCCTGCCCAGAAAGCCCAAGAAAGTCAGGCAGATGGGGGAGAGAAAAATCTGCTTGCTGGTGAGTCAGGGGCCTCCTTTTGGCCTAGAAATTCAGGGATTGCTGCCTGCTCTTTTAAGCCCACTTTAAAATCCGCCCCTTAAGAGTCTGGCTATCTGAATGGCCTACTAGCACTATACACTGGTTCGTGCCTGCTGTTCCTCTGCCCCTTACCTGGTCACAGGCACCACCACACCAGCCACCTGAGCTGCATCCTTAAGACACCTTCCTCCTCTCCTCGCCACACACACGAAGACTGTGAGCCCCATCACTTCACCCCACACCCCCCAGCACTCGCACGCCTCACCAGCACTGCCTCTCCCGCTGGCTGCTCTGTGCCAGGCACTCTTTCCCCTCTGGGTCTTGGCACTTTTCACACCTCTGGTCCACTCCAGGTAATTCCCTGTGCTTCAGCCAGGCATCTTCCCAGAAACCACATATCACTCCATCCCTCCCCTGCTGAGCCCCTTGGCCTTCAGGTAAAGTCTTCCCATGTCTACCTAAAGCCTCCTCTCCCTACCAGCTCCCTGGCTGCCTGACCCTCCTAACAGGGATAACTGGCTCTGCCCTTGCACACAGCCAGGCCTCTGCCCAAGCTATGCCACTCACTGGAAACCCTTCACCTTTCTGTGTCTGATGAACTCTTACTCTCAAGATGCCACTCAGACGTCACCTCCTCCAGGAAGCCCCACTTCCCCTCCTAGCCCATGATTGCAGCCCTGAAGCAGTCAGATCATGTCCTACTCAACACCCCCGTATTACATTCATCACCTTCAGGCCAGGAGCTCTTCAGCACAGCATTCCCACAGCCAGGCCCAGCTCAAGCTGGTAACTAGAAGGCTCCATCCGTGAAGAACGGACCCAAAACACAGCAGCTGCGGCTTCCTCATGGCAACCCCACCTATTCACTTCAGCACAGCAGATGTCATCACCAGTTCTTATAGGGGAGGAAGCTGAGGCCCCCATGGGGAGTGAGCTGCCCAAGGCCACTCCCCAGGAAGGCACGGGGCCAGGCCTACAGTCAGATCCTCCAGCCAAAATGCCTCCTGACACCTCAGGGCGTGGTCGCTCCAGAAACAGGGTGAATGTAGTGAGGGAGGAGGGGCATTTATTCAGATGCCCAGCTCCCAGACTGTGGCTCAGGGAGAGGATGTGCACACAGATGCACCTGAGGTTTCGTGAACGCCTGTGGGGAGCAGATGCAGCGGGGGGATTCCAGGCAGTGCCCACTGCATCCGTGGCCTCGCCTTCCCACCACTTCCCGGAGAAGAAGATAGTACACAGAGCCAAGAGGCTGTGTAAATCACAGGAATTAGCGGGATTAGCACAATTTCTAGGTAAACACCAGGCGCCCAGGGTCCCAGGCAGCCACTTTCACTCCCCAAAGCTCATCTGAGGCAGGCCCGTCAAGCCCTGCAGCCAAAGCGGATAGTCTCATCTGGGCCTCCAGGGGCTGCCTGGGGACAGCAGGGAGGGTCTCTCCAGGGATGGCTCCCACGGGCTCCACAGAGCTCCAGAAAAAGAGGGACTGGGAGTCACAGCACCTACCACAGGGAAGGAGAAGAGTCAATTCCTCACTTTACCTTCAAAACACACAGCTCTGCCGCTGTCCAAACAACCACGAAGGAAACACAGCCACACTCTCCAAAATTCTGCTAAGGGGGTGGGAGCGGGCACCCGGGACCCAGGGCCCGGAGAAGCCCCCTGTCCGTTAGGAGGTTCACCCAGGTCACCTGCCCTCTGGGGCCTCAGCAGGGGCACTGGTGACAGCAAGATGCTTCAGGAGCATTTCTGGGCCTTCCCCTGGAGATTGTGATTCCCCAAGTCTAGGCAGGGGGTGGCAAGAAGAGCTGCATTTCTGTTAGTTGCACAAGTCTTTCTGATACAGAAGCAGGTATATGAAAAACCGAACGGGGTGCTCATAAGGTCCCTTCTGGCTTCCAAATAATCTACAAGTTCAGCCAGGTGTGGTGGCTCATGCCTGTAATCCCAGCACTTTGGGAGGCCGAGGCAGGCGGATCATGAGGTCAGGAGATGAAGACCGTCTTGACCAACATGATGAAAGGCCGTCTCTATTAAAATACAAAAAATTAGCTGGGCATGGTGGCGTGCACCTGTAGTCCCAGCTACTCGGGAAGCTGAGGCAGGGGAATCGCTTGGACCTGGGAGGTGGAGGTTGCAGTGAGGCAAGACCGCGCCACTGCACTCCAGCTTGGAGACAGAGTGAGACTCTGTCTCAAATAAATAAATAAATAAATAATCTACAAGTTCCAGTTAAAGCAGGACTATCTAACCTGATGAAAAGATACATTTTTATCTTTGCTAGTTTGGAGCTGAAGTTGGTGTCTCCCTCAGGCTGCCACTGGCATGAGTCGCAGCTATGCCCAAGCCCACCGTGGTGTCCCACTTATGCTAGCCATTCATTAGCCCCCACGGCTGACCTTGCTCTTTGATGTGTCGGTAAAGCAGCACATGTATTCTTGATCACAGATGCGGTGCCTTGAACGTTTTAGACATCGCATCATCACTTTCTTTCACAGTCCTGTGTCTTTTCTTCTATGCATTTATAGCATTATTGTAGGAGTCCACGAACTTCACTTGCTTGCCAAGGGGCCCACGGCGCAGAAAAGGTTAAGAACTCTGAGTTAAAGGACTTGCTTGAAGAATAAATTAGTAATCAGAGCAGAATGAGCGAATCACCCTGAAACCTGAAATCCCAGACACCCTCCCGCCACCTGGTTTCTTTGAACTCCTCTAACGAGTGACTCACAGGAATTAGAGCATTGTTCCCCAGGCAAAATCAATCTCCAGGAGAGAGATGAAGCCTCGCCTCTCAGCAGTCACAGCCACCACAGAGCCACGGTGTTCTCACCTCTGCTGTGATCTCAGTCGTGCGGCATGCGTGCCCAGGACCCACACGCATAGGCACACATGGATGCACACACACACGCAGGCTCACACACTCACACAGCACACAGAACATACGCCGACAAACCATATACACAGCCACACACATGCATACACCTGCACGCAGGCCACACACACACGTGCACACCGCATTAAAGTCACAGACGTGTGCATGGGCACACACATATATAAAGTCACACATGGTCACCTGCATCACACATACACTCACAGCACATATGCAGCCACACACGTGCACACATACAGGATACATGTAGTTACATGCAGAGGTACATGAACACTCACACATGCACATGTATATATTACAAGGACACAGACCCAGGCAAACACATGCACATACATGAGAGATAAACATGTGCCCTGCCTTGATCACAGACTTATTTTTAAGATCCAATGAGATAAAAAGTGAAATTTCCCAGAGTGAAGAGCACACCGCCACCCTGATTAAGGGAAATCGTCATTCTAACCTCATGACAGCTAAAAGGGAAGCAGCCGACTCACGGCCTGAGGCCCTGAGGACTCTGTCTTGTATCCACCAGGAGCTGGGCACCAGTCCTTTCCTCTCCCCTCACACCACTGTCTCCACTGGGAAAATGACCTCAGGGACACCAGTCCAGTGCCACAATGCCAAGGCTGGCAGCCTAGGAGCAAAGCGGGCTCTGACTCCTCAGGTCAGTCCCCACTGTCCCATCCAGACAAATTTACACTCACTCCTCCACCCTGAAGGAGATAGGGACGTGGGGAACGTAAGGGTTCCCCAGGACTTCTGGCATTTTACTGCCAGCGGCAAAATAATCCTATTTTAAAACATGAGGCATTGAATTCTCCCACAATGAGAGATGCATGTGTGCCTGGACCAGCATAGTCTGCATCCACTGTGTGTCTGTGGCCATGTTACTTCCCCTCTCGGAGCCTCAGTTTGCTCCCCAGTGATGCAGAGTACCCTCCCTCCCAGGGTACTGGGAAGACAGTCAGCCTTCCCAGCATGGCCCGTAACACCTATTATAGCAGCTGCCCCACATGGGCAGCTTCTCCCATTTTCTTCTTCTCCAAGAAAAGATCACCTGCCTGCAGGGCCCTGGGGGGACAGTCAGGGACTCCACCAGCTCCTCAGACCTGCCTGTGGGGTCTGAGGCCTAGGCAGCACCAGTTTCTGCCTTCTCTGTCCACCTTCCCATCACTGTACATGAAACCGAAGCCTGCCATGGCTTCACTAGGGCCCAGCAGGATAACAGCTCTGCAGAGCCCCAGAGAGCAGCACCAACAAGGAGCTCCAGGACTGGGGCCAGGCAGAGCTCAGGAAGGTGTGAAGGGTCTTCCAGAGTGTGGACGGGTGGGCAGCTGTGCAAAGGCCTTGTCCCTGACTCCCCCTCTTCCAGCCATTCCACACTGGGAGGGGAACCGCAAGCTCCTACCTGCGCTGGTCCCTCTTCCACCACTCCAGCCAGGGATTCCCACAGCCCCCAGCCTCCACTCTGGGTCCTTTGGGGAGATGGCAAACTCAGGAGGGGAGCCCAGACCCTATAAATGATGCCTGGACTGGTCAGATGCGGGGAGGCAGGGCCATGGTGTCTGGGTCAGCCCCATGCCCCTCAGGCTCCATAACCTTGACCTTGGCTTCCCACAGACAGTGAGGGGGATGCACCCCCAGCAAGATTATCCAGAAACTTGAAGGTGGCGATGTATGTGAGGCACCAGTGCACAGCCACTGCTCCCAACAGACCCCCCTGTTTCTCTATGGATTTGGTGCATGGCCCACCACCCCACCTGGTACCCAGTAGGCTGTGAGGACAACGAAGGGAGACACATCTGGAAGAAAAGAAATCGCTCTTCCGAAATCCCCTGGGATCCATGGTTCCCATGTTGACTCAGAGGAAGAAGGGTCCTCTTGAACTGCTCTGTCCTTCCTTAGACCCCCTCCTCTGCCTAGGGTGTCGCTGCACCGGGAGCCCCATGACTAGAGAAAGACAACAAAACCTTCAAGCACACATAGGTGTCCCGAGCTGGCTAGCTCCTCTCCTCAAGTAATTTCACCATTCACAGCAGCTACTCCTACTGGGCCAATATCTCGAACCTTGCTTTCACTTAAAATCAGAGGCCCAGAGAGGATAAGTAAGCTCCCCGAAGTCACACAGCTAAGATACGGCAGTGCTGGTGGGCCAGTGCATGTCTGCTGGATTCTAGTTTTCTACTTTCTCCATCATGGCCAACTCCTTTGTATGCACAGATGCCTGCCAGGCTCCAGAATTATTATAGGGGTGTCAAAAGGTATAAAAGCACAGCTATAGACACACATGTAAAGAGTTGTGAGGCAGGCACTTGTGTAGAGAGTGCTTCAAAGTCCAAGGCAGTATATGCTAAATGTCAAATAAGCAGCAGTGAGTTTCTACTTGTGGGAGCTCCACAAGGGCGGGCTACCTGAGGAGGTCAGAGGAGGCTTCCTGGTGACCATCCAGTCTGCCCTGTGGCTTCCAGTCAGAGAATGAAAGGGTCCTGAACTTGGCCCGGAGAGCACAAAGGGAAGAGCACTCCAGGGTCTGGGAACTGCATGAGCAAAGGGAGGGAGAAGCCCTTGGCACACTCTAAGGCAAGAAAAAAAAAGCGTTCCCACAGGGAGACAGAAGTAGGTGAGACTGGGCGCGGTGGCTCACACCTGTAATCCCAGCACTCTGGGAGGCTGAGGAGGGCGGATCACCTGAGGTCAGAAGCTTGAGACCAGCCTGGCCAACATGATGAAACCCCGTCTCTACTAAAAATCAGCCAGGTGTGGTGGCAGGCGCCTGTAATCCCAGCTACTGAGGAGGCTGAGGCAGGAGAATCACATGAACCTGGGAGGTGGAGGTTGCAGTGAGCAGAGATCGTGTCGCTACACTCCAGCCTGGCGACAGAGTGAGACTCCGTCTCAAAAAAAAAAAAAAAAAGAAAGAAAGAAATAAGTGATAAGCCAGATTGAAGGGGAACCATAGGGGCTGTCAGGGTATCTGGGGAGGGCAGGCTAGGAGGAGACTGAAGTTTAGGAAGGCCTCCAGCCCCTGGGTGTCTGACACGCTTCTGCAGCACAGCCTGGCCAGCCTGTGCCTGCTGTCCCCACCTCTTTCAGGGGATGCAGCCCAGGGGCCTGCAAGTTGAGGGGGTGGCCAAAGCCCTCACCCTCCCAGTGTGGCCAGGGGTGGGCACCATACAAAATCCCCATCCTAGCAGGTGCACCTGCTTCTTTATCGCTCCTTGAATTTGTTTTTCCAAGTACAAAAGCTCCCCTAATTTGCCCAGCTCCTGGGCCTGCTGGTGTCCAGGAAAACAGATAATTAACCCTAATTCACTGACTTGCTGGGCTGGAACAGGGGCCAGGGAGGGCCCCAATGGGAAATGCAGGCCCCTCCAGGGGCAGCCAGCCTCCGATAAGAGTTGATGAGTATCAGGAGGACTTTTTCCCTCTGGGAAGCTGTGGGTAAGACCTACTTTGAGGTTGACATTTGAGACGGCCTCAAGACTTCGTTTGTTTCCACTGGGATTTACTCCCTGAAAGCCAGCAGGCCCTCTCCAATCCCCATGCCTTCCTGCCAGGAACATTCTTCCCTCTGCTCTACCGAGGATGCCATGCTTTAAAATCCAGAAAGCTTGCTCTCACACCCTCCTTCCCAGAGTCCTAGACAGAGCTCACCAACCTCTTTGTGCTGTGACTGAACTTTGACACCACCTGTGCACACGTCAGTGGTTGTCACATTCAGCTGGAGGCCAGTGAGTGCAGACTCTGGAGAAGGAATGGCCATGTTCACCTCCCAGCTCTGTCAGGAACTGTCGACAAGAATCAACTTCTCCCTAAGCCTCAGTTTCCTCATCTGTTAAGTGGGGATAAACAGAATGTCTCACATGGGGCCTGGCACACACAGGCCTGGCCTTATCATCCCTGCAGCTGGAGAAGGCCTGCCCCTGAGCAGTGCCTGGAGGCTGCCCCACCAACAGAAGGCTCTGTCCAAGAATTGACACGACAGTCCCATCCAGGCATCCTCCTCCACCCACCCTGGTGCCAGCGCCTCTACAGTCTGACATCTAAACTCTCGGGTTGGCATCTGTTTGTAATGTGCTTGTTCCACTCGGTTCTAAATTCCTATTGTCCATCACCTTCCTCCCTGGAGAGCCCTGAAGCCTAGAGGTCCAGGGTCTCTCCCTGACACCACTCCCCCAGCACCGCTGACCCAGCAGAGGGTTGGGACGTGCTCTGAGGCCGCTGTCTGCAAGGGGAACAAGGGGCCCACTGTGTGGCCGGCCCGCCAGACCCAGATATTTTAACAGCTGCTTTGTGTATTCCTGAAGCGCGATTCCTGAGTGTGGAGGAAAAACAAGGCTGGCCTCTGCCCTGAGGAGGGAAAATCACACTGCCCCGGGCAGGCTGAGGGCTGGGGTGAAGGCCTCTCAGGGGCCCAGGGTGGCAGCAGACATCAGAAACAGACCCCAGTAGCCTGGCACACGGGAGCCACAGGCACCCAGACCCATGCCAAGGCCCCCTTAATCCAAGACTGAGAAGGCAGGGAGTTGGGGGTGGGGGCAAGGACCAAGGGCCACTGAGGGTGGAAAATCCTTGCAGGAGACTCTGAGAGGGGACGAAGGACCATGAAGGCAGTGAGTGCGCACAGGACAAGGTCCAAGTCGCTGTCATGGCCCCAAGGCCCTGCCTCAGGATCTGCACCCCCAGGTTCCCTGCCCCACCCCCATTCCACCGCAGTCATGCTGTCTGTGACTCTGATCACGCGGTTCCTCTGCCTGGAATGCTAGTTCCCCAATACCCACTATGACACCCCCTCAGAGAAGCCTCCCTGGGACCACCCCCTGCCAGGCCAGGCAGGGGTCTGTCTTGCCTGTGTGCCTGCCAAGGTCAAGGCTCCTATCTCATTGTGTTTTAACTACATGTTTACGTGTCCGTGTCCCTTTATGGCCACCCTCGACACAGACACCATCAATGTTTGTTGACTGACTCAGAGACGAACTGAACACATAAATGCTCTCAGGCACTCAAGTCTTCAAGAATCCTCTTCTTCTCCGAGCATCCCCTCAGGCTTCAATGCCCCACAAAGTCCACGTGGTGAGCAGCTTCTAGACCCTGAGACCCACAGGCACCTTTAAGGGAGGGCTGGGTTGGAGAAGGCATCAGGCTATCTCTTAGGTCAGGAAAAGTGCAGTAATCGACTTCTAATGTCTGCTGCAGGAGGCACACTAGTCAACTTGTACTGTCTGCCATGGGCAGTGTTTGCCAGCACTGCATAAGAATGCCTTCCTTCCCTTACATTGTAAACCCCTTGAGAGCAAAAGATTTGCCATGCATAGTACTTAGCACTGAAGCCTATACATATTAACTGGGTACCTGCTGAGCTCTAAGCACAACCATTTTCAAGATGAATAAAAAAGTGTTTATCTCTTAAAAGCGCTTTTTGAGCACTGACACACTCAAAAGAGCTATTTTCTCAGTGGAATTGCAGGTTGGGCGGGGGGTTGGAGGGTGGGGGTGGTATTTTGGGGTCAGGGGAATGGTGCAGGTGGCCTTTCCAGGCTCTTCCAATTAGGACCCAAACAGCAGGGATGATGGCGGTGGTGGGAGATGTCTGCAGATCAAGGACAAATCTCACCTCTTCAAACAATGTGATCCAACCGACACCAAGTCTCAAAGTCTTGAGAAAGGAGCTGGGCTGACCTGGGACCCTGTCTGGTTGGCAGGACTCTGGGCAAGCTACAGGGAGAGGAGCCTCCCATTGGCCCATCACACTGCTCCTCAGAACCTGGCGATGGGCTCTGACACTCGCTGAGACCCGTCCAGGGTGGTGGGGAGAGCTGCGTTTTGATTCCTCTGAGTTTGTCCTCTTACGGATCCTGGGATTGTGAGGCTGCCTTGCCAGGAGCCACCCCAAGCCCAGACCACGTGTTTCTAACCCCTCTGTCTTCTCCCTCTTATGACAGAGTCTGGCACCCAGAAAGGCCTCCAGGGGTCATCTCATCCAGCCCCCGGGCAGCTCAGCCCCCAAGCAGTCCTTTGCCAATGATGCAGCGGGGCTGTCACTGGGCCCCTTACCTGGTTTATAACCACAGCAGTTGGTTGCAGTTAACCACATCGCTATCCCAGCCCAGACTGGCAGTGCAACTCTGGGTGTGAGATAGGCAGGCTGGACCCCCAGGGAGTACAGTGTTATGCCATGATTGGATGGAGACAGGAATTTTGACATGTGAGGGGAGCATACCAGGATCCAAGTGCATGGATCCAAGCCACCTGCAGCCACGAGCCAGCAATCTCCAAGGCCTGAGGTCACCCTCTCCATGGGTGGTGCTGGGCTTGGGGCAGGGGCAGGGCAGGGGTGGGAGTGCTGACTGCAGATCCAGGGTGGTAGCTCTGCTTCTCGAGGCTCCAGGGAGAACCGGGCTGGTGTGTGGCCCTGGCATCTCCTGGTTTGGTCTCCTGCTCCAACTTGCCCAGCTGCAGCCCTCCCCACACCTCCCAGGTGATGCCTGCACCCAGCCCTTCTGTCTGTGCCTCTGCCAGCCTCAGCCACCGGCTTTCCTCCAAGTCTGCCAGCAACCAACAGCCAGCACCACCCTGGCCAGTAGAACACCACTTTTTCCTTGCAATGAAGCCAACAGGAGTGCCCTGCCTTCAGCTGGGATCTTCATGATGAGGTAGGAGGTAGCTCACGTGCTAAGCCGGCCCTGGATAAGCCTCGCTCCTGCCTGGTCCAGTCTCTCCCAGGCCCTGGCCTTCCTCTGCATGCCCAGGAGGCCACATGCCCTCAGCCACCCTCCCTCCCTCCTGGCAGCCACCTCATCGCAGCCCAGGCCAGGTGTCTGGGACCCGGATCCAATAATGTGGTCTGCTGCAGCCTGGACATGCGCCGGCTCAAGGAGGCCAGGAGGGTTTGACCAGCTCCGTGACTTGAGACAAGCTCGACGTTCTTTATTTGGGTGGCACAGGTTTCCTGAGGGCCTACTGTGTGCCAATCTTGAGTCTCCATCCTTGACCACAGAAGTGAGGGAAACACAGTACTACCGCCCCAGAGCTTCCAGTCCAGGTGTGGGGTGGGGAGACCGGCATCAGAGGAAACAGGCCGTGCCAACCCAGAATAAGCCTCCTAGCAGGGATAAGCTCTGGGGGGCTACCAGTCTTGCTAACCTGAGGGAGTCAAGGAAGGTTTCCTGGAGGCAGGGATGAGTGAGCATTTTCAAAGGAAGAACAGTTCCGGTCCAGAAAGGCCTGCTAAAGCAGAGAGGACCACAGCAGATGGAGGCTGTGTCTGGGGGGCGAGCAGGAGGCAGGGCAAGCATGGAAGCCTGTAGCTCTGAGTCCTGGAAGTCAAGTGTCCGGCAGACTGGAAGGGTGTGCTTACCCCTCGGGACTCCCCACTGTCTGCAGAATGACATTCAAACTCCTTATCTGGGCCCCCAAAACCCCCAAGGCCTGTGCCCTCCCTGCCCCCTCAGCCTCACTTGCCACCAACTCAGGACTCGCCCTTTATGTTATTTCTAGAAGCCTGCAACCCCCAGACACTGCCTGTCAGGCCTTTGCATTCATGCCCTTCCCCTTCAAAAAACACCTGTCTGATGAACTCCTAAGAGCTAAGGCTGGGATCTCTTCCACCCAGCACACGTGTCCCAGCCCTCCTGCCCCAGGCAAGGGCCTGGTGCTCCCACATGGCCCCTTATTAGCCTGGGAGACCCACAGCACAGCACTGGGTGAAGCTTCTACAGTGTGCTTCACTGCCTGTTCCACTGGATGGCTCAGATATTTGACTTTCATTCCCAGGCCCCTGGCACACAGTTGGCATCCAGTAAGCATGCCATGAGTGAGGGCCATCAGAGTGAACCCAGTGTTCTAAAGTCAGCTGTCTCCTGGATTGCCCCCGCACACCATGTCCCCCAGTGGCTGCCACCCAGTAGACAGCTGGTAACGGGATGTTTAACTGACCCCAGAGAGCCTCACACGAAGCCGAAGCCGCAGCCTAGCTCGTCGCTGGTATCTTGGAAGGTGCCAGTCAGATCTCATTGGCTAAACAAAAATCACTCTGACTCCCCACCTGAAATTCTACCACTGGACAGTCACTTCTTTGAAGCTTGCTAGTTTTCAAGAGCAACCGATTGAAATGCAAACTGCCCTGGAATAAGATCAGACTTTAAGTGGTTTTCATATAAAAAGTTCCCTTCTCTTAAATCAACGTGGATAGTATGGAGAGGGATGGAGGGAGGAGGAGGAGGAAAGCAAGGTGCCAAAAACTCTGTGCTGCCAGCTGTCCCTGGCTGTTACCGCTAAGGACACACCCTACTGATAAAAGGAAAATGTCTCCTGCTTGTTCCTGCACTTCGTGGTTTCTTGGCATGACACTGTGTGCAGAATTAAGTGCCTTTGCCGTGTGCTGCTTGCTCTTCCCCCTCTCCTTTCGATGACTCTCTCCAAGACACAATCAATCAAGCCTCTTTTGTTCCCGTGGCCTTTTGAAGGCTTCCGGAGAGGAAATGAGAACGCTCTTTAAAGCCCAGTCTACACGGAGCCTGCAAATCCAATCATGGTCTCCCTGCCAGCCCCCACTGTGGCCTGGCTTTGTGAGACCAGGTGCCACAGGTGGGCTTGGCTCTGGGTTCCTTGGCCAGGACTGTCCCTGGAAAGATACTCAAGGATGTCCCCAGCCCATATGGGAAGCCAGGGTGCCACATGAGACTTCCTAGAGAGCCCTCCAAGACGGCAGGAAGCTGCAGAGGAGGTCACAGGTTTAGGTGTCTCTTGGTCATGAGGCTGCTAGGCAAGGTCATTACTGGGAGCCAGTTCCCCTGCCCCAGAGCTGATTATTGTAAAGCTGTGTGCCCCAAATTTGGGTCTGAGCATGGAAGAGGTGCTCCAGGCTTTCTCCTGAGCCTGCATCCCATGACTCTTTGCAGTGTGCTGCTTGCTCCTTCCCCCTCTCCTTTCGATGGCCTCCCCAACAAGTCTTTCCAATCAATGGCCCACTGATGGGGACAGTCTGCCAAGGGAGCCCACCAGGTAGGGGAGCCTCATGGAGGTCCCAGGGATTGTAAGAGAGCCTGCAGTCAACCTCCTGTTCTACTCAGGAATCCTCTACAGCAGCAGTTCTCAACCGGGAGTGAATTTGCCACCAAGGGACATTTGGCAATATCTGGAGACATTTTTGACTGTCTCCAAATTGCGCCAGCGGTGGCCAGTGGGTTGAGACCAGGGATGCTGGTAGATATCCTGTAGTGACCAGGACAGTTCCCACAACAGAGAATTATGCAACCAGAATGTCCATGATGCCAAAGTTGAGAAACCCTCACCCAGAGTATTCTAGGCACTGTCATCCAGGCTCTGAGTGAATATCCTCCCAGGGATGGAGGTCTCACCACCTTAAGCTGTAAAGAGGCAGTGGTGCATACTGCATCTGAAGCCTGGGTCAGCCTCTTGCTGCAAACTGTGGGCAACTGACTCAGCTTCGCCACACCTCAGTTATCTTGTCATGGAAAATGGAGCTAACAATTTGATGCTCCAGGATTACTATGAATGAGTTCATGGCAAAAAAACATCTAGTACTGCACCCCACACACAGAAGGCACTTAAACCAAAGAAGGCCTGCTCAGGGGTTTCTGGTTTTAAAACACACTGAAGAGCAGAACTCCAGCTATCCCTGAAGGAAGTCTACCACCTGCCATAAAACACCTGCTAAGTCCCTGGCCTGCCTCAATGACACTGTCACAGGTAAGAAGAAACATGTAAGATGTTCACTACAGGGTTAAGTACACCCATTAAACCCTGACAACACCCCACATGTTTAACGGGAGGGAAATAGTTCTTAATAAATTGCTATCGTAGCGAGACAACGGGACAGTACTGTGCCTATTTTAGGTTATTATTGTAAAGACTTAGAGAAATACAGAAATGTTTAAGATCACACGTAAGTGAAAATAAAACAAAATTGCATACACACTATAACTGCAACTAGGAAAATGAACTATCTGTACAAGGGAGACAGTATATAAGAAAAAAATTTGTGTTTGAATAATGGGATTTTGAGTTATGCTGGGATTTTTGGTAATGTTCTTTTTTTTTTTTTGAGATGGAGTCTCACTCTGTCACCAGGCTGGAGTACAGTGGTATAATCTCAGCTCACTACAACCTCTGCCTCCCAGGTTCAAGCCATTCTCCTGCCTCAGCCTCCCGAGTAGCCAGGACTACAGGTGTGCACCACCACACTCAGCTAATTTTTGTATTTTTAGTAGAGACGGGGTTTCCCCATGTTGGCCAGGCTGGTCTCAAACTCCTGACCTCAGGTGATCCACCCGCCTCGGCCTCCCAAAGTGCTGGGATTACAGGCGTAAGCCACCGCACCTGGCCGGTAATGTTCTTTAATGTAAAACATCATTCTGCTTTTTCCATTAAAATGCTACTTATTAATAAATACAGAGAAAATATTAGGAGAAACTATAAATCGAGCCTGACTCCTGACCCGAAGCGAAAGAGGGTAGGAAAAATCTCAGAAGTTGACTGTGTGCTCCGCCAGTCCCAGGGGGAGCATCCCGGGCCTCAGAATGGGAAGAGGGGGCTGCTGCTCTGACCCCGGCAGGGCAAGGGAGGAGAATCTGCCTCTGCCCACCTGGTTTTGGCCCCTGGGTTTGGCCCCTAAGCCCCAGCCTCATTCTTCCTGGGAGTTATGACCACCACCCTATCAGAGGCCATTTCTCCTCATCCCCCCGCACTCAAAGGACTGGCCCTCAGTGCTGGGCAGTGAGGGTGCAGCAGGACCAGGCCAGGCCAGGCAGCAACTGCAGGCCAGGGGCATGGCTCCTATTCTCTCATCTCAGCCTCCCACCAGGCCCAGAAGCAGGGACAGCTTGTGTCTCCTTTTATAGACTATGGAGCAAGGTGAAAGAAAGGTTTATGCCCAGGGCCCATGCAGAGTGGAAGAGATATGGGAGCTGACACGATGAAGCCTCAGGGCTCGGATGCTCAGGACAGAGGGGTGAGCCAGCTCACAGCCCCAGGGCAGCTGGGGCTGCCACGACTATGACCCTGACGTTCATGGACAGAGGTGGGGTGGGGTCACCTCACTGGTGTCCAGAAGCTGTAACACAGCTCAGAAATACGACAGAAAGCCTCCAAAGAGCCTTCACAGGACATCGCTGGGAGAGGAGAGAACCACATCTCCAATAAACGTGCATCAGACTGGCAAGCTCCAGAGTTCCAGGCTGGAAACGACCCAGGACTGGCTCTGCCACTTACCAGCTGGGAACCCGGGTGGCAGGCTTAACGTCTCCAGGCTGCAGCTGCTGTGTCTGTAGTGTAGTGGACAGTGATACCATCTATTGAATAGGACACCCGCCATGGGGCCAGAGGCCTCCCCACCAGCCATGTCCCTCATCCCACACCACTCTGCCTGCTGGAAACTCCCTCCTCCTGCTGGGAAGGGGAGCAAACGACACACCCCACGCTGCTGGAAAAACTCCCACAGGTTCTGCCTGGAGCTGTGCTGAGCTTCTCTCTCTCCTTCCTTCCTCCTTCCCTCCCTGTCTTCCTCCCTTCCTCCTTTCACACTGGGCAAGGGTCCCTATATTTCAGTGGGGATGGTGGTCTCTGCTTCTCTGCAAGAAAGAGGGGAAGATGCCTGCTCCCAGGACAGGGCGAGCTCTCAGCCCCCAGCTGGAGCTCGGCAAGTGGATCTTCTTGGTCTCAAGACATCTGCTCATCTGGATTCAAAAGGAGTCTGCCTTCCAGCTGAAGGGGGCGTTATGAGTGTGTGTGGCACGCCCGCCCACATGCTCACTCCAGGCTTCCCTCTTCAGTGATAACTGCTAAGTAAGACCTGAGTAATAGATGCCTTTCTGAGAACCGAGAAACCCAAAGGTATTTATGTGCCATGAAGAAAAAAAAAAAAGAAACACAACCTGCTGCACTGAATCCACATTCCTTCACCATGCAGTGATGTCTACGGGGCTGAAAAAGAATGCGGGTGTTGTTTTCTTTCCCCATTTGCCTAAACACAAACACACCCGTGACACATACGCACACACAAACACACACTCACACACGTATACACTCTCTAAGCTGCCACAGCTCAGACCTGCACTCTCCCGGGCTGGGAAGGAGAACAGAGCCCGAGGCTGCCAGTCCTGGCCCGGGGAGGCAGGATGGCGGAGTGGTTAGGAGCAAGGCTGAGGGGGTCAGGCCGCCCTAGTGTCTGACCCCGGCCCTGTCTTAACCTACTGTGTGCCCTTGGGCAAGGTAATTAACTTTTCTGTGCCTCAGTTTCCTCCCTGTGAATAGATAATGGACATGGCATGCCTAGCACAGAGAAAGCCCTCAGTAAATGTCAACCATTATTATGACTGAACCACAAGAGTCTAAATCCTCTTGCTGGGCAGGGATTAGGACCAAACCCTCTGGGCAATGGCTCCCAACTCTTGGGCCATGTTACCGGCAGACCCACCCTAGTTCCTTCTCCAAGTCAGGTGTGTGCACTCTGTGGCACCTTTGCCGTCATGCACCACCATGCTCAACACCTGCACCTTGCAAGCCTGTCCTCAGTTGCCTGTTAGGCCAGGAACGAACTGCAGGAGGTCCTGGCCCTACTGCCCAGCACTGGCCAGGGGCTCACACACACCCTGGTGTAAGATCCTTCGTCAGCAGGATTTCAAATGTCACAGCCTGTCTTAGGAGGCAATGGGACCTGCTGGCCTTTCCAGATGGGACCTTGAAAAAACAGCTCAAGCCTCCTGAGCCACAGTTTCCTGATCTGTAAAATGGAAGGATGATAGTCTGTCTGTAAATGTTTCACATGAGCTGATGCGTGTAAGTACTCTGGGCAGTGCGGGCTCATGACAGTGCACAGCGGATATTACCTTGGTTTTTACTTTACATGGGAAGGGTGTGGGTATATAGGGAGGGGAAGTTTATGCTCTTCCTTCTTTGTGCTTCCCTGAGAGCCTGGCTCCTGAGTCAGCCATGATGGGGCCTCTTAACCCAAATTTTCCCCTGTCCAATTTCCCCTGAAGCATCCCCAATCCCATTTGCCGGGCAAGCCTGGTGGCCCAAGTGACCAAATCAACCCAGGGTTACACCTTCCTCTGGTTCAACCCAGCACTTCCACTGGCAAAGCCGGAAGCATATTTTACAAAGCCTCTTGTATTTGCAAGCCAACCTGGTGGCTTCCCTGTCGCAGCTTCAGGAGCAAGACAAGCAGGCCAGAGGCCATGGGTGTGCCAGGTTCTCCATCCAGCACTTACCTGGCCATGTGGAAGGTCTCTGTGCCCTGCCTACCTGGACTGGCCCCCAGCCTGCTGTATACCCCCTGGGCACAGACAGCTAGACAGGTCCTAGGGTGACTTCACCCCGTCTCACCCCACCAGCCACATGTGGAATCTGAAGCTCTGCCTGCCTGCCACTCAGATGCCCCAGAACTCAGGCACAGCACCTGCCCTCACCGTTCACACGCCCCGCCACACAGTCCTGCGCCACATCACCTGCCCTAGGAACCCGGCAGGTAACCCACCGTGCCCCCTAATTGTTTTCTCTGGCTGTGTGTGGGTGATGGCAGGAGCTGCAGGGACTGAATCAGGAGCGACGATGGGAGCACTCTGAGTCACAGGAAAGGAGGGACGCTGTGAGGAGCTAACGTCGAGTTCTGAGATACAAAGGAAGAGGAGGAGGAGTGGGCCAGGAAGCCCAGGGCTGCCAAATAATTGGGCATCTCACAACATAGGGAGGAGAATCGGGAGCGAGGAGGCCAGGACAGCCCTGTCAGACCCCACTTTCTTGGCCATCATCTGTGGGGGCTACAAGGCTTCAGCAGCACAACTCATCAGTTAGGTGGCAGCAGCTCTGTTTACAGTGGGTACTGGGCCACCTTCCCTCCTCCAAACAAAAACAAGCCCTGCCCCATCACAACCATGCTGAGCCAGCTGCACGCTGCCAACCCCGTGTTTGATGCCACCAACACAGCTGGGCCTAGCCGGGTGGGGGCTGCCTGCCCCCCATGGCCTCCCAGCAACTTCTGTACCCCCAGTGAGTCTCCGTGCTCCCACTCTGACCACACTGGGCTCTGCACCCCAGCCTGGGGTGCAATGGCCCAAGTCTACACCCCAGATGCAAGTCCTCAATGGCCAAGTCTCAGGCAGCAGAGACCCTGGGCCACTCATCGCTGTCCCTCCAAACAAGTAGCCCCCCAGAGGCAATGTCTGCAGAGACCCCCCAAGCTTCTGTGCTCCCACTCTGACCACACTAGGCTCTGCACCCCCGCCTGGGATCCAATGGCCCAAGTCTACACCCCAGATGCAAGTCCTCAATGGCCAAGTCTCAGGCAGCAGAGACCCTGGGCCACTCATCACTGTCCCTCCAAACAAGTAGCCCCCCAGAGGCAATGTCTGCAGAGACCCCCCAAAGCTTTCCTCCAGCTGCTGCTGCACCTGCCTGCCGCGCCCCTCCCTGCCGCGCTCCTCCCCAGGCTGTGTGGGCACACATGTCAGGTCAGCATATCCACACAGGCCCCCACCCTCTAAGCCTGCAGCCCAAACGGCACTGGAAACAGGGACTGGTGCCACCACCTCCCTGTCCCTCATCTCGTTCAGACACGCCTCACCCCCACACACGCCCACTCCGTCTCCCACACTCACTCACACACGGCTTCTCACACATCTCCTTGGACTCACAGGAACTCACACTCTCACCCTCACTCACACATAAACACACTCGAACTGACACAGCACACACACACAGTCATACTCTGGCTCACGCTTACACACACTTGTACACTATCACACACACGCATAGTCATATGTTCCTAAAGACACACGCTGGTTCCCACTCTCACATTCATCCACTCTCACATCATACACACACTCACGCAATCAGCTGCACATGCTCAAAAAGCCATGCACTCACACACACGCGTGCACACAGCTCCACTGACAGCACCGCCCCCTGCCCCGTGTCAGGTGCCCACCTCTCACTGCTGGGGAGGTGGCAGTGGGTCCTTCTGGAGACAGGAGCTCCCAGCTGTGAGAGGAGGGAGTTTGCAGGTGGGAGAGGTCCTGGCCCACAGCTCCCCACGCAGACCCTTGGGCCCTCTACACGCTGCACTCACAGGGTGGCTCAGAGGCAGTCCCCGGCCCACTGGAGCCTTCCCTCAAGACCCCACTCGGCCCTCTGGCTCCTCTTGGGAGAACGCCGGCTAGGATGCCTCTGCCCCGGCTCAGCCCCAGGCCTCCACAGCCCCTGACCCAGCTGCTTCCTCTAACCTCACAGCCTCACAGGGAGGGCTGGACTGGAGAACCAGAGTCCAGGGATAATCCTGGGTCCTGGATCTTGGTGAGGTCCCCCTGCATTCCACCCTCTTACTGGGATGACCCCAGCTTCCACCCAAGGCTCACTGTGATGCCCCCAACCAATCAGACCCCACTCCACCGCCCAGGCAAATGTGTCTAGGGCAAGGAAAGGGCTCGAGGCAGAGGGAGGGCTAGAAGTCTACTGGGAACCCAGAAGAAAAATATGCATCTACACAGCCACCAAACACGCCAGAGCAAGCAGGCAGGCTAGACTCAGCACACCCTGGACCTCACTCACAACCAAGCATCCCAGAGCCCACTGGGCCTCCCTTTGGAAGCTGACAGACTGGAAGGAGTCAGGAGCTGGGTTCCAAAGCTAATAGAGCCTCTTACAAGCTGTGCAACCCAACCTCTCTGACCCTCAGTTTCCCATCTAGAAAGCGGGAACAACATGTCCGGTGCTGCGAAGATTAAATGTGTCAATATGTGTCAAGGCCCAGTGCCCAGAAGGTGCTCCATGCCATCGCCTCCTGCCATCTCATCCCTCACCTGCCCAGGCACCTGATGGGGGTGGTCCGGGCTCAGGAGCTTCCATCCCTGGAAAAACAGCATCCAGTTCAGAGGGCTAGCTGGGGCCCTGCCTTGCTGATGGGACCATCCCAGCCCCTGGGCAGGCTAAGCCCAGGAAAGCGATTTGTGCCAGCCAGGGCGAGAGCGTTAGAGGAGGCCTGGGGTCCAGGGCCGCAGAACACAAAGGGATGGGAGCCCGGGGGAAGGCCGGGTCTGCTGTTACTTGGCTGATGCCTCCTGCCCATCCCCTGTGCCCCTGTACGACATGGCATATGGAATCTGCCAGCCTCACATTCCCCCCAGGGGAACACTCCCCTTCCCACCTTATAGGTGAGGAAGCTCTGACAGCATGCCCACCCTCATGTTCCAAACCCAAGTCCACAGAGAGTTCCAGACCCCAGGCTCTCTCTAGCGCTCTGCTCCCCTGCCTTGGAGGATCAGGTTTTTTAACTAGGAAGGCCATTCCCTAACTAAGCAAACCAGGGGCTCTTAATTACTCTGGGGGGTACTCTCCCTAGTGAGAACCCTTCGGCGCTCTGCTGAGAGGTGCATGGGGGAGCAAAATGCCTCCACCCCGAGGCAGGCACTGGGGGGCTCTTTCAAACGCCAGGAAGGGCGTCTCAGCACCTCCGGAGCATTAGCGCACTGTTCGCATCAGAAGCCATCCAGCAGGCACACGTGACACCACCACCAACTACCCCTGATGGACACCACTGAACGGCACCGGGAGAGGTGAGGCTACATAAATAACACACGCGTCACGAAGCATAATTATTAAATGTTGTCATTTCGGAAGAAAATTAATTAGCAATAGCTGTAGCTGTCTTGTGTCTGCTTAAGCAGCGTGCATCTCAATTAAAATTTAATTGCCACAGCTTCAATCACAGCAGGTTAAATGGCTTGAAATGCTGAGCGGGCCCATATCTACACAAAGCTTAAATTAGTGTGGAGTGGAGGAGCTGTCACAGAAGGGGAGGTGATAGGTAGGAAAGTGGGCAAGACAACAAGGTCCCGGCATACCCACGTCCCTATGTCGACCAGTCCTGGCAAGGGGCAGCATTTCCAAGTGTAGAGATGGACATGGAGGATGCTTCCTGGACCACCCACACAGACTAGCTCTTGGGAAAAGAGATTTTAAGGCTGGCATGAGTCTGGTGGGCTCTCATGGGAGCCCGGGCTTTGGGCAGGGGGCCACATCACAGAAAAGGATCTGGGGTGCAAAGGCTGGCAAACAGCTGACAGTGTGTCACCCCTCAGAGGAAGCAAAGGTCTCAGGCAAGGACTGCCAGTTCCCATACCAATGGAGTCATGCAGCAGGGCTGGCAAGCCTGGGGCAATAGGGAGTGGTGAGGACTGTGGCAAACTGGAGCACACAGGCCTTGTCAAAAGCAGACAGCTGCTGCTCCCCTCTGGCCAGCTTTTCCCACACAAGGATGAGGACTCAGTAAACCAAACCCTCAAAAAAGTCAAGAACAGGGGTTTTATTTCAATTTTCCTGTATAGTAAAACAGCCTGGTGATGACCAGGCCACGGGTTACCAATTTTCCACTTCCTGTCTAGGAATTTGTGCAAATAAATACACATGAAAAGGTGTCATCTTAGATAGTAAATTAGTGGCTGCCAGGGATGGGGAGCGACTGCTAATGGGTATAGGGTTTTTTGAGAGGGTGATAAAAATGTGTAGAACTTAGATATGTGGTGATAGTGGTTTAGATAGTGGTGGTGGTTATTCAGCTTTGTTAATATTCTAAAAAGCAGTGAATTGTACACTTTAAGAGGGTGAATTTTATGGTACGCGAATTACATCTCAATAAAGCAGTTATTTACAAAAACAGCAGGGAGGGGATGCAGTCTTTACCTCAAATGCACCCAAAGCTGCCAGATTTCTCAGCAGAGCATCTTTCACTTGTACTAGTTATTGGTGAATGGAAGGCCCAGTTCAGCCAGACTCTGGGTTGAGATCTGGACAGACAGCAGGGCGGCCGCATCCACACTGCCTCCAATGCACTTCTAAATCCTCACATCCTATCGGGGTGCCTGCTCCTCACCTTGAAATTGGGCTGCTTGTAAGTGAAGGGTAGTGGATGATGGAAGGGAGGGAAGAAAGGGGGGAGGAAGCCAGAGAGGGAAGGAGAGAGGGAAGGAGGGAGGGAAGGAGGGAGGGAGGGAGGGAGGGAAGGAAGGAAGGAAGGAAGGAAGGAAGGAGGGAGGCAGGGAGGGAGGGAAGGGAGGTAGGTAGGTGAGGTCCCCCTGGCCAGGAGGCACAACCCAGCAAGCTCCTAATGAGCCTCCAACACCGCTGAAGCACATCTCCCCCTCCATGAAGCGGCCTGGCTGAGCTCATTATCCTGCCCCACTTTGAGCCCCAAGGCCGTGCTGCCTGCCACCTGCCACCTGCGACTATGCACATGCAGTTCTGCTGGCCCAATCACTTCCCTCACCCCACAGCCAACTGGGGGCTACCTGAGGGCAGATACTGTGCCGCTACTGTACCCAAGCACGCAACAGACGCGCAGGGCCTATCATCCCTCTTCAGCACCAACCAATGCCCAGCCTGGCACAGCTGGCAGCCGCAGACAGCATCAGGGGCCGGCATGGCATCTGAAAGCAGGGACAAGGCCAACATCAGCACGTCAGGCTGCAGTGCCTGAATGAGGAGCCCCCAACGGCTTTCCCATCCCTGCCTGGGCTGTCACCGCGGGTGACAGGATGCCACACATAATGTGTGGGATTCTTCCCCCTCACACTGCAGGGCTTGGCTTTCCTCTCAGAAAAGCAGAGTCTCAGAATGCCACTCACCATCAGGCACACCGATATCCTACCCGGGCCCGGATGCTACAGGCCTACGCTCTAAGACTGGCTCTTTCTCCCCTTTTCCCCCAAAAGACTTATTCAGAGCTTAACAAAGTTCTCACTCTGACCCACTTGTTACACTTCGAGCAGTCTACTCCACAGGGACCTCAAAAGAGCTGTCACCACAAAGTTGTTTGTCACAGGAAAGCACATACTGTCAAAATAGTGAAAACAACTGCAAATGGCCAAAAATAAGGGGCTGGTTAAGTAATCACGGCATGTCCACACAATGGGATATCAGACATTGAGAGCAATATTTACACATTGATATAATAACATGGGAAGGGTTTATGCTAAAATATCAAGGAGAGGGGAGGGAAGGCTCCTCAGAGGAAGGAGACCTTGCGGGGTACCCAAGAATTTGAAACCCAGATGCAAAGTTGCAAATGCAGGAGGCTGTCCTAACGGTGGCTGCATGCTGGAGAAGAGGCCCCAGAAGGAAATGTGCCTCTTACCAGCATTGCTGCTGAAGAATGCCACGGTCAATGGCTTCTTTCTTCTTCATCTATGTTTTCCTGAACTTCTACATTATTACCTTGAGCACAAATTGTTTATAATTATTAGGAATATACTCTTAAAACATTTGTCCACAGCAGAAGATATTCATTCCGCCTTCTCCAACAAGGGCCAAGGGTCAGGCAGGCAGACCTGGGAACCTCTGGGCCTATGGCCAGGCCCGAAGGGCTCAGCAGGCCTCCTTCCTATCACTCAGCCAGGAGTGGGCAGCCGGGGTGCTCCTGGGGACTCAGAGTTAAAACATTCCCTCTGCCATTGATGATGCTGGTGTGCTCCCTGGCTGCGAGGCTCCACACTAGCCCATATAGAAAGCAAAACAAGTGTGCTCTATGACCTCTGGAGGCTTGCTGAGTGGAAACAAACAAACAAAACACAAGACCAATAGTGACTTGCAGAACAGGGTGCTGAGTCTTGGGGAGCTGGAGATGGGGAGGGAAGGCTCCTCAGAGAAAGGAGACCTTGCGGGTTACCCAAGAATTTGAATGGCATCCAGTCTTGAGGTTCACACAGGACCAGCACTGTCTACCCTCTCCTGGTCCAAGGCAGGCATTGCTAATCAATCACAGTGCTTCTCCCAGCAGCCCCTGGGGTCCTTCTCACTCAGGGCACCAGGCAATCTCTATCAATCAAACTGCCCTAGCACAGAGACAAAACCCAGCCTCCATCACCCTGCATCCCCCTCCATCTGTGTGCGTTAGGCAATGGGAGTTTAAGTCAGGGAGTAGCATGACCTCATAGCATTTGACAGGGGTCACTCCGAAAACAAGGATGGCCTGACAGCAGGGAGGCCAGTCAGGAGAGAGTTATACAAATCCAAGCACTGGAGGCATAAAATACGACTGTGCAGTCTGCAAGCACCGTGGGCGTTGGCCATGGAGGAAGTGGGGAGGGCCACACCACCTACTTGGTTGCTGGCTTCCACTCCCCTTCTAACTTTGAGGAGTCCTGGTCCAGCAAGCCCAGTGGCCCCTCTGGAAGGCAGAAGACTCAGTGCTTGGCTGAGCATCTGAATGCTGCTAGTCACAGACCCTGTGGCCACAAGGTCTGCATCAGACAGCCTAAGGCTGGGACAGGCAGAAGGCCCCCTAAGACAGCTCTGGGCTCCAGCCCAATGACTCACAGCCTCCCGACTGGAAGGGCAGTCAGAGCCGCACTAAGTCACACTACTCTCCCAGAGCACTGGCTTTCAACAGAAACATCTTCTGTCTTCACAGAAGATGGCAAAAGTCTTTGAGAAGGAAGGCCTTTGATCGACCCCTTAGAATCAAGAACTCTAAGTTGAAAGGAAGGACGCTTGGAAAACAGCCAGCCTCACCAGTCATTTTACAGATGCGGAGGCCAAGCCTCAGAAACCTGAAGCCATTTGCCCGAGGTCACAGAGCTGGTGAGGAGCAAGGCAAGTGTCCGCCCCAATCGCACAGCATAGCTCTCATTCCTTGGGCCCAGAAGAGTGCTGAACCCAAGCGGCACGTGCTGGACACCTGCCAATGGGCTGAGCGACACAGGGAAGGGTCCTGCCTGAGCTGCTGCCACCACTCTCTGTGCCGGCCCGCCTCCTCATGCAGAGCACAGTGAAGAGGGCTGAGATCCTGCAAAGCCAGGACACAGGCAGAGCCCACCAACGTACCCCAGGGTGGTATCCATGGCTGCCTTTCAGGTTCACTCTGGCAGGCTTTCCAAAAGTCTCTGATTCGCTGCCACAGAGCCACAGGCAGCCAGACAAAATGCAGATTCCTGGTGAGTCTGGGCCTGGGCAAGTGGGGCAAAAATGGATGTCATAACTAGGCTCTGAGCTCAAAGAGTTAACTCAGGCTCGGCAGGTGGGAGTCTAAGGGCGTGGACGGTGTGGTGGGCATGCAGAGGAGGCCCCTTCCACCAGGTCCCAGCAGCCTGGAGGGTAGGTGGTCAGCACTGATGGCTGAGCCCAAACATAATCATTATAGTTTGAGAACACCCAACAGGCACCTGGCCCGCTGCTGAGCACTTTCCATTGGTGACCATCCCTGAGCTGCACAACGCTCTGTGCTACCAGCTTAATTCACAATGAGGAAATTGAGGGTCCCTGAGGTTCACTGCCTTGCCCAAGACCTCAGAGCACGAGAGAGGCAAGCCAGAAACTGCACCCATGTCCCACCTCACATCATTCCTGGCTGTCAGGAAGCAGGCAGCGTGTGGCTGTCGTCCAGCAATGGCAGCCCAAATCCCAAATACAGAGCACCTTCCCTGGTGTCATCCAGTGATCAGCAACAGCTCCTGGGTCCCCTGATGCCTGCATCAGGCACCAAGATGAGACACACACACAAAACACTGCTCCCACCCTCAGTGCACTCCTGGTCCAACTGGGAAGACAGACAGCTAAACCCCTATGGGTCCTGAAGCTGGGCCCCGTGCTCGGGGACCCACCACAGGGCATGGAAGGGTAGGAGATGGGGGCAGATGAGGCATTCCAGCAAGAGACAGCCAGGCAAGGCCTGGACAGGAGGAGGCTGGGGGTGGGGGATGGAAAGGCAGCCATCAGGGAGAACAGTGGATGTGTTTGTGTTTGGAGCTGGGTGCTGGGAACATGGAAGCCTCATATGGGGCCACCGAGGTGTTCAATTCTAGGAGCCGCCAAGCTATATTCTTTGTGATTTGGATCCCTGAATACAACCCGAAAACAGTGATTATCACTAGGGGCTGGGGCCAGGAGAACTGAGCACCAGGCTTCCTCTCAGTCAGCATGACCCAGGCAGCTCCCTCCTTCTGCAGGGCCAAAATGAGGGGACAGGAGGCAGCAGGCACCTACTTGTCAGCCAGGACCCATCCAGTCATGCTGCCTTCTAGAGGCTGTGCCCACACATGCACATGCACACACACACACAGTGTTTGTGCACCCAAACTTCCACACACTTAAAGCCCATGCACAAGCAGACACACATTCCCAACACACTCCCAAACAGGCAGAGACGCACACTCCCAAACACATGCACACTCAGAAATGCACTCACATACAGACGCAAGCAAATGCACACAGAAGCAGTCACAGACACACCCCTACATTCACAAATGTGCCCAAACACACACACGCTCTCACACAGCCGCACAGCACATGTGTACATGCATGCACGCACATGCATGAGCACTGCAGGGGCAAGACTCTGAGCTTGCCTTCTGTAAGTTATTTCCTAGAAGGACCTAGTGTTAAACCCTCATTGTCACCTAGGGTGAGCATGGACAACTCCCCAGTAGCTGGGAGCGCTGGGCCAGGTCTCTAGGGCCTGGAGGGGTCCTTCTACAGAGACAACTTCCAGGAGAGAAGGAACTAAATGCACAGGGCACTGAGGTTCAGGGGATGCCCCCAGGCCCCGGCACCCATGGAGCCCCGGAATCCCCCATCCTGCAGCAGAAAGGGCTCACTGGACTGGGACAGTACTTGCTGCCCAACACTGGCCATGGGCTCACCAAAAAGTTAGGGGCCTGTGCGCTTTAGCCCTCTCCTGATTTTCCTCCATTCCTCCCATCTACAGCTTTGTCCTTTCATTCAGTCAACACTGGCGGCGGGAGCTAGTGCCAGACCACCAGGCTGGGCACCAAGTGGGGGCTCCAGAGAGAGTGGATTCTGGAGGTGAGCGGTGCTCTTTGGGAGGAAGGAGCTACTTCCTGTCAGAGATGCTCTTGCTGTTGGATCGTTTTCAAATGAGGACCCTTGTCAAGTCTTCATCACTGAGAAGCCACAGGAATAGGGCCTGGCCAGCCTGGGGAAGGCTGTCAAAGTTCCTGGTTGAATGAATGAAGAGCTAAAAGAATGGTCAGCTCCCCAGGTTCACCACCAATCTGTCAAACAGTGCCAGCCCACCACCCTTCCAGAGAGCCCATCCCCAGAACTTGCCTACTTCTGGTGGGGCGGAGTGGGGCAGGGTGCACACACACGCACACACACACACACACACACACACACACAGGGGCGGGGCCTCTTTCAGGCAGGAGGAGGCTGACCCAGTCCCTGACATCCTGGGAGCAGGACCACAAGTCTTAGCAAGTTCCAGGGCTCATCCAGCCAGGCAAGGCAGGGGAAGAGGGGCTGTCCAAGCCACTACTATTATTTCATCTTTGAGACTCCCTGTGAGGCACCAACAGGACCTCCCTTCCATAGTTGAGGAGACAAGCTCAGAGGGTCGCAGAGTGCCCAGGTCATGCCAAAGGCGTTGGAGAATGGCCCCTCATTGTGCAACAAGTCACTCTGTAGACGGAGCCCCTTCTGTTCCCAGCAGCGGGCCAGATGCAAGTTTTGTGGTCTCCACCTGCTCTCAGCCTGCAGGCCAGCTGGACAGAAAACAGTTTCTCACCTGCAGTTCAACAGGCCCACCCACAGTAGCCCACCTTCCCATGGAAAGTCCCTGCAAGCAGAGCTCAGTGGCCTCGCCAGGAACCCCAGCTCTGAGGGCGCTTCTCCTCTCTGGCTCAGTGCTTCCTCTGAGACGGGGATAAGTCCGCCCACCGCATAGGGCAGCTGTGAAGATCGAATGGGAAAGGCACAGGGGCTCTGAGCACAGGGCCTGGCAGCCGACGCCGGGTAAAGGCGGGCTCCTGTGATCATCAGTGCTAGTAGAAATACTGCTATTCCAGGGTAGATGCTGCAGCTTTTAATTTTTAAAATATGCCAAACTCGAGCTTCAGACAAGAGTAAAAATAGTTTGGGGAAGAAGAGCCTGGGGTGGATTTGAGGTTCCAGGAGCGTCGGGACAGCCATGAACTGAACTCTGAGGAGTATCAGCAGCACTGACTGTGGTGGGGGGTGAGGGTGGCAGTGGTGGCAGCCACCAGGCATCGAGTCCTTCTGATGTGACAGGGGCCTGCACTTCCTAGATTTATCTCCCTCCCACAGCACAATGTCCATGGGAATTGAAGTGGTACTGAAGTCTGCTTTTCCAGATGAAGACAAGAGGCACAGACAGGCAAAGAACTTGCCAAGGGTCACACAGCCGGCTTGCTGGACAAGCGCCTGGGTTAAGGCCCAGGTGGGGCCAGAGCCCACGCAGGCCACTGTGGCTGGGGCAGGGTGACCCAGGCGAGGCAGTGGGGGCTGGGCAGAGGGGCATGGCCTCTCAGAGCGGGGGGCACAGGCAGACGGTGGGAAGATGCTCCCACTGCTCCCGTGCCCCTGTGCCAATTTGGTGAGTGTATTAAAAAGTTTCTTTTCAATTACCTCTTTCTTGAAAATTACTAATAGCGCTCTGATGGAGATGCGACTTAATTTCCCAGTTGGCTTGGAAATGAGGAGACCCATAATTGTTTGACCCTCTCACCAGCGGCAGACTGGGAGAGGGAGCTTGGCTCCTCAGAGGCCGAGCGTGAATAAAAACATCCCCACTGAACATGCTTGCCACCCGCCCCCGCCCCCAGCGCCAGACTCCGGCCACCAGCACCCAGCCCAGCACCCTGCTCAGCACATCCAAGAGCCCGGCCTCTCACTCAGCTGTACCCTTGGAAAAGCGATCAGTGCTGGCGGCAATCTCCACAGGGGCCCCAGGCTCTGACTGGCCTAGTCTCTCCCAGCAAGGAGGTGGCTTCCACAGGGCCCCAGCTCCTGCCTTGAAGGCAGGCAAGCCCAGCCCCTCTGGAGGAAAGAACAAGTTACGTAGAGGTCGGTTAGAGCCTGCTGTATGTCTGTCGGGCCTTCCCGGCAATTTCGCACTTCACATTTGCAAAAGCCACAAGAGAAGGGCATGATTATAGCCCTGGGCAGCTAAGGGGACCAAAAGCCAGGTGTCCACATTCCTACAGGTGTGGCCTGTCGGTTTCCCCAGCCTCTCTCCAGCTGCCCTGTCATGGTCCCTGCCCAGTGACACTGCAGACCTGGGAACAGGCCCTCCATAGCGAACTGCCCTAAGTACAGCCTCTGGAATTTTTCCCAGGAATTTCACTGAACTCTTAAGAATCTACTCACATAATAATATAATGATGATGGCCACCGGTTTCTTTAATGTCAACTCTCTCATGTCATGTTTTCTCAGTGACTCCTACAAACCACCCTGCAAGGATTCACCATTATGTCCCTAGTTTACAGATGCAGAAACTGAGGCATAAAGACCTTAAACAGAAGAGCCAGGATGCCACCAGGCCAGTCTGAGCGTAGAGCTAATGCTCCTCCGCTGCTCTCACCACCTCCTGGCTTCCTCCTGCTTCTGGTGAACACAGAACCTCAGGCTATCAGGGGAGGGCCTTTCTTTCCCATTTCTATGGTGTGGTCCCTCCTGACCACTGACTTTTCTTCTCTGCCCAGGGCAGCCTCCATACTCTTCTACTCAAGGGCTTCCCCCACAATCCTCTCCAGCCCGGAAAATGCTCCAGGAGCCACCTTCCCTCCACAGGTGGGGAGCCTAGGGTCAGCCCCAGGGGCGTGAGGCCCTCTCCGTCCAGTGGATGGGCACATTATGGGGCCTGCGAGGGTATGCTGGACGCTCTTCACACTGTCTGGGTGGCAGGAAGTGACGCGCTTGCCTGCTGCATTTCCTGGAGAGACTGATGTGTCCAAACTGAGGCGCCACAGCTGGACCGAAGGCTGCGAGGTCACAGAGGGTCAGCTGGCTGCAGACATGCTGAAGAACAGCAGGGATAACTCATCCCAGCCCCAGCCTTGCCGCGTGAACCTCCGAACCCTCCCCATCGTGATGCAAGGAAACACGATCCAGCCACGCGAGAGGGGAGCTGGGCAAGAGCTCCAGACGTCTCCGAGACCTTGCCCACAGAGGGACTTTTGTTTAGAAAACAGGCGTTATCACTGTGACAAATGCTGTCTGAATTCCAGGAGGAGTGCTTTTCCTGCTGCTCTGTAAATTCCACATTCTCTCTTCACATCAACATCTCCTATCTCATTCCCTGAGTCTCCTGCAGCCGCCTTAGCGCGTGCCAAAAGGAAATCAGGCAGCGAACTTCAAAAACACAAGGAGACAGCGGTCTCAAAGACGCCTGATGGGCTCTTCTCACCTCCACCTGACTGCAACGGAGAAAGAGCTTTGCTAGGCCAAGGGGGCCCATCCCACCCTGCAGAATCTCCTGTCTCCCTGAAGCCTGTTCCCCAGACCTGCCCTAACGGGTCCTGATGGAGGGGGCGTCAGCTCCAAGGTGTCACTGGCAGGCAGGGGAAAGGTTCAGGCACACCCCTGAACCAGATCCTGAGGGGCCCTTCCAGCCCCGGCCTGGGTACAGACCAGGTCCCTGCCCAGTCAGCTGGGCACAAAGCCAGCTGGCCCTCTCCCTTGGCGGCCCTCTGTTCCGGCTCTCCCAACACCAGGCCTTCTTGCTGCCTCCAGTTCCTGCATTTGACTCCCCTGGGTTGATCGCTCTTTAGCCACTTATTCATACCTCCGGGCTTGGCCTCATGCAAAGGCATGAAGAGGCCACCACCAAAGTCAGCCATCGGCTGTGCAGCCCAGGGAGACCCTGTCCTTAGAAGTGCAAGGAAAAGGACAGGCGGCCCGTCTGCCCTCTCCCAGTGGCAGCTAGGACTGGACTGGGCTCAGGGTGTGAAGTGGGGTTTTGTCCCCTGAGGGCACATGAGAGAGGCCCAAGGATCCCAGACTGGGGTCTAGAGAGACAGTGGGACCAGCAGAGAGGAGCCCTCAGCCCCAGGGGCAGGGGGAGGTTCAGGGAAAGCCTCCTGAAGGGGGTAGGAGGAAGGGAGGGCAGGAGTCATGGTGCCTGGAACTAAGGTGGCGCTCACCACATACAGGAAGAGGAGTGATGACCACCTCTGCCACTTCTGCTGGGCAAATACTGCATGAATGGACGGTGAACAAATGAACAAAATGTTACAGCTCTCCATTTCCTCAAGAGACACAAAGGCAGAGCTAACACAAAGACACTAGAGCTAACTCAGAAGCCTTTTATTAGACAAGCACAGAGCTCTGGGACACAACAGCTTCCTGTTCCCAGTCAGATGTTCCACGTTATGTGAATTTTAGAAATGCTGGGCAAACATGCAAAAAGTTTCTTTACTTCAGGATTTTTCAGAGTCTTCGAAATAGCAACACGCACTTTTAACATCTGGAAAAACCACAGAGCACGTGGCTTCTCCCACATTCACATGGACCCCAGCCCTTTCTACCTGCAGCAGCCTGCGCAAAGGGGAATGAAAAGCAAACTCTGGGCAACCCTGTTCCCTTCTACAACACAGAGCAAAGGACACCAAGTCAGGCTTGTCTGCAGCCAGTGGTCCCTCCAATACCCAGCTGTGACCCGGACACTCACTCCCACTCAAGTAAGGGATACAAGTGAGGGTGACATGCAAAGGCAAACCTGGAAGTAATCCGTTCTCTTTTTTTTAAAAGATTAAAGCATTCACAGAAACACCTGAAGTGTACCTAGCTTAGCAAATTTCTGGGGACACATCTCACAAGCGTGTCAAGAAGCTACAACCAGAAACCCTGCTCCTGACCGCCTGGAGGTGAATTCTGGGTCTCCTCTGGACAGTCTTGAGATCCTGTAACCTCCCTCCCCAGCACGGTGGAAGGTGTCCCCTGCAGCCTCCGGCTGCGCCACGAGCCCGCCAGTCAGCTCTGCCACTTCGCTGGCACCTCTTCTGTGCCCAGTGCCATCAGGGCAGAGCCTACCCTCCCTGAAGCCCTGAGAGTCAGCAGGCATGTCCAGGTGACAATGCAGGAGAACCAAGGGGGCTTCTGCCCAGTGCACAAGGCCTGGGGGACATGGAGGGCCCACATCACCAGTGTGGCTCTTCTTGGGACCCGGTAGGAAAGTTCTTAGAGGGAGATGTCCCCACAGGGCTATGCAATTATCTCCCCGGACACACTGGCTTCGCAAAGCCCTGGCTGGCTTGGGAAGCATAAAAGGCCCACTTGTTGACAAAACCCACTCCTTTGATGGATCCTGCCCCAAAACCTTTGAAAATAATTTTGTTTTTGGTCCTGACTTGCCTTTCACAGCCCCACCCACAGACACATCAGTGGCAGGCCCAGTCCATGCTCCGCCCCTTCAGCAAAGCGGTCCTGAGAACCCGGCAATGCTTCCGGGCGTGGGGCAAGAGGGCACGATGGCTACAGGGCGTGGCTTCTTGTCATTCTGCCCAGAGGGCTGTGAGTAGAAGGCAGGCCCCTCTGTCTGCAGGGGAGTGGGTGAGTGGACCCACAGCACACGGGGTTTCTGAGCTGGCCCCTACAGCATTCCCCAAGGGCCAGACAGCAGTGAGCCCCCCAGAGCACCCACTGGATGCCTGGTCTTGGCTGCCACCAAGCCTGCTGCTCAGGACAAGCCCATCCACAGTGATGGATCAGATTCTTGCCAAGAGACAGTTCCCTTTATCCCCACTTCCCCAGGCTTTCTCTGCCTAGTGGCCCTGCCACTGTGGAGGCCTTCAAGTCCCCTCAATCCAACAAATGTGTCCATCCATTCCATCTATCCATCTACCCATCCATCCACTCATTCATTCATTCAATCGTTTATTCAGCAAACACTGATAATGGACAGGGGCTCCTTTAGGTCAAGAAAACACACAGATCTGAGAGCCAGTTAATCAATCAAAAGCATAGCAGCAATCTGATAGGAGTCAGACCCAGAGGAGAGGGAGGCACAAGAAAGGGCCTGTGGTGGGGGCAGGAAGGGCACATTCAGAGAACCCAAGATTAAGTCCAGGTAACAACAGAGCACAGTGGGAAACAGAGAGGGAGCAGGGCTGCCCCTCAGTCGGAGTATGCCAGGCTCCAGAGCCTCCCAGGGCTTTGCCCATGTGGTCCCCCATATGGAAAGCCCTGTCCTTCTCTTCATCCTGCCAACCCCTAACCTTGGCCTCAAAGTCCTCTCGAGTCCCCAGCCACTGAAGCCTTTCCTCCTCGGATCCCTTCAGCGCCGAAACTTCACAACACTCAGCTCAGGACTCCACTTCTGTCCACTTCTGAACCAAGGGCCCTCAGGTGTCTCCTTAGCCCTGTGCCTTCACTAAAGGGAAAGAAGCCAAGCCCCCAAGGCAGCCAGACCCAGCCACGTCTCTGCAGGCCTTCCTTTCATGGTGGGATGGTGGGATGGTCGAAGACAGGGGCCAGGGCCTGGGGGCTGGTGCTGAGCCTACACTAGCTGCAGGCCCTCGACGCTCTCGATGGGGAGGCCTGTGACCTTCTCAGGGAGACGCGGAGGCACAGGAAGGGAACGGCTGAGTCTGTTGCAGATGAGACAGGGCTCCCCACCAGCTATAAGGAAGAGGTGTGCTTGTGCCTTCCTGGGACCTGCCCCTTCCTGTGACTCTCCTCCTGCCTGTCTCAGTCACTCAGCTGTGGACCCTGGTACTGGGGAGAGAGCCCAGCCTTGGCACCAGCCAACCTGCCTGCAAATTCCAGCGGGCAGGCTTACAGCTCTGTGGTCCCAGATGGGAACCTTAAGGATGTGGCACCTCCGTTTTTTCATCTCTGAAACAGGTCTACCAGCAGGAACCACCATGCAAGTTAGGTGCTGAGGTCACTCAATGAGAAACACAGGCAAAGTCCCTAGCAAGCTCTGACCCCTTGCAAAGGCCAGCCTCAGGCCCATCCATCCCCCAGAGCCAGGGACCCTGCCCCAGTAGAAACCCCTAAGCCGGAGACCCATCATTAGAGGCCATGACTGCCACCAGCTTGGGCTACTCGGTCTCATTATGTCCCTGGGTATGGGTGGCAGCCACTTCCCTGTGCCCCCAGCAGAGTGTGGCACCAGAACTGCCCGGCTCCGTGGGTGCATCTCATTATCTGAATGTCTGCCATCAGCTGTGCTGAAGCAAAGCGGCACTGGGAACTCACTCTGTACTTTTGCCTAATGTTCTAATTTGCCCCTGCAGAAGGGGAATAACCCTTTTCTGGAGGCTGCTCCCTCTGGCTAAGGACCAAGAGGGTGCAGAACCTCCCCACAAGCAATCACTGCCTCCCCAGAGCCCCTGTCCCTGCCCCAAGCCATACACCAAGAAAGCTGTCCTTGGCACTGGAGCAACACAGAGCCCTGGGGAGAGAAGGGCCTGGCATCCTGGAATGGCACAAGCTGCTCCTTCCCAGCACCGTGGGGCAGGCAGGAAGCTGGAGGAGCAAACAACGGGCCGGCAGCTTGAGGGAGGCAGGGGAGGTGGCTCTCCCGGGCTGGGACTAAGTGCTCTCCCAACCCCCGACCCCCCAGACCCTTCTGCCTCTGCCTCCACACTCCTCCTAGCCCTCTCTATCCCACTACGCCCTCCACCTCTGCACACACACCCCCTCTGGGTTCCAGTTGCAAATTCCTCTGTCCACCTTGTCTAGAGCCAATCTGAGGTGGGGAGAAAAGAACAGGGAGAGAAGCAGCCACCCCCTGGGCTGGGCCATAAGAATGCTTGGCCTCACCCACTGGGCTGGGCTGTGAGAATCCTTGGTCTCACCTCCTGGGCTGGGCGGTGGGAATCCTTGGTCTCACCTCCTGGGCTCTGGGATCTCAACAAGCCCATGGCTGCTTTCCCGGTTCTTCTCTCCACTCAGGTCCACTCATGTCCCCACCCAGCCCATATGTCCCCATCCCTGGGTCAAGCCCCAAGTTTACCCATGTAGCCCAGATTCTAGCCTGAATGCAGCCAGTGGAGTCTGGTAAACAAGGTAATCTTCGTCCCTAGCCACCTGTCTTTTTCCTGCCACCTCATTCTCCTTTATTTTGAAAACCTGTAAAACTACACCAAGATCCAAACCAGCCATAGATGGAAAGAAATGTCTGGCCACAGCGTTCACTGCAGCAACCCCAAGGTGCATCCAGGCCCAGCCACTCTGCTCTCCTTCCCACCCTGCTTTTCCTGTGCAGGACAAGGCCCACCTCAGCAGACCTCACAGTCACTGGGCTGCCCAGCAGGATTGCGCAAGAGGGCGTTCAGGGTCAGGAGAACCTTCTCGGGACAGGCTTGGAGGAGAAAAGCATGCCTAATGAAGAGGAATTAAAGGGTGGCATTCCACAAGGACCTGAAAACATTATGACAGTTTTGTTTTGATTTTTGCAAGGAGGCAGACACCACCGAACTTAGGGGCATGAGAAAAAAGAGCCAAAAGAGACAGAGACGAGGCCTGAGCCACTGGAAAAGATTGACTTCTGTGGTCCAAGAGCTAACCAAGCAAGGCTCAGTGGCACCAAGCATGCGGGCAGGCAGACAGGGGGACGCTGCATCCCTGGTCTGAGACAAATGACCAAGGAGCTCAGGTGATGATTCAAATGTGGTCACCTCCCCAGAAACATCTAAACATATGTCTCTACATACAAGTGCCAAAGGGGAAGAGTCCCCCAAATCTCCTAACACAACCTCCAGAAGTCACTCCAGGCCTGGGGAAGGGTCCACCCTGCCTCCACTTCCTGGGAAATCACTTGTCCCTTCCAGTCCTGGGAAGGTTCAGACTTTCAGTTTTCCCTCAAAAGCACAGCGATGGCACCTGGGAGGCCCCAGACCTCCTTGGACCCCCCACATAAGACCACTCCACTGGCCTGGCATCCCTAGGAGGACCTATATCCCAGGAAAAAGGGAGAGCCTCCGAGAAGTTGTACAGTTGGGATGGGCCCCAGACTATCTAACACATCCCATTCATCAGACAGAGACAGGAACTGAGGCCCACGGGGGCCAGGGCCTCCCCTGGAGCAACAGAGCTGGCCCATCACCCTGCCCCTGGGAGGTTTACCCAACACTGCAGGGAGGGAGGCCGGGGGATGCTACTGGAGAATCTCACAAGGGGCAGCCCCAGGGCTAAAGCCCCTCCCTCATCCAAGAGCTCCCCCAGGGCTCTCACCTGAGGACACACAGGCTTAACTGTCCAGCTGTGATAGTGTAAAATATATATTTTGTAAAATACATATTTAGTCTTCCTCCTGTTTCCTGGCATAAAACCTTTGGAATCTCCAGAGAAATGGGTGTCTTTTTGTATGCTGATGAGTTGACTGTAACTAGGTAGGCCCTAGGTAGTTTCAGGATGGAAGCCGGTCACCTGAAAATCCAAGGCAGAAGAGAGGGTTAGGACTTTTCAGCCCTACCTCCAACCTCGGGGGCGGGGACAGGGGCTGAAGGTTAAGTTGATCACCAATGGCCAACGGTTTAATCAGTCATGCATAAGTAATGAAGCCTCCATAAAAACCCAAAAGGACTAGGTTCAGGAGCTTCCAGAGATAGCTGAGCACATGGTTCCTAACAGGTAGTGCACCCAAAAGGGCATGGAGGCTCTGCACCACCCCCCATGCCTCACCCTGTGCATCTCTTTACCTTTATCCTTTGTAATATTCTTTACAATAAGCCAGCAAACAGAAGTATTTCCCGAGTTCTGTGAGCTGTTCTAGCACATTAATCAAACCCAAGGAAGGCGGCATGGGAACCCAGATTTATAGCTGGTTGGTCAGAAGCACAGGTAGTTGAAGAACCTGTACTTGAGACTGGCATCTGTGGGATGCCACAGATGTGGGGCGGTCTTGTGGGACTGAGCTCTCAACCTGTGGGATCTGATGCTGTCTGCAGGTAGACAGGGTCAAAACTGAATTGAATTGGAGGACACCTAGCTGGTATTCACGGCAGAAGTGCTTGCTTGCCGTGGGTATGGAGAAAAACCCCCACACATTTGGTCACACATGTTTTCTGTGTTGACAGAGTGAGAGTGTAAGAGAAACTGAGTCTGTTTCTTCCTACATTCTCAGACCAGCTCTGCTGCTGCATTTGCTCATGAGGCCTCACATGGCCAACCACAGCTCCATGAGCAAAAGGAAACCTGCCAGTGTGGGGGTGGGGGAGGGTGCAGGGAAGATCATGCAGGATTGGGCACAGAAAGGGCCTGGCCCCCAGTCATCGTGTCCACTTCCTCCAGAGGGGAGAGGAAGGCCAGCTGCACCTCAGCCTTGATCAGGCTGTATGTCCCTGGAAAAGTCACCACCACTGCCCCTCCCCTTCTGTGCAACGAGATGGTAGGAGTGGCCAGTCTCTGGGGCCCGCTGACCCTCACTCTGTCTCTCCCACGGCTGGCCTGGCCTGACCTTTGGATGGTGGGCTCCCCAGGGCCCACCCACGGCCCTCACCCGCAAGCCAAGGAGGCCCAAGGGCAGCTCTCACAGCCTCCTGGATGATTTACAGCCACCCCGCCCGAAGCTGCAGGCCGAGCAGATATTTTCCATTTTCCACTGTGTAGCTGAGCTCAGACGTTATAGGGAGCCCTGGGTCTAGGCCTTGGGCCTGGCCGTGGCTTCCCCTCTCCTAGGTATGTAGGCAGGCCAGGGGCGCAGGCTGAACATCTGTGCCTAGGCCCCAGCACTCCCTCACAAGAGAGGGTCCTCGGTCCTGCAGCCAGGTCTGAGAGGCCCGGTCAGGGGGAGGAAGCCAGGCCTCCCAGCCAGCACCATTCACATAGGCCCTTCCCACTTCCGCTTTCCCCTCTCCCCATGACAGCATCATGGAAGAGTGCCTTTGCTGGCAAGCCTGAGCACTCTGGGGCTTTCTGCCCTGATGCAGCTCCCACGCTCAGCTGTGCACAAAGCCCTCAGAAAAGCTGCTGAGATTGTGTGTGGTGCTAGGAGTAAAATGCAAACCTCCAGCCCACACAGATGTTCTGTGAGGCCTAGTCCCTCAAGGCCAGGCGGCCCGGATAAGTGGTGAGATGTCCCTGCCCCTGTCAGCTTCAGGCCTCTCCCCAGCCATCCCTCCTCACACCCGCTGGCCACACCAGCCTCTCCCGTCAGGTCTTAAACACATCAGGGTGAGGACTATCCTTACAGTGGACCACTCACACCACTTAAAATCAGAAAGGCCCTGCTAGTGAGAAAAGTGCAAGGTGAGCTCTCTGCTTCGGCCAAGATGGAATAACAGGGACCAGATGTAACCTCCCTCCCAAAACCATCAAATAACCAGCAAAACCATGGAAACAATGGCTTTTCAGGACAATGAACATCAGGCAATGAAGGAACGAAAACCAAAGAGGTGAGCCTTAGCCTGCCCCAGCTTCCTTTCCAGAGAGTGTTTCCAGGCCACGGCACAGGGAGGGGTAACCAGGCAGAGCTTGGTGGATTCCTGAGTTAAGGAGATGGAGATGGAGTTGGAGAGGAGGGAGACCAGGGTAAGAAGGGTTTTGCATGGCAGAACACCAGACCAGTGGAAGAGCTGAACAGAAGGGGAACATTGGTGAACTTGCAGAGGGTCCCCCTGGAGCATTGCAGAATAGAATCAGCACATACTGTTCTTGCCCCAAGGCCAGGAAAAGATCCAGCTGAGAGGATGAGAGGGAAGAGTGCCCAGTGTAGACAAGGCCAGTGCCTATGCCCACCAGCCAGACTGGAAAACCTCAAAAGTCACACAGCCTTGGGTAGAGAACTCTGAAGGATTTTACCTCAATAGCAAGGAATAATTAGCCCTAGGCTCTGGTCCCATCTAACAAAGCTAAAAAAATTAAACTTTGCAAGTAAATGAATCATATCCTAGAAGAAAGCTCAAGAATATTTATAGTAAGACAAAAATATTCAACATCCAATAAGATAAAACTTACAATATTCTAGCATCTAGCAAAGATTACCAGACATGCCAAAAAAAAAAAAAAGCAGAAAAGTACATGAGGAAAATAAACATCAATCAAAACTGAGCCAGAGCAGGTACAAATGTTAGAATTCGCAGATGAGAGCATGAAAACAGTAGTTATAAATGAATTCCTGTGTCCAAAGAGTTAAGTGGAGACATGGAAGATACAAAACGACCCAATCAAACTTCTAGAGATGAAAAATCACTAGATGGAATTGGTGGTAGATTAGACATTGAAGAAAAAAGATCTGTAAACTTGAAGAAATAGCAACAAAAACTATCCGGTATTATAAACAGAATAAAACATTAAAAAAGAGCATATGAGCTGTGGGATAACTTCAAGCTGCCTAATATACATGTAACTGGAGTCCCCAAAGGAGAAACAGAACATAGAGGATAGGAAGAAGAAATATTTAAAGACATAAAAGCTAAAAATTTTCCAAATTTGATAAAAACTACAAACCCACAGAAAATCATAAAAGCAGCCAGAACAAAGGATATTAGTAGAGATGATAAAGAAAGTCATCTGATACCATGACAATCCTAAACATCTATGCACCTAATAACAGAGCTTCAAAATACACAAAAGAAATTTTAAAGAACTGTTTTAACAGTTGAAAACCAACTAATGAAATTTATTATGTTATCCAATCTAAGATCAAAAACAAGATAAGAATAAGAACTCTCACTACCTCTAGGCAACATTGTACTGCAGGTTCTAGCCAGTGAAAGGCAAAAAACTAAATAAAAGGAATTCAGATTATAAAGGAAGAAGTAAAACTATCTGTATTCACTGATGACATAAACACATGTATAAAATCTGACAAAATCTACAAAAAGCAGGATATAAAAGCAATATAAATAAACCAATTATATTCTTTAATATTAGCAAATTGAAATTTTAAAATAACACAACAGTATCAAAAACATAAAATATCTTAGAATAAATCTGAAAAAAGATGTACAGTACTTGTACACTAAAAGTTATAAAACATTGCTAGGAGAATATGAAGAAGATGTAAATAAATGGAAGGACATACCTCGTTCATGAGCCAGATTACTCAATATTATTAAGATGTCAATTCTCTCCAAATACATCTACATTTACCACAATCTCAATCAAAATCTTAAAAGCAGGGTTTTTGGAGAGATTGCCAAGATGATTCCAAAATTCATATGAAAATGCAAAGGACCTAGAATGCAAACTCTGAAAAAGAAAAAGAATACTTAGAGAGCTAAGCTACCTGACTTCAAGACTTGTTATAAAGCTACAATAACCAAGAAAGTGTGCTGTCACTGTCAATGTACACAAATAGATCAAAAGAATAGAACAGAAAGTCCAGAATAGGCCCACACATATATGGGAAGCAGATTTTTTTACAAAGGTGCAAAGGCAAGTTGATGCGGACAGAATAATCTTTTCAACGAATGGGGCTGGAACAATTTTTTAAAAGAACTTTGATACATACTTTGTATTATATACAAATATTAGCTTAATTTAATATATATCATATATTAAATTTAAAACCTAAAACTTTAATACTTCTTAAAAGAAAACATAAGAGAAAATCCTTGTGACTTCAATTTAGGCAAATATTTCTTAGATGAAATTCCAAATGCATGATATATACAAGAAAAATTTGACAAACTGGAGTTCATCAAAACTAAAATCCTTTAGTCTACAAAAGACACTGTTAGGAAAATGAAAAGATAAGCCACAGGCTGGGATATCTGCAAAAGACTTCTATCCAAAATATATAAAGAATTCTCAAAACTAAGCAATAAGGAAACCACCAACCCATGTTAAAAAAAAAATTGAGCAAAAGATTTTCTTAGACTTTTCACTAGAGACAATATACAGGTGGCAATAAAGCACACCAAAAGAATCACATCACTAGTCATTAAGAAAATGCAAGTTAAAACCACAATAATATATCACTATACACCTATAAAAGTGGCTAAAATTCAAAAGACTAACTATTGCAAGTATTACCTAGGATGTGGTAGGAATGGAACTTTCAAATACCATTGGTGGGAATATAAAATGGTACAGCTGCTTTATTAAACAGTTTTGTGGTTACTTAAAAAGTTAAATAGGCTGTGTGTGGTGTCTCATGCCTGCAATCCCAGCACTTTGGGAGGCCAAGGCGGGTAGACCATTTGAGGTCAGGAGTTCAAGACTGGCCTGGCCAACATGGTGAAACCCGTCTCTACTAAAAATACAAAAATTAGCTGGGCATGGTGGTGGGCGTCTATAATCCCAGCTACTTGGGAGGCTGAGGCAGGAGAATCCTTTGCACCCGGAGGCGGAGACTGCAGTGAGCCAAGATTGCGCCATTGCACTCCAGCCTGGGCAACAAGAGTGAAACTCTGTCTTAAAAAAAAAAAAAAAGAAAAAATGGTTAAATATACCAACCCTCTGGCCCAGACACACCTACCTATGATCCAGGCATTCTACTCCTCGATGTTTACCCAAGAGAAAAGGAAAGCACATGCGCATACAATGACTTATACAGAAATGTTCAAAGCAACCTCACTTGTAATAGCCCAAAACTGGAAACAACCTAAATATCCATCAACAGGCATCTGGACAAACAAATTATGATATATCCGTATGATGAACTACTACTCAGCAATAAAAATGAATAAACTATTGATACGTGCAGCAACATGGATGAATTCCAAAATAATTGTGGTGAAAGAAGCCAGACAAAAATGAGGACATCCTGTATGGTTCCACTTTTATAAGCTCTGGAAAATGACAGGAAGCAGATCAGTGGTTGCCAGGGAAGGCCAGGGGGTGGGGTGGGGGGACAGATTACAGAGGGGCATGAGGAAACTTCTGCGGATGATGGATATGTCCATTATCTTGATTATGGTGATGGTTTGCACACACGAGTCAAACTTTATCAAACTGTACATTTTTAAAAAAAAACTCCGCTGAAACATAGTTTCTCTTCCAACTATCAGATTGGCAAGGATCGACAAGTTTGATAACACTCCCTGTTGATGTGGATATGGGCAGATAAGCACTCTCGTACGTTGCTGGTGGGAGTGTAAACTTCTATGGAAAGTGATTTACCAATATCTGTCTAAAGTACAAAAACACCCACCCTTATGAGAAATTACCAAATGGTTATAATGTACCCTATACGGTGATGGTTACACTAAAATCCCAGACTTTACCACTACGCAATATATCCACATAACACACGGCACTCGTACCCCTAAATCTATAAACATAAACACAATTTTAATAGAGATGGCACAAGAAAAAAATGTTTGTAACATGTGAGAAGCAGAGGAAATAGTTGTTTTTTTTTTTTTTTTTGAGATGGAGTCTCCCTCTGTCGCCCAGGCTGGAGTGCAGTGGCGCGATCTCGGCTCACCGCGTGAGCCAAGATCACTGCAAGCTCCGCCTCCCGGGTTTCCGCCATTCTCCTGCCTCGGCCTCCCGAGTAGCCAAGACTGCAGGCGCCCGCCACCTCGCCCGGCTAATTTTTTGTATTTTTAGTAGAGACGGGGTTTCACCGTGTTAGCCAGGATGGTCTTGATCTCCTGACCTCCTGATCCGCCCGCCTCGGCCTTCCAAAGTGCTGGGATTACAGGCTTGAGCCACCGCGCCCAGCCTGGAAATAGCTTTAATTTATGATAAACGTACAAATCTTTAAGAAAAAACAAAGACACTGACGGAAAAATTGCTAAGAAACACAAGCAACTAACAAACACACAGGAAAATACAACATAAAATAAAGTATTTAAATATTTAATATTACTGATGCTAAAAAATGAAAATTGAAACAACCAGATTTTTTCTTCTATCAAATTGCAAAGATTAAAATCCGTAGAGAGGCCAGGCACAGTGGCTCACGCCTGTAATCCCAGCACTTTCAGAGGTCGACGCAGGTAGATCACCTGAAGTCACGAGTTTGAAACTAGCCTGGCCAACATGGCGAAACCCTGTCTCTACTGAAAATACAAAAATTAGCTGGGCGTGGTGGCGGACGCCTATAATCCCAGCTACTTGGGAGGCTGAGGCACGAGAATCCCTTGAACCAGGAGGCAGAAGTTGCAGTGAGCTGAGATCGTGCCACTGCACCCTCCAGACTGGGCAACAGAGCGAGACTCTGTCTCAAAAAAAAAAAAAAAAAAATACGTACAGAAAAAAAAAACACCCACCCTTATACCCCGAAGTTTTACACCCAGAAGTTCTAGGAATTTATCTACAAAGAGATATTCATGTATGTGAAATGACATAAGGTTATTCAATGCAACCTTGTTTATAGTGGCAAATGTTCATCAATAGCTACTAAATAACCGATGGTATAACCATACAGTGGTATCCCGCCCAGACACACAGAATGGGAAGCTGTTTATGTGCTCACAGGAAAAGGTGAGTGAAAAAGGCAAGTTCCAATACAGGCTGTAAAATATGCTTCCATTTGTGTACAAAAAAGTAAAAAAGATTATATATACTCATTTCCATGCCACTTACACAAAACTTATTTCAGGAAGGATACACAAAAAACTAGCATTCTTGAGAGGTTTTGGGTGGCTGGGCTACGGCAGTGGTACGAAAACTTTATAATGTATGTATAACCTTCATGCTTTCTGAACCTATTAACCATGTAGGTATATTACTATTCAATAAATAAGTATAAATAAAAATTAAAGATAGGGCCAGGTGCGGTGGCTCACGCCTGTAATCCCAGCACTTTAGGAGGCCGAGGTGGGCGGATCACGAGGTCAGGAGATTGAGACTATCCTGGCTAACATGGTGAAAGCCCATCTCTACTAAAAATACAAAAAGTTAGCCGAGCATCGTGGCAGATGCCTGTGGTCCAGCTACTCGGGAGGTTGAGGCAGGAGAATAGCTTGAACCAGGGAGGCAGAGTTTGTAGTGAGCCAAGATCACGCCACTGCACTCCAGCCTGGGCAACAGACAGAGACTCCGTCTCAAAAAAAAAAAAAAAAAAATTAAAGATAGGTGAGAAATAAAGTGAATGAAGATGATCTACACACATATACATACATGTACACACGTGGATAGAATGCCAAGACATATTGCTAAATGACCACAAAGAAAGCAAACTGCCAAACACTGCAGTAGTATGATCCCACTGGTGTAAAAATAAATGATAATAATAAAACACTGGTCTATATCAATAGAGAAATGGAGACACAGGCATACTCACTATCAGCCGTTCTCTCTAGTGGGGGTCGTGCTCACTCAACACTATACATTTCTGCAGGTTTAACCTTTTGTATCTTTATTACTTTTGCATCAGAAAGAAACTGGCTTCATGGGCTGCCTTCCCCTGGGTAGTTACATTTTTAATCACTTGCCCAGAAATATGAATAAAGAGCCTTAAACATGATCTCACCTTTGATCAAGAATTCTACCTCTGGAAATGTATTCAAAGAATGTGGTCAGAGACATATCTGTGGGAAAACATGCACACTAATACAGTGTGAAGATTGCAAAACAATATGTGTGCTATGATCCCATGAGTCCAGAAGGTATTCATAAACATAAACAGAAAAAGGCCCAGAAGGAACTCACCAAGATGCTAGGGCATTACCCACAGAGAACACCAACGTGGGCCTGGAGTCCAGAATGCCTTCTTTTCCTCTTTTCAAGAATTTTCTCATAATTATTTTATAAAGGATCTGCTTTTATTTAAAAGAGAAAGTTATGCACACTAATAATCTCAGAGTATTTATATATAAGCGTGTTTGGAGAATAATTACTTATGATAAAGAAAAATTGGCTTTTATGTCCAAAATAGAGTAATCATTTTGTCAGGGCTACGACAAATGCTTATCAAAAAGTATTAAGTAAAAAGTACGAGATGCAAAACTGTAAACCATACAATCTAAAATCTGTAAAGTTTGGGGGGAAGGGGAGAACGGTGGAAAGGATAAATATTCACAGGAAAAAAAGACTAGAATTAAACAGGCCCAAAAGATAAAATAGAAAAAAAAATCTAGAAGAACAAATGTTATTTTAGTATTTGGGCCATCATGATCCCTAAGTTGGGGTAAAGATGGGAAAAGGCCAATTTTGGGCAAGGGATCCTTCCGGGGCCCTTTCCAGCTGTCCTGTCCTTCAGAATTCACATTGAGTAGCTACAGGGGGCTGGCCCTGTGGGAGCCACACAGTCAGTACCCTCAGGAGGCCACGTGTACCTTTTCCAACCGGCAACAGTCTCCACAGCTGGAGCAGAGTTGGGGGCCACCATCCTGGCTTCCGGAGGGATCTGGCTGGAAGGCCCGCTTTGGAGAGGCCTCTGCAGAGCAAGGTAGAGGCAGGCGGTACCGGGGCATCCCCCTGGGGCCCAGTGCAGCCTCCAGCAGCATGAAGGTGGAAAGGTAAAATGCTGTACCAGGCACATCTTAGAAGTGCTCCCTGGTAAACATCGGACCCCTTTCCTGGCCACAGAAAAGAGCACAGAAGTATCCAAGTTCTGGGAAGGGCAGGCTCTGCTCCCTGCCAGGATGTCTTTTGTTGTTAAGGCCCAGCAAGATGGGAACTATGGTGTAAACCAGCAGCGCGTGCTAAATGAGAATGAGGACTTTGCCTAACGAGAGCCCAAATGAGTCAGTAGAGTGGTAGCTGCCAAATATATCGTGCCCACACAGACTGCCTTTTTAATAATAACAACCAAGATGTACTGTGTGCTTACTATGCGCCAGGTAATTGTCTCATACTAACTCTTTTACCTCTAACCCTTTGAGATGGGTCTTAGAGTTATCCTCATTTTACAGATGAGAAAATGGCAGGCCAGAGCTGGATTTGCAGTCTATCTCCAGTGCCTGCTCTGAGCCCCTTGCTCCACAGAATCTTCCCTGATGCACCTGTCCCTTCCCAATGGCCATGCCACAGCTGGACAGTCCCCCTCGGGGGAGCACTGGCTCTGGGGCCAAACTGATGCCCTGCTGGCTTATGCGGAAGTGCAGCACCCAAACTTGCCCCCAAAAGGGGGTGGTGAGCTAGCCTGGGAAAGAACTAGCCTCAGCCCTCCCTCAGAGAGCTGGGGACTCAGAAGGAATGAGTGTACCTCCTCCTGGAGTGGGAGGGGCTGAGGCTCACGACAGGGACACGAGGGGCCACCCAGGCAGAGGATGTCTCTGCTGAGACAAAGCCTGCGCCCTGCCCTCCCCTCAGAGGATGAGGCAGAGGCTCATGTCCCTGTGGATATCCTGGCGGATGAGAAACAGACCCCAGGGAGGAGAGGGAGCTGTGACGTTGATGTTCTATCTTTGGGACTTAGAGCAACTCCAATAAAACCACAAAGTCTCAGTGGCATCTGTAAAATGCTAGTGATAATACTGACTGCATCAGGCTGTCACCACTGCATGACACATGTCCTATACCTAGTGGTGGGGGCTGATGCGGCACTTGGTCTCCAAGGCCCCCCTCTTGAGATGATGCAACAGCATTTAAAGACATGTGCACTTCCCGAGGGACTACTAAGGTCAGGGGCTGCTGCCTTATTCAAGTACATCAGTGAGATGACTGTCAATGAGTCTAAAAACTCCAAATACAACCCTCTGTAATCACGAACAGAACAATTATGATCCCAGGCTCTGACTGTCATAGCTTACAGAGTCCTAGAAAAGATCTGTCCTGAGAAATGAACAAGTGGAGACCCAGAGAGGCACAATGGCCTGCCGCCTGAGGTCTCATGTTAACTCACAGGCAAAGCCAGCCTGGAACTCTGCTTATCTCACCAACTTTCCAATTCCTCATCCACCAAAACATCCTGCCTCCCACCTAAGATCTCTCCAAAGGGCATAAGAGTATTGTACAAAGAGATTATGTGTGGGGTCCAAATGAACTATACCACATGCTTAGATTTTTTTTTTAAAATACAGCTCTACTATATTAAAACTAATCACTAATTAATAATTGTGCTTGCTTTCTCAAACCAAGGAGGTCAATCTGGAGACTACCTGGTTAACTTATATTTTTTAAGAGAGATGTCAAAGAAAATGGGAAAATGCCATTTTCTTCCCTTGAAACATTTCCCAAAATTCATTTATAAACAAACACGTGTTAAGCACAAATAAACAGACAATGGCAAGGCAGTATTAATGAGTGTTATAAGCAAGGGAAATCCCAGAGACAAGTGAGAGCCTAGGGCTGTGGTAGGAAATACTTTACAGAGGACATGACCCTTGGCTTCATGGATGGGGAGGAAGGGTACACCAAAGACCAACAGCAAAGGCCTTTAAAATCCTTGCAGTCAATGAATGTATGATGGATGGATGGGTGGAAGGATGGATGGATGGATGGATGGGTAGATGGATGGATGAATGGGTGGTTGGATAGTTGGATGATGATGGATTGAGGATGGATGGATGGATGGATGGATGGATGGATGGATGGAGAATGCAAGATCACTATAATCTTAATCTCAACCTATAATCTTGACTGGGGATCATAGTAGAGAGCATTCTGAGAACCACCACCCACCAGACAGAAAGATATAACTTTAGAAACTGAGCCCAAACCCAAGACGGGGAGAATGAGAAGGCAAAGCTGATGATCAATCTCATTGCTGCACATCAGGATCCCAAATGTTCCAGCCTCGGAAAGAACCTGGGCCTCTGCACATTTATGTCCCATGACCTGAAGCTAAACCATGGATAGGCAGAGGAGTCATCCGGGGGGACCACAAAGCCACCCCTTGGAGGCAACCCCACGCTGACTCTCCCACATACCAGAGGCCCCAGAAATGCCACACCCTGTCCAGCACTTGCCCTATGAGGTCCTCTGCCCAGATTGCCCTTCCTTCCCCAACCCCTCTGCTGGCAAAGTCCTCCTCCTGGAAGACCCAGTCTGGCCCTCTCTTTGAGGAAGCCTTCCAAACTGCTCAGGCAAACTGGTTAATTAAAAGAGCCACTGCTCAAGGCCTTCACTCTGGGGCTTTTCATTATACTGACAGGACTTTGCATTCTCTGACTAGTAGCTGCAAGCATAGCTCAAAACAAAATTCATTGTGAAGTGGAAATTTGTCAGCCTGGAGCCAGGAAAACAGACCTATCCAGGGTCTTGGGGAAAAGAGTTTGGGGCAATTCCTGCTCCTGGCCAATATTCCCATGATGCCTTTCCAGATCATGCCTTTCCTAAAGTAGGCTCCGTCCTAGGCAAGGGGGATAAGGAGGAATACGCACATTTGAGAAACCTGCTGGGATTTCGGAGACTGCCGGCTCCGTAACCAAGTTAGCAAGGTGTGCCTACAGCCGTGAGCTTAATAAGTGCCGGGCACATAACAGATGTTCCAGTAAGTACTGGCTGATTGACTGATGGATTACACAAGGAATTCCTCTTGATGGCACCTGCCACACTGTTTCAAATTCAAGGCACAGAAAAGGTTTAAGATTTCCAGCCTGGTGTGAGAACTAGGTTTGAATAAAGTACTGCTGCCTGCTTTGACAGCCCCACTGTCAGAGTCCCTGGGAAGCCCCAGTGGCAGAGTCCTGTTGTGTCAATAGGGGAGGGGTCCCCTATGATGTGCCCCCACTCAGGGTTTCTGGAGAGCAGCACTGCTGACATTTGGGCTGAAAATTCTTTGTCATGGGCTGCCTTGTGGTTTACAGGATGTTCAGCAGCATCCCTGGCCTCTACCCACTAAATACCAATAGCATTCCCCTTGTTGTGACAACCAAAAATGTCTCCAGACAGGTCAAATGCCCCCTGGAGACACTGCCCAGTTGAGAAATCAGTGCTATAGCCCTTGTTTGAGGCAAACCAGCTGCTCCCAGGGCAGCCCTCAGGAGCCAACTCTGGGAGAGGGTCCTGGCTTGGGGGTCAGCAAACCTGCCTCCGCTCAGAGCTCTGCCCCTACTGCCCAGGTGAACATGGAGATCCGCCAGTGTCTCTGAGGCCCTGCTTACCCATCTGCAAATTGAGGCCCTATTTTGCAAGTGGCTTGTGTGTGTCTGAGCATGCAGAAGGCACAAAATAATTGTCTTACATTGATTTGTGCATAGCTGTTCTGAAAACCTCTAGCTAGCACCTCCCATCTCTTCCCCAAAGCTAGGTACATACTGCTGGAACTCCATTAACGCCTAACAAGGACCTGAAAAACAGCTGTCCAAATATTCTAGCTAAGTTATTCCACTTTTGGGAATCTATTTAAGGAAACAGAATTTCAGGTAAACATTCCGACACAAGGATGTCTATCCCAGTATTATCTATAATAACAAAAACTAGGAACAGTCTAAATGCCCAATGGTATAAGGATGATAAAATAAAATACGAGAGAGGCAGACAAAGGGATATTATGTAGCCAATAAAAATCACACTAATAAAATTATTAATAACATGAGAGATCTCCATGATATAATGTTAAATAAATAAGGAGTTACAAGACTGTATTAATGTAACCTCAATTTTGTAAGAAAGGATAGAGCAAAAAAAATTTTATATTAAAAAACAGAGACTAGCAGGAAATTTAACCAAATTTCTCTTTTCTGCTTCTCCTTATTTTACATTTTCAGTAAAAAGGCATGTCTTAGTTTTAAGATCTTGGGGGGCAAATAATGTTTTGCGGCTTTTTTTAGTATTTTTACATCAGGAGAAAGAGGTTTGCTTGAATCCAAGTGCTAAACCAGAGTCCAGACCTTGAATACAGAGACCAGAGCCCAGCAAAGAGATAGATCTTCAAACTTAAATAAAGGAAAACCCAAGAAAACAGAAGCAGAAGAAAGAGGGATAGGCATGGCTCTGGGCCACTGGGAAAACCAGAGGCACCCACAGGGGAGGAGGGTTGGCCGGGGAGCAGAGAGACCCAGGCCTCTCTTAGGCCTTCTACTTTCTGGCTGGGCAGGTGGCTGGGCAGCTTCTGGGGGGGTGCAGCTCGAGGTGGACACAGGTGCTCCACAAGGCTGCCTTACTGATGCCCACGGCCAGGCACTGGTCTGGGAGCTTCGCTTCTCACTGCTACAATCACTGTAAGCATGAGAACAGGACTTCCACCACCAGGGCAGGCTTGGGACCCAGAAGCCCAGCTAACCCAGGCTTCCAAAGGAGCTATCAGTCTTTTGTAAGCTGAGCCCTGCTCCAGCTTTTCCTGACCACCCATGCAAGGTGGCCCCTTGAAGACGGAGAGAGATGGCACTGAAGAAGCAACGCACTGGATCATGGGGCCTCTGCTGCTCTTGGTAAAACAGATGGGCTGGGCACCAGGTCCTACGGGCCCAGGGGCTGAGGGTTGCACCTGCAGAAGGATGTGGCACCCAGGTCTTGCACACCAGAGACCCAGAGGAGATGGAAATGGCACCAGCCCACATCCCACCTCCCTTCTCACGGGGCCCCCAGTGCCAGCAAGAGCCTGCAATCTACTGTACATATCTGCCTGCGCAGAAGAACTGCAAAAATGTGGACAGAAGGAATCCTGAGCCTCTTCAGACCAGCAAATCCCACCACATGGCCACCAGGTGAACCAGCTGCAGGGTGGATGAGGACCCACCCACATCACAATTTCAAATGTTTCCAGTGTGTTCTTCCATGCACTCTTGAAGTCCTGGCCCAGGTGCACTTGTAACATTAGCATCAAGCAAATGAAGTCTGCAGTGCAAAACTGTATGAATCAAAGCCCCAGAAGCCACCCCACATGGTCACAGCTGCGGGTGTGGAAGAGCCCAGGTCTCCAAGGCCTGCAGGACAGTAGTGAAAGGAAAAGTCTGTTCCTAGGCCCCTAATCTTGAGTGAGGGCTCTGCTCACCCTCAGGGCAGGCTCCTTCCAGCTCCCAGGCCTGACGCCACCACACAGCATCCTCTTCTGCAACTTCACCCCTATTGGACAATCTGTCTCCTTCCTACTTTTCTTAGGGACCATAAAGGTGTCCACAAGGTAGGCCCTTCAACCAAACCTAAGTGTGGGTCAAACTTCCAAAAGACCTACTCAAACTGTCCAATGCCAAATTGGTCCCACTTCAGCCACAAAGCATCCTGATGGCGCTGCAGTTCCTTACATGGAAAAAGAAAGGAGGCATCCCAGGGACACTTGGGACAGAACCTACAGCACATAAACCAACATGTTAACTTAATATACTCTCTTGTTTCTCTTGGGGGCCAGTAAAAGCAAGTAACCACCAGAGCCACCTTATAGTCTCAGCTACTGTCCTGTGAAAGAGAGACCCTGCTCTAGAGCCTACTTCTAAGAGCTGTTTTGGAGCAGAAGCACCTCTGTTTTCAGCTAGTTTCCTTGCTGCAACAGCTGTCCAGGCAGCTGCAAGTGCTGCAATTGGCTGAAAATCCATTCCTGGACTGTCCCAGATCTGAGGGACATCATAGTAAAAAGACATTATTCCTCATCACCCCACCCTAAAAATCCTGGATAAAATGCAGATTCCTGGACCCACTCTGCAGGAATTCTCATTCAATGGGTTCTCCCTGGGGAACCTAAGATTCTGCAATATTTAACAAGCTTCCCACCTGAATCTCATCCAGGAGGCCCATGAACCCCACCTAGAGACCTTTGCAGCCTTATTCTCAGATGTGCCTCTTAATTTCTTGTTCTTGGGTACAAGCACATTTTAGGAGAAGAACAAAAATCTAATTCTAAAGGAATCTGGTAGTTAAAGTTTTAGCCATATAAATGTCTATCAGCATAAATATACATGTCGCACATCCCTCATTCACACTGAACAGCAGGAAGGGTAATCTAACATACTATACTGTGTATGTAAATTACTATATTATGTACCACATCTTCGGTAGATGAATGTACCTGAATTACATTCAAACTCTACAATCCTGTTCCAACTATTGATTCACATACCTGAAAAGTATGGAAGTAACAGAGTAGCTACTGAGTCCAATTTTTCTTTCAGTACATAAACAAGGCAACATATGCATTCTCTCAAGCCCAAGAGCACCAGAGATGTCCCCTCACCTTGATCTCCACAGACAGCGAGGGCCAGCCCTAAATATACTGTCACTGCCTGGACACACACAATGTATCATGACAGCACAACCCACAGCTGTCTGCAGAAACGTCTGAGTGATGTGCCTTCAACCTGTCATCAGACTGCAACGACCTCAATTTTTTGAGAAGTGAAGTCAAAACTCCACCCTTATCATCTTCAGAGATCCAAGACAAATTTATGTGTCAGCCCTTCCTTCACTGATCTTCAGCCTCGAGGAAAGTCTGAAAAGACCATCACAGGCTTCCGCTCTCTACCAATGTCCCCAAGGCCACTCCCATTTACACTGACCCTGTGACCACATCCCAGAGGTACCTGAGCACAGCGGCTGGCTAAGAAGAGTGGCCAGCAAGGAGAGGCAGGACATATTCCTTGACAGGCACCCAACTCTCCCCAGGGGGTACCCAAGACCTTCCCTTTCTCCAGACTCTGATCTTCCCACCCTACCCGCTGTCTTGACTCTTAGAGATGGCTGTCCAGTGGGCAGGGTGTGCTAGCTCAGAGGGTTTTGAAGCTGGGAGGACCTGAGAGATGACATCTACCAAGCCCCGCCCCCTTCCCAGAGATAGGCGAAGCAACTTGCACAGGGTCACCCAGCTATTGAGTGACTGGGTCTCCCAGTCCCTGGGGATAACTCCAAGGGGTTCGGGCTAATTATCTTTATATTGCAGCCATCCATCACTCTTGTGCTCTTCCTTAGCTTCTTCCAGAGGGAAACAGCCGGGAAGGATGGTATATATAAGAAAGTCTTCCTAACAGTTATCTGGGTAGTCCTCTGGCCCAACTTTCTACACCAGGGTCACCTTCATAGGCCGGTATTTAATGACTGGCTCTTAAGATGATTTCTTTTTTTATTTTTATTTTTTTGTAGAGACAGGGTATCGCTATGTTGCCCAGGCTGGCCTCGAACTCCTGAACTCCAGCAATCCTCCCACCTCAGCCTCCCCAAATCCTGGAATTACAGTGTTAAGATGGTCTTAACTAGCAAAGGACAAAGGACAAAGAAGCAGGAAGGGGAGCGGGGAGGCGGCACATCAGAGCCCTTTACCCTTCTCTACCTGGCAGTTACAGTTATTCTTCAAGACAAATTCAAATGGGAAGCCTTCCTTGGTCCCCAAAGCAGAGAGAGTTCAGTCCCACTGGATATGGTACATTGATGGTCACGATGGAATTATGTAAATGCATTTGTGTCCTCCCCCAGATAAAACTTGGTAAGTCTTCTTTCCCCTGCTCCTTAGGCCACTTGGTATGGTGAGCTGCAGATTCCCAGAGAATCAACAAATTAAGAGCTATTTTCTGGTCATCAAGGGTTGCTGCACTGCAAATATTTGCATACTAATCTCCCCATCTGAGGTTTAAAAATATGGACTTGCTTTTTTTAACTCCAACATAATGAATGAGTTTAAATATTAGAAGTTGAAATTATTAAGTAAATCATTTCACCTGCACAGCTTCTATTTGCATAACATTAATTCATGATGGCAGCTAAAACAAATTCGTCACATTCTATATATTAGAAGCTGATTTATGTAGGAATTGAAAAGAAATCATGAGCTCAAAATTACGTTGACATGATGTACGTGCTCAATGGAGAAAGATTTTTCTCTTTCCCTCTTTCCTTTTTTTTTAAAGTCATCCTAACAACTGAATTATGGTGAGATGGAAAAGGATTTGAGGAGAGAAAGGACTGGCACCTCGGAAAATGAATAATGCTACGGCCTCACGTGTGTGGCGGGCTCTCGGCGTGCGTACACACACACTCCAGTTATTAATGTCAAGTATGCCAAAGATACGCTGGAAAATCATTACCATTCATCGCCACTAACCGCCATTAAATTTCAATCAATTCAACTTAGCACAAGTGTACTTGAGCGGCCCTTACAGTTCCTTATAAATGTGGCTCAAAAGTCTGGCTGACTTACTGCATTGTCCAGCACACAAAGAAGCATTGCTAAGCGTCTGCTGAAGGGGCTATCTTGGACCCAGGGACGCTCTTTTAACATCAGGCATTCAAAGATCTTTTTTCTGAGCGCTAAGAGGTTTCGAATCCCTACAGGTCAAGACGAATGGAAGAGAGGACCGCCCTTCCTTTCCTGTCGCCGGGAGTGGACAAGGGCAGAAGGCGGCCTTAGTGATTACTGTCTGCAGATGCCTTACAGAAAAAGTTTCAGACGCCACCAAAAGTTTGGTCACGGGGCCTCTCTCTTCCCGGCTCCCGTGGAGTGCTCTCATTCACTTCGCCAGCTGTAAAGGCAACTGGAAGCCCCTCCTGGGGAAGCGGGCAAGAGGGCAGGCCAATGGGAAACGGGGTCGAGGAAGACCCGGGGCGCCCCTCGGAACCCGCGCCCTTCCCGGGTGGGAGCCGCTCGCGCGCTCCGGGCGCGGCTGTGGGGACCTGGCCCGTTGGCTTTCTTCCCGACTCGCCACGAGCAGAGTCCGGCCTCCCGCCACTCGCCGGCGGCGGCCGGTGTGCGGCTGCGACAATGTGGCCATTGTTTGGGAGCTGCAAACCAGGCCGGCGCGCAGGTGGGAGGGCCGCAGCCGCGGGCCCGGGGCGCTCGGGGCACGGAATGTCCCCCGGCCGCGGCACGGTCGGCGCCGCTCGGACACGCGGCCTCGCCAGCCAGCGCTCCGCGTGGCGGAAAAGCCGGCGCGGAGGGAGAGGAAGGTCCAGACGGCGGGGGCGGGGAGGAGGCGGAGGGAACGGGAGGGAAAGATGGGAAAAGATGAGAAAAGACAGAAAAGAGAGGGAGAGAGAAGGCGGAGGAAACGGAGGAGGGGGAAACGGAGGGAAAGAGAAGAAAGGAGAAGGGGAGAGAGAACGGAGAGGGAGAGAAAGGAGAGACCCAGAGAGAAGAGGGGGTGGGGGCAGGACAGAAGAGAGAGAAAGGGGAAGGAGAAAGAAAAAGACAGAAAGGACGGACGGATAGCTGAAGGGAGAGGAAGAGAGCCAAAGGAGGGGGACAGGCGGACATGTGTACAATAGAGGTGCACCACAAGCTGCCCAGGAAACCTCTGGGAAGAGCAAGAGTTCACCCTGTTTCCTAGAGGGAATGGCTCCAAACCCAGCCGAGTCAGCAAAGCGTAATCACATCAGGGGCTTTGCTTAATTACAGGTTTGGGCTGGGTCTGGAGGAAGGGAGATACTTAACTGTGTCCCAGGGAAGGCCCAGCACTCAAATGGTTTGTAAGTCTGGGAAATACAAACAACACCCCCCGCCCCACCTCCCCCAAGCCCACTGAGCCAGGACCCAGGAGGACATGGCGGGTAAGGGCTGCGGCGTGGTTGCATACAGGCTCAACCGGCACAGCCATCGCGGACAAGCTTTCAGAGTTCACTTGGGACAGGAGTGCAGGGCTGCGCCCGTGCTGCTCAGCCTGGAGGCCACAGGCCTGTGGAGTCCCCGCCTCAGCCTGCAGCCGGGCCACCCTCCCTCCTCCCTCTAGCTGCCTGCAGGAGGCCTGGGGCCCTCGGCTGCCCAAAGAGGGAATCAATCCCAATCCCGTGCTAATGAATAAAAAGTCCCCTTTATTTCACTGCTGTTTTTGGTTCATTAAATTTTCCACAGATTTGTAGAGAAGAAAACATAATCAATAAACCTTGACAAAAGTGAACGTGTGAAAAAGGCCAGAGAATGGAAAAGCGAGATAAAAGTGATATCCGATCACAGATTTCAGAGGCAGATGACGAGCTCGGGGCTGCAGAAGAATCTCAATGGACCATCACCCTTTTGCGGCTTTCCTTCCCTTTGCTGAACTCTTCATTCAAGACAATGGCAAACGCACTAAAACTTTTTTTCTTATGCTAATAGCTGAAACCCGGCACTCACAGTTAAAACACACTTCCCAGCAACCTGTTTTTTTTTTTTTAAACAACACACATGTGCAAGCACACACACAAAACATTATTCAATTTAAACCCAAATCCCCAAAACAGTTTAATAAGTACTCTTTGGTCACATCTTAAATGAGTTACTTTCCCCCATGTGTATGTTTTTTAAGAAACCAGAAACAACACAAACAGGATTATTGAGAATTACTGTGCTGATGAAAGAATTGGGGGAAAATAAGATATTAAATGCACAGAAAGTATACCGTTATCATCTGTGCATTTTCCCAGGTTTTAAATACAGTTTTGTGGGTTAAGGATGCTTTTGTCATCCTCTAAACCTAAAAATAATAATCAATGATTTTTTTTTTAATTCTTGATATTCCACAGCAAACCCTCAAATTAATTTCAGAGAAAATGATTAATGTTGAATCCGGTGTTGTGTGTTTATTTGAAAACCAGAAAAGTGTTGAAGGTGCCACTCTTTTTCAAAGGACACTCTCAAACATCAATGTCGGATGACCCTTTCTCAAATCTGTTAAACAAGCCTGAGGAAACAATTAGAGAGCAGTTTTTCCTCCCCGATTTCTTTAGAAGTGCAGGAGCAATTTCAGGAGCAACTGAAATCACTGTACATTCTGGTTGTTGGTACAATCACCTATTCTGCCTCTGAATTTTCTGGAATCTGAAAACACTGTTTCTCTCTTTGGCATTCTTCACGTGTTTCACTTGTCCATGCCTCTGACACTTAGTGAAAAGAAGAAAGGGGGGAAGTGCTCCCCCGGGTTCCTTTTCAAAGGGCCCTGGCCCAGCGGGAACAGCTGCAGCTGTCCACAGCGAGGTCCACCTGGCCTGGCTGCCCCTTGTCCACTAGGAAACAGGCTCTGGCCCAGGTAGAACCCCTTTCTCCTCCCCACAGCCTCCAAGAAGCAAGGCTGGTTTGCTCCACCTCCCTGCCGCAAGAGCCATGCAGATGAAAGGAAGCTGGGCTAAACACACTTTCCCCAGGAAAAGGCCAGCTGCCCTACCCAAAGAGTACACAAGGATGTAGGACTCCGATTCTAGGCTTTAACAAGCCAGCTGGGTGTGAGGGGGTCACACAAGCTTTCAAAGTGCACATGACAACCTCCTACTCCCATTTAAAGGGAACTGCTGGCATCTGTGGAGTGAAGTTTTCCCGTGGAGTACCCCCGGGGCAGGGGTGGGGGACAATGGAAGAAGGGTGTTTATTAGGCAAATATCCAATTTTGTCTGCCTGCCTGCTGAATCCCTGGTTTGCTAATCCAGCCCCAGGGGCTGCACTGTGTACAGGGCACTTGTGGGAGTACAAAAAGCGTGAAGTATTTGTGTATTTTTCAGTCTGCAGTGCAAACAAGCCAGCTACAGTACACAGCCCCCAAGACCCCCGCAGCCAGGCAATGAGCCACTGACCAGAAGCCCTGCGGCCCCCTCTTCTGACCAAGCAACTCAAAGGATTGACTCTGCATTCGGTGCTCTCTCCACCAGTGGACCAGAGCATCCCTGGGAGAGTGAAGTGGCACTCCACTCCAAGGCTGCCTGGCCACAAGGGCCTCGCTAACTCCACACAAGCTTCAAGGAAGCCACGAGTCAAGAGTCCCCTTCAAGGCCAGAGCAGAATGAGTTTGGGAGCAGCCCGGAAGTCTCTGCTGAAGGAATCTGAACCCACTGCAAATTCAGTCAAATCGATTCCCACAGAGGATAAAACCATCTCTAGCAGTCTTACCTTGTTCCTCGGTGGCTTGGGAGGCTCTTTCTACTATCATTCTAATTCTTTCTACCTATAATTCTAATTCTCTCCAAGAGGCTTTGCAAATAGACCGTTCTGACCACAGTCTCTCACTCAGATGCTAGCCCAACTGAAGGCTGGTTCACCTGAGGGATACCTCCTGGGCAGCTGGGCTCTTTCAAATGCAGGATCTTCCCTGTATTAGCTTAAATCCCCTAAAATCACGAAACAATTTCGTGAAACTGGCATATTTCTCGAAGCAGAGGAGAAAATAAAACCACCCTAAATCTTACCAAATATAATTAACTTTAAAACTCATCAGACAAGCGACAACTTTCCATATGGCTGGGCTTGAGTGGAATTCGAATCCCAGGGAAAAACATCTCCACAATTTCCTGTAACCCTCAAGAGAGAAGCAGCAAGTCTAGGAAAACAAAAGCAAGAACGATGAAGAAAGAGGCACAAGAAGCATAGTCAAAAAGAAGAGAAGGCCCCTGATGGATCTGGATTCCACATTCTAGAATGACTGCCCCAGGACAGACCAGAAGCTGGGAAAAGCCTAAATAAAGAGCCTCCAAACTCAAAGCAGCCAGGCATAGCCAAGGTGCCCCCCGTCCCTGTGGAGTCAGGCCCAGGTAGCCACACCGTGAGCTTCCCCCTAAACAAGCAACTGCAAAGCCGTTCCCAGGCCCCAGGGAGGGCCTGTCCCCAGACACAGGGAAACCCAGCCAAGGGAACTCCCAGCAAGGTAAGGAAATGGGCGGAGAGAAAGCTGGCAGGTGAGGTGGCTGGAACAAACTGGTCTCATCAGGGAGGCCTGTGACAAACCCGCCTATTCCTCCGCTTTCCCCGCTGTATATTTTGGATTTCACAGTTTATTTACTTTACTTTTTGGCACCGAGCCCCCTGAGCATGCCAATACAATATTTGTTTAAACACTATTTTATGCTGCTTGCGAGGGAAACGTTTACTTTCAAATTCTCCTACATCCCCCAGAGCCTCGTCTGCAAACAGCCTATGAGCGTTTTACAACTGCTCCCTTTATCTGAAGCTGTCGGGATTAAACCTTCACACGCCCGGCAAGAGCGGCGGAGAGGGGGCCCGGGACACCGCTGCGGCCACCGAGCTGCAAAGCCCGTGCCAGAGGTCGCGCACCGAGCGGGATGCCCGGGCTGGGGGACAGAGGGACGCCTACAAGACTCCCAGGGCGCGGGACCAGACAGTAGGGACAGGTCTACTTTTCCAGCTGGGATCAACTCTAGGAGCCACAGAACAATTACACAAAAGAGAAGGTAGTGGAAAGAGGCACCCTCGGGGGGGCTCGAGGTCCCCGAGAGCCTCAGCGACCGATCACCCAGGGTGAGGCGCACGGGCTCCATCCCCAGCTCCCCGCGCGGTAAAAGTCGGGTTTCCTAGGAAATGACAGCAGTTACCGCCGGGCTGAAAAGGCGCCGAGCTGGGTGGACTCCCAGCTCTCCAGCGCGGCGGGCGCGCTCACACTCACACACGCAAGCACACGCTCCCTCCCAGCTCCCCGCCCCCGCCCCGTCCGGGGAAAAGACTCCCCTCTCTAAACCCTTAATAGGATTGGCGCCCAACTCTCTCCGCGCCTCTCCCCATCCATCACATACAGATCAAGTTGCAGTAGTGGATTTTTCAAATTCCTCAGCAAATATACTTGTTGAGAGATTGTCGGGGGTGGGGAGAGACGATGAGTAGGGGGGCAGGGATGAAAGTGAGGTGGAAGGGGGAACCGGAGGACCCGGCAAAGGATTACGTGCGGATCCCTTTGGGAAGTCAAGCGGATCTCAGGGCCGAGGGCAGGAGAGGAGGAGAAGAGAGGCAAAGAGGGGGGGCCGAGGAGGAGAGCCCAGCAGAGGGGGAGGGGGCGGCCGGGCCGGGCGAGGGGGAGGAAGGATTGAGGAAGGAAGAAAGAAAGGCAGGGCTCCGGGACGCGCAGCGCGGAGAAGTGGAGTTCGAAGTTCTCAAGTGGCTGGCTGCAGCCCCTCCGCGCTCAGTACGCCCGCAGACACGCTCCCATGCCCACCTACGGCAGCTTCGGAGCATCCCAGCCTCCGATCCCACCCTCCACCCCCTGAAAAAACAGACCCCCGCCGGCGCGCGGAGGCCGGCTCGCTGTGCACCCCGAGAAGAGTGGTGCTCTCCCCCAGGTAGGGAGAGGGTGCAACATCGACCTCTGGCCACGAGCTCCAAGCCCCAGGACTCTCCTTACGTCCCCGCCCTGCTCGTCCAGAGCCCCAGGCGGGGTCGCGCCTACTAGCCTCTAGTCCCCCGAAGCCCAGGGCCCCGATCCCAAGGCCTAGGCGCCGGTACCCGGCCGAGGGACCCCCCGAGACGGCGCAGCATCCCAGTCGGCCCGCGCTTGGCCGAGGTGGGAGGCGCTTCGTCACGAAAAGCAAGCAAAAGAAGGCCAATGCAACTTTACCGAGAGAGACAAAAGTTTGCCTCTAGCACGCAGGTGGCCTCTCGGGCGCCGGGCGGTGGCTGTGGGCCCCCATCCCACCTTGGCTGGCGCGGCGACCCTCGGCTGGCTGCCTTGTGCCGGGGCTCCAGCCAGCCGGGGCGGGGCGGGCCAGGCAAGAGAGGGGACCGAGAGGCGGGCGGGCGCCGCGCAGCCCCTACCGCCGGCGAGCAGGCGGCTCCCCGAGGCTGCGGCGCGCCGCGCGGCCCAAGCTCTTTCCTCCGGCTCCTCCTGCGGCTCCTGGCCTTCCTCCGCGTTCGCAGTCGCAGCCGCCGCCGCCGCCCGCTCCTCCTCGAAGTCTCATTGATGGGAGTTTGAAAAAAAGTCCGCGGAGCCGTGCTGCCTCGGCTGGCAAGCGCCGGCACTTCTGCAATCCATCAGCGCCGCCGGACTGCGCAGCGCCCCCGCGCGCACGGTGCGGGCACACCCGGGCCCCAAGAACCCGCCAGCCAGCCCGCCCGCTCCCTGCCGGGGGACGCAGGGGGACCCGAACGCCGCCGGGGCGGGGGGAGGGGAAAGGGGGAGCACAGGGACTCTCCCCACCCAGCACCAAGGAAAGAAAACGCACCTACAAGGAAAGTTCGAGAAAGGAACCAAAGGACGCGCCAATCTCCGACACTTTTTTTAGACGACTAGGTGTGGGGGGGGGGGTTGGGGGTGTCGCTAACTCAAGTCAGATGAGCTCCGGAGCTGAGGGGCAAGGGCTGCTCTGTTTTCAATCTCTGAAATCCCCCCGCCCTCCCCACCTCCCACTTCCCTCCTCGGGGAGATGCCTGGGTCGCTGTTCCCAGGGCGCCCGCTTCTCTGGACGCCCGCGCGGAAGCCGGGGACGCCAGAGAAGGGACGCGGGGGCTGGGTCCACGCGGACCCTCTTCCCGCGGGCAGCGAGCGCAGGTGCCGGGGGTCCTGAGGCGTCCCCCGCCGCCGCTAGCCCTCGTCGCCATCTGAGCACACGCTGGCGAGAAACGAAGCAGCCTTCTAGGTTTGGTGCATGTGGCTTGCAGGGTGGGTTTTTGTTTTGTTGTGTTGTGTGTTTTAGAGACTCCACTCGAGCCGCTGAAGCCAGATGGAAGTAATCAGAACCCAACAACAACAGAGAAAGAAGGAAGAAAAAACTCCTCATTGAATTTTCTAGCCAAAGTGTATATGGGGCTGTGTGTGAAAGAACTTGCTTAAGCAAGCTCAGTGAGGAGCCCTGGGCCCTCAAGCCACACCACAGCCCGGAACTGGGCCGCCAGGCTTGGAGGAGAATTGGGGGCAGCTGGCTAAAGTGTCCTCCCCACACCCCCGGGCCTGCCACCCTCTCCAGGGCCCCTGGGCCTCACCCGAAGAGGGTCTTGGGGGGAATTTCTGGTTTTATTCTTCCTAACGTTTGTAGAACACTCTACCAAGTGCCAGGTGATGTTATATTTTCTTTGTATTATTGGACTTTCACAGCTCTGTAAGGAAGGTTCTCTTCTCGTGTTTTTACAGGTGGGAAGTCTGATGCTTTAAAAAGTTAAGTAACTAGTCTAAGGTCAGAGCACTCTGCCATCCTCCCAGAGCTTCGGGTGGTTGTACTGTAAGTTCAGTTAAATTTGCCCTGTTGGGCCGGGCGCGGTGGCTCACGCTTGTAATCCTAGCACTTTGGGAGGCCGAGGCACGGGGATCACCTGAGGTCAGGAGTTCAAGACCAGCCTGGCCAACATGGTGAAACCCCGTCTCTACTAAAAATACAAAAAATTAGCCAGGGATAGTAGCGCGCGCCTGTAATCCCGGCTACTTGGGAGACTGAGGCTGGAGAATCTCTCAAACCCCTTGGGAGATGGAGGTTGCAGTGAGCCATGATGGCGCCACTGCACTCCAGCCTGGGTGATGGAGCGAGACTCTGTCTCAAAAAAATAAATTAATTAAATTAAATTTTTAAAAAATTGCCCTGTTGAGGTGGGTGGAAGTGTCTCTCCCTTCAGCCCCTGTTCCTAAAATTGCATTTTATTTGAAATGCAAGGGACCCAATGCTACCCTCCCTGAGGGGATGTGACCTACACAGGCCCATTTCACCGGTGCAACCCTTTTTGTGGGTGGCTCTCTCCATATACCTTTTATCCTCTGCTAACTTTATTCTTTTACTTTTTAATCAAAGAGGATGCATTAGAACTTCATTCCTTAAGATCCTCCTTCCTCCTCCTGACATTCACTTATATGATGGAGCAACAATTTCTTCTTGACCTAGAGAAAAAAATATGCAGAAAAATATTAGAACAATTTGATGCTAATTTTGTTTGGGGGGAAAAGGTCGGCAGCATTTTTAAAAAGCGAAACTTGCATAAGCCAATGATTTAAAGAGAAGTTTGAAAGGGGCTTTTTCTTTAAAGATGATCAGATTCACCATTCCTCCGTGCTATTTGTTTAAATTCCTGCTGAGCTTTCAGAACACAGACTCTAAGGAGACAGAAAAAGTAAACTCTCCCTCCCCTCCTTGGCCATATTTTAATGACCCTATTCATATCTGCCCCATGACATGTAGGGAATCATTTCTCATTGCTGGAATATTAGCCGCGTTGGCTGATTACTTCATTATGAGCTTGTCTCTGTTGATTTCCTTGTGTTGTAAAGTTTGTGAAGAAGTTTAAACAAATCAATGTTTTAGGATATTTCCTTCTTCTCTGTTTTTCTTCTCAGACCAGCTCAACTCCTGCTGGACTCCAGGCACTCACATAACCTTTCCCGGCTTATTTTGGCAAGAAGATGGCTGTCGAGATGAAGACAGAATGTTTTTTGGTTGGAGGAGAACTCTGTAGACACCGTGCCTGAATCTCTAGATGGTCAGAAGTTTGGGCGCTGAAAAAAGCAGCAGAAGGTTTGGAGTGGAGGCAAACTGGTGTGGCCAGGGAAGCCTTCGACTGAGCGCTGGGACACCAGGTCCTAGTCCCAGATCTGGTACTAAGTGTATGACCTTTGGCCAGTCTGGTTCATTCAATCAGTACCAGGCACTGTGCTAAGTGGCTCGACACCACAGTGAGCAACACCTACAAGATCTTTCCCCTTAGGGAGCTTATGTTTCATTAATAACCACAAACAAACATATAATCACAAACTGGGTAAAGGAAAATCCACCGTGCTGTGGGAGCCGGTGATTGGAGACCTGAGCAAGCTGGGAGGTGAGCTTGGGGAGGGGAGTGGTACAGAGAAGGAGAACGCTTTCCTGGGGAGATGAGGTTGCACTGATAAGAAGGAATGAGGAATGAGGGAGGGTGGACTAGGAGAAGGGGAAGTGGAGTGTTCCAGTTCTTCCTTCTCCCTTTCTGTGAAATGGGCCTGAATGACGAGAAAAACCAGGCCCAAAAGGAAGCAGCTTGTTCATTATTTCCCCGTATTCTAGTGACTAGTCATAGAACAAATCACCCGCAAACTCAACGGAAGGAAACAACCATTTCTTATGTTCGTGGCTTCTGCACATCAGGATTTTGAACGAGGTATAACAGGGGCAGTTTGTCTCTGCTCCACAGTGTCAGGCCTCCACTGGAAAGCTTCAGGGCTGAGGCTGGGATCCTCTGAAGACTCTGGCTCCGCTGCCTGGCGGTCTGTGCTGACTGTTGGCTGGTGGGGGGCCTCAGTTCCTTTCCATGCACCTCTTCATGTGGTCTCTTTACTCAGGCTAGTTGGGGTCCCTCATAGCACGGTGGTAACTAATATGCAGGGCGAGCTTAACAAGAACCAGCCAGGGAGAAGGCCTTTGGTCTTCTATGAAACCTCGGCAGGCACACCGTATCACGTCAGTGCACTCTATTCTTCAGGGCAGACACAGAGATCTGCCTCGGTTAAGGGGAGGGAAAATAGACTCCATCTCTCTTCTTTTTTTTTTTTTCAGACGAGTCTTGCTCTGTTGCCCAGGCTGGAGTGCAGTGGCGCCATCTCTGCTCACTGCAACCTCTGCCACCAGGGTTCAAAGGATTCTCCTGCCTCAGCCTCCCAAGTAGCTGGGATTACAGGCACGCACCACTACACCTGGCTAATTTTTGTATTTTTTAGTAGAGATGGGGTTTCACTATGTTGGCCAGGCTAGTCTCAAACTCCTGACCTCAAGTGATCCACCTGCCTCGGCCTCCCAAAGTGCTGGGATTACAGGCATGAGCCACCACACCAGGCTAGACTCCATCTCTTGAGGGGGAGTGGCATGATTCTGAAAAAGCACCTGGGAGCAGAAAGGTTGCTGTGGCTGTTTTTGGAAAACACAGTCTGCTACACATGGCTAACTGGAGACCCGTGGAAGACTAGATAGGCTCTGAGATAGGTGTACTGCTTCATGGTTAGGCTACAAAGCCTGTGTCTTCATCCACTCAGGCTGCTATAACAAAACACCCTAGACTGGGTAATTTATAAATGACAGAAATTTACTACTCACAGTTCTGGAGTCTGGAAAGTCCAAGATCAAGGCACCAGCAGATTCAGTGGTCTGGTGAGGGAGTGCCCTGCTTCATAGATAGCACCTTCTTGCTGAGTCCTCACATGGAGGAAGGGGTGAACAAGCACCTTCTTTTGTGAGGATACTAATCCTATACATGAAGGCTCTGCCCTCATGAGCTAATCACCTCCTAAAGGCCCCACCTCTTAATATCATTGCATTGGGGATTGTTTCAATGTATGAATTCCCTGGACATGCCCCCATGTCCATGGGGACATGAACATTCGACTATGGCAGCCTCATAGCAAGCACTTAGGAGTTCTAGAAAGAATCAAGAGACCCAATCCCTACCCTTAAGGAGCCTACACTCTCAAGAGATACATAGATTTGGCCGTGATTAAAGGACACAAAACGGTGCACTGAGGAGTGGGCTGGGTAGCCAGTTCCCACCTGGATAGGGTGGACTAAACAGCCACTCAGTAGCCAGAGAGGAGTGGCAGGGAGGGTGTCCATACAACAAATACGGACCAGTCCCAAGCGTGGATCCTGTCCATCTGCTGTCCTTTCAGGGCTCCTGAGATGGCCCTCAGCCTCACCCTCCACTCCACCTCCCATAGACTCTGCAGAGGGAGCCACTAGTCTCAGGCTATGTCTGTTATCACAATGCGAGTACATCTGAGAGGGGCAATCCAGAACCTTTCGGGTGATACTACTTAACCACTGTGAGGAAATTTACAGACCTTTTCCAAAGAGTGGACTTCTAAAGGAGTAAGAAAAGTGAGGATGCTACCTGTGGGGGCACTACTACAGGGACAGTTACACAAAGGGAGGATGCCAGGCGGGCCAAACACCAGCAAGCATTTCTCATTTGCAACCTGAATTTTCAACCCTCTCCCAGACAACTTTGTGGAATAAAGCAATGTAGAGATGCACACAAGGGGTTGTACAAACTTGGAAGATGTTAGGGACCCCCCCCCCCGTGCCCACCCCGCCAACCACAGAAGCAACTGGCAAAACCTCTTTCCTCTTCAGGATTGCCCTGGAGGACACAGCTGGGAGAGAGTCAAGTGCAGATGTGCCAAAACTCTTTGGCTAATGAACTCATGCACGCATCCATGCATTCATTCATTCATTCACTTAATCATCTGTGTTGAGCTCCTACTATGTGCTTTGCACTTTAGAAATAAAAAGATCAGCTGGGCGGGGTGGCTCACGCCTGTAATCCCAGCACTTTGGGAGGCCTGAGGCGGGTGGATCACGAGGTCAGGAGTTCGAGACCAGCCTGGCCAACATGGTGAAACCCCGTCTCTACTAAAAATACAAAAATTAGCTGGGTATGGTGGCGCGTGCCTGTAATCCCAGCTACTCAGGAGGCTGAGGTAGGAGAACTGCTTGAACCGGGACCTGGGAGGCGGAAGTTGCGGTGAGCTGAGATCACACCATTGCACTCCAGCCTGGGCAACAAGAGTGAAACTCTGTCTCAAAAAGATAAATAAATAAATAAAAAGATCAATGAGCTATGGTCCTTGCCTGTCCTCTACCCTGTAGTCCCCTGGCTGGGTAATACTCTCACAGGCCCCTCTGTCAGCCCAGAGTGAAGGGCCATGAGGGTAGATTATAAGTGGGAGGGACTAGGGAAGTGGGCCAGAGGACACTGCTGCAGCCGTCCTGGGGTGGGGAGGCAGCAAAATCAGCAGGGCTCAGAGATCCAGTTCCCAAGAACTGTTCTCAAGATACAATGGGTTTCTTAACAAAATTGAAAAAGATAGCATCCTCTCACAGCCACTAATGATTCTAAGAAATATCAACAGTCCTCACTACCACATGATAATGACAGATACTACTTCAAGACAATTTAAAAAGGAATAATTCAAAACATCTAATGAAAACATGATGGAATAGTTATAAGGTACTAGACTGGCCTCCACATGGATCTAAGGATAGCCACTCCCTGCCCATTTGCAGTGTATCAAATTGCATGTAAGTGAGTCACCTCTCTTAGGAGGGGGCAATGAAGAGGCAGCGTGGGAGATGGCCGGTTTCTAATACTCCCACTTGGGTTCCATCCTCTCCACTCGTCTCCAGCAGAAGGAAGATAACGTGGAAGTCACTTGAAATGCACTTCATTAAAGTGCATTTCAATCCGAACCTCCCCCAAATGTATATAGATCATTTTTCTCCTTCAGCACCTCCTCTGTTATTCATTATTTTATCAGCATTTCAACTTGTCTTTAAATGTTCAGTGTCAGAGGTTTGCTTTGTGTCTGTGTTACTTGGTGAGCTTTGTTCCGCCAGTAATCAACTGGGGAGAGGCAAGTTCTCACTGTCTTTTGAATAAGTGGAAGGAGAGAGAGAGCTGGAAGAGTCCCAGATAGCAAAGTAGAGGCAGAAAATTGGTTCACAAAGGCAGAAGTTGGTCCACAGCTAAGGCTAGCCCACGTGAGTGTATTGGATAGCAAGTTTTCTCCCTGAAAATTAACGTATAAATCAAAGGTTTTTATATTAATAAGTAAAACCAATCGAAGATAAAACAGAAGATCCCAATTATGATAGTAAAGGAAATGAAAGTGTAAACTAACTAGACTCGTTAAAAAGAAGTCCAAAACCTATATGAGAAAAACGATAACACACTACTGAAACACATAAAAGTAGACTTGAACAACTGTAAAGAAATATATTCTTATTTAGGCAGATTCAGCATCATAAAGGAGTTAGTTCTCCCTAGATTAATATATAAATGATTGCAATCCAAAAAATAAAAATACCATCTTTTCTTGGAGGGGAGGAGTAGGCTAGATAACTTAATTTTGAAGTTCATTGGGATGAAGAAAAAAGGAAGAATATCCAGGAAAAATCCTCAAAAGAGAAGCAACTTGGAGGGAGGGGAGAACCCTATCAGCCCTACCAGACCTTAAGACATGTTATAAAGCCTCCATAGTTAAACAGCTTGGTAATGATGAATGAATAAAAAGACCAATGAAATGGAACACAAAATTCAAAAACAGACTTAATTGTGTATGGAAATTTCCATTTTGATGAAGGCAGCATCCTGAATGAGTGAGTGAAAGACGTGCTTTTTAGTAAGCTGTATTGGGATAACCAGATAACAAAATGGAAATGAAAACTCTGATGCACACACACAACTTGCATCACACTGTACACCTGCATAAGTCAAACTTAGATCACGTTGTACGCCAGTATAAATTCCAGATGTAATCATTATTTAGATGAAAGAAAATTAAACTGTGCAAATACTAGAAGAAAGCATGAGTAAATTCTACTAGAACCTGCGAATGGGGAAAATTTTCCTAGCTATGACTCAAAATCTAGAAATAAAAAGAAAAATACTAATGTTAGATTACATTTAAAAAAAAATGTGAACACCTTCATGGGAAATACTAAAAATACTAAAAAAGTAAAAAGTCAAATGACAAACTAGTAAAACTATATGTAACTTATTACAGAGAAAAGTTACTATAACTTATGTATTTAAAAAAAAACTTCTAAAAATACAGAAAAATGTAACAACGTTATACAAGATGTCAGTTCTCAGAAAAAGACCTACAAATGGCTCTTCTGTATGTGAAGAGATGCTCACTCTCTCATAAGAGGAATACAAATTAAAGTTAGACCAAAATACTATTTCTCACATATTAAATGCAGAAAACCCCAGCCGGGCACGGTGGCTCATGCCTATAATCCCAGCACTTTGGGAGGCCAAGGCGGGCAGACCATTTGAGGTCAGGAGTTCAAGACTGGCCTGGCCAACATGGTGAAACCCCATCTCTGCTAAAAATACAAAAATTAGCTGGGCGTGGTAATGGGTGCCTGTAATCCCAACTACTCGAGAAGCTGAGGCAGGAGAATCGCTTAAACCTAGGAGGTAGAGGTTGCGGTGAGCCAAGATCACACCATTGCACTCCAGCCTGGGCAACAAGAGCAAAACTCCATCTCAAAAAAAAAAAGAAAGAAAGAAAACCCGAAAGCTTCACTACATACTCTGTTGGTGAGGCTGTAGGGAAACAGGAATTCTCATACACTGCTGGTGGAAATGCAATGTATGAGAACCCCTATCAAGAGAAATTTGGCAAGTCTAGTAAAATCACTTAGGCATTTACTCTTTTGACCTACTCATTTCTAGGTATCTATCTCAAACACAATTCAAAAAGTCATACAGAGACGACTATTAATAGCAGCCGTATTCATAATATCAAAAAACTAGAAGCAACCCAAATATCTCCATGTGAAGATAGATTGAACTATAGGTGTTATATAGTTATAGTATAGTATATCTTCACACTGGAATATTATACAGCTGTAAAAAGAAAAGAGAAAATACCTTTATATGTATTGTGAAAGAAGTAAGGTGGGGTAAAATATATAGTATATTAGTGCTTTTTTAAAAAATGGGGCCTTGCTGTGTGGCCCAGGCTGGAGTGCAGTGGTGCAGTCATGGCTCACTGTAGCATTGACTTCCTGGGCTCAAGCAATCTTCCCACCTCAGCCTCCTGAGTAGCTAGGGCTATAGGCATGTCACCATGCCCGGCTAATTTTTAAATTTTTTGTAGAGATGAGGTCTCTCTTTGTTACCCAGGCTGGTCTCAAATTCCTGGCCTCAAGCAGTCCTCCTACCTTGCCCTCCTAAGGTACTGGGATTACAGGTATGAGCCACTGTGCCTGGCCATATACTACTGTTTATACACACAGGATTTGTTTATATTCTTAAGTAGATAAACCATAGAATGTTTTAAAATTATCTATGGGGGCAGTGAGGGAATAAAATGGAAGGAACAGAAATGGAAGCTAGACTTCTTTGAATATATCTTGGGTTTTTAGACTTGACTTCAGAAACATGAAAAGAATTTACATGATTATAATATTAAAATTTTATTTTTTGTAGTATAAAGGATATATTTTTTTATTTTATAAAAATAATGTAATTATTTTTTAAAAAGTAATCCCCAAAAGTGAAAGTAAAATGAAACAAATGAGCATAAATATGTGTCTAGTTAGTAGATACAAAGGGACAAAAATTCTATGTGACTATCAAACGTACTAATTTGACTGCACATGACTGTGGATATGCTTTTAGGACAAAAGGAACTGGTTATGTGGAAAACAAACTGTTTTCAGTAATTATATTGTTGGTAGAGTGTTGATATTGTTCTCAGATAATGAATATATAGTATGAAATCATGCAAATTAGTAATTATGTTAGTATGATGGATAATTAGAATTGTTCAGCATGGGAGAGAGGAGAAAGAGAAGTAAAATTAATAAAGTTAAACTCTATGGTTCTAAATTTGAATTGGAAACATCATTATGAACTCATGAGTATTTTATCTTTTTTTAAAATTATGTTTCTTAGCCCTGTCCACTGAAAAGTCTTAAAAACAATGATCAACCCAATAGCAGTGAGCACCCTGAGAGTCTAGATTTGGTTTCTAAATACCATTTCTCACTATAAAGAACCAGAACTCCTTGGAGAAATGATTGATTCTAGGTTTGGGAAGAAAATGCCCAAGAGGAGCCTGCTATGTACCCATGTCTGTGTCCATTACCAATGTGACAGTATTTGGTAATGGAGCTTTTGAGAGGTAATTGGGTTTAGATGAGGGATTCACGATGGGATTAGTGCCCTTACTAGAAAACCAAGAGATTTTCTCTCTCCCTCTCTCTCTCCCTGCTCCCCCTCTCCATCTCTCTCCATGCATAAGCACCAAGGAAAGTCCATGTGTGCACACAGCAAGAAGGCAGCTGTGTACAAGCCAGGGAGGGGACCTCAGCAGGAACCACATCTGCTAGTACCTGGATCTTGCACTTCCCAGCCTCTAGAATGGTGAGAAATAAATTTCTGTTGTTTAAGCCACCATCCTGTGGTTTTTTGTTACAGCAGCCCGAGGTGACTAAGACAAAACCTGATATTGTCATACCAGAAAGGAAGGCAGCTATCAAAGACAACTAGAGTTGTGTCAGAGGACTCAGGGCCAATTAAAAAGGCTTCCCTGACCAAATGTGGGACACGTGAGTTTGCCAATGGATTGTACACATCACATATCTTTAGATCCATGCACATAGAAAGCCACTTGGAAAAAAGTTCATCTCAGTGGTTTCCTTGGACCTGTGCTTTTCATTACCCACTAGCCATGCATGACTACGGAGCCCTTCAAATGTGGCTAGCCCAGCTGAAGAACCATATTTAAAATTTTAGATGTAAAAGAAAATCTTTTAAGTGTGTTTGGAACAACCTGGGTATGTGACTTTACATTTTCCACTATAAATTTTGTGAAATCTGAATGCAAGTCAACTATTTCTGATGAACATTTAAGATCTGAATTGAGTGTAAAATACACACTGGATTTTGAAGGTTGAATACAAAAAAAAAAGATGGAAAATTGCATTTTTTTAATGTTGACTACATGTTAGAATGATAGTACTTTGGAAATACTGGGTTAAAAATATATCATTAAAATTAATTTCAGCTGTTTTTCATTTTCTCATAAGGCAACTAGAAAATTTTAAATTACGTATGTGGCTGGCATTATATTTCTGTTGCATAATGTTGTCTTAGAGGATGCTATCATGATTTGATAAGTAAGAAATAAAGTGGAAAAATCAAATGTTTGTCTTGATTTTCCTATACTAACTGTACCTCAGAGTAACCAAATAGTTAATAAAGGTAAGTTTCTTCTTTTAGAAGAAGTATTCTAGTTAATAAATGAGGAGGGAATGACAGGATCAGACATTTTGCAACTCCTAATGGCTTGATGGATCTGGGCTGCCAGTACCCCCCAAACAGGGACCTGTGAATCTCCTGATGGAAGGAGACGGCACACCTATGAAGTATTCTTGTTGAAAAAAAAGCAAACTTGTTTCTGGTCATCCTGTGGAGACTTTTAATCTAACTGCAGTTTAGTAGAAGTTTAGGGGATAGAAGAACGTGTTAAACACTACCACAGAGACACAGTACAGTCTCCTCAATAAATAAATTTCAAGGGCATAAAAAGCAGTTGGAGGCAAAGCTAAAAATTTAGAGATTTAAAAGACATAACAACCAATTGCATTGATGAATCTCATTTAAACTAAATGAACTGAAGAAAAAAAAAGTATAAGGCAATAGGGCAATTTGTTCGCTGACTGGAGGGTTGTTGACAATAAAGAATTATTGTTGATTCTTTAGATGTTGCCATTGCTATGGTGTGGATATCTGACCCTCCAACTCTCATGTTGAAACTCGATCCCCATGGAAAAACAAAGTCAGTGGAAAAATTAAAAACAGAAAGAAAGAGAGAAAGAGAAAGGAAAAGAAAAGAAAAAAGTTCATTCCTCAGTGTTGGAGGTGAGGCCTAGTGTGAGGTGTTTGGGTGTCATGGGGGTGGATCCCTTGTGAATGGCTTGGAACCCTCCTGAAGATAATGACTGTGTTGTCTGTTAGTTCCCAAGAGCCTGGCACCTTCCCCATCTCTCTCTTGCTTCCTCTCTCACCATGGGATGGGATCTCTGTCCACGCTGGCTCATCTTCCCTTCCACCATAAATGGAAGCAGCTTGAGGCCCTCACCAGATGCAGATGCTGGTGCCATGCTTCTTGTACAGCCTGCAGAACCATGAGCCAAATGAACTTCTTTTCCTTGTAAATTACCCAGCCTCAGGTTTTCTTCTACAGCAACATAAAAACAAAGACAGTCATATATTTGGGTGGTTTTTTTTTAAGAGTCCTTATCTTCTAGCCATACATATTGAAATATTTATGAGTGAAATTATATAATGTCTGGGATTGGCTTCCAGATGATCTTGGATGGAGTGAGTGGTGGAGATACAGATAAAATAAGATCAGCCATGAGTTGATGATTGATTCAGAGTGATGGGTTCATGCAGTGTATTGTGCCTGACCTGTTTGAAATTTTCAATAATAAAAGTTTTTTTTAATTCCAAAAATATATATAAATAAATAAATAATGAAAATGGGTGAGTCAGATTTTAAAAAAGGAGTTCCGGATTAATATATAATAATATATAATATATATATAATTATATATATATTATATATATAATTATAAATATATATATAATTATATATAATTATATATATTATATAATATATATATAATATATATATAATTATATATATAATTATATAATATATATATAATTATATATATTATATATATAATTATATAATATATAATATATATAATTACATAATTATATATAATATATAATAAGGAGTTCTAAATTCTTTAGAAGGCATGCAAGGGACTTCAGGATGGGGTCCTGTGCTGCTGTCTCATGTAGCACACTGTGATTCCCCTGTCCCCACACCTTTGAACTGGTGCTGCCTCTCTCTGAAAGGCCCTTCACCCTCTTTTCTACTGGAGAGTTCCTATGCAGTCTTCAAAACCCTGCTCAATGTTCATCTCTTCTGGGATGCTTTCCCTGACTCCTCCAGACAAAGTGAGGCAGTCCCTCACTCTGTCTCTTTAGGGAGTTTGCAGCAGCTGTGACAATGTGTTGTTGACCTGTGGAGGTCCCACCCCTACCGTGCTGCCTTCACTTGCTCTCTGAAAGCAAGATCCTGTTAAGAGCTCTGCTGAGGTCTCTAGCTTAGAGGACAGTGCTTACCCCTCAGAAGGTTCTCCGTGCAAGCTGAGTGAGTAAACAGGTATTCCACTCTGACCAGCCCCTCAGTCCTGACTGCAGGGCACTGCAGCTTTCCACTTCCTTCGGTGCTTTGTTTAACACATCCAGCCCTGCTACATCTCGCCTGACTCCAGTCTAGAAACCTTCATTTCCTCACAGCCTGGCTGTTAGGAGTATTGGATACACAGGCATGACCACAGTTTGAAATTCCAAAGACAGGGAACAGTATCTTTTTATAGCATGTTCAGAGGGACAGAGGCAGTGCTGGGGCCAGTGGTTCCCAAGGGCAGGAACATTGTCTCGTTTATCTTTGTTGTGTCATTTCCTGGATGACCCCCAGTGGGTTCTCCCTGAGGAATGTTAAGCCAGACATTGAGGAAAGAGAGAATCACCCGATTCTGACGTCGCACCATTCTAAACAATACTAATGATCTTCAGCACCAAGGGGACTGAACAAATAGGAGTAAGAGGAAAGTGGCCTCATCGTGGCTGAGAAGGTCATCAGAGAATTGAGCCAAGATGAATAATATCTTTTCCTCACATCCGGATAAATCACAGTCCAGAGTACCATGAAAACTTGTGGGCAGGGATGCAGAATTGCTCCCTACAACTCTCTAGGAAGTGCGAAGCCTGGGAGAGGGGCCAGAAGATGGAATAAATGTCTGGGAGAAATGCTCTCTGCTTCTTCAAACGAGGCAAAGATGCAGACTGAGAACAGATAACCAGATTGCTTGATGGTAGATCCTGACGCGAGTCCCGGATGGCGGATGGTGTATGAGCCCCACCCAGAGCCCCTCACCCGGGGGGCGGGCAGGAGCAGGAGAGACACGGTTGGTGGATTTGTAGCTGGAGATAGTCCAACAACTGTAGGTGGGTGAGGTCTGGGCAAGGAATTGCTGCCCCGGGGAGCCAGGCAGGAGTGTCACCTGACTGCTCAGCCCTGCCCTGTTCTGCAGTTTTGCTAGTGACTTACATGAAGACAGAGCAAGGCTGCTGATCATACATGGGGATGACACAAAGCTGGAATTTAATTCTTGGGATGTAGAATCAAGATTTGCAAAGATAAAGACCCATCACCCTAGAAGAATGAGAAGAAACTGGCAAAATAAAATCTAAAATTCTGAGCCTCACGCAACCCACTCTATAAGGAAAGAATGGAGAGCTCTGGCTAAACACCATGCTTGTGCAGGTAGCAGGTCGGGGGAGAAAAAACCGAGTGTCCTCAGTTCAACCCAGACTTTTAAACACTGTCACGAAAGCTGGTGGGCTGCACTTTAGAGCAGCGTCCCAAACATGTTTTCGTGGGCCACCTCCATGATGCTTGCCGTGACTGCAGACCACCTGTGCTCTTGGTAACCTTTGTTTATTCATTTATTTATTTATTTACTTTATTTGATTTTTGAGACGGAGTTTCGCTCTTGTCACCCAGGCTGGAGTGCAATGGCACTATCTCGGCTCACTGCAACCTCTGCCTCCCAGGTTCAAGAGAGTCTCCTGCCTCAACCTCCTGAGTAGCTGAGATTACAGGTGCCCACAGGCTAATTTTTGTATTTTTAGTAGAAATGGGATTTCACCATGTTGGCCAGGCTGGTCTCGAACTCCTGACCTCAAGTGATCTGCCCGCCTCAGCCTCCCAAAGTGCTGGGACTACAGATGTGAGCCACCAAGCCCAGCCTCCTCGTAACCTTTAGGTCAACTCAATTCCTTGTAAAGGAAACTCTAGGTAAGGCCAGAATGCTTGCCATAAATAGGAGGCATGCAGACATCCAAGGGCCAAACTACTGCTTTTAAAGCATTTGTCTGTGGACACCTACAGGTCGTCTCCCCTGCCACCTGTGGTTTGTGTGCTCTCTCTAGGGAAACAGAGGCCCAACCCAGGGGAGTAAGTGCCTGCTCCTCTCTGCCCATCAGACCAACCCCAGGGCCTTGTGTTCAGGGAAGGGCTGCATTCCAAGAGGAGGGTAACAAACTGGAAGTGCCCTGACACTGATTGGAAGAGAATGGCTCGGAACTCTGAGCCATGGCCAGCAGTGGAACGAACTGGAACAGAAAGACCGACAAGTGATCTTGAGCAGGCCACTTTGGTTACCAGCATCTGGTCACTTCACCCACTCAAACCTGAAGCTCTTCATCAGAAAAACCAGAGGGAGAGGGACCTACCTTGTGCAGAGAGTTGGACAGGCCCTGCAGACCCCTGCCTGTCTCTCTTCACATGGTGCATCCAGGCTCCACCTCTCCTCCTCTTGGTGCCTCTGATAGGGACAGATGGCAGTGGGGTGCGAGCCCTGGGCTAGGCTCACCAGAGCTCTGATGCTAATTCACTGTGCACTCCGATGATGTGTCCCCACCCTCAGGGCCTCGGTGTCCTCATCCGTAACACCACAAGTTGGGTGGGACAATTCACGGGCTGCTGGCTGTCTGAAGCCTGAATCTGGCCCACAGATGTGTTTTGGTTGGCCTGAATAACACTGAATAATTGTATTTTATTAAAAAAAACTTTCTTAGAGATAGAGTCTTGCTCTGTCACCCAGGCTGGCATGCAGGCATCATCACAGCTCACTACAGCCTCAAACTCCTGGACTCAAGCAATCCTCCCACCTCTCTAGTAATTGGGACTACAGGCACACATCACCTTGCCTGGCTTCTATTTTTAATTTCTTGACAACATTCAAAAACCAGGAATAAACACATACACAGATTTCTTTATTCCCCTGAAAAACTCAAAAGCTCTGGTCACCCCAGGCCTGCCTCTTGGCATAGCACCGCCCAGCTGGCCCTGAAAAGTGCCCGCCCCTGTAGAAAGAGCCAGAATGCCTACCTGCAAAGCTACTCAGCCAGTGCCTTGCCCAGCCCTCGCCTGGCATGGGGCTCCTCCTGGGACCAGCAGGACGCACTTGGAGGGCTGCTATGCACTGTACAGAGTCAGTACTCCACGTGCCCTTTGGAACCGTCCCTTTCTGGCCCTAAGGACGTGGCCAGGCCTGGACTCTACTTCTCTCAGGCTCCCATTTCCAAAGTGCCAAAAGTGACTGGGGGGGCTTTTATTGTAAATTTCAAGACATCAGAGGACACTGCTAAAGTATGTGAAAGAAATTTTCAACTTTTTGGATTAAAAACTATTTTCCTTGGACAGAGTCAGCAAGTCTCATTGCTCTTGTTAACTGGTCCCTACAGAACCTCCTCGCTGATGTGGCAGAGCTGGGTCTCTTGCCTTGGTCTGCAGTTTTTAAGTAACTGAGACAACCTTCTATTCTTTCCGCGTCTTTGCATTTCACATGTCTCTTTTGCCTAGTTCTGGAAAAGACGGATGCCTCCATGACCTGGGAGCCGCGTCTAGAGCCTGTCTCTGACATCCCACCAGGAGCCCTTTGTAATCAGGGTCTTCTTAACTCCATGGGGGCGTGAACAGGACCCTGGGCTCCCTTCATACACCCTGTGGTCGTGTTGCTTCATTCACTCACGCCATGAGGTTTCCTGAGCCCCCCCACGGTGTGCCTTCCCTGGGCTGCTCACCACTGTATCCCAGCACCAGGGTGGGTGCTGGCACCCCACGGAGGCCCTCTGGAGGTTGGTGGGATACATGAAGAAGCTGGGCCTTGGCAGGGGCTGTGGGCAGGCTGAGGTGCAACTTCTGCTCTCATGGGCAACCAGCTATCGGCCTGGCAAAGTGCCTGCTGTTTAGACATTATATCGGGTCAGCCAGCAGTCTTAGAAGTGTGACCAGAGCCTTCCAGACCCATCCTGGAATGCGGTGGCACAGAGGAGAGGGGCCCTTTGAATCTCCAGAGCAGCCTGTGGTGGGGGGACCATATGATATATCACCCAAATTGGGACACGGCATGAAGGATGATGCCAGGAGAACATTTGCAAATGGAACTGTTCCAGAAGACCTGGGATGAGTAAGTCACAAGAACTTTAAAATGGGTCGTACTCTTAGGTCCAACAATCCTACCTCCAAGAAATGCATCCTAAACCAGGGAATGTTTTACGAAGAATATGTCCATCAAAGTATCATTTACAGCTGGGTGCAGCGGCTCACACCTGTGATCCCAGCACTTTGGGAGGCTGAGGTGGGAGGATTGCTTGAGGCCAGGAGTTCAAGACCAGCCTGGGCAACATGGTGAGACCCTGTCTCTACAAAGAATGCAAAAATCAGCCAGGTGTGGTGGCATGCAGCTGTAGTCCCAGCTACTCAGGGGGCTGAGGCAAGAGGATTGCTTGAACCCAGGAGTTTGAGGCTGGAGTGAGCCATGAGCATGCCACTGCACTCCAGCCTGGGCAACAGAGCAAGACCTAAGGGTCCCACCACAGGAGAGTCATTCAGTCAGCTAGAGTATAGCCATCTGCACAACAGAATAGTAGGTAGCCATTTTAAAAGGTTTTACAAATAATTTATTTCAATGTGTCAAGGTAGGTATGATACAATGCTATGTGAAAAAACACCAAAATACAACTTGATTACATGTGATTACAACTCTAGTCTCAAAAAGCCAACCCATGCATAGAGTAAGAGACTCGAAGGAAATTCAGCAATATGCTAACAGTGGTTGTTTTGGGGGCTGGAAAATGTTTTCTTGCTTTTTTTTTTTTTTGTATTTTCTAAACTTTCAAAAGGTTCATATACTTCTTTCATGATAGGAAAAAATCATTCTCTGAATCACATCAAGCAGCCTGGTGAAGGCCAGGGAGACCCATGTGGGCAGAGCCAGGAGTGGCCACTGTCCTGTGCCGAGCTTCGTCACCCAGTGCAGCTGCGTGAAGCTGTTTGGTGAGGCTGGGAGTCAACTCTGTTTTTGGTCCTCTTGAAAGTGAGCAAGGCATTGTGGTCCCCAGAATAATGGTCCCCAAAGATGTCCATGCCTGAATCTCCTGAACCTGTGATTAAGTTACCTTATGTGGCAAAAGGCATTTTGCAGATATGGTTAAATTAAGGACCTCGAGCTAGGGAGAGCATCCTGGATTATCTGTGTAGGCCCAACCTAATCACTTCAGTCCTTAAAAGTAGAAGCAGAGGCCCAAGAGTGGGTCAGAAAATATGACTAAGAAGGACTCTAGCAGCCATTGTTGGCTTTGCAGATGTAGGAAGGGACCATGAACCAGGGAATGCAGTGACTTCTAAAAGCTGAGAACTGGCACAGTGGTTCACACCTATAACCCCAGCACTTTGGGAGGCCCATGTGGGTGGATTGCTTGAACCCAGGAATTTGAGACCAGCCTGGGCAACATAGCGAGAACTTGCCTCCACAAAAAAAAAAAAAAAAAAAAAAACCAGGTGTGGTGGTGGGTGCCTGTAGTCCCAGCTACTCAGGAGGCTGAGGTGGGAGGATGACTTGAGCCCAGGTGGTTGAGGCTGCAGTGAGCTGAGATCACACCACTGCACTCCAGCCTGGATGACAGAGTGAGAACCTATCTCTCAAAATAATAACATTAATAAATAAAAGCTGGGAACTGCTCTCACTTTACAGCCAGCAAGAAAATGAGGACTTCAGTACTGTAACCACAAGGAACTGAGTTCTGCCTGCAACCCAAGTGAGCACAAAGCAGGATGTCTCCCAGAGCCCCCAGGAATGAAGCTCCACTTGCTGATACCTGAATTTTACTCTGGTGAGATTCGTGCTGGACTTCGGATCAGTAGGACAGTGACATTAAAAAAATGTGTGTCATTTAAAGCCACTAGATTTGTGTAATTCGCTATGGCAGCTGTAGAAAATGAACTCAGACACAGACAGAGCACAGGCTGGGAGTCAGGACGTGAATTCCAGGCCTGGCTCCACCATCGGGAGTCTGTGTGTCCTTGGTGAGCCCTTGGTTCTTTGGATTCCTTCCACACGGTGTGGGGTAACCCCTCGGCCCCTCCCAGCTCTGACCCTCGATTTTGCATGTGTGCCTCATTGGCCCTGAAATCTGAAGAGGAAGAGGGGTTTTTCCTGCTGCAAAGCCTGGGATCCCTAGCCTCATTCATTATATGGGATGTGTGGGGTGTGGACAGGGGCAAGAGAATACTGGAGACCAGGGCCTCCCATCCCAGAGCTGCCAGGAAGGGCCACACTCTCTGGCCACAGGTGTCTGGCCAAGCATTGAGTTCTCTGCACCTGCACTTCAAGGTGAGGTCAACATTTGCTCACAGATGCTCCTAGACTGCCCCACAGTTTGCTGCCAGCCTGGGCATGGGGCTCCGGAGGACAAGTAGAAGTTTGGGGGCAGTAGGTTTCCATTGGGCAAGCAGAGTCCCTAAAAGAGACTTGCTGGGGCTCAACAGCCTCACCTCACTATCCTCCCAGACCTTTGCTGGGGCACCGAGTGAGAGGGTGGGCCTGGCTTGGACCAGGGGAGGCAGGGTGGCTCTCTGTGGTGCCCCAGAAGCCGCCGCCCTGCCCTGCTCTGCAGCCTCCCACCCAGCGCTTTGATCCTTGCAGACAGGCCCCCTGGTGCTCCCTGTCTGTTCGTGTCGCTGGGCCTGAGCCAAGATGGAATGTGGGAAGCCTGCTTAGCTTGGGGCTCCCCACCCTGCCCAAGCTGCACACCTCATCCTGGGGTGGCCCGTGCAGGCGGGTGGGCCCCTTCTCAGAGTGAGATCCCAGAGTCTCAACCTCAGTTTCCCCAGGGTCAAACGGAGATACTAAATTGCACCTACCTCAGAGGGTCATGACAATGATAGAATCAGAACATCACTAAGGGGCATTTAATGTGCCAGTGCCTGGCGTGCCATAAGTAAATGTTCAATACATGTCAACTTTTAAATTATTAATTATAGTGTTAACCAAATCATTAATTCATTGTACGCACTTGGGCAATTCCCTTCTCTCTCCAGGCCTGTTCCTACATCTAACAGGAGCGAGTCGGACTTGCCGATGATTTCTGGAGCCCTGCCTGCCTCTGAGATTTCAGGCTACCTCAGTTTCCCCACCTCCTAGTCTAACGGGCATTCATCAGGCACAGGACAGAGCCCTGAGGAGACAGCAGCCCCCAGGAGGCTGGTTCCTGATCTGCTGCCTGCTGCCTGCTGCCTGGGAGGCCCCATCAGAAAACTGGGGCTGGCAGCATGTTAGACTCTCCTGCGCCTGCCTCTGCCTGTTTTCACGAGGCACCCTGCAGGCTTGGCCAGGACTGCTGAGGAGTGGGGACGTCTGGGGAGGCGAGCTCAGCCGAACTGCCGTGCAGGCTGGGGCCTGGTGCTGCTGGAGTCAGCCTTCATCAGGGTCCCTGGCTCTGGCCTCCTCTTCTCTAGGGCAAAATCCCAACGCTGTAATGGCCAGGATCTGCCCCTCCCCACATCCTGCTCTTGATGGGAAACATGCCCATCATTGGGTGTCCCAACCAGGCAGCACCCCTTTCATTCTCTTTGTCTTTCCATGCACTATTTGACTTGCCTGGGGTGCATCTCCCTCGCCCCCTACAAAATTCCCCTCCCCTGGAAAGCTCCCTGGTGACTCCCTGACTCTCCCCTCTGGATGGACAAGGTTAGATGCTTCTCCCAAGCTCCCATACATGCCCTCTCGTCTTCCCCTACATGTATCCACCTCCCTCTCAGATCATAAGCTCCCCAAAGGCAGGGGCTGGCACCACTTTATCTTTGTTCACGGCGCTTGGCCCAGAGCCTGCCAGAAATGCTTGTCATATAAGAACCAACAGTGAACACTGCATGAATAAATGAGTACATGAGTCGTTTGGGCATATGTGAGGGCACGTTGATTGCACAGACCATCAGTGTGGGCAGCTCAGGGAAACTGTCCAGGGATGGGCTGGCTCTGCAGATCCAAGTGAGCAGTCAGCAGCAAGCCGGGGCGTGACCGTCCAAGGGGCCAGGCCTGGGCTGAGGGTAGAACTCCAGGAGAGGGGATCTGAGGCTGGGGAAATGCCAAGCCCCACTTTCCTCATCTGCATAAAAGGGAAGAATACTAATCCTTGCTTTGGAGATTTGTGGTGAAAATTAAGCAAAATAATATCTGCACGGAGCCCAACACAGACCTGCTGTTCTGTAAATGGCAGCTCACCTGGGATTTGGATCCCAGACTGGTTTTCATTTTGTAAAAGTGACGTAAAATTTTCTTGGCCAGGAATTTTCCCTTTTAAAAGAAAAATACGATGTTTACTAAGTGCACACGTGGTCTGAAGTTACGAGAAAACACAGTAAAGCTGGCACATATGACAGGGGAGGTCTGGGGACACATCCTGGGTCCAGTGTCTGCCACAGCTTCTGGTGCAGTGTGGAAAAGTCCGGTTGTCATTGAACTCTAGCTACTGCCTCTCCCTATGCTGTGTGCTCACAGCAGACATTCCTTACTCTCCAGGTGGGTATGTAACTTTGGGGAAAGCAATGTGGGGTTCTCTTTCAACATTTAAAGTAGGTGGATGTCATTTCACCAACACTTGGACCTCTGGAAACCTGTCATGTGGATCAGTGTACTTTGTGTCCTCTGTGGCATTCCTAATAATAGCAAAAATGGAAACAATGTATATGTTCCTCAACAGAAGCATAATTAAACACATCATGTTACATCCACGGGGCAGGCTATTACAAAGCCCTTGAAACAAATGGTACCGATCTTAATGCTGATATGGAAACGCATCCAAGAAGAAAGGCAAGTGTCAAACAATATGTATGGGAGCAAGGAAGACCAGCTGGCCATGACCATGGCCAGGGGATGCCTCAGGAGGGCCTCTGTGGAGATTTGGGGACAGAAGCACTATGGGTGCCCTATGAGTGCAATTCCCCCAAAGGAGATGGAAGCACCAGGTGTGGCCCTATTGATGGTGAATATTGATCAAGTCTGGGCAGGGCTGGTGAGGAACCGTGAGACTCATCATCACTCCAGCCCAGTGTCATGGTCTGGACTGCTAAGTTGTATTCATGGACTTGCATGACCCGGACAGCTTTGGGAACTGGGGCAGTGGGCAGAGGTGCTATGTGGGTACCCTGCCCACATTCCCTGACCCTTTCCATTATGTACATTCTGGCCTGGGTCTGACTTCCACGTGTTTGCCTGGGAGGTCTCTCTGGACACTGGAGGCCACTCTGCCTGCACACCAGCTGGAAGCCGCAGGGAATTGTCTCATGGCAGCAGCTTCCACCACTGGCACATGGGAGCTGGTAGATAAATACCTCAGCTCCCTCACCCCTCAGGTTCTTCACTTTTTCAGAGTTGCCCGTGGGATCCCAGCTGCCCACAATGAAGACTTGCTTGATAAGAGTTCGTCACCAGCTTCCCTTCCCTGCCTGTCTCCCTTCACCCCTGTTGCAGGTTGAATTGTGTCCCCAAAACTTACGTAATGAAGTCCTAATCCCTAGCACCTCAGAATGTGACCTTATCTGGAAATAAGCTTGTTGTAGATGTAATTAGCTCAGTTAAAGTTAAGATGAGATCATGAAGGTGGGCCTTAATCCGGTATGACTGGCAGCCTTTCAAAAAGGGGAACCTGGGACACAGAAACAGGGAGAACACCATGGGAAGATGACATCGGATCAAGGTGTTGCATCCACAAGCCAAGGAATGCCAAAGATGGCCGGCAGCCACCAGAAGCCAGGAGAGAGGCATGGAGCAGGTCCTCCCTCACAGCCTGCAGAAGGAGCCAACCCTGATGACCCCGTGATCTTGAACTCTGGACTCTAGAACTGTCAGATGGTAAATTTCTGTTGGTTGGGCCACCCAGTTTAGGGTACACTGTTATGGCAGCCCCAGCCTACTAATTCAAGCACCACACTGGTGTTTTCCAGCTTGCCAAATAAAGAATTTGCACTCAGTTTTTGTCTCAGTGTCGGGAACTAAGGGACAGGGGAGAGGACAGAGAGGCTCATCCAGCAGAGCAGGAAGATAGCAAGAGGCAGTATAATTAAAACGCCTCAGGGAACTGGGGGTGGGGCAGATCAAAGGCCATACCCCCACCCTCTGAATCAGAACCCGGGGATGTTCCCTGAATTCTGTGTGTTCAGGTAGAGGACATCAGGGTGGGGAACTGGCTCAAGCTGGCAAGGCGATTGCCCATTTAATATCCCCCGACCAACCTTCTGCCCATGACTGAGGGAGGCAGGACTGGGTGGCCCACTGAGGCAGGGTGAGGGCTTGGTGGTTCACATGAGTGCATAGCAGGAGCCTCCTGCAGAGACGCCAGCCTCCTGCTGCTGAAGACAGGTATGCAGCCAACATGCCAGCTCTAAATAGGGTCCCCTGAGGGTATTCCTGTTTAATAAGGCAGAGACCACTGGTAAAAATGGAGACAAAAACATCTTATAGTACAGTCGTGGGAAAATGAAAAATTTGGTTTTTGTTAAAAAATCGAAAGTTACTTTTTGGGAGCCAAATGTTCATCGTGAGAGGAAAAATTAAGTAAACAATAGTTCCTATTTCTGACGTGGCCAAGGGCTTAGCTCGTATGCTGCCACCTCCCGAACCCTGGTCCCTTCTTGATGGACACCTGGCTCCAGGTGTTGGCACAGGTGTTGGCTCTGTCCTGGCTGGATATCCAGGGCTGATGACCTAAGAAAGAGAAGGGTTGGAGGCTTGGCTGTGCCAAACCTAAGTCCCTGCAACTTGGGCCTCAGGTTCCCTCTCCTCAAAGCAGACACAACACTGAAGGGGTGCAGCTGGTTGGGCGGAGCCTCCTGGCCCTTCTCTGAGATCCTGCCCACCCCAGTCATGGGAAGCAGGCTGCGGAGGCCCCTGAGGGTGGAGTGATGGTGGGAGGGTAGCGGGGAGGGCTGATGTCGGGGGCGAAGGCAGGCTTGGGGCTGAACGGCAGGAGCTGATCTGAAACATCCTGTGGGTGCTGGAGACAGAAAGATTCTTGGTGGTTTGGGTGTAACTTGAAATTCTGCCATCTTCCCTTCTTATCTCATCATCAGAAGGAAATCAGACAAGAGAGCATGAGCTCATGCTAATAGAAGCCATTTTTTGCCCTTTTGGTTCCTATCAATTAAATCCTCTCCCTTCTGTGGATCACCTTCAGAGGCTCTCTGCAAGGCTTTTCAGGACCAGATGGTGCAAAGCTAGTTTGGCTGGCAAGCACGTGTTAAGGGCTGTCTCTGCAAGGGCCCAGAACAGCTTCATGGCCTTTGACACCACTGAACTTGGATTTGAAGCTCAATTCTGCCATCAGCCAGCCGTGTCACTGTCAGTGGGGTACTTAGTTGAGACCCTTCTATGCAATACCTTCTGGACATCACTACTTTGGCTTGTATAGGAACCTCAGACTCAACTTGTACAAAACTGACTTGACATCTTCCTCCCCAAGCGTGCTCCTCTGATTCAGTAAACAGCCCTATCACCAGCCAAGTTCCACACCCAACGCCTTGGGCAGAAAGCTGTAAAACTAACTGATTACCACTTCCTCCAGGAAGCCTTCCTGGACCACAACCCGTCTCCTGGATCACAGCCCATCTCCAACAGCTTCCATGCCATCATGTGTGTCTGTCTGACGCACTCAACACTTTACATTTTGATGATCTGTTGGTGTGTCTCTCTTACTAAATTGTGAGGCCCTGGAGGGCAGGAGCAATGTCTTAAGTTTTGGGAATCCCACGACCTAGCAGAGGGCTTACTTTAGATAGTTTGGGGGAGTCTAGACTCCATTTTCTCCATCTCCCCCTGCTCTTTCCTACCTCCAAATAAACAGTCAATTCAAATCATAAAACAGTGGATCTGCTTCAAGACAAGTCCCTTAACCATAGCCCTGGACCAGACTGCAGCCCCAGAACCTTCCAACCTAGAAATCCTATGCTGCCAATGAGGAGCTCAGGAAGAGACAGGGCATGATTGGTGAATCCAGGAGTTCCCTTAGTGCCCTTCCTTTCCCTCATGCAGCACATCCAACTAACCCAGAGTCCTTGCGCCTCTTCCTCCTAAGCCCAGCTGCTGGGTCGCTCTCCTCTTTGTCTGTCCCGCCCCATGCTGGCCTAGGCCCCCAGCTCCACAATCCCCCCAGTCTCCTCCAGAGTGGGAAATGCTTATGACCCTCTCCAAGGACCAGGGTTCTGATCAGGGCACCCGTCTGTTTGTAATCCCCTTCCCTGTCTTCTTTTAAGGAAGCTCAGCTCAAAAATTCACTGTTCCCAAGGGCCCTCCCACCCCTGTCCCTTCTGCCTTCGACTGTCTCTTCTGTACTGACCTCTAGCACATCTCCTGGGACACACAGCTGTGTGGTAATAGCAGCTCTGCCTCTCTCAACCATAGGACCAAGGTCCCAGCATCTGACGCTTAGTAGGCCTTCAGCTCTTGTCTGTTCTCTTTCCCAGGACACTTGGCTCCCAGGCCTCCTCAGCAGGGACCTGCTGCGTGAATTTTTTTTTTTTTTTTTTTTTTGAGATGGAGTCTCACTCTGTCACCCAAGCTGGAGTGCAGTGATGTGATCTTGGCTCACTGCAACCTCCACCTCCTGAGTTCAAGCAATTCTCCTGCCTCAGCCTCCCCAGTAGCTGGGACTACAGGTATGTGCCACCACGCCCAGCTAATTTTTTTTGTATTTTTAGTAGAGACGGGTTTCACCATGTTGACCAGGCTGGTCTCGATCTCCTGACCTCAGGTGATCTGCCCGCCTCGGCCTCCCAAAGTGCTGGGATTACAGGGGTGAGCCACCACGCCTGACCCTGCTGTGTGATTTTAGCTCTGTCCTCGGCGTGCTCATGAATCACACTGGAGAGCCCTGTGTGGTCCTTCCACGGCTGACGCATCATGAGCCTGTTCAGGCATTTTTCTCCGCTTCACTCTGCCATCTGTGTGTGGGATGACGAGGAAAGCCCATGTGAAGCGACTGTCTCCTGCCTGTTTATTGAGGGCTCCGGAGTGCTCTTCAAAACCATCTTCCTGCCCTTTTCGGCAGACAGCAGCATCTCAGGGATGCCTTTGCCTCCCAGAGGGGCCGGAGGTGGGCAGGGAACAGAAACCTCAAAGAGTCCTGCAGCTCTCTCAGCGAGAAGCCGCCACAGCCCTTCTCGAGGCGTGCGCCCGAAATGCACTTCTTCTAGCTGGAGGTGGGTATCAAATCCTATTTTACATTCGCCTCAGAGTTTCAATTCAAAGACGGCACTTCCACAGATAGAAATTTCAAATTCTTAACAAAAAATAAAGAGAGGCTCGTGTGAAGGAGGCATTCTGGATTTGACAAGGTGTTATCTGGGCATTTACCACCTCTGTCCTCCTCCAAGCAGGGTCTCGGGGCCCACAGTAGCATTGGCATCACCTGGAATACGCACTAGAAATGCAGACTCTCAGGCCATACCCCAGATCTGCTGAATGGACGTCTCCGGGGTGGGGCCCAGCAGTCTTTGTTTCAGCAGCCCTCCGGAGGCTTCTTCCGGCTTGAGAAGCACTGTCCTAACCTACAGCTTTGAGTATTTGGAGGAATTACCTAGTTCTGAAATATCCTAGGAGAATCAGGACAGGGACAATGAATGGCTTGCTTTCTTTTTAATTCAAGCCTAAACCAGATGTCCTGAAATTAACATTAGCTGCATCAGAATCCCTGGAGGGCTTGTGAAAGCACAGCTTGCTGGGCCCCACCCTGAGAGCCTCTAATTCAATAGGTCTGAGGGCTGGAGGGATCTGGGAATTTGCATTTCCAAGTTCACAAGGGATGAGGATGACGTGTTGCTTGTCCACATTTTGAGAACCATTGTCCTAAGCAATTTCCAAAATAAATCGACTGTCGGATGGACACCAGCATGGGCACTCTGTACTGAGCATCAGATTAGTACCATGTTGGTTGATATCCTATTCTTTCAGGGGTTTGAAAATTTTTGTTTGTTTTAAAAATAAGGCCAAAGAGGCGAGGCACCGCGACTCACACCTGTAATCCTAGCACTGTGGGAGGCCAAGGTGGGCGGATCACCTGAGATCAGAAGTTGGAAACCAGCCCGGCCAACATGGTAAAACCCCATCTCTAATAGAAATACAAAAATTAGCCAGAAATCACTTGAACCCAGAAAGCAGACATCGCAGCGAGCCGAGATTGTGCCACTGCACTCCAGCCTGAGCAACGGAGCAACACTTTGTCTCAAAAAAATAAATAAATAAAAGTAAGGTCAAAGGCTTTTAGTGGTAATGTCTCATTGTGCCTCAGCTTACTCACCTGTAAAATGGGCAGGTCATAGTTCCTACCCCAAAGGATGGTTATGAGTGTTAAACACACAAATCCACCAAAAAGCACCTAGCCCTGTGTCTGGCACACAGGCATGGCGCCTCTAAATATTAGCCATAGTGTTATAATCTCACGTTTGTATTGGACTGGAAAATGAGTGCCATAATTCCTTGTGCAAATCCCAAATCATAGGGAGCACATACGCAAAGTGAGAGTGAATTGCATTTCTGTTCAAAGAAGTGAGTAGGAAGAAAGTTTTTCTCAGCCCTCATGGGCACGTCCCTGGAGGCAAGTGTTCACACATGCTCAGCCATACTGGGCTGAGCCAGGGTTTAGGGTCCCAGAGACGAGCTTCAGATAGAACAGCATGGATGGACGAAGAGCAAGAAAAGGTGGTGTTAAAACAGAAGGTTTCCCAGGCCCAATTTTTATTTAGTTTTTTTGGGGTTTTTTTTTTGTTATTTGTTTTTTTTTTTTTTTTTTGAGGCAGAGTCCTATTCCGTTGCCCAGGTAGAGTGCAGTGAAGTGACCACACGTCATTGCAGCCTCGACCTCCCAGGCTCAAACGACTCTCCCACCTCAGCCTCTGGACTAGCTGAGACTACAGGCGCACAACAACATGTCTGGCTAATTTTTTATTTTTTTGTAGAGATGGGGGTCTCACTGTGTTGCCCATGCTGGTCTCGAACTCCTGGACTCAAGCAATCCTCCCACCTTGGCCTCTCAAAGTGCTAGGATTACAGGTGTGAGCCACCATGCCTGGCCATATTTTTTTGTTATTATAAAAGCAATATACACACTCATTGCAAAAAGTGACCAGGTTACAGGCCTCTGATTCCTTCAGCATCCCGGGTGGTGACCACTCGTGATGTGTTGGGTGTTCTCCATTTTCTACTAATGCAGAAGTGTACAGGAATAATATCCTTGTTTTTCCTCCTTTGGGGCAAGTGTAATATCCACAATACTGACCACAGATGATGTGCGTTGGTCTTCAGAAAGGTGCTTTAAGAGATATGAGTTGGTGGTTTCAGTGATGTTTAAGGCATAAAAAGTGTCTGCTCCCACACTCCCTGAAAATCAAGACATCCTAATAATGAGTCAGGATGGGGAAGTCTCTCCTCTTCCAAGAGAGGCAGAAATGTTCTCCAGCCCCAGGCGACCGAGCTGATCAACACAGCTCAGTTAAGTCATGGGGAAAGGGTCAAGCAAACCCCTGAGGGGAGAGCCTCACTTGAACAATGCCTCACTGGGGAAAAGAACCCCCAGCTTCATTTTAGAGGAGAAGCTTCTCTGCTCCCTACTTTCTCAATTCTGGCATGTCCTGTCTGCAAAGTCCTGCCAAGTCTGCCCCCAAGATGTCCCTGCATTACAGACCTGACCGCAGACCCAGGGGTCATGGGCATTGTACCAGCAGCAAAAGCAAGTGCCCCTGGCAGGATGGAGGCTCTCTGGACCTGCTTCAGAGCAGCCTGTCCTCCTGACAGCTTCTGCTCGCCTTTCCAGCCTGCCCAGGCTGCAGAACACTTCTGTTTCGCTTTTCCTTTTTAAGAGAGAGAGATTATCATTATTTTTTCCAGCTACCCACCAGCAATTCTATAACTTACCCTGTCGTCCCTTCGTTTACAATCTCTATAAGGCCCCATCTTGGTCTTAGCACACACAGGTCCCATAGGATCCTAGCCCTCCCTCCCACTCACCTCTCCTGCCTCTGCCCTCCCACTTCAAGCTCCAGGTCCACTATTTGGGTCATTTGTGCTCCCACCTCAGAGGCTTCACACCTCCGTTCTCCCTGCCAGGATCCTCTGCTCTGCCCTCCACCTTTCCCCCTCCCAGCATCAGCCGAGATGTCTGCCACTCACCCCTGGAAGCCTCACCTTCTAAGTGCTCCCATTGTCTTCCCCTCCACTTTCCAGAATTACCCATCCTTTCAAAAAATATATAAACTGGATTGTATTATCCGTGTTGTTCTGAAAGTTGCTTTTCTTTTGGACATTTTTCTTGACCACTCAGAGATGCCTGGTATCCCACAGAAAGGAAGTACCATGATGTAGTGGCTGATTCCCCTGCTGATAGACACTTAGGGTTGTTTCTATGTCCATCACTACAGAGAATGTTGCGAAGACCATTGGTGTGCACACACCTCTGCACAGATGTGGGAGAATTGTTTAGGATAGAGACCTGAGGGTCGAATTGCTGGGTCAGGCGGTCTGTGCACACTTCGCATTTTGAAAAGCAATTCCCAAGAGCTCTCCAAAATGTTAAGTACCTGTTTTTACTTCCACCAATTGTGAAATGGCCTTCACTTCTTCACTACTTCAAGGCTGAGTAGTAAAGCCTTTTGGAATTGAAAACTGGAACCTTGTTTTGATAGGGCTAGTTGGCAGTGTCTCACAGTGGTTGAGTTCCCTTGACTTTTCCTCTCCTTCCCACTAGCAGGGATGCTCTGGGCTTTAGGATCAAGACTGTCTTTAGGGGGCTGGGGCACAACTGAGATGGGGATTAGAAGAGGAACCCAAGACCTTTAGTACTTTATGGAAAAACCATTTTGTTTTGCTGATTGACTTGCAGGAGTTCTGCCAATGCCTTTTGGTTTTGTTTTGCCATTTCTGTGGTCTTGGAAGTGGCAGGTGACCAGATAATGTACATGAGAATCTGCCAGTGGGTCAAAGGAGGTGGCAGGTGGGGAACCTGGTGGTGGCAGCCACAAAGGCTTCAGCTCGGAATAGCTGTGTTGTGGTCTCATTTTCCTGCATTCACGCATTCATTCACTAAACAGTCCATTCACCCCTAAAATAATTACTGAGTGCTTTCCTATGCCAGACACTGTGTTTGACTTTGGGATGCAGAGTCATTAAAGAAAAAGGGGGGCAGCTGGCAGCAAGGAGAGGGTGTTCCTAGCCCCAAAGTAGGAAGGTGCAGAGTGTGGGGATTGAGAGGGGGGTAGGCAGAGCCAGGGCCCACAGCTTTTGAAAAGTGTCACAAGAACAGTGAGAAGCCACTGAAGAATGTAAGCAAGGGTCAAGGAACAGGATTTGGTTTGTGATATTAAAAGACCCCTACATTTGCTCAGGGACATGAGGGTCCAGTCGACTGCAGGCTTGGAGGAAGGAGCCCGGGGTCAACACTGGCTCAAGCCAGGAAACCCTGGGCAGTAGACTCGCTGGGTTCCATTTCCTCTGGATAATCTGAATTCCTCCTGTGTTCCTGGTGTGGGGCTAGAATTAAATGACCGTGGCCTTGGAAATGGGTAAGTGCTGGGAAAAGGGCTCCTGGCGGCCAGCCACCGCACTGCCAGGCCCACGGATGTGTGCTCCATTTGTCCTTGGAGAAGGGCAGGGAAAGGACACTGGAGGGACCAGCCAGGCGGGACAGTAGGCCTGGAAGCATCAGGGTTTCCCTTTTACACCCCTACCTTTCCACTCTGCCCACCCAAAGCCCAGGAAATACAGCAGAGGTTTTCCAACTTTACTAGGCAAAAGTGTTGCAAAACGCAGTTGCAGAACCTATCTGACATCACAGATCAAACTAGTCCCTGTGTCCATTACCTCCTGTAATGCTCAAAGCAGCCCTGCAAGAGGTGGCATGTTCCCTACTTTAAGAAAGAAGCAGCCGGGCGCGGTGGCTCACACCTGTAATCCCAGCACTTTGGGACTCCGAGGCGGGTGGATCACGAAGTCAAGAGATCGAGACCATCCTGGCCAACATGGTGAATCCCCGTCTCTACTAAAAATACAAAAATTAGCCAGGAGTGGTGGCATGAGCCTGTAGTCCCAGCTACTTGGGATGCTGAGGTGGGAGAATGGCTTGAACCTGGGAGGAGGAGGTTGCAGTGAGCAGAGATGGTGCCATTGCACTCCAGCCTGGAGACAGAGCGAGACTGCGTCCAAAACAAAAACAAAAACAAAAAACCCAGGTCTAATTGGAGTCTCCTCACCCTTCTCTGGCCTCTCAGAGGCTTGGCCTGAAAGGCCTTTCCAGGTGTCCAACGACAGAAGGGTCCTTCAGGCCCCTGACCTCTGTCCTCAGCTGAGCCTCCCATGCTCACTGTCCTGGTGGTCAGCACATATGAGGCCCCTCCAAATGCAGGTGAACCTTGGAGGCTTGTCCAGATCCCTGGAGTGTGTGCTGCTGGAAGACCAGCCTCTACTGGGACTCACCTGTCCCTTCCCCCACAACACTGGAGCCTGGCCTGGCACAGAGCAGACCTACAAGGGGGCACAGTGAGTCACTGTGGGGTCACCGAGAGACCTTGGCAGAGATCCTGGAGACCTGGTGTCTTTCAGCCTGGCCTAGTGAAAAGTGAAAAGCCCAGGTTCTGAGCCACAGCTGGAACCCATGGATTCCAGGAGTGCAGAGATAAAGGCTTCTGTGGGGGAGGGGGTGGAGTGCTTCAGTGCATGGCCTCTGGGGCCAAACGAGGCCATACACTAGTCCTGTGACTTGGACAAGCCACCTGGTTTCTCTGTGTCTCAGTTTCCCCACCAGTAAATGCGGATATATTAGAAGCTACCTCATAGGGTTTCCTTGAAAGGAAATGCGTTAACATGTACACCATGCTTAGACCAGTGAACTTGTATAACGTGCTTAGAGTCTGGCAAATGCATAAATAGTTGTTAATTCTGTCCTGCCCTCAGGGGCGTAGAGTTTAGCCGAGGGACTGATACACAGCTGTGAGAGCATAGATACACTCCCCAAGAGGGGACCGCATCCCTGGCATAAGCTTGGACCTTGAGTTTTTGAAGCCATAGAGGCCCATTTTCAGATCCCGACAGCTTCTGATTCTAATTGGGGAAAGATTGCTCTTTGCTTTGGGAATGTTTAAAAATCAAAGTCAGAAATCCTATTTCTGAGCTGAAAGTTTTCACCCCTGAGCTCAATTGTCCTGTTTGTAACTGTAAATGGTCATTCTCACTGGGAGCACTGTTGGGTCCAAGAACGTGAACTTGATAACAAGGGAGGAGAGCCTGTCACCGGGAATGAGGTAGGCAGTGTGTATGGCCGTTGACGGGCAGAAAGAGGGCCGGGGGTGGGGCAGGGCAGGATCCTGGTTCCAAGGATATGGGCCAGGTGGTTGGCTGCCCCGGTGCAGGGCAGCAAACCAGCCTGGGGAGCACCCCGTGGGCTTATTGGGTGGGCCTGACCAGCAGGCCATAGAGCAGGGGCCCTGTCCAATTTGAAGATTTTTCTCTTCTGCACCATAATTCCCTCCTGCCATTCTCAAACCTCTGGAAAAGTTTGTATCTGGTGCTCGCCATGTTTGGGGAATCATGGAGCCACCTGTGGCAGTGGGACAAGGAGGCGAGGAGCAGTGAGGAGTGAGAGATGGCAGGACAGAAAAGGTGGCTCCAGCAATGTGTGATGTAGCCAGCAGCAATGACAGTGTCAGCAGCTGGGCCTGAAGCTGTCCTCAGAAATACTCGGGGGCAGGAAACCAGGCAATGGCTGGCCTTCCTGGGGTCTCAGCCCATTACTCCTTGAGCATTAAAGGGAAGGATGGCCTTGAAGGCTAGAGAACTGATGAGGTAAAGGGTGGATTCAGAATTGACTCAGCTGCAGAGTGAGGAAGGCCAGGGCTCAGAGGGCTTCCCAGAGGAGATGACTCATGAGCAGAGTTTTGAAGGATGAATAGGAGTTTGGCAGTAAACCAGATGAGGGATGTTATTTCTACTGCTCTCTTCAGTTGTCCCCCATCACGCCTCAGCTGGAAAATTTGTGCAGGCCTTTAAGAGACCCCCAAATCCCAGATGAAGGCCCCCACCCACTTGGAGCAGAAGAATGTGCCTTTTTGAGTTGTCTGTAGGGAGGGACAGGTTTCTGGCTCCCCTGGGATCTGTTGGGCTTTATAAGTCTGGCAATGAATACCATTCTCAATCCCATCTCAGGGATTTCAGATTCAGTAGAGTGCTTATAGATTGCTTTTGTCAAAATGTGTGAATTATCCTGGGGGCGGGGAGATTTATTCAGTCTTCCTCTTTGCCGAGTTGGCTCTTATTTGCCGTTACCTGCAAAAATATATTTCTTGGGCCCAGTTCCCAGAGGAGCAATGTTAGGTCATTACTCCGTGAATTGTTAGGCTGTAAAGGAGCCATTCCTCACTCACCCTCGACTCCGCAGTGGTGGCTCGGCCCCCAGGTCACTTCAGGCCCTCCTGTTATGACCGTCCATTGTGGTGTCAGCCGATGATGGCTCTGCATGCGCAGAAAGTGGACACTTGGGAATTATTTGTGGGTGCACATTAACCACCTCACCCCGCCTCTGCTTTAATATATGATGCAACGGAACCAGCCACGGCAGAGGAAGGAGCAGAATGAGGTCGGCATTCAGAGTTGGTCAGAAACTTTGAGTGTTTCTGCCCACGATCCCTCGAGGGGGAAGTCACTGGGTACCCTGGCACCCGTCTGCATTCTTTCCTCTTCCAAAATGTGTCACGGTCTGCAGGCACCAGGGCCTGGGGGTGCCACTCACACCCCTACCCACATCACCCCGTTACTGGTGAGCTGTGAGCGAGCAGTCCATACGGAAGTTGTCAAGGCTGGACACAGAGTCCCACAGCAGGTCAGGAATGTGGGTTGCTTCCACTGTCACCTCCCTTCCCCCTACACAGCAGCCCCTCCCCAGTGATAAGCCCTTTGCATCCACCCCTCCTCCATCAAAGCTGGCCTGAGCAAGGACCCCTGGCCTCAAGGCCTGACTGGGGTCCATGGAGAGACCCACTGAGCAATTAATTCCCCTCAAATGTTAATGGCACCCTGTCCCCTCCAGGGATGTTCCGTCTTCAGTATTAGCACAGGCCTGTAGTTAAACCAGTGGTTCTCACACAGAGCATTTTGCTCCTCCCACCCTCACTCCCCTCTCAGAGCAATTTGGCAATGTCTGGAAAGATTTTTGGTTGTCACAACTCAGGAGAGGGAGGCTATTGGCATCAGTGAGTAGAGGATGCAGATGCGGAAAAACATCCTACGGGGCACGGGACGGTCCTCGCCGCAAATAATTATCTGGGCCCAATGCCAACAGTGCCAAGGTTGGGAAACCCTCAGTTAGAAAGAGCTGATTCCAATCTGGCAAAAAAGCCACCTTCTGTCCCTTCAGGGAGGGTGAGCCTAGGAGGAGAAGCAGCTGGAAGGCAGGGTAGGGAAGGGACCTTTGCAGCCCCCTATCCCATCCTCAGGTTGCAGGATGGTCAGGGGCTCCTCTGGGTGCAGTGCTGGCCAGTAGAAGTTTATGCGATGGTAGGAATGTCTCATACTTGGGCTGTCCGGCTTGTGAGCCACTTGCCACCTGTGGCTGTTGAGTAGGGCTGAGGGTAGAATTTTTACACTCATTTAATTTTGATTAGTTTACAAGTAAGCATAAATAGCTGCAGGTGGCTAGTAGCCGCCCTATTGGACAGTGCAGGTCTAGAGCCCTCAAATAGTCCCTGCCCCAGTGTGTCTTACCCGCTGGGAGATGCTGCATTCACATGAGGTGCTAATGGCTGCTAGGGAAAAGTCCAGTCCTCCTTCCCATAAGATTTCCATCTGAATGAGGGGGCTAAAATCCAAAGTCCCCAAGCAGGGACACCTGGGAGCTGCCCATGCAGTGTGGTGTGGCCAGCTTACCTGTTGCAGCCTGTATGGAGGTGCCACACGGCCCCAGACCTCAGTAGCTCTGTCTGCAGAGCTTGGACCCAATTCTGTCCCCAGGAGGCCTAAGGAGTTTTCAGGGCTTTTTGAAGCTTTCACTCCCAAGTCTGTCACAGAAGAAGGTTAACCGAGGGAGCTGGGGAAGATAGCCTCTGGCCAGACTCAGGACTTCAGGGAGGGCTGAAACCTACAGGATCCCAATGTTGACCTGTTAGACGCTGGCTCCAGCTCCCCCGCCACTGTCACCCCAGGGTGAGGACGCCGGAATTCCCTTAGAAGTGTAAGGAGGCTGAGAGGTGACCCCCTGCTCTCCCCACCAGGCTGGGAGTCCAGACGTTCAGATGACAGTGAGACCCTCTCAGGCTCCATGTAAAACTTAGATTTTTTTTAGGAGACTTCGATAGTTTAGAAATGACTTTATTCTACCTTTGTAATAAAATATTAATACTGAAAAGGCAAGGGTTAAATCCCCAGGGGAGACTTGATTCTGGCAGAGGAATTGGAGGATTAGTTCAGGCTCTTCCTAAGGCATCTGGTACTACTCTTCATAATAATAATTTTTAAATAACAGATTGCATGGTGACTGGAGTTCCAGCTACTCAGGAGGATGAGGCAGGGGGATCGCTTGTACGCAGGAGTTTGACATCAGCCTGGGTAACATAGCAAGACCCTGTTTCTAAAAGTAAGTTTTTTTTTGTTTTTGTTTTTGTTTTTGTTTTTTTGAGAAACAGGCTGGTTCTACTGGAGTGCAGTGGTGTTATCTCTGCTCACTGCAGCCTTGACCTCCCGGGCTCAAGCAATCCTCCTGTCTCAGCCCCCCAAGTAGCTAGGACTACAGGTGTGTGCCACTACGCCCTGCTAAGTTTTGTATTTTTTGTAGAGATGAGGTTTTGCCATGTTGCTCTGGCTGGTTTCCAAGTCCTGAGCTCAAGCGATCCATCTATCTTGGCCTTCCAAAGTGCTGGGATTATAGGCATGAGCCACTGCACCCTTCCTAAAAAATTTTTTTTTAATTGGCCAGGTGTCATGGTGTGTGCCTCTAGTCCCAGCTCTCAGCTACTTGGGAGGCTGAGGCAGGAGGATGGCTTGAGCCCAGGAGTTTGAGCCTGCAGTGAGCTATAATTGCACCATTGTACTCCAGTCTGGGCAACAGAGCAAGACCCTGTCTCAAAATAAACAAACAAACAAACAAATAAAATTTTAGTGGAAATATACAGATTTCTGCATGGTGTTAAGGAAAAAATTTATTTAACAACACTTCTTCAAGCTTGGTAAGGAAGACTTTACTCAGGACCACTGAGAGAGGTAGAGGGGCCAATGTAACGGAGCCCTGCAGTGGGGGAGGGATTGGGTTCAACTCCAAAAGCAGCACAGGCAAGTGGGGCTGTACAGCCAAGGGGCCGTGTGGGGTCAGCAGATAGAAAATTACTAAGAGTCAAGTTCAAGGGTAAGGGGGATCCTGGCTAAACCCAGCCAACAGGATTCTTGATGAAGGCAGGCTGAGGTGATCAGACATCACCTGGGGGAGGAGGAAACCTACTGAATATTAAGGGGAGCATATGTTGAAAGTGAAGGTTCTTGCTAAACTGGGTTAGCAGGGTTCTTCCTAAAACTGGATTTTACAAAGAAGTACACTAATGGGCCTAGAGAAGGTTCAGGAGCTGGACTGAAGTTTGGTTAAGCAAGGACTCTTTGTCAGTCGCTAATTTCCCAACTGCCTTTATGTCTTTGCTCAAATATCACCTTCTGTAAGCGGTCGGCCGTGACCACACCCCCAGGATGCCTGGGCCCCTGCCTTGCTCCGGTTTGTTTTTCCCATAGCACGTCTCATGCCACAAATCCCTCTAGAATATACTTATTTACTCAATGGATTTCTGTTGTCTGCCTTGCCCCACCAGCACCCAAGCTTGACAAGGGTGAGGTTTGGGCCTGCTTTGTCCCCATCAGGAGCCTAAGTGTTAACAGTCACATCTGCCAAGTGAATGACCAGATGTCAAGTGCTGTGAGTGAGCCGATGTGTGCCACCTCCTGGCTTTTGTCACACCAGGAGGAGGAGCCAAGCTTCGGTGACCTGCCCAGGATGACGCAGCCACTGTGCAGGAGTTAAGCCCCTGTGCCTGCCCCTGCCCACAATTCTCCTGCCTCCAGACCCCTTGCAGGAGCAGCACAGTCACAATCATGGCACTCCCTGTGGGCCTGGCAGCAAAGTCACACATACCTCACCTCTCAGAGAGATTTCTAGCTTCCAGGGAAGGATAAGGGATGTTTAAACTACTGGAAGTAATTGTCCAACAGAACATAACCTGAAAAAGCCAAATGAACGGAACACAGCTCTGAAACAAGAACAGGAATCAATGAGAGAAGAAGATTCTAATTATAGAACCCTGAATCTACTCACAACTTTCCCCAGAAAGCATCTTTTAAGTTGAGTAAGGCCAACTTCATTTCCAAGCACTGACTCAAAGGACGTTTCCAGAGCAGAGAATTCTAGAATGTTTCTTGATAATCCAATCTGGGTCACTCTTAAAAAAGATTTTAAATTTACTTCTTATCTATCTCTGTAGAAAGTGAGAAGAGAGGGGGTAAGTCCAGAAGACATGAATGGGGAAAGAAAACGTGCTATCTGTTGAGATATTTCAAAGGGACACCCATTTCCACCTACATGTTCCAGTTACTATGCTGCATAATGCGTTACCCAGAAACTTCACAGCTTGGAGCAACCCTCTTAACATGCTCACAGATTCTATTGGTCAGGGCTTCAGACCTGTTGGTCAGGGCCCAGCAGAGGATGGCTCCTCTCTGCTCCATGCTGTCCGGACCTCAGCTGGGAAGACTCCATGCCAGGACTTGAGCTGGAGCTGCTGAACCAAGCATCTTCCCATGGGCCACCTGTGACACTTGGGCATCTTCCCAGCACGGCCACCTTGAGGGGTGTTTAGACTTCATCCTTGACAGCTCAGGGACACAAAAGCTAGTGACCCCACAAACAAGCAGAAGCCTAATGGACTTTTCAAATGGACCCAGGCTTGGAAGTCACTCTGTGTCATATCTGCCACACCATTTGGGTGACAAATTAGTCACACAAGTCTATCCAGATTCAAGCTCCAAGGGGTAGAGATCACTCAAAGAATTTGTAATCATACAAAGGAAGAACAAACGGCTCTAAATCAAGTCACCCCCATTAAATTTTTTTTAACTAAAGACATCGTCTTCAGTCTTTTATTGTTTACTCCTAATGTGAAAAATTATTTTATTTTTAAAAATTGTGTTAAAACATATGTAACATAAAATTTACCATTTTATTTTTTTTTTTTTGAGATGGAGTCTGGCTCTGTCGCCCAGGCTGGAGTGCAGTGGTGCGATTTTGGCTCACTGCAACCTCTGCCTCCAAGGTTCAAGCAATTCTCCTGCCTCAGCCTCCTGAGTAGTGGGGATCACAGGTGCCCGCCACCACACCCGGCTAATTTTTTTGTATTTTTAGTAGAGATGGAGTCTCACCATGTTGGCCAGGCAGGTTTTGAACGCCTGACCTCAAGTAATCCACCCACCTCGGCCTCCCCAAAGTGCTAGGTTTACAGGCATGAGCCACTGTGCCCGGCCCATTTTAATTATTTTAAACTGTACAGTTCAATGGCATCAAGTACATTCCCATTGTTATGCCACCGTCGCCACCATCCATCTGCAGAACTCTTGCATCCTGTAAAACTGAAGCTCTGCACCCACTAAACAGCAACTCCTAGTTCCCCATCTCCCCAGCCCCCAGCAACTGCCATTCTACTTTCTGTCTCTATGATGTTAACTACTTTAGGATCCTCACATAAGTGGAATGCAGCAGTATATGTCCTTTTGGACTGCCTTATCTCACTCAGCATAATGGCCTCAAAGGTCTATGTTCTAGCATGTGTCAGAATTTCCTTCTTTCCAAGGCTGAATTATATTCCATTGTATGGAGAGGTCACATTGTATTTATCCACTCATCCGTTGATGGGCACTTTGGTTGCTGTACCTTTTGGTTATTGTGAATAATGCTGCTATGAACTTCAGTGTACAAACATCTCTTCTATCTCTGCTTTCAATTCTTTTGGGTATATTCTCAGAAGCGCAATTGCTGGATCCTATGGTAATTCTATTTTTATTTATTTATTTATTTATTTTTTGAGACGGGATTCTTCTCTGTTGCCCAGGCTGGAGTGCAGTGGCATCATCACAGCTCACTGTAGCCTCTGCCTTCTGGGCTCAGGTGATCCTCCCACCTCAGCCTCTTGGGTAGCTGGGACTACAGGCATGCATCATAATGCTTGACTAATTTTCTGTACTTTTAGTAGAGACAGGGTTTCACCGTATTTCTCAGGCTGGTCTCGAATTTCTGGGCTCAAGTGATCCACCCACCTCGGCCTCCCAAAATGTTGAGATTACAGATGTGAGCCACCATGCCTGACGGTAATTCTATGTTTAATATTTTGAGGAATAGCCATATGGTTTCCATAGCAACTGCACCATTTTACATTCCCACCTACAGTGCACAACAGTTCCAATTTCTTTCCATCCTTGCCAACTCGTGTTATTTTCTACTTTTTTGATGTTAGCCATCTTAATTGGTGTGAGTGATTAAATGCATTTTATTTACATTTGATCCTGAGAAAATCTCTTGAGATACCTACCATGATGATCACCCCAAGTCTTAGAAAAAAGAAAACTAAAGAGAAGAGAAGCTAGTAAGTGGTGTTGCCAGAATTAAAATCCAGGCCTGCCAATCACCAGTCTCTCCTAGTGGGGGCTGCTTGGAACTGAAGATCCCTCAAAATTCTCCAGTTCTTCTGGGAAGCCCCTCCCTCCCTTCCCCAGCCCCTGTCCCATCTCTCTTGCCTTGCCTGGCCACCCATCCTGTCTGAATTCACTAACCCGGAACCAGGTTCTAGTGGGACTCAGTGATGGCCACATTGACGTAAGCAGCCAAGGGAAGCAATATAGTGTGTAGAACAAGAGTCCTGAGGCTACGAATCAGATGCTAGGGTTGAAGGCTTGAGTCTGAGTGTGAGATTTCAGGCATTTACCCAAGAAACTCAACCAGTCTGGAGCTCAATTTGCTCTTCCACAAAATGGGAGGAAGCAAGGGGGTGGTGAGACCACGGGGAGATAAAATGAAGTGCTGAAATGACATGCAACGTGAGCCTTGTTGTTTGCAGTGTGCCATTTAGCTGTCGTTTTGGGGTGTTTTCCCTTAGAGGCTTCAGCTTATCCCTCTGCACTCCTAGCTGCTTTCTGCCGCTGGGCCGCAGCCGCGTTTCTGATGCCACCACGGAAGGGGAAAGCCGAGCAGTCCCTGCCATTTCGTGCTTTTAGGACGCAGCACAAAGTGTGCTGGGCAGAGCTTGGACTTCGAATGCAGACGGCTGGCTTCTGATTCCCCCTCTGCCACTGAGCAGCGGGGCGTTACTCTGCCTGGCTTCCTCTGCCACAAAATAGGCTTCCAAATGCCGTTTTGCGGGGCTGCTGCAAATGGAATTTGCTCATAGTTGTCCGGGGCCCAGCACTGTGTCTGAAATGCTGTAGATGCTCAATAAATGCTGGGTTATTCCCCTTGGTACAGAAAGAGGGCTGCAGGATGCAAAGGCCAAAATACTCCAGGAAATATGACGCTGAGCTGAGAGCGCATTGCTCCCTCTACGGTCAGATCTCCGTCCCGCGGTTTTTGCGGTCCCGACTATTGCTGTCGGAGGACGGCAGTGGAGCGACTCTATTCTTAATTCGACTCTTCCACCTGGTGGCGGATTGCTAAAATGCACTTTTGGAGTTGGGATCCAATTTGAATGCCCTGCTCAGAGCAATTTGAGGACTGGAGCCAGAATTGTCACTCTGTTCCACCCTCTAGCCATCCACCCACTTCGTTATTTCCATTGTCCTCCGGGACTCTCCTCTTTCCCCGAGCCCCCCAGCGGAGTAGACGCAGCTGTGAGGCTGCAGGACCGGAAGATTTGCGGTGTTCTTCCCGAGAGGGCTTTCTATGCCCAGAGATCAGGAGGATGGGAGAAAGAGAAGGGAAGGATAGGGGCCACGTGGACTGAAGGAGTAAGAAACCCGGGTCTGGAGACGGAGCTTGCAGTGAGCCGAGATCGCGCCACTGCACTCCAGCCTGGGCGACAGAGCAAGACTCCGTCTCAAAAAAAAAAAAAAAAAAAGAAAAAGAAAAAAAGAAAGAAAAAGAAGAAGAAGAAGAAAAGGAAAGAAAAGAAACCCAGGTCTTCTGGGGGCTGACGGGTTTCCATGGGGGGCCTTCTCACTTTTTTACTCCCTTAGGAGAGGCAACCGCCTTCCTTGGAGGCCAGGTTTGGAGGCTTCTCCACGAGATCACAGAAGTTCTGCCAACTCCCCAACCTGTCCAATGGGTCCTAGGCTCTTTATGCCTTAGAACAGAAGTCAGGGGACTTGGACACATTGTGGAGTGATATGGGACACTCTCTCCTCTGAGAAACAGATGACCCTCCAAGAGGCGCCAGCAGTGGAGCACTGTCTGGAGCATTTTGGGGTCCTGCTTGGAATGCTGCTATCTAATAAGCCTGGGGCGTTCTGGGGTGGCCACCTGGCAGCTTTTGGACCTGAGCCAACAAGTCTCTGTGATTTACCTCGTAGGATCATTCCTTTTGGGCAGTAGGTGGTGAGAAGAACAGTGTGAGGACATCAGCGCAACCAGCCATGGTTGGGAGCAGGAGACAGGGGCGCCTTGTATGTGCTCTCCAGGCTGTCCCCACCTCCTTCCATGTGCGATGTCAGTGCCCTGAATCAGAGTACTGGCTGGAAGGCCTTCCCCCCGAGCCCCTGCCACTGGAGCAGGTGGGAGTGTGGGCGTGGGGGGATGCTGGAGGAACATCCTCAAACCTGACACCCTGGTACAGCCCAAGGAAGAGGGGCTGATCATGGCTTCTCTGCCCATCTGAGCCCAGTCAGCGTCAAAAGCCCTTTCCAGGCAGCCTGGAGAACACCTTCCCACCAGGATGTCTTATTAATGAAATCAATAATGAAATCATTACCGAGGACATTATCAAATGCTCCTGCCTCTTCTGGGAGCTGCTGCTTAGAAAACAGGAAGGATGGGCTTTTCCCAAAACTCATGTTGAACGGTTTCAGACATCCAGAAAAGTTGAAACAACAGGTCTATGTCACTTAGATTCTACAATTCTTAATATTTTGTCATGCTTGGTTCCTTTCCACCTTTTCCATAGATGTAACACAGATATATGTAGATACACACACACACGCATGCACACATGTTTTTATGTGTGTGGGTCAGTTTGAAAGTTGCTGACTCGGTGACATTTCACCCTCTTTAACAGACATCTCTTAAGAATAGGGATATTCTCCTCTGTAACCATGAGACCATTACTGTACTTAAGAAAGTCACCAACAGTTCAGTAATACCTAATATTGAATCCATTTTCAAATTTTCAGAGTTGTCGCCTAAATGTCTTTGATGGCTGATTTTTTTTTTTTTTTGAGCTGGGATCCGATCAAGATCACATATTACATTTGCTGGTTATGGTTTTTTGTCTTTAGTCCCTTTTAATTTAGAAGGATTTAGCTGGGCGTGGTGGCTCATGCCTGTAATCTCAGCATTTTGGGAGGCTAAAGTGGGTGGATCACCTGAGGCCAGGAGTTCGAGACCAGCCTGACCAAAATGGTGAAACCCAGTCTCTACTAAAAATACAAAAATTAGCCGGCATGGTGGTGCACACCTGTAGTCCCAGCTACTCGGGAGGCTGACACAGGAGAATCACCTGAACCTAGGAGGCGGTGGTTGCAGTGAGCCCAGATTGTGCCACTGCACTCCAACCTGGGTGATGGAGAGAGACAGTCTCAAAAAAAAAAAAAAAAAAAAAGGAAAGAAAAAAAATTAAAAGGATTCTCTAGCCTTTTTTTAAAAAAAGAAATCTTCATGTCATTGACATTTTCAGAGCATGCAGATCAATTGTTTCGCAGACATTCTCTCACTTTGACTCTGTTGGGTCTTTTTCCTTCGTGACTAGAATCAGGTTTTCTGCACAAATCCTATGTGGGGAACGTGGGGTCCTTCTTGGTGCATGGCTTCAGAGGCACATGAGGCCAGGTTGTTGGACTAACAGTGATGCTGGTGACATCCCCTGGTTAGGGTGATGTTAGGCAGATCGATGTGTCATCTCCATCAGTATTGTTTCTGATGTCCTCATGGCCCCAGCATTAGTCAGTGGAAACCCATCAGACAACTTCCTATGTCTGTTTATCCTGGCCCTGATTAGTCTTCAATAACACCCTTGTTTCTGGCACCAGACATCCAAGATTTGCCTTGTCTCTTCCAGCCCAGACCTGGAACCACCTATTTCTCCAGGGAGGCCTGGTTCTTTGAGTGGAGAAGGGTATTTAAAAATCCAAGACTGGGACCTAACTGTGCTCCTCACTAGTAGACAGAGCTGGGCAATGGGCATATTAACTCAGGAGTGGATGCCGGTGCCAGGAAGAGGGTGTGGGACCCAGGGCAGAGGCACAGTCAGAGGTGTTGGCTGAGTGTCCGAAACCAGGGTCTGAGAAGGTCTGGAGTTGCTGGGAGAGCTGATAGGTGCCACCTTTGGGATTTTTCCTGACTTCAAACTCGATGACTCCACAGAGCCTGTGGCGAGATGCCTAAGTGATTAACTTCTGAGCAGGGCTGGAAGAAAGGCTTTGGGGCGCTGTGAGGTTGAGACCTTGGTGTGGAGGGAAATGTGGGCCTGTACTGCTCAGTCAGCCTCTAAGATGGGTGGGCTGCACACAATCACCCCTTCCCGGTCAGTGCTAGAGCTGGGAGTGGGGTGGGGAGGAAGTTGAGGGCCAGTCAGAGAAGAAGGAGGGGTGAGGGGGTGCCCCACTATGGGATCCCTGCAGTTGGGAACCCCATAAAAAGGCATCAAAACAAACCTGAGGCCAGGTGCGGTGGCTCATACTTGTAATCCCAGCACTTTGGGAGGTTGAGGTGAGTGGATCACCTGAGGTCAGGAGTTTGAGACCAGCCTGGCCAATGTGGTGAAACCCCGTCTCTACCAAAAATACAAAACTTAGCCGAGCATGGTGGCACATGCGCCTGTAATCCCTGCTACTTGGGAGGCTGAGGCAGGAGAATTGCTGGAACCTGGGAGGTGGAGGTTACAGTGAGCTGAGATTGCACCACTGCACTCCAGCCTGGGCGACAGAGCGAGACTCTGTCTCAAAAAACAACAACAACGACAAACAAACAAACAACAAAAAAACCCCACAAACCCGAGCATCACCACCAGCTTCCTAGGACTCCCAAAAGCAGGGTGGGAGCCAAGAATTCTCCATGGAGGGGAAGAGGTCCCAAGCCCCCACAGATTGGGGCTCCGCTTTGATCTGTCTCAGCTGGTGGGCCCAGCGCAGCAGAAGGGCCAGCAGAGAGGAGCACGTTTACAATGAGCAGTGCACCTTGGAGGTTGTTTTGTGGCTTTGCACAGAGAGGCGTCTAAAGCTTCTTTATGACTGCAGCGTTCCATTGTGTGGATTTACCAAATGTTATCTCATTTTATCCAACCAGCACCCTATTGATGGCTATTGAGGCTGCTCCCAGAGTGTTTTGCTATTACAAACTGTATTCTGATGAATAGTCTTGTACATGGGTTTTTGTGCATTAATAAGAGTTTGTCTTGGGATACATTCCTACAAGTTGAAATGCTGATTCAAAGGCATTATTTAATTCCTCAAGCTGCCTTCCACAGAGGTTGCACCCTCCTACTACCATTGGCAACATGAGTGTCTGATTTGGAAGGCTGGCGGAGTAAACACATTGTGGTCCCTACCAACATGGCTGCTGTGGTCCCTACCAAGATGGCTGCTGTGCTCCGGGCTGGGTGAGCACACTAGATGTGCACAGAATCCATTTTTGTTACAGATCAGGTTTCAAGCACAAACGCACAGGTGCCCTTCCTGGCAGCTGCTTCCAATGGCAATGCCCCAGCAGCTGCCTGTCTCTCCTGACATGCTTAAGGGTGCAGGCCGAGGAAGGCCCAGTGGGCTGTCTGCAAGTTGAGGGAGGCACTCAAGGCAGAAGTCAAGTGCTCCTGGGTTGCAAACCTGGAATAAACTGGAATGGTTGCTAGGACAAGGAGCCTCATGCAGGCAGGGGTGGCATGTTTCCAGTGTAACCATCATGGAATATATGTAATCATAGCAGTGTAATGATAATGCTATGCAATTTTTGTCTCCCCTTGACTCCAAATCCACGCTGGGGGCCAATTCTTTGCCTAGCCCTTTGTGAATTTCAGGGCATTTCCCCATGACTTTTCTTATCACCCTTAGGTAATAAAAAGTACTCTGGTTCCCTTAAGTCATACAAGACAGACCCAGTTCTGCATAAATGTGTTCCGTTCAGTGTAATGAGTAAAACTTTCATTAATAGGCATGCTTCTCCATCCCCAGCCTGACACACTGGCCTCCTGGAGGTGGGTGGGAGTGGAGCTGCTTCTCTCCTTCCTCCAGGATCCCCTTGCCTTTGTCCGCCACCTTGTCACTCCTGTGCTCTGGGGTGAGGGTGGAGGGAGGAGAGGTGTGTGGGGCAGGGCCGGGGGGAGGGATTCTGACACGCTGATCCGATGTTGGTTGGGCACTTGGGCTGGCAGGTGGTGGAATCTGGCATTTCGGTACAGCGGCTCTCTAGCTCCAACTTCCCTTGACCATTCTAACGCTGCTCTCTGGCTCATTGCTTACAACTCTCTCCGTAGCCCCCAGGCGTCCAGCCATGTGTCTGTCTTCCCCGGGTGATGTCCTCTAGCCTCTGCAGGAGGCCTTCTGAGGCAGGAGCTATGAGGAACCCACATCAACCTCTTTCGTCCCAGTATGCTCTGAGTGCCGCGGAACTCCCCATGACAGAGCAGCCAGCAGCCTCTCTCATCCTTCCTGTTCCTCAGGTGTCACTCAGACGTCTGCCTACTGTGCCCAAACTGCAGCTCTCCAGTCGTCACCTGAACATCCCTTGTTTTTGACTTCTGGTAAAAAGAAGAGCTGCCAGCACCCCAGTGACGTTTTCCAAGGAAACCCCCGTCCCCTCCTCCCTGACCTCCACTTCCCGCTAAACCGCTTTTTGAATATGCGTTCTTTGCAAGTCCTCGTGGGGTTCTTGCACCTCACCTTTACCAGGTCATAACTCTTGTTTTGTGGCCTCAACCAAAATGGAAACCCAAATGGCTGGCAATGTCTGAAGAGGGACTGACATTTCAGATGACTGTAAGTGAAGTTCCTTGGCGTCATTTCCATCATAGCACTTACCCTGTAGTGAAATGAGCTTAGTGAGCCGCTCTCACGGACAGCCAGTCTTGTGGTCACTTAGGGTTTTTTTTCTTTTTCTTTTTTGAGACAGGGTCTCATTGTGTTGTCCAGACTTGCCTGGAACTCCTGGGCTCAAGAGATCCTCCCCCCTCAGCCTCCCATGTAGCTGGGACTACAGGTGTGCACCACCGCACCCGGCTCCTAACTCACTTATGTTTACATGACCAAAAATACACATTTGTTTGCAGGGTTTCTTAACTATCAATGTGTCCAGCTTCCAGTGGAAATTGACTTATGTTTCTGCTTTTTAAAATCTGCAGGGGGGACCTCAATTATTTCAGCTTCCTGGTACATCTCTTCCTCTTTCTGGAACTCTAGGGAGGAGCGGCTTTCTTTCTGCTGGGGTTGCTGAGCTGCTGGGGTGTCAACCAGGAGATGCTGTGGGCCCTCTTCATCCCTCATGAAAACAGTCTGCCTGACACCAAAGGCATCTCAGAGAAAAGCAGAGGCAGAGGTGGAGAGAATCTGAGCTGGTGCCAGACAGCACCCGTACACTCAGATCCAGCTATACGTGAAGCTGTGGCTCTACCCAGGACTTTTTACTGATGTGAGTCAGGATCCAAATCTGGAGGCTTGAAAATCCAGCCCTTTCCTTCTTTCCTCCTTCTTAGTACAATCATGGAATCTAACATTACATGAGACCGTCCATATTTGTTGAGCTGATATTGACTAAACTGGATTCCATGTTGTGTGGTAGGTCCTGTGCTAGCCACTGCAATCCAGCACTGAATCAGACATGGCCTCTGCTCATAGGCAGCACCCAGTCCTGTTAGCAGCCAGTATTCTCCTCCAGACTTCTACCTTGACTCTAAGCCCTCAATTTTCAAAAATTGGACTTAGAACTGGTGTGGGTTCCACAAAGATTCCTAAAATTTGCTTCCGCATTGGCTTCACTTGTTGTTATTGTCCCTGCCTTACAGATCTCTTCATATCTTCACTCCCAGCCCAGGGAAAGAAGACAGGAAAATAAAACACAGTGGGCACTGGTAGGGTGGGGTCTTGTGACCAAGACAGCCTCAGTCCATCCTCCATGGACTAACACTCCAATTGGTCAACCAAGTGGTGGTAAACGTAGCAGTAGGACTTATGATTGAACCATCAAAATTCATGAAATTAACTGTGTAGTTGGTGAAACGTATTATAGTTCCATCTGTCCTGGGACAATGCTAACTTCACCACATTTTAATCCTGAGTGCTGAAATGAAGGTGTTGCAGCTGGAGAGGTGTGAAATTAATGAGAGAGCATGGAGGTGAACCAAGAAAATAACGAATCAGTCCCTTCCCTGCTCTCTGCTGGTTTCAGACTCCTGAGGGCAGAAGTGCTCGAATGGGCAGACATTTGTCTGGTAGCTCTTAGGTGAACTATATGGAACTATCGATACTCAACTGTTGATCTGCAAAAATGGCAATTTCATATGGTCTGAACTACTCCTGCCATAATCTTTTTTTTTTTTTTTTTTTTTTTTTTTGAGACGGAGTCTTGCTTTGTCACCCAGGCTGGAATGCAGTGGCACAATCTTGGTTCACTGCAAGCTCCACCTCCCAGGTCCACGCCATTCTCCTGCCTCGGCCTCCCAAGTAGCTGGGACTACAGGTGCCCACCACCACGCCCGGCTAATTTTTTGTATTTTTAGTAGAGATGGGGTTTCACCGTGTTAACCAGGACGGTCTCGATCTCCTGACCTCGTGATCCACCCACCTCGGCCTCCCGAAGTGCTGTGATTACAGGCTTGAGCCACCGCACCCAGCCTACTCCTGCCATAATCTTGCAAAACTGGATATTCTAAAGGAAACCAATCCTGATTGATAAAGTGTGGAATTCAGTTGCTCTGTGAATCTTCTACCACAAACACGAAATTTAGTGTCAAGGACATTTTGGTGGTCTGGAGATGGGGTGAGGATGTAATGGTACATTAGAAACATCCCTTCCCCATGCTGTGTGTAAGGTGGTCACATGAGGGCCTGACTTGGAGAAGACCCTGCAACAGGAAGACTCATAGAACCTTGCAAAGTCTCTGCTTCAAGTCAGCCTTAAAGGGGGAACATGGTCCCATTCTTATGGTATGGTGTCACCACATGGCTAGAGAATTCCAATGGCCTCCTCCTCCTCTGGGTCATCACTTTAACTAAGTACGGATTGAATTCTTAGAAGTAAAGGATGGTTAAGCCCATAGCATGTGGTTTGGTGTAAAACAAGAACTCAATAAGCCTAGCTACCATTATGTTTCTAGTAATAGTTTTTAGACACATTCTAAATTTCTCCCAGGGTTGAATCAGGGAGGATAGGATGACAGACATGGGCTCTATATAAAGAAAAATGTTCTCCCAGTCAGAGCTTGCTGAGGTTGCAAAGGCTGCTCCACAGAACAGAGCATCCGCCATTGCTGGAGGAATGGAGCCCAGTTGCTTTCTGTGTGTAGATGCTGCAATAAGTGCTTTCTATCTCTTACCTTAGTTTGTTTTTCCTAAAACCTTCAGGCACACAAAGATGGCACAGCTTGAAAGTAATGAGCCAGGGTTCCAATTCACAGCCCATCAATAAGCCACCGCCCTTCCCACACAAATGACAGCATGAAGATCTGTGAACAGTACAAGAGGACCTATGGTCATCCAGAATAAACACAACAGAACATTACCCAGAGTTCCTTTTAGGGTTGGTGTGGCCAAATGGCTCAGCAGAATGTAAAAGATGGTGTTCTATGTATCTTTCAGGAAGTGTCTTCAAGGGAGGGGTTGTGCCTTGTTTGATATCTTTCTACTTCCTACATGCTAGAATGTGGATGTGATGGCTGGAGCTTGAGCAGTCAACGTGGCCCATGAGGCAATACCCTAAGAATGGCAGAACAGAAAGAGAAAAGCTACTTGAGTCCTGAAAACTTGCTGGAGCAGAGCTGCCTTACCAGCTCTGTGCTGCTCATCTCTGCACTTCACTATGAGAAAGAAAGAAACTTCCATCTGGTTTTAGCGTTTGTCATTTCAGTTTTCTGTGACAAGTAGAGTAATCTAACTGAACCGATGTGTTGTGCGAATACAGCAGTGTGCTGTATTCATTCTACTGACGGTGGTCATTTAGGTTGGATCCACCATTTTGCTATTACAAACAAGGAAGTTCTGAATACCTGGGCACTTGTCTGCCGGTGTGCTCATGAGAGGGTTTTGCTAAGGTGTTAGCAGATGTTCATCTTCAGCTACCCCAAACTGTGCAAACGCTTTGTAAAGCAGTTGCACGAATCTACCCTACCACTAGGGGGCGTGCGAACCCCCTCCTCCCAGGGCCTCCACTCCCACCCTGGGTATTGCCAGACTTGGGGCGGTTATTTATACTCCTGATACATTGAACACAATTTAAAATTCCTATAGGGTGAGCCTGGATAGGTAAATTACAACTGTATATGATGAAACACTGGGCAGCCATGAACAGGATGCTGTTTTCCAGGAACGTCTGACGATGGGAACGTTGATCTTAATCATGCCAGGTGAAAAGCTTGAGGAGCCGTGCGCACAGCAGGTGAAATGATCATCAAAGAATGGGCTGCGGCAGGCTGGACGGTAACGAAGGTGACTTTCATGTTCTTCTTCATCTTTTGTATTATCCAAGTTTTTCACAGATGGCCCCATCCTGTTTTGTTCAGAATAAAAGGGTAGAAAAGATGATGGTTTTTTTTTTTTTTTTTTTTTGAGATGGAGTCTTGCTCTATTGCCCAGGCTGGAGTGCAGTTGCATGATCTTGGCTCACTGCAACCTCTGCCTCCCGGGTTCAAGCAATTCTCTGCCTCAGCCTCCCGAGTAGCTGGGATTACAGGTGCCAGCCACCGCTCCCGGCTAATTTTTATATTTTTAGTAGAGATGGGGTTTCACCATCTTGGATAGGCTGGTCTTGAACTCCTGACCTCTTGATCCACCTGCCTTGGCCTCACAAAGTGCTGGGATTACAGGCGTGAGCCACCATGCTCGGCCGATGATTATTTTAAAACAGCAGCCCCAGGTAGCTTGGCAGACAGGAGGGAGAGCCCAAGGGGCTGGTCAGATGGAAGTGGTGCACTAGGGGACAGGCTCCGGGGCGCGTGTGGGAAGCGGCACAATGGCGGTGAGGCAGTGGGCTCTGTGCCACTCCTGCTCCGTGCCGGCAAGGCTGGGCCCTGGGCAGGGGCTGTCACCACCCCTTGGCTCAGTTTCCTCACCTGTGAACCGGTCACAGTGATGGCGTTGACCTCATGGGCCGTGGTGAGGCTGATAAGATGCTGAGGGACAAACTCCAATGCAGATCATTCACTCCAGGGTCATAGCCTTCCACCCGGCCCTCCACAGGGCAGACAGTGAAGGACTTGGAGGCAGCTCTGTGGCCGAATGCCAGGAAGGGATTTCAGCACTCTTTGTGGAGGGATATTGGAGTAGAGGCTTGAGAAGCTGAGGCTGCAGGGATCTGATGTGCATCAGAGGGGTGGGGCTCTGGAAATGGACTCCTCTCCATGCCCTTGGGGGCTCTGCTGCTTTCTCAGCAGATAGAGCCTCGAAAAGGCTGCCATTGCAGGCATCCATCAATATCTGCCAAGCACCTCCATGGGCCAGGCCCTACTCTGGGTGTGGGACTGAAGAGACTTGAAGACCCCTTGTCAGGCTGGCACTGCAAGGTGGGGCTGGGGCTGTGGGTGTGGCTGGGGCCATGGGAGAGGCTGGCTTTGCTTGCTTGTAGCCCCAGTGAGAAGATTTGGAAAGCTCTGTGCCCTGCAACATTTGCCTGGGCCTTCTCCGGCCCTCAGCTGGGATCCCTGCTGCCCTCTTCACACTCCCAGCCCACTCCCTGTGTATAAAATGCAGGTTGCCTGGGACCTTCAAAACCCAAAGCTAATCTTATGCCTGGCCTTGGTCATGGATGGTGACTGATTCCAGGATTATCACAGGGAAAGGAGGCCCTGGGACCCAACACCCTCCTGCAGCCTCTCCCCCAGCCCAACACACCCCTGCAGCCTCTCCCCCAGCCCAACACACCCCTGCAGCCTCTCCCCTAGCCCAACACACCCCTGCAGCCTCTCCACCAGCCCATCACCCCACTGCAGCCTCTCCCCCAGCCCAGCACACCCTTGCAGCCTCTCCTCCAGCCCAACATCCCCCTGCAGCCTCTCCTCCAGCCCAGCACACCCCTGCAGCCTCTCCCCCAGCCCAACACACCCCTGCAGCCTCTCTCCCAGCCCCTGTCCTGTGTGTCGTTGCAGTGCTGGGATCTGTGGTGGGAGAGACAGGAAAGGTGCTGTCACGCTGGGGTGTACAATCTCGTCTCTGGCCAGACTTGGACCCCAGCGTGGCTTGGCTTCTGCTCTGCCTTCCAGCCATATAACCCATAAAACCTCCTTAATCACTGCTGCCAGATCCTTCTGTTGGCTGAGAGGTGACTCCTTTTAGGAGGAATGTCCTGGAACTTTTCATGAGCTAACAACCCAATGAATAACAAGTCAGCATTTATAAAGTGAACATTTTCACTCAAAAAAATGCTGCCTGGTTTTATTCAACAGAGCATTCGTGAAATGATTTTTTCCCCTGGAAAAAATGACAATTTATAGCTCAATATAAGTGAAGCACATCAGATATGGAAGAAATAAAGAGCCAGATAAACCGGATGCTGGCCCATGTTTTGATCGTCAGCTGTAAATATGAAGGTTGGGAAACAATTTGTGTGAAGTGAGCCTTTTTTTTTTTTTTTTTTTTTTTTTTTTACTTGCTGTTCTGTGCAGTGGGTGGAGATTTTGGCAGGATAGATAATGCAATCCAGTTCATTTATGTTATGCTTCTGATTCTCCAGAAAGTTATGTAAACCCCTGTGAAATAAAACATGCTAGTCTCCAGATCACGGAGAAGAAACTGATTGTGACTGAATTGTTCAGCAGTCAGGCCTGGATGCGTAGGGAGCTGACAGAGTGGGAAAAGGTTAAATGGACCTAACTCACCAAACGCAGACACAGAGTCTCCAATTCTGAGGTGTCAGAGGCAGAGGCCTGGGCAGGCAGAATTCTGAGATCGCCTTGCCAAGGTCCCTGGTACACATGCCCCATATGATCCCCTCCCCTGCAGTGTGGGCAGGACTGTGAATATTATGGGATTTCCTCCTGTGATTAGGCTACATTATATGACAAAGGCAAAGAGATCTCACAGATGTAATTAAAGTCCCAGATTAGTTGACTTTGAGTTCATCAACAGGTAGACTATCTCGGGTGGGCCTGACCTAATCAGGTGAGACTGAAAAGGGAGTGTGATGGGAAGGAAGAGCCCTGAAGCCTGGAAGACTGTCCTGCTGGCTGTGAAGAAGGGAGCTGCCCTGTGGTGGGGGGCGGGGCATGTGGTAGGAGCTGAGCGTGAGCCCAACCAGCAATCACCAAACCACCAAAACCAATCCACAACCTCACAACCCTGCATCTCTTGTCCCTGGGACCTGGCTAGCCCCACGCAACACCTGCTCACATCTCTGGCAGCTGGGAGGAAGCTGGAAGCAAGGACAGATGGGAGCTGGCTGGCTGGACAAGGCCAGGACGGGCACCCACAGCAGAGGGAGAAAAAAGGCCAAAACCAGTTTCATTAGCACACACCATCACAAAGAGGTTCACTTCACAGTATCATCCTTCTAGGTGGCTCAAAGTACCACTTGTGGTTTTCCTACTTTGTACATATAAGTCTGTGCCACAATTGTAAAACATTTTGACAACTGTTTTTCAGGATCATTGGTTTCCCTTGCTGTCCTTGCATCATTTCAGAATCTAAACACACTGATCTGAGGAAGGCACCATAGGCTCCCAGAGGGGCCAGAAGCTCCGGGACACAGGGCAGGCCAAGAGCCCAAGGCAGGGCCAGAGAGAAGACGGCGGGAGGCAACTGCAGCTTGGCTATGATGCTCTGATGGCCTAGCGTGGGATGGGGAAGGAGACAGAAAGGAAGGATGTTTTAAGCTGTTTTAAATTAAAGACTGCCCTCAAGCCTTCAGACTAAAGCAATGTGGTCTAAATAACTGACCAGAACACTGACCAAAAAAAATGTAGCAATATACAACTAAAAATTGGAATCTACCGCAGTGTAGTGTTAACAATTAGAAAAGAGGCGAGAAATAAGTGAATTAGAATTATAAGTTACAAATAGTTCTAGGAACGTCAAATTTTGGAGAAGCCTGGAGATCTTTTCAACTTCTGCCCCTCATGGATCGGGGTCCATAAACCCCAATCCAAAACTCTTGGGGCCAGCTGTGGTTTGGAACACAGAATGTTCAGATTTTAAACAACACTGCCAGTCACAGAACACCCTCAGGGGGGCCTGGGGAGCACCGCTCATCAAACTCGCCAAGCTTTCTCCACCGTGATGAACGACCTCCCACAAAGCGGGATGAGTCAGACCGGAAATGGCTGCAGTTTGGGACAGGGCAGGTGTCGCTACCTAATGATTTCCTTTAAAAATCGAATTTTGGGCCGGGCACTGTGGCTCATACCTGTAATCCCAGCACTTTGGGAGGCCATGGCGGGCAGATCACCTAAGATCAGGAGTTCGAGACCAGCCTGGCCAACATGGTGAAACCCCATCTCTACTAAAACTACAAAAATTAGCCGGATGTGGTGGCAGGCACCTGTAGTACCAGCTACTCAGGAGGCTGAAGCAGGAGAATCGCTTGAAGTGGGGAGGTGGAGGTTGCAGTGAGCCGAGATTATGCCATTGCACTCCAGCTTGGGGGACAAGAGCGAGACCCCATCTCAAGAAAAAAAAAAAAGAAAGAAAAAAGAAAAAAACTGAATTTTGGGGGAGCTTTTTGGATTTCAATATTGAGTATGAGGAGCTGAGGATCAGGAACAGAGGATAAGTTGGCCTGTACCTCTCCAAGTTCTGATGCTCCCAGAGCTAGAGCTAGAATACTCGCTCAGCACTGATCGGTGTCTGCAATTCACAAAACAAGTTTATCTGTGGGGTCTCATCTGATCATGCCCCAGGTAGATCAGGGCAGAAACCCCGAGCAGGTGTCTGGGGCCATAGGCTTTCAGCCTCTCACCCCGCCCGCAGTCCCTCCTTGTTCCCCTGCGTGACCTCTGTCCCACGCCTCGGCCCACGTGGCTTCCTCTGCTGTGGATGCCTGTCCTGGCCTTGCCCAGCTAGTGAGCTTCCTGAGTCCTACAGAGGAGCAGCTCCTCTCTGCTGCTCAGGATGTGAGCAGGTGCTGCATGGGGTCAGCCAGGTCCTGAAGAGAGAGGGTGGAAGATTGTGAGATGTCCAAGATGGGTCTGGCTGGTGAGTGGAGCGTGGACCCAATCTCTCCTCCTGGGCAGTTCATGCAGGCTTGGGTGGGGCAGCCTGAGCTGTAGAGTGGGGTTGGCTGGTACCCGGGGCGCGCCTGCCTTCTCTCCTTTGGTGAGCAAGTGTACTCTCACTACCACAGGGAAAACCTCCCCTGGAGCCCTCTGAAAGCCACTGGCCATATCATCTATTTCTAATGAGGTATAATTGTGGACAGGAATGGGGGCCTTGAGGCTTATAAGGAAAGCACACTCCACATCTGGGCTTTGCAATTGGGGCCCACTTTTACTGGCTGTGCCCCTTGGGATAAGCCCAGCCCAACCCTCAATAGCTGGCAGTGACCCATTTGGCCGGCCCCTGGGCTGCTCCCCAACCCTCTCCTTGCTCTGTGCATCTGCAGAGGCCTGAATGCCCCCTCAAGGCACACTCCAGGCCCTGTTCAGGCAGACCAGACCCTACACTGAGCTGGCCCTGCTCCCATCCTGCCGAGCCTCCATTAATGCTGTTTGGTATGGAACCAGCTCCAAACAGACAGCAGCCCTCAGTTAAAAGTATGAACAAAGAAGGCACTAGACCAAGCACATCAGCCAGGGCTTGTGCTGGGCTGAGGATGGGTGCCCACTGACTCCAGGGAGCTCCTGCTGTGAGTTCAAGACTGCACTCGGTGGTGAGGGATATGTGAGGCAGGAACATGACTGAGAGGCAGCGGGAAGAAACAAGAGTCATCCATCATGAAACCTGTGCCCTCGTGCAGGAGCCGGCCTCCCGTGTGAAAACAGCACTGCTGACCATGGGTAGAAGAATCGGTGGTGGCTTCAGTTTATGACCACCCTCCAACAACCCAGTAATGGAGGGCATATTATTATTATTAATTTTACTATTATTTTTAGGGGTGAGGTCTCACTCTTGCCCTGGCTGAAGTGCAGTGGCGCAATCACAGCTCACTGCAGCCTCTTATTCCTGGGCTCAAGTGATCCTCCTGCCTCAGCCTCTCTAGTAGCTGGGACTACAGGTGTGCACGACCACAGCCAGCTAATATATTTGCTTTTTTAGCAACAGGGTCTCACTATATTGTCCAGCCTGGTCTCAAACTCCTTGGATCAAGTGATCCTCCCACCTCAGCATCATGAGTAGCTGGGATTACAGGTGTGAACCACTGTGCCCAGCTCAAGGGAAGGAATACTATTATGCCCATTTTCCAGATGAACAAGCAAGCTCATAGAATTTAAGTCGCTTGTCCAAGATCAATTATTAAGTAAGTAGCAGAGCTGGGATTTGAAATCAGGTTTGCCAGGCAGTAAAGGCTACTCATTTCCAAGCTGCTCCTGGCCAGTGGCCCATTGAACTCAAATGGGGACGGGGACACACACACACACACACACACACACACACACGCACATGCGCGCGCACACACACACACACACACACACACACGGGTTCAGGAGGAACAGTACTATGCATAATGACCACCAGGTGGCGCCCCAATGTCACAGTTGGGACACCTGACTCCACAGCAGTTCTTCCGAGAAGAAAATCGAGGGCCGGTCTGGAAGGAGGGGAGGGAGGCCCGGGACAGTGGGTTCTGTGCGTCTGACCTAGCCCTTGTCCAAGAGCCCAGGTGTGTTGGAGGCTTGAGTCAGGATGAACCCAGCATAGCAACAGACACCGAGTACAGGGGCTTCACCTGCAACGGTCTATGTTTCGGTTTCTTTCCCTGCCTTGTGCGTGTGGCAGGGAGCCCCAGGCTGGCCTGAGTTTCCTGGTCGGCTGTATGTCTGGTGTTTCTGGCTCAGTGCTGAGCCTACAAGGCCGCCTGCTTCATGGCAGGCATTTCACGGCACGATGCTGCCTCCTGCTTTCTAGTCTTTTAGAAAGCACACACGCAGGTGTGCCAGAGGGGGCACTTCGTGTATCTCCCAGAGCTGGACATGGATTCTATTTCTTGTGTCTGCTGCACCAGGACGCTGGGCCTGAGTGCATTCTGGTTCCCGCTGCTCACTGCCATGGGCTCTGTGGTTAGGGCCTTGGGTGATGCTTCAGAGTGTGAGGACTGTGAGGAGCGCACGTGCGTGTGTGAGCGCCTGGTCTTGGATGTCCTCAGAGGCATCCATGCATGAGTTCCACTGTGGCTGTGCCCACAGGCCCTTCAGGCCCCCAAATTCCCCTGCAGCTTCTCAGCCACCCTAGGAGCATGGGCAAGGAGAGCACGTGATGGCTCCCGTGCCCCTCGATGGCACAGGAATCTCCGCAGTGCCATGGTCATCTTCTGACACTCAGGCACTCCATGGGGCACAGGCTCAGTTCCCCTCTGCCCTCAGGTCCTGAAAGCCCATCTTGGGCTTTTCACCTTGGGATCCACCACATGCCTCCTCCTGTGGACCCTCCCTGTCTCTTCATTCTCCCCTCGGCCTGGGCACCCATGGTCCGGTCTGGGTAGGGTGGAGAGGCTGATGTTCTCCCGCTGCCCCTTCCCCAGCATGTTATCGCACCAGGTACGTGCTACCTCCTGCGACAGCAGATTTTTGGCGACGAAGACCAGGAAAGGCCAGCATTGTTGTTCTCCATGGTATGCACACATTTTTGGTGGTCCCAGCGACTTAAGGTGTGGATGGCTTTTGGGGGTGTCCAGGCATGCAGAGCATCCTGCAACACAGAGGAAGATCAGAACTACAAACAGCAGGCCTCCTCTGCACCCCCACCGGGAGCCGGCTGGGCCAGCAGGACACTCTCACGCTGCAGCGTTCCTCCCAGGGGAGGAAGAGGAAGCAGGGCTAGGGGAGGGGCTTCAGGGAGACGTGGCCAGGGACCTCAGGTTAGAGTTCATTTCTCCCATAAGGGCAGGGGCAGGTGGGTGGAAACGAGGACCCTCCACTGAGGGCTTCTTGAATCAGGATTTGGGGGATCAGGGTTCAGCTTGGAGAGGAATCTGAAGAGGCCCCGGGCTGGCTGAACAGGGCCTGGTGGGGACAGACACTGAGAGGGGAGGGTATAAGGGGCATGGCAGGGAGTGGAATTGGCCATCCCTCAGGCATCTTCCTTCCCCTCCTGACCAGGCCAAGAATTGCCTCTGGAGGGTTTTGTTTTTTTCATTTTTTTTGTTTGTTTTCATAGAGATGGGATCTCACTATGTTGCCCAGGCTGGTCTCAAACTCCTGGCCTCGAGCAATCCTCCCACCTTGGCCTCCCAAAGTGCCAGGATTACAAGAATGAATCACTGTGCCTGGTCTGGATTTTTTTTTTTTTAAACTTATTTTGGAGACCTACACCAAAGTGAACAGAAGAGAATAATGAGCCCCGGGCATCCACCCTCTAACTCCACCAACCCTAACGCCCTAACCCCCAGCCAGTTCTGTCCCATCTGCACCCCCGACCAACTCCCCTCTCCTGCATTACTTAGAAGCAAAACCAGGCCTCACAGCATTTCATCTGGAAATATTCCAGTACACGTCTCTAAAAGGCGGCAGGGCCAGGCCGTCATCATCAGAGCTCAGGTTCCAGATGTTTCGTCTGAGGGTGGCAGAATTTCCTTTCCCATTTGCTTGAGTCAGGCCCCATACCAGCTCCACCCAGAGGGACTGAGTGTGGTCTCTCTCCAGCCTCTCCTTCTCTTTCTTTTTTCACTTTTCATTTTGAAATAATTTCAGACTTACAGGAAAGTTGCAAAAATAGTACAAAGAATTCCCATTATACTCTTCACCCAGATTCTTCAAATATTAACATCTTACATAACACAGTACAATGATCAAAATTAGGAGAGGAACATGGGCACGATATGATCACCAAACCTACAAATCTCACTTAGATTTATCTCATTGACAGGTCTCATTTAGATTTGCCCATTTAATTGTCTACTTTAGTCTGAAAGAGCTTCCCAGTCTCGCTTTATCTTGTTTTCTTTTGTTGTTGTTGCTTTTTTTTTTTTTTGAGTACTGGCCAGTGATTTTGTAGAATGTCCCTCCATTGGGTTATGTCTGATGTTTCTTCATGATTAGATTTGGGTTATGCATTTTTGGCAGGAATCTCGCAGAAAGAATGCTGTCCTTCTCATTCTCGGAGGGCTGGGATGTCCAATTTCTCCACTATTCACTTACCATTCTTTCCCTTTGTAATTAACAAGTATCTGTGAGGAGATAATTTGAGGCTATGTAAGTAGCTTATTTCTTATCATATTTTTGCCTACTAGTTTTAACATCCATTCATGATTCTTGCTTAAAACAATGATTGCTGAGGTGTTTATGGAATAGAGATTTTTCTATGTTCAGCATTCCTTTTACATTTCATTAGTGGAATTCTTCTGTGAGTAAGAGCTTTCCTTTCTGCCTCATGTGTGTATTCATTCATTTCTCCATATCCATATAGACTTATGGATTCTTATTTTATTCTATGGCTATGGACCATGACTTTTGTTGTTCAAATTGTCCCAGCTGTGGCCATCAGGACCCCCTTCCCATGGTTCCTGTGTGGTTTGTCACGGCCGCATGGTTTTGAGTTTGGGGACCCCCTTCCCATGGCTCCTGTGTGGTTTGCCACGGCCGCATCGTTTTGGGGACCCCCTTCCCATGGTTCCTGTATGGTTTGCCGCGGCCACATCATTTTGGGGACCCCCTTCCCATGGTTCCCGTGTGGTTTGCCGCAGCCACATCATTTTTGGGAGCTTCCTTGCTCTATAGCATCAAGAGATGCTGCCGACTCCTCCTGTCCTTTCTCTGACCTGGCCCTGGAACGAGCTGTTTCTCTTGGAAGCCCTGGTTTGTTGTATTGAGACTGGTGTTTAGAAATCAAGATCTGGGTGCTGGCTGTGCTCATTGCCACCAGGCTCTCATTACCTCTAGGCACTCCCAGCAGCTAGACTAGGAAATACACACACACACACACACACACACACACACACACACACACACACCTGTATACACATTAAAAACCACGAGTTCTTACTGACACCCCTAATTCTAATCCAGTATCACAGGGTTCTCCGTCTTGGTGTATCTTTGATCTCCTTATCCATCATCTATTGACTGATTTGCTCAGTTCCAGAAGGCATGTAAAATAGTTTCAGAATCAGTGACCCATACCCTTGTGAAAAATTGACCAACTAGTCATGGTATGATATGTGTATATACGTCTTTTCATTTTTAGCCTTTGAGGATGCAATAAAAACACTGTTTTCCAAAGTTTCTTAGGTTAGTTCCCCCATCTTTTCAGTGGAAGTATATAAATCATTTGTAAAACTATTAGTGCCACTTATTTCTGTTTGTATTCTATTTTGGGTTTCCTCTCATTAAAAAAAATTTTTAATCTAGTACATGAAATATGCACATGATTCTAAAAGTCAGAACGATTCAAAAGGTATACACAGTGTCACTCCCTCTAATTCTTCTGTGTCATTCCCATCATCCACCCTTTTCCTACCTATGCCCACACCCTCGAGGAACCACCCCCGACAGGCAACCCGTCTTATTGGTTTCTGATTTATCCTTCCTCTGTTTCTTCTTCACAAAAGAACAGGTTTCGTATATTTTATTTTCCTTCCCCTCTTCCTTCGATGAAAAGTAGCATGTTACAGATATTCTTTAGCACTTTGCTTTTGTATTTAACGATATAATCTAGGAATCACTCCACCCTAAAGTCTCTTCTAATCCAAATATTCCCCTCCACGCTTCCATTTCCCCTGTGTCACTGAGTTGTTGGAGAAACTGGCAGTCTGTCCTGTGGAGCTTCCTACCATTGGGACTTTGCTGATTGAACCTGCAAAGTGGAGCGTCACCCATCCCCCTGCCCTGTCTTTTCTTTAACGGGTCATTGGATTTGGAGGCTTGGTCGGAGTCAAGTTTGCTTTCTTGGGAAAAGACTCAGAATTTAAAGAGATCCTTGGCAAAGCAAAGATAACTTTTGCGTAGGTCCAAATGTGTGTCCACAGGGCCCGGCTAAGCATGCTCCCAGATACTGTCGACCTCTGGGCCACTCCCTCTGCACAAGCTCTGGCCTCTTTGTCTAAAATGGGGGTTCCTTTCCTCCTGATGAACTTTGGGGTGTCGACATGCCCCTGGGGATTTACACTGAGTTTCTAATTCCTTAAAGCGGGTGGGTCAGGCCATCCTCGCTTTCATCCTTTCCAATCTGCGGGAGCTGGAGGAGAGGTTTGCACGTCTCAGTTATTGTTGTGAAAATGCAACGGATTCTGCAATTCCTGCCTGTAAAGTCCGAGGTGGCCGGTAGAGGGGGGTGTTACTCCCCAAGAACCGGCTCTGGCCTCGGCTGGGCTGTCTGGCGGCCTCCCTCCCTTCTACCGAGACTATTCTTGTCTCGGTCATTACCTGGGTATGGCAGCAGGGACAGGCCGGTGCCTGCCACGCAGGGGTGTCCACCCCCTTCTTGGTAAGCCGCACCCCGTGGGGCTGACGGGGTGTCCTCGAGCTCACAGAGAAGGATGGTCACGTGGGCCCAGGGAAGGAGCGGGCATGACTGAGGGCGGCCGTCCCCACTGTCACCAGGTTCCTGGGGCCGGCTCTCCCCTTTCCCTCCACTCCCCTGCACCCGCCGGCTTCCCCCATGCCTGGCCTGGTTCAGACTGGGCTTGGGAAGTGAGTCAGGGCCTGACTATATGTGATAAAGAGAAGCTCCTTGCTTTTAAAGGACAGTAAGGGGGTCGTCTTACACTTAGCAGCCCGGACAGAATTGATTTTTTTACAGACCCCTCTGTGGGCGAGTGCCTTTTATGAAAAAGGCAAAAATATTTAATAAGAATGAAACCCCCTGAATGGTCCCGGGTCCTATCAGAAGCGGGAAGTCCCCTTTTTAAATGGTCGCAGGCATCTCCTTTGATCACACGATATCACTGAACATGCAGTCCTCACACCCCCAACTTCATTCTCATCTCATTTTTCTCCACGGTGCATGCCAGCCTCTGACACGTGGTGGCCCTCTCTCGAGGGGGTGCTGGTGCCTGACTCCTTTGGACACCCTGTGAAGGCAGGGCCAGACAGGTCGCAAGGGAAAACCATCGGTCAAGGTGAGTGTTGCAGGCGCCCTGGAGGAAGGCACCGTGTCACCTGCTGGCCCAAGGGCTTCCAGAATTCCATGAATTACAACAGGGAATGCATCTGCCAAGCATCCTAGACCCACGTTTCTGGCCGGCACAGCCTCGCCCTCTGTGGAAATCAGCATGAGAGGTGCCACACAGAGGCTGCCTGGAGAGTGGGCTGAACAGGGGGAAGGAGTAATCCCCCATGGCCGTCTCCACCCTCACATCTCCATCCCTGCCACGTGGGGCCTGGGGTCTGGGCTGCTCTCTGGATAGCCAGGGCTGTGCTAGGCGCTGCTCAGGCTGGGCTCTCTGATGGCCCCTAAGATGTCAGCAAGACCTACCCATGACACCGCCCAAGCCCAGGGCCTGAGGACGGGAGCCTTGTCCTTCCAGAGCACCGGCTCTGGGGCCTGTGCAGGTGGTGCCCATCTCTGAGTCTCAGGGTTCTCATCTGTGCAGTGGGGACATCAGTGGTGTCTGCAGGACAGGCTGTAGGAGGGTGAAGTTGAAAGCAGGTCTGAGCTGCCAGAGGCCCTGGGTCTGGCCCGCCACACACCTGGGGAGTCAGGGACTGCCTGTCCCCCCAGCAGCTGCCCTCCATGCCCATGTGCTGGCCAGAGAACCCTGGTCAGGGGCTGAGACAGTGGTGTGCTGGTGGTCACTAATACTGACCGTCATTAAACGTTTAGGAATGCTGACAGCCATTGTTACAAATTAAATTCTACAAACTGATGATTAAATAAATTGTATTAAAAACAAAGGTAGTGAATATTCCACTCCCTGTCCTTCCTGGTTGCCTTTCTGCATCGTCTGTGCTCTTACAGCGACGTCTGCTGCTGGGTCTGTGGTGAAAATGCTGTATGAGGCTGTGCTACTGCTCTGCCTGCAGTGACGTCTGGGGACAGCTGCAAATGGGCACATGTGGAAGCCAGAGGACTGACTGTCAACCTGTCACCGGAGTGGGCCTGGATTCCACGGCCAGGGGAGGGGCCGCCAGCCTGGGATGCATACAGTCCTCACAGCTCTGGGAGCTGGCTTTCAGGGACTCCTCCTGCAGGGTTCTGTGGGTGCTGCTCTATGCTCTCTCTCCTTCTGCTGAGGCATAGGGCTTCTCTACTCGCCCTGGGCCAGAGGAGCCAGGCAGCTGGGCAGCGGAAGGCTCGGGTGCCCTGGACAGGCGTCTGCCTAGCACTGGCTGGCCCGGCCCAGCCAGACGCCTGCTGGCTCATCCGCACAGCCACCCTGTGGGTGAGGGCTTGGTCTGTTCGAGGGATGGGGGACCGAGGTTCTGGGAGGGGCTTGCCAAGTCCTGGCAGTCAGCAAATGGCAGGCAAGGACCTGAGCCCCTCCACTGGATGTGAGGTCAGTGCTGCCCCAAGCACCTGGGGCTGCCTTCAGTGACAGGAGCAGCGTGGTGATGTGGGGAGAGGTTCAGCTGGAGGCAGCCACACCACGCAGGACGCTAGGGCATGGTCCAGGAGCCCTGCACTGGCTGACATGCACTCCTGAAGTTCTGCCTTTAGAGACTGATCCCTCGCAACACCCATCTGCCCTCTCCTTGAGTCCTCCTCCCACGCGCGCGTCCCCAAGAAGATAAGCATCAGGGCACCAACGTGCTACTCAAGGTCCTGGGGGCAGCAGCATCAAGGGAAAGGAGACCAGCAGGCAGAGCATGGCTGTGGGTGACCTGAAACAGCCACCACTCTCTCCCCCTGGAACCCCGAGGGCCAAGGGAGCAGGAGGGCCTGGCCCTGAGCAGCCTCCCTTCTGCAGAGAAAGGCAGGCATGGGTGGGCAACACTGGGGCCAGACAGATGGGGGTGGGCTGGTCTTGGGGGCTCAACTTGGAGGGCAGGGCACTGCCTGACAACGTGGGCATCATGCAGAGGGCCGTGCGAGGGCAGCTCGTGGAAAGCGCCCAGAGTGGAGCGCTGGCCCTGGAGAGCAAGGGATGCTCACGCACGCTGCAACCCGGATGAACCTCAAGGACATCGTGCTGAGTGAAATAAGCCAGACACAAAAGGCATGGCCTGCATGATTCCACTCACATGAGGCACCTGGAGTAGTCAAATGCACAGCCGGGAAGTAGAATGGCAGTTGCCAGGGGTTGCAGGGAGGGGAGTTAGTGTTTAATGGGCACAGGGTTTTAGTTTTGCAAGATGAAGGGTTTTGTGGATGGGTGGTGGTGATGGTTGCTCAACAGTGCTAATGTGCTTAATGCCTCTGAACGGTGCACTTAAAAATGGTTAATGGCTGGGCGAGGTGGCTCACGCCTATAATCACGCTTTTACCAGGCCCAGGTGGGAGGCTGTCTTGAGGCCAGGAGTTTGAGACCAGCCTGGGCAACATAGTGAGACCTCATCTCTACAAAAAAAAATTTAAGAATTAGCTGGGCGTGGTGGCACACTGGTAGTCCCAGCTACTCAGGAGGCTGAGGTGGCATGGGAGTGGGAGGGGTGGTGGGGTGCTGGGGGGTGGGGAGGTAGTGCAGTGCAGCAGAGCAGGGTGTGGGAGGGTAGGGGGATGGAGGTGTGTGTGTGTGTGGAGGGGGGAGAATCGCTTGAGCCCAGGAATTCAAGCTTGCAGTGAGCTGTGATCCAGCCACTTGAATTCTTTTTATTTTTTTTATTATTTTTAAATTATTTTTTAAGACAGAGTTTCGCTCTTGTTCCCCAGGCTGGAGTACAATGGCACGATCTCAGCTCACTGCAACCTCTGCCTCCTGGGTTCAAGCGATTCTCCCGCCTCAGCCTCCCGAATAGCTGGGATTACAGGCATGCGCCACCACGCCTGGCTAATTTTGTATTTTTTAGTAGAGACGCTGTTTCTCCATGTTGGTCAGGCTGGTCTTGAACTCCCGACCTCAGGTGATCCGCCTGCCTCAACCTCCCAAAGTGCTGGGATTACAGGCGTGAACCACCGCGCCCAGCCCAGACTCTTGAATTCTTAAAGCACAGCTTGCCTTAGGGGCTTCATAATGGCCCTAGGGCCCCTGGGGCATCACCCACAGGGTGTGAGGACCCTCCCCTCACCTCCCTCTCTCCCTGCCTCACTTCCTTCTTTCCTCCCTCCCTTCCCTTCTCAACTGAGCCCCCTACTCAGTGCCAAGCCCTGGGCGCCCTGCCTGGAGGAGTGGGCAGAATGATGGGAAGGCAGGCGAGTGTGCTGCAACAGAGGCGAGCCATGGGCTGTGAGGCATTGCAGGCAGACAGCAGAGGCAGGAAGCAGGCCTTCCTTCTGGGAAGCAGGAGGAGCCCGGGGAGAGTTGCTAGCTGTGGCCTTCTCAGCCCAGGCCCTCTAGCAACTTGGGGTTTGAGGGTCAAACTTCTTTCTTTAGGTAGGTGAGGATAGATGTGGAGGCCTCAGAACCCTGAGTTCAAGTCTGATCTCAGCTTCTTGCCTACTGCGGTAGGGCAGTCGCTTCTCAGTGACTCAACTTTCCCAGCCACAAGATGGGTCCAGGAAGAGCCGCTTGGGGAGCAGCGGGGCCGGGAGGATGGGGTGAATGACTGCCTGGCTGTGGGTATCTGCAGCTCCTGCTGGCAATCCTTCTCACCCGCTCGGTCTCCAGCCAGGGGACAGGGACCTGGGGTCCACACCTCAGCCTGAGGTCCAAGGCCATCCTCGGAGGAGGCCCCACATTCGTCCCCCAGGTTGGTGCCCACGCCTGCCCTGGCATGAAGCCACCCTTTCTCAGGAAGTCCAAGTTACTGAAACAGATAAATCAATCTGTCAAGAAGCCTTGGAGAAAGAATCTCTCAACTCGCTCAGCCAAGAAGCTCAAAAGGCGAATTGTTCCCAGAGATGAAGAAGGAAACAACAGACACCTTCTTCCCAGGCTCTGCCTGCGGCTCTCGAGGCCCTGCCCTCCTCCCCCTGCCCCCAGAGAGCACCTGTAGGCTCAGGGCCAGCCCAGGGACAGGCATGGCAGCCCCTCGCTGGCTGCTGGGGTGGCGCCCAATTCCAGAGCCCTGTCTGGGGAAGGAGAGGGCCGAGAGCCACTGTTTGGCTCCTGTCCCAGACCTGACTGGGAGACCTTCTGAAAAACTCAGCCTCCTGATCAACAGAGGGCAGAAGACCTGAGCCACTGGCCTCCCCATGGAAGAGGCACTCAGAGCGGTATGAGGAGTAGTGCTCACCCTGGACAAACTCCCGGAGTCAGTGTGACCGTCGGAGCTGGAGGCTGGGGTGATGGGGGCCAGGGAAACCAAGCAATGGCCCCGAGGTAGTGAGGAGTCTCTGGAGGCCAGATACCCTCAAGATGGAAAAGGAACATCCTTGGAGGATTGGGGTGGCTTCTTCCTGGAGGGAGGAGGGACACATGCCGGGATGACAGCCAGCTCTGCCGCTGACCAGCTGTGTGACCTTGTGAAAGTCACTTGATCTCTCGGCGCATCAATTTCCTCATTGTTGCCTGGGCCTCTTGTGAGATCTTCCTCATGGCTTGCAGTGAGGATTGAATGAGTCGATCTGTGCCCCGTGGCCCGGGACATGGTGAGCATGTGGTAATGGCAGCCGTTTTATCCTGTAGTGTAATAACGGTGTGCAGCTAGACGTCACTCTGGGCACCTTTTCTCACAGAACTGTCACTGCCGTGCTGCAGGATGCGGATGGTTGTCTTCACTCTCCAGATGAGGAAACTGAGGCTCAAGGAAGGGCGGAGCTGCCTGAGGCTTGACAACTCTGCAGTCTGCAGCTGTGAGAGGGGGCTCTTTCTAGCCACACAGCTTTCCCTGGTTCTCGTGCGCTCTGTGAGCAGGAGGACGGGAAGGGCCGCAGCCGCTGAGGGAGCAGGAGGGGTTCGATGCAAGCCCAGCTCCCAGCACGGGAAAGCCAGGTCAAGAAACACACGGCCTCTGCTGTGGGGCTGATCACAGCTTTGTCAAAGAGGAGATGTGGGAGGGGGGAGGTGAAGGGAGCAGGAAGAAATGAATGTCAGAAACATAAATAGCCCTGGAACTGATGGACAGTCTGAGATCTCTGCGCAGACCTGGGCGCCTGCAGGCTGCCACTCAAACCTGAGCAGAAGGGTGAACCCGCCCTCACCCCACTCCCGGTTCCCTACACGCCCCAGGAAAGGGCTGTTGTGAGCGGAAGGCATTCGTCGAAAACTGGGAAGGTTGCCCAAGAAAGGCAGAGCGGGAAGCCCTCCGTGGGCAGCAGAACCGGGTGAGTCAGCCCGTCGGAGGGTCCCCCATGTGGCAGGAAGGGGAGGCACAGGGACTGGGCTCGGCCACCTGGAAACACAGGCGGCAACAGCTGCTCATGCATGAAAGGTGACAGCTAAGTGTCATCAGCCTGGGAGTGCCAGGATAACGTCACCAGGGCGAGGTGGGCCGCGGGGGTGCAACAGAGGCCCCCTAACTTCCCAGGGGAAAAAGCTCACCACTGTCAGGGACATGAAAGGACTGTCAAAGAGCCATGAAACCAGCTACGGGGATTGGGAAACTTCAGACTCACTTCTGTTTGTTTTGTGACAACATGGAAGCCACAGATGTTCTCTCAAGGTAAAAAGAACCACCAGGGACCTCTCTTGGTGTGACCTTCATCACCTCCTCTGTGTCACCTGTCCCCGCCTCCTGCTTCTCCCCCAGCACATTCCAATAGGGCCACACCCATGCCTGGAGTTTGTGGCAGGAATCACAGGAGGGGAGGGGCCGATGGTGGATCTCAGGGTGGGGGCAGCAGGTGCCATGTGTCAGGAATCAAGGCTCAGATGAAAAGTTATATCACGGCAAAGGCATGTGGCTGCTGAGGACCAGAGCCTAAGGACTGGTCAGTTACCAGCTGTCAAAGGCAGGCCAGAGGCCAAGGAAGAGTGACCAAGAGTACCTTGAGCTAGGAGCTGCGAGCAAGAGGAGGGAAGGGAGGGTGCACATTTGGAGGACTACCTCTGAACCAGGTGCCATGCCTGAGGTTCCTTTCCATGGTTCCATTAGTAGTTCCTCCTCCTGATCTTGGGAGATGAACATTATTATCTTGATCTTGCAGGTGAAGAAACTGAGTCTCAGAGAATCTCAGTAACTCACTAAAAGTCCCACAGCTTCTAAGTGACAGGGTCTGTGTGACAACACAGTGAGAAGTCGGGCTACAGCAGGGACTGGCCAAGGGTAGGTAGTCATGGGAGGATGGTCTGTGTCTTGAGAACAGACTCAAATGATGGGCTTCTCTCTGGAAAGGAGGGGCATGCCTGAGGTCAAGAATTAGGAAGTCATTTTATCAGAGAAATATGGAATCCATCATTTCTAGACCAGGGATTCCCAAAGAGGTACTGATGAGAACTAATTATGGCCAGTAAATAACAAAGCACTATTTTAGAGAGTGCATGACCCATTTTGGAGCTCACTACTCTAGAAAATGGTACACGCTGGAAATCAGAGAAAGGTTTCCAAATAAATCTGTGATAGGAGATACCAGAGAGACCATGAAATGTCCATGGCATGGAGAGATTCTGAATGGGAGGCACAAGGAGGCTGATCAAGGCTTGGCAGGCTGGGCTGCCCAATAGGAAGAGACAGGCTTTCAGGAAGAGGTGGGTTCCCTTTTGAAAAGGACAGCAAGTTTTTCTGCTTGACAGTATCCATCTCCCTCATCTGGTGTAAGCACTTCTTCTTCCTTAGGGACTATCCCTCCTCAACTCTCAGACTGCGTGGCTCTATAAGATTGACCCTGCCCCCTGGCTCCAAAGAAGCAACATGACTCAGGCATGGCCAGGGAGAGTGACCATGTTGAGTTTAAGGAAATCTAGTCAGAAAGAATTAGCCCCAGGGCTGTAGTGGGAACCTCTAGGAAAGGAACTTTCTGGGCCAGGTTTGCTCATCGATGGAGCTGTTGGGGAGCAGTCATCTTGGTGTATGTGCAGGCAGGTATGTAAGGGGACAGGGTGTAGGGGGGGACCTCATGAATCAAATAAAACTTCCCTAGCATCTGTTGTTCTTTCCTCTTCCAATGGCCCATTTGGTGATCCCACTCCTCCATACCAAGCAGACTGATGGGGCTCCACCACAGGTAAGGCCAACTAGCATATCTCATTCCCATGACTACAGTCATTGGTGCAGAGATGGGCATGTGATCTAAACTACACTAAACAGAGTTGATCTCAGGATGTTTAAAGGAACTATTAGAAAGAAGATTCTCAGCCCGGTGCGGTGGCTCATGCCTGTAATCCCAGCACTTTGGGAGGCCGAGGGGGGCGGATCACAAGGTCAGGAGATCGAGACCATCCTGACTAACAGAGTGAAACCCCATTTTTACTAAAAATGCAAAAAAAAAAAAAAATTAGCCGGGCATGGTGGCGGATGCCTGTAGTCCCAGCTACTCAGGAGGCTGAGGCAGGAGAATGGTGTGAACCCGAGAGGTGGAGCTTGCAGTGAGCCGAGATCGTGCCACTGCACTCCAGACTGGGCGACAGAGCGAGGCTCCATCTCAAAAAAAAAAAAAAAAGAAAAAAAGGAAAAAAAAAGAAAGAAGATTCTCTTGCTGGCCATATTTGAACCTGGGAGGATGGCGGAATCTCTGCTTCTGCAGCTGTTTTGTCACCATGAGGAGTCATCTATCTGAGAACAGAGCCAGCACAGAAGAAGTGGATCCAGGAGGTCGAGAAACAGAGAAATTAGGCCCTGGGTTTTGGTCCTGAATCAAATGGACTAACTGTAACTACAACTCTGGACTTTTCGGTCATTAAGACAATTAATTCACCTTTTCTTAGGTCTGTTTATGTGGGCTTTTCTGTTCCTTACAATTAAAACAATCTTGAATAGAGTCAACAAAAAGAGGACTCTTATTCCAAGAACTAGAAATGATTGAACAATCTAGAATTTAACAATGAAAAAGAGAAATCATAAAATAAATATGATTAAAACATTAAAAAGATAAACTAAGAAAAGAATCATAAAAGACAAACGTGAACAATAATCAGATTTCAAGAAACAAACAAAAAAAATAACATTAACAACTCAATAGATCAGTTAAAGAGATGGTTTAGTATAGCCGAAGACAGAAGTGGGGAGTTGGTTGGTAGATTTGAAAAAAACTGCAAAACACAAAGTTAAGGAAAATGTGGCAGTGATGTGAAGAGACTGGTGGACAGAGTGAGATGGTTCAGATGCATATTCTCTCCAGAATGAGGGAGTAGGGGAAAAAGGTCAAATAAGCACATCAAGTTCCAAGCAGGTGAAATATAAACAACACATAGACACGTCATTATAAAACTGCAAACACAGCAGACAGAGCGAATGAAGAGACAGACCGATGAAAAAGGAATGATAATTAAGCTGACAGCAGACCTCTCAGCAGCAACAACTGATGCCAGGAGACAATGGGATAAGATCATCACAGAACTAAAGATTTGACTGAAAAGCACTGATGTCCACTAAACAATCATTCAAGAATGAGGATGAAATAGACAGTTTTGAAACAAAGATTGAATGGATTTATACTCATAACCTCTCACTGGAGAATTAGAAAAGGATTTTCTTCAGTAAGAAGAAAGCTGAATCCAGAAAGAAGGAATATGATGAAGGTGGCAAAGTAAGCAAAGAAATGAGTCAGCATGTTGGTAAGTCTAAGTAAGCATTTATTGTTTTAAAAAATACCAATTTATGGGGACAGTTAAAAGTCAGGTGAAAGTGAAATGCTATGTGGGAATAACATGAAAAATGTTAAATGATTGATTAAAGTTGAATAATTGTAAAGCCCATTTATCACTTGGCTGCAGGATAGAGATGTTGATTAGCCTTAGATATGCATGCTAAAATGTAGGAGTTTGCACTACAGAATAGAAATAGAAGGTATAACTTTCAAACAAGTGGAACGGGGAAACAGAAAGGAACAAAGGGAACTTAATCAATACGATGAAGACAAAGAAAGAAAAAAAATGAGCAATGGAAAAGGACATATAAAGAAATCACAAAATTAGATGATGGAAATAATTCCAGATAAAATCTCCTAGAGTTCTCACGAATGCAGCCTCGTATCTCTTCCTTCATGCCTGTATCAGAGTTTTGGGCCCAATTTTTGCCTCTTTGTCTTCTCACCATTACTACAGGTCAGGCTCTCCAGGAGTGAAGCCTGTCCCATTCGTTTCTACGGCTCCCGCCCCATGTAGCACAGTGCCTGGCCCACAGTCTGGTTAGGTTTGTCTTTTAAAAAAACCTGCTTATTTATTTGAATTAAATTGAACAAAGGAAGCAAACAAAGAAATGGAAAACTAACATCTTAGTAAATCACTGCCATAGTAAAACAACATAAGAGAGGAAATTCAATGTTAAAAAATTCATTAAAAATTCAGTCTCACTGGAAATAAAAATAGGTGAATTAAAACTAAACATAAAATTGTACTGTTTTGCCTTTCAATCAATTTGTAAATGAAAATATGGAATGTTGGAGAGAGTAAAGAGGTCTTTGTAGGGGAGTGGTCACTGTAGGGTAGATTATAGATTGTTGCAAATTTTCTGGAAGGCAATTTTATTTCCAAGATTTTGTATTACTTGGGGTTGTTTTGGTTGCAAGTGACCACAAACGAATTCAAACTTGCTTAAGAGTTTTATTGTCCCAATAGTCAAAAAAGTTGTGTACGTGTGTGTGTGTGTCTGTGTGTGTGTGTGTGTGTGTGTGTAGTGGTGGTGGTGGTTGGTGGGGGGGCTATCATTGGCTTCAGGGCATGCCTTAATTGGATGATCTAATGAGAGCAGGACCCACTTTCTCTCTCTTTTATGGTGTCACCTTCCTCCCAAGGCTACTCTTTTATGCTCAGAAAATAGCTGCTGCAGTTCCAGACCTCACATTCCACTCCCCAGGGAAGATGATATCATCCCTTCCAAGTTCCCAGAAGCCCCCACAAAATGTTGCTTCTTGTCTCACTGGTGTTGTATGTGGCTAATCTCTGAACCATAATTGTCATGTAAAAGTGGCAATTAGGAACAAAAATTATGGGAAATAGAATGGGGAAAGCAAAGACAAAAGAACCCAGAAGCTTGAACTATTTGGAATGGATTAAATGGGAAGAGCACATACCTGGGAAAATTCTCAGCACTTCCCCCTTAGATAGGGCTCCTGCTCCATTCTCCCTCTTATCTTCTCAGATTCCAGGTAGAAGCCTTGTATCTTCTCCATATCTCATATATCTCTCATGCTTTTTTCTATTTGCCCCATCTCTTTGTTTCACTGGGCTTTTCTCTGCATATTTTCTTCTGATGTATTTTCCATTTCACCAATCTTCTCTGCAGCTATGACTAATTAGCTCTTATGTGCATCCATCAGATTTTTAATTTCCTTTTTTTATTTTAGGAGTTTTTATAGTTTCTATTCTCTGCTGAAAATTTAATATTGTCTTTCATTTCCTTGAGCATGTGCAACAGGAATTTAAAGCCTGCGTCTGCTAACTCCACTATCTGGATCTTCTGTGGGTCTGTTGTTTCTATTGGCTGTTTTTTCTCCTAGTTTTTGTTTATGTCATCTGATCTTTTCAAATGCCTCATTATTTTTGATGGCATGCCAGACACTGTATTTTAAACACTCTAGTTTAATTTGAACCCCTGGATGATGTTATAATTTTTAAGAGAGGATTTATGCTTGATTCTAGCAACCTACTAGGCTGGGGGGGGTCCCACAATTCTAGATCACCTGAATCCAATCTAATGTTGGGCTTCAGACTCAGTGAGAGTGGGAAATGTATTTGGTTCACTCTTATTCTTAGGGTATGGCCCTTTTGGGTTTCAACTGGAGGCCTACTATATTTACCAGTGGGCCCTGAATTCCAATATTTGTTCCAGATCCCTGTGAATCTGCTGAAAGCCCAAGTCAGCCTCTCATCTCTGTCCTCAGTTTCTTCAGGGGCTCCTGGACAAAAGCAACCACATGCAGGAAACAGCACCCTGGGCTTCTCTGCACTCCCAGATCTTGGAACTACAATTCCCCACTGCTTGGGAGTGCTCCAAAGCCTTCTCCACAGATGTTTACTTTCCATTTTTCTAGCTTTACTGGTGGTTCTCAGCGGGAGTCTGCTATCACTAGAGTAGAGGTCATAATGGACTTCAGGATCCAGTTAGATATGAGTTCAAATTTCACCTCTACCTTTCAATAACTGAGTAACTGGATGTTGTTCAAACTTTCTGAGCCCCAGTCGTCACTCCATAAGAAGGAGAAATGCCTGCTCTACAGGACTGATTCAAGATATAGAAATTGTATATGTGGCATGACCGGGTGCAGTGGCTCACACCTGTAATCCCAGCACTTTGGGAAGCCAAGGCAGGCAGATCACCTGAGGTCAGGAGTTTGAGACCAGCCTGACCAACATGATGAAACCTCATTTCTACTAAAAATACAAAAATTAGCAGGGCGTGGTGGCGGGTACCTGTAATCCCAGCTACTTGGGAGGCTGAGGCAGAAGAGTTGCTTGAACCTGGGAGGCGGAGGTTGCAGTGAGCCGAGATCGCGCCACTGTACTCTAGCCTGGGCGACAAGAGTAAGACTTCGTCTCAAAAAAAAAACAAAACAAAAAAAAAAAAAAGAAAAGAAATTGTATATGTGATACTCTTGAGAACGTTTGACAAGTGGCAGGTAGTCAAGACATTCACTTTGTTATTGTTGATGTTCTAATTAATTAGTCAGCCTGGCTCCTTCCTCAGAGCTTTGGTGTCTGAGATGGAACCTGGGGATTGTGTTTGTGTGAAGGTCCAGGAAGTTTCTAGGGGCAGTGTTAAGTGGCTGGGGCCTTTTTGCTTGCTGGGATGAAGTTGATGAAACCATGCTTCCTGGGCGAAGGTCACCTAGGGGTCACTGGGGCTTGTCTGGGCCTGGGGAGGTGGGCAATGATGGGCTGAGAGATAACTCAATTCATACTCACAGGAGGGACAACAGGTCCTGGGAACTCTGGCATATGAGGAAGCTGAAGCTGAGTGGAGGCTGAGAAGGGAAAATGAGTCAGGAGGTCACATACAGGGGCCCAGCCTGCATCGGAGACAGGCTGGGAGGCAGGAAATGGGCTGAGGTGGAGTTTTGGGACTGAAAGTGGCAGTGCAGGACACTGCGGGCCCCATGGCTTCCTTGGCCTGCACAGTTGGGGGCGAGATGAGGTGCTCTATATTCCCTCTGGTTCTGCTCCTTTGATGCCAAGGCTGTGATCCTAAAACCACTTGAATATTTATATTTTAATAGGATGATGTCAACACGGATGAACTCTCGTGAAGAAACTGTTTTTCAAACCAAATCCCATGCTAATTTAATCCTGGGTTTTTAGTACAGTACAATTACCCTTTCTGTTATGCTTTCTTTTGATATTTTATTGAAATGATTTTCATCAAGTAAGTTTTCTGTTTAATTTTTATAAGAAAATTTTGCAACTAGTTCATAGATTGGTTTTGCCCATTTATAATTTTACTGATTATAGCTTCTGCTATTGAGAGTGTGTATGTGAATGCATTGTGTGTGTGCATGAATGCGTGGTGTGTGCATGTGAGTTTAAGAGTGTTTGTGCATGAGTGTGTGTGTGTGTTAGCCATTATTTATGCCAAGTCCAATGTCCTTTGGTCACATTGTGCAGGTCTCAGCCTAATAAGATTCAATTGTTGGTCAATTGTACTTTTTCCTTTAAGTGCTGTTTTCAACATGGCCTTGACTTCCTTTGTGTGAATTATTTCTGTAGACAATTTTCCTTATTCTTTGTCTAAAAAGCAGAAAGAGTTCTTTGTTAATCTATCAGAACCATGTGAACAATTTTGTGAAATGGAGACAGAAGGGGAAGAGAAGGAGGTCCGGTCAGTGAGGAGAGGAAAATTCCAAAGGATTCATTCAGTACAATGCGGATCCAGACCCAGAAGCTGGGGAGTGGTTGAGCGGCGACCTGTGTGGACAGAGTTGCCAGCCTTGGGGTCTGCTGGGAGAGGGCCCCAAGGAAATAAAGACCCCAGTATCAATCTTCTCCTTTCCATCCCTGCGGGGGCTTCCCAGGGCCAAACCCAACGGGGAGGCTGAGGGCCAGGGCGCCTGCTGGTTCTGACCAGACAAGTCTGTGTCCTGGGGCAGAGAACAAGGTGGGTGGAGAGTGGCACTGAGCTGCAAACTGTGGATGCCTAGCACAGACCAGGAGCGAATTCTTTCCTGTGCCTGTCTCGCTCAGCACGCAGCGCATCTCCAGGCTCTGGCAGGGAGCCTTGGTCGCTGCAGAGCTGGCTTGGATCTGAGAAAGGCTTGTCCCATTGGGCTGTTTCCCAGTGGGCGTGGCTCGACCATCACGTTCTTCTTGGGAAGGTCAGGGGTAATGTATTCCTCCTCTCACAACTCAAGGCACAAAGCCGACTCGCGCTGCGGACCCCTCAGCGTTTCAGGTTTTGAATAATTCAGGCGGGAGTATGGCTGAAATTTATCTTTGCTGTATTTACACAGAAAGACCTTACAACGCTAGTCGATTGTGTAAACAGGGATAATTATAATATTTCAGAAGAAAGGGTTTAATATACCAAAGGAGGGGGGGATTTTCCAGCCCAGCAGTCAAACCCATTTCTGCATAATGAGAGAATTATTGGTTGTCCTTTTGGATAACAACTGCTCAGATGTGATCCCATACGATGAGGCAGATAGGATGTAGTCCTATTTGGTCAGTGCCCCAAGCAGCTGATACCCAGCCCTGGCTACCAGCCCAGCCGAGGTCAAAGGCAGGCTCTTTCCACACAGAGGGGCGGCAACAGGGAGAAGGCGCAGTCCGTGGAGCCAACATATCTGGGATGGAATCTGCATATCTTTTGGGGTCCTGTGATCGTGCTGAACCTCTGTTTCCCCACCTATGAAATGGGTGAGGCTTTCTCATGGGCTTCCTCTAAGGCATACCAAGATATTTTGGAGACAGCCCTGGAACACAGCAGGTCCTCTGCTCCTAACCCGCTCCCGGAAGGGTCACTGAAGGAGGGGCTGGGTGCTTCCTGAGGACACGCCCAGTTTCAAACCCTCCACCCCTGCCTGGCCCTGCCCCCAACCTGGAGGCCCGCCAAGGAACACCAGCTGGGAGGCACAGAGGTGGCCCACCCTGTTATTTGGCTCAGGCCTGACCCAGCTCCTCCCCGGCCTTGAAACCAGCCTCTGGGTTCTGTTTCTGTCACAACAAACTCTGACCCTCTGAATCACATGGGCAGAGTTGCTCATGGAAAGAGCATGGTGGGCTTGGGAACCAGACAAGCGTCGTTTCTAATCCCAGCTCAGCCACTTACCAACCAAATAGCAAGGTTTTTAACTTCTCCAAGACTCTGGATAAACGAGGTGGCCAAACGTACTTTGCAGGTGGGGTAAAGTGCCCTACACAGCACGTGGTCATTATAGTGACTGTGTTGTTGGTGGCTGTTATTATTGCTATTGTTTGTGTGTTATGTTTAGGCATTTTTTAAAGGCAGGGACTTGCTTTGTTGCCCAGGCTGGAGTGCAGTGACGCAATCTTGGCTCACTGTAGCCTGGATCTCCGGGTAGGGACTCAGGTGATTCTCCCACCTCAGAGATTCTCTCCTGAATAGCTGGGACCACAGGCACGCATCATCATGCCCAGCTAATTTTGTTTATTTTTCATAGAGATGGAATCTCACTCTGTTGCCCAGGCTGGTCCCGAACTCCAGGCCTCAAATGATCCACCTGCCCCAGTCTCTTAAAATGCTGGGATTATAGACATGAGCCACTATGCCTTCCCTGTTCAGGCATTTCAAAATTGGTCAGAAATCTGGCTTTGCCTTTGGCGGTTTTCCCTTGATAGGAAGTTGCAGGCTGTCAAGAATCTGCTGGTATGGGGGAGAGGTGATAGTGGTGGGGAGAGAGGTTGTGACTTGCCACAGTGGCCTGGAAGGGGCCTGTGTTCATTTAGCCTGAGCCCTGCTTTCAGGCAGGGACACACTGAGCGGCCAGGCTCCCTTTGAGTTAGAGCATCTGAAGTTCTGCTCCCACATCCTCTGTTCCCAAGGATGTGAATGTGGTCCCCAGGGCTTGCATCCTGGCTAGAGGAGCACAAGACACCCCCTTTGCATGGTGACCTCCCTGCGGAAGAGATGAGTAATGAAGCTCAGCAGCCTGCCCAAGCACCAAGGAAAAAGGCGTCCATCATCTTAATGGTACCTTTGAGCTGTCTGGCTGACCTGCGGCCTCTTCCTCATAGGCACCCCTCCCGAAAGCATTTGATGTGAGCTATTCCTGGCATGTCCTGTGGTACAAAAGTGCGGTTCATCTTTTCAAGGAGACGTGAGGAGGTTGAAAGTCAAAGCCATTGGAACAAACCTTGGCTTTGGAGGAGAGTCAAGTGCTTATTATGCAAGTCCTTGCTCTCCCTCGGCTGAAGGCAGCACAATGAGCAAAACAGAATTTTGGGGGGATTTGGCAATAAGGACAAAAAGGAAACAAGATCTACGCAGTACATACCGTCTCCACAGGGAGATTGTGGCTCTTGGGCACTAGCCCACCTAGAGCAAGTCAGTCTCCACATCACCTAGGATAACCCAGGTAGGGAGGGAACACGTTGGGTCACTCTGCCCTGGAAAGGTTTAGGGGAAGAGTTGGGGTTCTGCATGGCCTGGCCTTGGAAGAGAGATGTGTATCCCTGCTCCCATGCCCATGGCCACCATCTTCATGCATGCAGTGGCTGATACTGCTGTGAAGACAGGCTTGGACTGGGGCTGGAGAAATCTCTACTCTTGTTTTACTGAGAGCTTGAACCTCTTTGGGTCTCTTTTTACATTATAGGACAACAGGCCTCATATATACTAGTTTCCTTCTCCACCAGAAAGGGGCCAGAAGCAAAGGCTGATAACAGTGTCTCTTGGCAGAAAAGTTATTTTAGCATCCCAGGAGGGCTTGCTGAACCATGACCCTTTGTCCTTTGGAGAAGGAAGGCAGGGTGTTGCCCATCAGTGAGGATGTGGGTACTGGGGCCACCCAGGGCCTTGCTTACCTACTGAAGAAGGGAAGGTCCTCAGAGTATGTAACTTTTCAGGGCTGCTAGGGACACAACTCCACACTGTGGCCAGGATTCTCCCTGGATTAGGGGAGTGTGGATGAACAAAGTCTGCTGTGATTTTTTTAGGGAGGGAGAGAGAGAGAGTTAGATCTGGGAGATCAGGTGGAGAGCTCATTCATTTCCCGGGGGCTGCTGCAGGGGCACGTGGCAAAAGGAGAGCTTGGTCAGGCCTCCCACTGTTTCAAAAAGAGAGCCACTGTGCTTTTGTTTCTTTGACATATCAGAGATCTAATTATGATTTCCAGTGGGCAAAGGATTCCTTAGCTAAGTTTAGAAACCGCTGCTCAAAACTATTGGCCTGTTGGGCAGGAAACTCCTTGAAAACCTCTTGCTTTTCGTGCCAGGGCCTCTGTTCTAATTTCCTATCACTGCATTACAACACCACCTCCACCCCCAAACTTAGTGGCTTACATTAGCAATTTATTGCTCTTTCATGGACTGACTGGGCTCAGCTGAGTGGTTTTCACTTGTTTGCAGTTAGACTGTGGCTGAAGCTGGAGTCCTGAGCCTTACCTGGGCAGGTCTTCCCACATGGCTTGTCACTCACGTGTCTGGTGCCCTAGCTGGGATGGCTGGGAGGGCTAGCGTCTAGCCAGGCAGCACTCTCCATGGGGCCTTGCTATGGAGACTTCCTCACAGCATGGTGGAGGCGGAGTAGTTGGGCTTCTCACATAGCCTGGCTTCCTCCAGAGTGTGTGATCCAAGAGACCCTGGCAGAAGTTGCAAGGCTTTTTACGACTTAGTTTTGGAAGTCACAAGCATCATTTCCATGACATCCTGCTGGTCCAAAGCTAATTACAAGTTGAGCCCATCCATATTGGAGGGGAGGGGACTACGAAAGTGAATACCAATAGACTAAGCTCCTTGGAGGACCATCTTTGGAATCTAGCTATCCCCATCCTGGAAAGAAGGAAGAGAACATGCCCTTCCACTGTAAACACTGTCAGAAGCTGGATTTGGGGGTCTCAGTCAATGAAGAATTGTCCAAGCTCCAGAACTGGGGTCCTCAGAGTGGGCTAATGGAAGTCCACCCCTTGCTACTTGTCTAAAGTTCTTTTTATAGAGAATAAAGGCTTCTGTTGCATAAACAGTGAGATTTAAAATGCCACTACCCTTTCAGAAGAGCAAACCCAAACCCCTCTGCCTCAGAAGGCAAGTCACATTTCCAAATAAATCTCTAATGGAATTAAGCAGGGATGTCTGCTTTCCTGTCCAGGCTGAGAGTCATCCAAAGCTGGCCTCTTATTTCTGACAACTGCCCCTTGTTGTCAGAGGGGCAGTTTTAGATTTGCCCCTCTAGATTAAATCAGTTTTAGATTGGCAAATCTAAAAGCAGGAGTCAGCTCGAAGGTGAGCAGGAGAGGGAAGCAGGGAGTGGCCTGGTCTTCCTTGCCAGGCCCACACTAGCAGGAGACTCCTGGCTCCCTGGAATTCCTGCTAAAACTCAGACTCTCGTAATAGTAAGTTTCAGACACTGTAATTTTTCCCCAATAATTCTTCCAGGCCTAGCTCAAAACCAAATCCCTCGTTTTGCTTTAGCCATCATAATTCCCAGGGACTTAAAGGACTCCCCCAGACAGCCAAGCACAATCATTTGACAAATGCACGTTTTCAGCAGATTGGTAGGAATATCAGTGTTCCCTCTGTCACCACCATCCACTGATGCCTCATGATGCCTGAGAGCCCACCTTTGGGGGAAATGTTTGTGCATGGGTAAGAGGCACAGGTAGACAGACTGAGAACACTGGGAGAAGAGCTGCCTGCAGATGTGACTATGGCGGCTGTGGTGGGGGATGCAGGTGCAGATGAGGGGCAAAAGTGCAGGTTTATGTCCTCTCTTGCTAAACTGTGGGGAGAGCGCAGGGGGCTCCTGGCTGCTGTGGGCCGCATTGGCATTTTCAGGGATCCCAGCTGACCTCTGATGTCCAGGGCACCCACTCTTTCTCATCCCACCAGGAGAGAGAGAATATCCTCCGAGTGCCGTTGCTGCTTGGAATCGAGTAAGCAGAGAAGGGAGAGGGAGAGGGCCTCAGGCCCCATGAAAGCAGCTGCCACTTTATCTTAGGAGGGGACCCCAGGGAGCCCTTGAACCCGATGTCATTTCTGTCATACATAGGGAGAGGCGCGGGTGAGCGTGTGTGGGGAAAGAGAAATGCCGAAGAAACAGTTAGCCTCTGTTCATATTTGATAGGCAGCCAAAGCACTTTTGTTCCCAAGCCCGGCGAGCTACCCGTGAAAAAATAAATTGCTTTTCAAGAACATTCATCACAGCAAGTGGCTCGTTTCCTTGTCCTCAAACAACCCCATTCCTAGGCCCTTTCCCCCATTAAAAACTCCTCAGATGTGGTAAAATAAATAAAGAAGCCCAGGGGAAGTGTGGGGCGGTGCCGGGCGCTGTGGGAAGGTGGTAGGGAAGCGGCAGACACCCGGGCCTTGGGATAGGGCCCTTTCCTGATTCTCCTCCCTGAGCAGAGGGCCCTGGGCTCCACACGTGTGATTCTGAAATTCAGGAGCAATGTGCTGTACTTTACTAGGCCTGTCCTCTAGATCCCCGTCCTTTCGCCTGCTCAGAGAGTCCCTCTGGAACACCCCTCTATGGGGGAGCTCTCCCTCCCTGTCACTCTGTTCTGTTATTCTGCAAGTTTCCTTCATGATCTCGTCCCGATATGCAATTATGAATTCATTTGCTTATGGTATACTCCCCAATCAGTGTCAGCATTGCCAGGCCTGGGTAGGGACACGCTGTCTTGCTCATGGGTGTATCCCCGGCACATAGCAGATGCTCAACAAATAAATGAGCAAATCCAAAGTGTGATGCTTAGGGTCAAGTGTACTGCCCCATCCACAATCTCATCTTCCAGAGACTCTTTTTTCGACATCCAATTCCCAGATTAATTGCTGTGTCTGGGGCCTGTTGTGCAGCCCCTATGGGATGGGCTTAGCTAGTGGGTGTGAGGGGCAACTTGCTACAGAGCAGGTCACTGAGCTGTGGTTTCATTGCGTGAGCTTGAGTAAGTCACTTCGTCTCCCTGGGCCTCAGAGTCCTTTTCAATGAGATGAATTACTTACCTTATGGCATTTCTGTAGAGGTTACCGTCAGTGTGGGGAACATGGAAAGCCATTTTGATTATGAATTTGATAACCATGAACTCTCTAACTCAATAAAATATCAATAAAATATTCAGGAATTTCTGGGCATCTAGACCATGATGGCTCTAGAAAATTCTCCAGGTCTGAGATGTTGGCAGGAGCTTGTCTTCCTTTTAGGTGTGTGCAAGAGCCACACAGGCACGTTTAGACCACAGCTTCACCCAGGCTGGCATTTAGTAGAAGGACCCCACCTTCATATATCCCCCCATCAAGGAGGATTTTCCTTCAGGTGGCTATGGAGAATAAGGCTGTTAGTCAGACTCATCACTCAGCAACAAGAATGGTTCCAGAAGGGTCTAGGGCACCTAATGCCATATTTTGGATTTGTTCATTCGTTCAACAGGTATTTGCTGAGCGTCTACTATGTTCCAGGGTATACACCTGTGAACAAGGCTGCATGGTGCCACCCTGGTGGAGCTGGCACCTAGCTGGTAGACCACAAACGAATGAATGAATGATTGCACACTGGCATTAGCCCGTAAAGGAAACGCAGAGTGAGTGATGGAGAGTGAAGGGGAGGAGATCCTGAGTTCTGAAGCAGAGTGGGGGAAGGGCTGGGTGCAGAAAGGAGGCCAGAAGGTGGGCGGTGGACAGGAGGGGCAGAGGTGGGCGAATGGGCCCTGAAAAAGCTGGAGCAAGGGCGTGACTACAGCCGAGGTTCTGACGTCCGCAGTGCCAGCGCCAGCCCTGCCTCCTGGTCCCTTCTTAGGCCGGCGCAGGGGCATAGCCAGGGAGAGAGCTGGGGAGTCCGGAGCCCGAGAAGGGCTGAAGCCCCCCCCTGCCAACACCCCGGTTGGCCCCAAACCAGCCGATTCTCTTTTCGCCACAGCTTAGCAGAGCAAAGAGCACCTGGCTCCTGGCCAGGAGGCTCCTTTGGGCCCCCAGCGACCCGGCGGCTGCTCGGGCCACCTCTTGCAGCACCGGGCGACCCACATCACTGTGCTTGGGTTTGAGAACTAGAGACGGACGCAACTTTGTTTTCTTAGTAGTCAGAAAGGGCTCCTTTTCAGGCCCTACTAAGAATAGCTTAATTTATTCCCGCTCTCTCGGGCTGCGAAGCGGGGCTTGGTGGGGCCAGTGGCTGGCCTGGAGCGGGGCCTGCGCGACGGTAAAAGAGCGGGCCAGGCGGGGAGGCCCAGACGTTCCCCGCATTCAGACAGGGCACTCAGCCCATTCCGCCCCCGGCCTCGCCCAGGCCCCGCCCCCTGCCCCACCGCCGCGTCCATTGGCTCGCTCGCCGCCTTCCGCGCTCTCATTGGCTCTCACGAGCCCTCCCGCAGCTGCCTGACCTCTGCGCCCTCCGCTGCCCCGCAGGTGAGAGCAGCGAGAGGCGCGGTCTTTGGGTGTGCGGTGGCAGAGAGAGAGCACGCGTGGAAGGATGCTGACACTGACCCAGTACAGGGCTAGGACCGGGCGGGAGGTGTCAGGGGGCGCACAGGGACGGCTGCCATTTACTATCTCCCACGTACCCCAGATTTCCCGTTACTTCATTCAGCCCTTACAACAACCTTGCAAAGCAGATATTATTATCCCCTCGGCTTATAGATGAGCAACGTGGTGGTCGAGAGTTAATGGGCTTGCCCACAATCACACAGCTAGCACGATTCAGAAGTATGATTTGATCGCTCTTGTGTGTGATTTCAAGCACTGCACCCCCCGGCACCTAATAGGGTGGTGCGCCTATCCTAGGGATTGGAGGGATGACAACAGCCGGAGGGTGCACGGAGGTACCGCCACACTAGGTACCGGCTTGGTCTGCTCAAGGGAGGCATCCCAGGGAAATGACGTCCCAGGGAGATGGCACTCACCTGCTCTTCGGAGACACAGTGGAATTTAGGGTGGCACTGACAGCCAAGATGGCATAGGAACAAAATTGGCCAGAATGGGCCTTCACATGAGATCAGTCATTTGGCGACTCAGTCAGCGCAAGAGTCGCCACTGACATGGGCACTGAATATTCTTTTTGCACAGCATTTTACATCTGAAAATCCCTTCACCTCCATGGTCTCATTTAACTACAGTACCAAAACAATTCTGTAAAGTTGGCATCATCCTAATTTTGCAGAGGACCAAAAGAAGGGCTAATGAAGACCGATGAGGACAACATACTGTTTCCCGTATTTGGGGAACTTTACATCTCACGTAAGTCTCACCACAGTCCTAGGAGGTAGGCATTGAGCAAACCAAACTCAAGGAGGTTGAAGAACTTCCTTAGGTAACATGGGGGTTTAAGAGCAAGGTTCTACCTGACTCCAAATGCACTCGCCTTCAATCAGTTATTCTACTGTTCTTTCAGATCCTGAGCCAGCCTGAGGAATAGATGAAGTCAGTAGTTACTGAATGAGAAAGACTTGAGGAATGACAATAAGGCCCTATGCCCCCAAATACCTTTTACCCCCTTCAACTCATTGTAGATAGCTGAAACACTACCATTGACAATTGTTTTGTTGGGTTAAACATTGAGCCACGAGAATCTTAAAACGCAAACTTCCCTGTATGGGAGGAAGGCAATAATTCCATAGCATGATTGAGAAAGGAAAAAATGTTTGGAAGTTCCACTAGAGTTATTCACCTAGCTAAAGCATCTGCTGAGTTATGTTATTGTCTTGACAACCATCACCCATTTCACCACCTCCTACATAAATAAGGATAGTTCTGTGATAGATCACAGTGAAGATAAAGCATCTAGACAGGTTCCACTTTAGGGTAGAATGTAGTAGGTAGCAGCAAACCACTTCTCATCCTGTGGCACCTAGAAAAATTTGAATAGATTACATAAAATGTATTTTGAAGACATTGGATATCAGTGGAAGTTAAGTGGGCAAGATAAAACTAAAGTTTCAGAGATGGGAAAAGCATTGCTAGCTGAGTTGACATTACTGGTCCTTTTTCCTCCATGAGGTCTTCTGCTGACTGAGTGTTGGGCTTGCTGTAAGTAGGGAGGGCTCCTGGGGGAAGGAGATAACAGCAGAGATTTTGACAGCCATGTGGACTGGCCTGGCTGGCCAGAGAGTAGTGAAGCCTCAAATTCACTGCCAGCTGTCCCCATAGAACACGGAGTGCTGGGGGTGGGGGTACGATGATGCTGGGGGACTGGGTTACCAAGGCAGAGTTTTCAGTCCTTGGAAGGAAAAATTCAACTAGAGTAAAAGGCCTTCAAGAAACATTCATAAATATCCTCCTTAAAACGTTTGCCAGCTACTTTCCTTGCATGTGCAAGGAGGCAAAAGAGCTAAGCTCAGAACCCTTGAAGAATAGAACTTTCAAGGCCAAAGAGACAAAGTCTGGTCTCACAGTCAAAAACTCAGGAGGGTCATGCTTGAGAAGGAAGCTGAGCCTCATAGACTCATGGTGCTTGGGAGGTAAAGTCCTACTAGAAGGAGGAGGCTGTGAGGAGCCCATGACATACCTCATCCCTGAGACATTGGAAACCAGAGCTGGACTGACTCTGACACCAGAATCCACCTCCAGCCGGGCTCAGCTCCTGATTGGATTGGAGTGATCAACCCTTCACCTGATCTGCCTAATAGGAGATGAGTGACTGCTTTCTGTGGAAGAATAATAATGACTTTAGGTTCTAGGACTCTTTTATACATAAAGTCAGAAATTCATTATAAAAATTACAAGACAGAAATAAGTAGGAAAACATGACCAAAAAGCATAACTCATAGGGAAAAATACAACAGAAATTCTCAAATATGAATAACATTTTCATATCCTCTTGGTGTGTGTGTATGTGTGTGTATGTGTGTGTGTGTGATGTCATCAGTCTTGACATTGAAGCCAAATTTGGGGTTTGTCTGATTACAGATTACAAGTCTGCCTGAGTCCACTCAGGCTGCTGTAATGAAATCCCATGAGCTGGGTGGCTTAAACTACAGACATTTATTTCTCACAGTTCTAGAGGTTGGAAAATGCAAGGAGCAGGGTGCCAGCAGATTCAGTTCCTGGTGTGGGGCTAAATTTTGGCTTGTAGCCTCCTAGCTTCTTTCTGTGTGCTCACATGGTGGACATAGAGAAGTCTGATGTCTATTTCTTACCTTGCAAGGGCACTAATCCCATCAGAAGGGCACCAACCTTATGACTCCATCTAAACCTAATTACCTCCCAAAGGTCCCACCACCACACACCATCGCATTGAGGGTTAAGGCTTCAACATATGAGTTTGAGGAAGACATAAACACTCAATCTATAATGCAGATTGTCATAAAAAGTCTGATTCCATTAAACATTTTTAAAATTTCTTTTCTATTTTTTTCTTTCTTTCCTCCTCCCTTCATTTCTTCCTTCCTCCCTTCCTTTCTTCCTTCCTTCTTTCCTGCCTTCCTACCTTGAGGCCTTCCTGCCTTCCCTCCCTCCCTCTTTCCCTCTCTCCCTCCCTCACTCTCTCTCTTTTTCTTTCTTTCATGGCTAGCCAAATGAAGCAGTGGAAGTGAAGAAGGAACAAGTAAATCTGTCACTGTTTATGATCAATTAGTTGTACATACCACTAAACTCAAACCACTCTGACTCCATTTTTGATATTTGAGTGCTGACAGTTTTAAAGCTCCACCACCTTCTCTTTCTTTTACATCAGGTCTTACATCTGGGCCAACTAGTAAGAAAGCCCAGGTGCTCCCTCCTTTAGCCTCAGCAGGAAGTTTAAACCATGCAAGTGCTGGCCCATGCATGGAAACCCTCACCCTCAGCTCCACCATCTAATAACCCCAAAGCCAGTCTCCCTTTTCAGCTATCTGAAGCCATTTTTGGTCTTTCTTGAGAAGTTTCCAGGCTCTTCACAGAAATTCTCAAATATGAATAACATTTTCATATCCTCTTGGGGTGTGTGTGTGTGTGTGTGTGTGTGTATGTTTGTGTGTGTGTGATGCCATCAGTCTTCACATTTAAGCCAAATTTGGGGTGAAGGTGTTTATCTCACCACCACAACACAGATGATTCAGCTATTGGAATTATTAGGAAAGAATCTGAATGAAGTTATTATAAATAAATAGACTATAGAAAGATAGACAAGATAAATTAAAAGATAATTTCTACAGAGAATTGGAATCTATAAAATTCAAATAGACAGTTCAACAATGGATTGTTCAACAACAATCTGAAATTAAGAATTCATCGAATGGATTTAATGGCAACTTGAACACAAAAGATGATAGGATTAATGAGCTCAAAAACAGGTATATAGAAAATACTTAAGCTGAAATACAGAGAGAGAAAATAATGAAAATAAAATATCTGAGTAAAAGACACATACTGGGACACAATCAAAAGGTATAACACACATATAACTGGGTTCTTAGAAAGAAAGAAGGGAGAAATAATAAGGCAAGTAATATTTGAAAAGATAATAGGCAAGAATTTTCAAAATCAGATAAAGAAATCAACTCACAGATTTAGAAAGCTTAGTAAATTCAAAGGAGAATAAATACAAAGAAAATTACACATAGAAATGTCATAGTCAAACTGTGAAAACCAAGACAGGAAGAAAATGTTAAAAGTGGCCAGGAAAAATAAAACACATTACATTTGAAGAAGTGACAATGAGTTATGGCTGACTTGTTAATAGCAACTATGAAAACCAGGAGACAATGGAATGGCAACTTTCAATGCAGAAAAATTCTATACCCAGTGAAAATTATCTTAAAAAATGAGGGCGATTCATGTTTCTCTTTCTATTGCCTTCCCTTTTCTTCCCTTCCTGATCAATCTAGTTCTAAAGCCATTAGATGGGGCAGAGCAAGGTAGGTATCTGTGGTTTTGGGGTAGCGGGAGTGGAGGAAGTCACCACAGCTCAGAGCAGGGTGTCAGGGTCAAACAGATTGAGGCAGGGTCAGACAGATAGGGGCAGCCCCATGTGGGATACAAGTGACTCATCAGGATGAAGAGGGCATCCACTCAGAGAGGCTGGCTGGGTGTGGTGTGGAGAGTCAAGGCCCAAGCAGGGTGAGGAGGGAATCCTTTTTTTTTTTTTTTTTTTTGAGACACAGTCTTGCTCTGTTGCCCAGGCTGGAGTGCAATGGCACAATCTCGACTCACTGCACCCTCTGCCTCCTGAGTTCAAGCGATTCTGCTCTCTCAGCCTCCCGAGTAGCTGGGATTCCAGGCATGCGGCACCATGCCTGGCTAATTTTTGTATTTTTAGTAGAAATGGGGTTTCGGCATGTTGGCCAGGCTGCTCTCAAACTCCTGACTTCAGGTGATCCACCCACCTCGGCCTCCCAAAGTGTTGAGATTATAGGCATGAGCCACCACACCCGGCTGGGAATCCTCATGTTGGGGGAAGCAGGTTCAGCTTGGGGAGTCAGAGAGAGAGTTATGAAGGAGAAAATAGAAAGAACTCTGTGATATTGGTTTGGAATAGGATATCTGTGTGGATTTATGAATATATGTGCCACACACATATATAATATACATACATACGCATACATACTTATTACCCAGATTTTGGCTTCTAAATAACATTTTTCACTGAAAGGGAACTAGGAATCCTTGGAGAAATGGCTAATTTCAGGACTGGGGCAGGGAAAGGATAAGATGAGTTCACAACACCTGGTGCCAAAATGCAAGGAAGTGCCCAAAGAAGGATGGGGACATGTCAAAAGGACACAGGAGCCACCTCAAAGTGTCCCCTACTGGTCAAACCAGGCACAATCTGAACATCAAAATAAATAGTAACAATGGATTACGACCTTTCTTTCTTTCTTTCTTTCTTTTTTTTTTTTTTTTTTTGAGATGGAGTCTCGCTCTGTCACCCAGGCTGGAGTGCAGTGGCGTGATCTCAGCTCACTGCAAGCTCCGCTCCCCAGGTTCATGCCATTCTCCTGCCTCAGCATCCCAAGTAGCTGGGACTACAGGCGCCCACAACCACGTCCGGCTAATTTTTTTTTTTTTTTTTTTTTTTTAGTAGAGACGGGTTTTAACGGTGTTAGCCAGGGTAGTCTCTATCTCCTGACCTCGTTATCCTCCCGCCTCGGCCTCCCAAAGTGCTGGGATTACAAGCGTGAGCCACCACACCCGGCCAGATTATAACCCTTTCAATAAAACAGGAAAACATGAGCTTATACAACTATAAAGAAAATAGGTTGGACATGGTGGCTCACGCCTCTAATCCCAGCACTTTGGGAGGCCGAGGCAGGAGGATTATTTGAGGCCAGGAGTTCGAGGCCAGCCTGGCCAACATGGTGAAACCCCATCTCTACTAAAAATACAAAATTAGCCAGGCATGGCGTTGGGCACCTGTAATCCCACCTACTTGGGATGCTGAGGCAGGAGAATGGCTGGAACCCAGGAGGCAGAGGTTGCAGTGAGCTGAGATCATACCACTGCACTCCAGCCTGGGCAACAGAGAGAAACTCTCTCTCAAAAAATAAATAAGAAATAAAGTTCAGTGAAGAGCAGGACTTTAAACATAGTTTAAAAGCACCTCGACTGGGGCACGGTGGCTCACGCCTGTAATCCCAGCACTTTGGGAGGCTAAGGCAGGCAGATCACGAGGTCAGGAGTTCGAAACTAGCCTGACCAACAAGGTGAAACCCCATCTCTACTAACAAAAATAAGCCGGGTGTGGTGGCACATGCCTGTAATCCCAGCTACTTAGGAGGCTGAGGCAGGAGAATTGCTTGAACCCAGGAGACAGAGGTTGCAGTGAGCCAAGATCATGCCACTGCACTCCAGCCTGGGCAACAGAGCAAGACTCCATCTCAAAAACAAACAACAAAAAAAGGCCTCTCCACAACAGACTTACACAAAGGGGGAAAGAATAACATTATATTAGAGAAGACTGGCAGACCACATTTTAATCAAATGATCAAAGTAAACATCACCAAGGATGGGACAAATTGCTATGCAACACCCGCTAGGATGCAATGAGAAGAATGCAGCCCCCCTTCCTTGATAGGTCTGCTGAAGACCCGTCCCCTGAATATAATGCTGCAGATCAGATTATGAGAGAAATGCAAATTGAGGGCAATTCGGTGAAGTATCTAGCCTGTAATCTTCAAAACTATCAAGGTCAGGAAAGCCCAGGAAAGATCAAGAAGCTGTTCCAAACTGAAGGAAACTAGAAAGACATGGTGACTCGTGCCGAATGATTGCAAAGCATGATTCCTTTTCTAAAGACGTCATTGGAACAATTGGCACGTCTTAAACAGGATGTCAGCTAAGATAGTAATGCATCATTGTTAATTTCCTGATGTTTAAGGTTGTACCTTGGTTTGCCAGAGAATATTTAAAGAAAATATATGCTACAGCATTCAGGGTGATGAGGCATCAGGCTGGCAAAATACTCTCAAATGGTTCAGGCAAAAAAAATTCTTCATATTCAACTTTGTACTTTTCTATAACTTTATGATTGTTTCAAAAATGTAAAAAGGCTAAAATTTAAAAAACAAAGGCAAAGTAAAGACATTTTCTTACTAACAAAAGCTGAGAGAACTTATCACTGGCAGACCCACACTACAGGAAACAAAAGGAAACACTCCAAATGCAAATGCCTCTTGAGTAGCTGGAACTACAGGCACATGCCACCATGCCCAGCTAATTTTTTTTTTTCAGTAGAGATGGGGTCTTACTGTGTTGCCCAGGCTGGTCTTGAACTCCTGGCTGGGGTCAAGCCATCCTCCCATCTCAGCCTCCTAAGTAGCTGGGACTACAGTCACGTGCCACCAGGCCCGGGCTAAGACACACTTTAAATATAAAAACATAGAAAGATAAACAGTCAAAAGATGGCAAAAGTTGTGTCGTGCAAATACTAACCAGATGAAAGGTGTGGCTGAAATAATAGCAAAGTAGACTTCGTGCCAGAAGTAGTAATGGAGTTGAAACATGACATTTCCTAATGATAAAAGAGTTAATTCAACAGGAAGACATAACAATCAGAAACTTGTATGTACCTAGTAAGAGAGCTTCAAAACAAATGAAGTAGAAAATAGAAGAAAGAGAAATAGGCGAATCTGTAATCATAGTTGGAGATTTTAACAAATCTCTTTGAGCAACTGATAGGAAAATCAGATAAAAGGTCAATAAGTATATAAAAAAATGAACAACAGAATTAATCAACTTGGCTTTACAGACATTTATATGGAACACTACACCCAGCAACTAGAGAACACACAATCTTTTCAAGTGCATATTTACCAAAATAGAACATGTGTTGGACTGTAAAGCAAGTCTTAACAAAGTTCAAAAGATGAAATCACGCAGGGATGATCTCTGACCAAAGTGGAAATAAACAAGAAATGAACAAAAGAAAGATTATTAGAAACCCCAAATGTTTGTGCGTTAAGCAGAATACTTCTAAATAACTTGCAGTCAAGAAAGAAATCGAACAGAAAATTAGAAAATATTTTGAACTGAATGCAAATAAAAATGCTATATACAAATACCTGAGATAAACAGCAAAAGCAGAGATTAGAAATTTGTAGTTTTAAATGCATACATTATAGGAGAAAACAGTTTAAAACCAGCATCTACATTTCTAGCTCAAGGAGCTAGAAAAATAACAACGTAAACCCAAGGAAAGAAGACAGAAGGAAATAAAAATAAGAACAAAAATTAATGAAATATAAAGCAGATACAGAACAGAAAAGTTTAGCAAAGCAAAGAGTGGATTATTGAAAAGATAATAAACTTGATAAACCCAAAAACAAGAAAAGAGACAACACATTACCAATATCAGCAATGAAGAAGATCATGTAGATATTAAGAGATAAAAAGAAGTTATCATTACCAAAAAAAAATCTATAATTCTGCAAGTTAAAGAACTAAGACTGGGCTGGGCTCAGTGGCTCATGCTTGTAACCCCAGCATTTTGGGAGGCCAAGGCAGGAGGATTGCATAAGCTCAAAAGTTTGAGACCACTTTGAGCAACATAATGCTACCCCATCTCTCCAAAAAAATAATTAGCTGGGCATGGTGGTGCAAGACTGTAATCCGAGTTACTCAGGAGGCTGAGACAGGAGGATTGCTTGAGCGCCGGAGGTAGAGGCTGCAGTGAGCCATGGTCACACCACTGCACTACAGCCTGGGTAACAGAGCAAAACCCTGTCTCAAAAAAAAAAAAAAAACAAAAAAAAAAAACACCAACCAAAAAAACCCTAAGACTAAACATTGATGAAGTCTAATTTACCTAATTTTTCTTTTGTTGCTGGTACTTTTGGTGCCATATACATGAGATTATTACCAAATCCAATGTCATGAAGCTTTCCCCTTAATGGTATTATAGTTTTAGTTCTTAAGTTTAGATTTTGATCCATTTTGAGTTAACATTGCACATTGCATAAGGTAAAGGTGCAACTTCATTCTTTTGCATGTCGATATCTAGTTTTCCCAATATCATTTGTTGAAAGGCTGTTCTTTTCCCCATTGTGTGGTCTCAGCATCCTTGTCAAAAATCAATTGACCAGGCCGGGTGTGGGCTCAAGCCTGTAATCCCAGCATTTTGAGAAGCTAAGGCAGGAGGATTGCTTGAAGCCAGGATTTCAAGACCAGCCTGGGCAACATAGAGAGGCTCATCTCTATAAAAAGTAAAAATAGTAGCTGGATGTGGTGGCCTTTGCCTGTAGACTCAGATACTCAGGAGGCTGAGGTAGGAGGATTGCTTGAGCCCAGGAGTTCAAGGCTGCAGTGGGCTATGATCGCACCACTGCATGCCAGCCTGGGCAACGGAGTGAGAACTTGTCAAAAAAAAAAAAAAAGAAGGAAATCAATTGACCATATAAGTAAGGGTTTATTTCTGAGCTCTCTATTCTACTTTCATTTTTAACAGTGTTTTTCCATATATGATTGTCCTTGTGCCAACACTATAGCATTTTATTTGTTTTTTTATTTTTTATTAAAAAATTTGTTTTTCAGACAGAGTCTCACTCTGTCACCCAGGCTGGAGTGCAATGGCGCAATCTTGGCTCATTGGAACCTCCGCCTCCCGGGTTCAAGTGATTCTCCTGCCTCAGCCTCCCAAGTAGCTGGGATTACAGGCACCTGCCACCACACCCAGCTAATTTTTGTATTTTTAATAGAGACGGGGTTTCACCATGTTGGTCAGGCCGGTCTCGAATTCCTGACCTCATGATCAGCCCGCCTCAGCCTCCCAAAGTGCTGAGATTGCAGGTGTGAGCCACCACGCCGGGCCCACTATAGCATTTTAATTACTGTAGCTTTGCAGTAAGTTTAGAAGTCAGGAAGTGTGAGTCCCTCAACCATTTTTTAAAGATTGTTTTGACTGAGGCTCCTTGCAGTTCTATAGGAATTTAAGGACCCACTTTTCTTTTTCTGTGAAGAAGCTATTGAAATTTTGATAGGGATTGCATTGAATGTGTACATGGCTTTGGCTTATGTATGTAATCTTTTAAAACACAGAACAATCGTATCTATTATTTATGGTCACACACCTATGTAGAAAGAATAAAACCCTGGACACACCAAAGTTGAGATGGTGGTTCCCCCAGGGGCGGTGGGGTTAAGTTTAGGGAGGGGAAAGGAACTGAGTAGGGATTCACAGGGACTTCGAATGTACCTGTAATTTTTTGTGTCTAAAAAATTGGAAGCAAACACTGCTATAATTGTCACTACTGAGCGGGTGAGAAATGGCCATGGCTAGGACTAGGCTTATCTCTCGTGTAAGGATGCATGACCCTTCCTTGGTCACCCCTCTCAACTTCTGTCCAACTTCCCAGGTTGAAGGCATGGAAACTGAAGCCCAAAGAGGGGCAGCATCGGGCCCAGGTCCCCACCAGATGTGTGAACGGAATCTTTCCACGGTGCCTGACAGCATCTCTGGATTAGGCAAGGCCCCTGAGGGAACTTGGAGCTGTACTTGCTCAGAATTCTGGGAGCAGAGGGTGGGCTTATGTGAGAGAAGAAGGGCCCTTAGAGCCAACGCCAGTTAGGAGCTTCTGCAGACCGCAGTGCAGGCTGGACACTGTGCAAGAAGCTTCAGGGCTGAGGGTAAGAGGCGGGTGGGGACCCCAGGGATAAGGGTGAAGGGTCTTTAGGGCCACTGGAGTAGCCCCTCAGGACTCACCCGAATCACCCATTTAGGAGCTGCAGAGTCACTAGGGAATGAGCTGCTCCACGTCCGTGAATGTGGTAGACGGAACAATGGCCCCATCAATGATGCCCACGTCCTACTCCGCAGAACCTGTGAACATGTCACCTTACATGGCAAAGGGACTTTGCAGAGTAAGAGGTTATCCCAGGTGACCCAGCTGGCCTCTATGTCATCAGGAGGATTCTTACTAGAGAGAGGTGAGAGGGCCAGCATCAGAGGAAGGAGGTGTGACAACAGGGGCAGAGGTTGGAGTGACGTGCTTTGGAGACAGAGGAAGGCCAAGGAGTACAGGAGATCCGTAGAAGTAGGAAAAAGCAAGGAGACAGATGCTCCCCAACACCCCCAGAAGTAGCCTGGCCCTGCTCACCTCTGGATTTTGGCCTTCTGACCTTCAGAGCTGTGAGGTAATAAGTGTGTGTTTTTATAAGCATTAAACTTGTGATTATTTGTTATGGCAGCAATAGGAAACGAATACCATGATTTTTCCAGAATATGTTATACTCAAGTATTGTGATAGTTTGTATCAAAAATGACTGTAACAACATTTCCAGTCCCACTAGCTTTTCCAGAGTTTTGACACTCCTCCATTAATGGTAGGGTCTATTCTCCTTCCTGTGAAACTGTGTGGGCCTCTGTGACTGCTTTGAGGAAAGAAATAGTGTGACTTTCAATACTCAATCATAAACATTGACATGGCCTCTGCCCAGGTTTTTTTTTTTTTTCTCTGGGACATGCACTTTGGGAGCCCTGAGTCAGCATGTTAGAGATCCACCTGCCCCGAAACCCCCGTGCTGGAGAAACCATGTGGAGAGAGCTCATAGGGACAGAGAGAAGCCCAAAAGCCTCCAGCCATGCAAAGCCCAGACACCAGGCAAGTGAGCCAGAACTTCATCCACCTGTCTTCAGGCTCCCCAGCTGCTGCTGAATGGAGCAGAGATGAGCTGTCCCCACAAAGCCCTGTCCAGTTTGCAGATTCGTGAGCAACACAAATGTCGTTTTAAGCCACTGAGTTTTAGAGTGGTTTGTTCCACAGTGGTGGGTGGCTGGAACAAGTGCCAAAGGCCCACCCATATCACCCCAGGTGAAACTCAGGGAACAAATCCAACCCAATGGAGGGTAAGAGCTTCCTGTCAATTTTCCAGTGTTCCATTCTCAAATAGAAACACATACACTAAGATTACCAGACCTATGAGGACAATTCTAACATAAAAGAAATAGATCAAAGAAAATAAACAAATGAAAACAACCTGAAAGAGCAGACTATGCAGAAAGAAGAAAACTTTTAAAGAAACAAACAAACCAGAAAAAGCCACCAAAACCAATAGTATTCACATCTTTAGATTCCTAAGGGAAGACACTACATCCATAACATAAGCACAAGATACTACCAAAAGGAAACACTCTGCAAAAGCAAGAACAAAAAGGGGGAATACAGAACATACAGAACAGAAAATGAAATACAAATCTTATAACAAGATGGGAAGATAAAGATATTACCCAGAAAGCAAGGTAAAAAACCACATAAATGGAAAGGAGAGAAAAATCAAATGGTGAGTAAGAAAGTGAGAACTCATCCAGGGAATCCAAAATGTGAATAATAAGGAATTTTAGGAAGAGACAATAGAGAAAATAGAGGGTAGAGAATTGTCAACAAACCGATTCAAGAAAATTCCCCCAAACTGAAAGACAGGCCCATCAGGGCCCCAGCACAATGGAAATGGAAAATGCAGACCCAACAAGGCAAACCAATGGGCACTTTTTGAACACCTGGGATGGAGAAGGTCATGTGCAAAAATTCAGAAATCAGAATTGTTTTGGCTTTCTGAGTAGCAGCCCCAGAAAGCTAGAGGGCCTTAGAGTAAAGCTTTCAAAACTACGAAGGAAAAGGATTTCCAACTAGATTCATTGTCTATTGCTGCATAACAAATTGCTCTGAAATTTAATAGCTTAAAACAACACACATTTGTTATCTCACAATTTCTGAGCGTCAGGAATTCACCAGCAGCTTAGCCAGGCTGTTCTGGCTCAGGGTCTCCCATGCGGTTGCAGTCAAGCTGTGTGACAGAGTTGCAGTCATCTCAGGGATCAGTAGGGCTGAGCATTTTGCTTCCAAGCTCACCCATGTGCTTGTTGGCAGGAGGCTTCAGGTCCTTGCACATTGACCTCTCCATGGGCTGCTCCAGATGTGGCCTCCCCCAGAGGGAGTGATCCAGCAGATCAAGAGAGCCCAAGACAGTCTTTTATAATCTAATCTCGGGAGTGACATTCCACCACTTCTGCCATGTCCTGTTAGTCACAGACCAATAGCGCCGGGGACTATTACACAAGGAGTGAATACCAGAAGGTAGGAATCACTGGGGCCATTTTGGAGGCTGCCTATACTATACCAACTGAGAATTCTATAGCCAGCCTAAAGCATCAACCAAGTGTGAAAATATAATAAAGGTATTTTAAGACATGCAAGGTCTCAAAAATGTTACCTCTGTAACACCCTTCTTAAGAAAGCTACTTGAGGACCACCTCCACCAAAACAAGGGAGTAAACCAAGAAACAGAAGAGCCAGCCCAGGAGAGAGACTGAGGGATTTCCCCAGAAGAGGGACTGAGAGATTTTCCCAAGATTATGGAGAAGAGAGATAGCAGGATGAAGCTTTGTACCCAGCAGGTCAGAAGGCTTGGGGAGGGTCTTCTCCATGCTGACAAAATTGACAGAATACCTGATGGGAAAGAACAAATGCAAAGATAGCTAGACAATGGAGAGTTTGGTATTGAATTAGTGATCAGTACATAGAAAAGAAACAAAACAAGATAATTATTAACTCTTGGGGTGGCAGCAGGGGGGATGTGCAGGAAGGAAAAGCAAATGTAGTTTATTATATAGCTCAGTTCTGAACAAATCGCCGTAACACCATAGACAGTGAATCTTTATCCAACCAATGTCCCACGAATCTCTGCTGGGAGTTTGAGGGAGAGGCAAGTGTGTGTGGTGGGAACAAAGGGTGGCGATGTAGGGATGAGGAGAGCTAAACTCACATCTTCTTGTCTCCCAGAGTTGGGGTCAATGGATAATGCCTAGAATGAAAGCATCAGGAAGTAGCAATACTCACATGTTTTTTGTAGAGATGGAGAGATAAATAGCTAAAAGGGTTGGCATGATAGCACGTAGTGAAAAAGGAAAGGGAGAGGGTAGTGGAAGAGGTCTGGGAAAAGCTTCTTTTCTTAGCAAATCCAGTAAATCTAGTCAACCCTTTAAGTCGTGTCTGTATGTTCTTTTTTTATCATGCATACATTTTAAAATATTAATTCTCTCATGTCAAATATCCAGTCAGTTCAAAATTTCAATTTTTGAATGCATGTTCCTTTTTAAAAAGTTTGTTAGAACTTAAATCAGGGGCCAGGCGCAGTGGCTCATGCCTGTAATTCCAGCACTTTGGGAAACTGAGCAGGCGGATCACCTGAGGTCAGGAGTTCAAGACCAACTTGGCCAACATGGTGAAACCCCGTCTCTACTAAAAATACAAAAATTAGCTGGGCGTGGTGGCACATGCCTGTAATCCCAGCTACTCGGGAGGCTGAGGCAGGAGAATTGCTTGAACCTGGGAGGCAGAGGTTGCAGTGAGCCAAGATTGCGCCACTGCACTCCAGCCTGGGAGACAAAGCAAGACTCCGTCTCAAAAAAAAAAAAAAAAAAAAAGAATCAGGATCCAAATAAGGATCTTTCTCTCTCTTTCTAGTTCTCATTCTCACTTTTGTGCATCCCTCTCCACTTCTGTGCCAGCTATTTGTTTGTTGAAACAGGCCATCTGACCTACAGCTTTTGCTGGATTTTTTTTTTTTTTTTTTTTGAGACGGAGTCTTGCTCTGTCACCCAGGCTGGAGTGCAGTGGCACGATCTCGGCTCACTGCAAACTCCACCTCCGGGGTTCACGCCATTCTCCTGCTTCAGCCTCCAGAGTAGCTGGGACTACAGGCGTCTGCCACCATGCCCGACTAATTTTTTGTATTTTTAGTAGAGACGGGGTTTCACCATGTTAGCCAGAATGGTCTCAATCTCCTGACCTTGTGATCCACCCGCCTCGGCCTCCCAAAGTGCTGGGATTACAGGCGTGAGCCACCGCGCCCGGCCTTTTGCTGGATATTTCTAATTGTGTCTCCATGAACTTGGCTAACATCTCCCTCTGTCCTCTGCACCTGCCGTAGTCTTGTAGTGCAGTCTTGATCAGTTTCAGCGTTGGTGTCTCTTTTTGGCAGATCTTTATCATAGGGGATCTTATATTCTTCCATAAGAGACATATTGGGGGTGATTGTTTTTCATTTTGTGATATTAGCAGTTATTGATCAGAGCTTAGATTCATTAATTCACTAGAGGGTGATGCTCCATCATTCGGCTTTCATTTCCTATCCAGAATACTTCTCTAAAAAGACACTTCTCATCTATTTGGCTACATTGTGATACAGGTCGTATAGGAAAAACAGGGTAAATGTTTGATTCTGTCATTTTATTTTACTAGCTTTTAAAATAATGACTTAGTTCATGAGCCTCCACAGGAGGTGACTAATATTTCTTAACACACTCAGTAAAACTAGCTGACACTTTCTACACCTTTTTAAGATTTTATTTTTATCAAAAACATACACACAATAAAATCTTAAAAAGGTGTATAAAGAAGGAAAAAGAAAAGGAGGAAAACAGATCATTTTTCAGGAAGCTTAAACATTCTTTCATGTCAAGGGCTAAATTTATTCCTACGCTTCTTACCAGCCGATGCCAAGAGGGGAAGAGACGGCCCACGCAGTGTACTCTGGGTTCCATAAGTCAAAGCCTTCATTTGGTCTGAACAAACAAATTTTCTTCCTGCACAAAGAGCATATTGGACATGGCCACCTCTTTTGGCTTGGGGTCATCAGCCTGGATGGTGAGGCTCCTGGGGCTGTGGAAACATGTGAGGATGTTTATCCTTGTACATCACGTGCCCAAGTGTGCTAAGTCACACCTCTGTGCGTTCACCCATACCATTCCCCTGCTTGACCTGCTTGCACTCCAGCATCTGGCCAGTCTCATGCACCCTTCCTGGCTGAGCTCAGGGGTCATCTCCTCCAAGAAAGCTTTCTCATGATTAGGCCAAGTGTCCTCCCACTTCTTCCGGCTCCCGCTGGGCCCTGTACCCCTCCTTGGCTTTCTCATTGCCAAAGCCTTGCCACCTGGAGCACACCCAGCTCATAGTAGGTGCACTGTCCATGGTTTCTAAACTGAGCTCAAGTGCTTTCTAGTGGAATTTCTTCTCTTTCTTAAGCATCAGGCAGCTAGTGGTCATGCGGTGCCTGGCCCCTCACTTCTAATCTGGAACTTTCAGTAAGTGAAAGACCAGAAAACAAGACATGCAGCAAGTTATGACTGTCTGTTAACCAAGAGTCACTAGATTCTGAGGAGGCCCAAATACCTGCTGGAGTAGATCTGACCGAGTTTAGGTCATGGACTTAGCTACGTTCCACTTCTCTCTCCACATTTGGGCTCTGAGTGTGCTTGGTTTGACTGAAGCTGCCAGGATGCTGGGTAGATGCAGGCCCCTGTTGTGAGTGTGAGTGTGGGGTGTTCGTGGTCCCCAAAGCCCCTTCTCAGCCCCAGTCTTACTCAATCCTCACCATCACCTGTGAAGCAGATGTGTGCAGGAAAGGTCGGGCTGTGGCTGCCCGTGCACACGTCACTCCACTGCCTGGGTCTGACCCTAGAGCCAGTGCCTGGAAAGGAGAGATTTTGACTGTGGATGTTTGGGCCCTGCCCTGCCTGCTTTGACCCCACTGGGGTGCTGCTCCTCCCCAGGGCCGCCTCTGCAGGGAAGCTGGCCTTCCTGACCATTTCCAGGACAGAATTGATACCACTGGGCTCTTTCCTTGGTCCGATTTCTTTCCAATTGTCTGAAGTGGAAGCAAATCTCAGGCACGCAAGAGATGTGACTTTTTAAAAATAAGTCAACTCCATTTATGTTTAGGCCCCAAGTGCTCTAAGTGGTAGACCTCTATTCTCAGCCAACCTAGGCTTTTCTTCTCTCCAAAGCTGCCCTGGAGTAGGGTATCTGGCCCTATGTGGTGTCGTCTTTCCGGTCTGGCTTCCGTCTCGTGCTGTCTTCATCTTTGTCCTGGTCCCTGTCTTCGGGCCACTCCAATTCTGCTGAATTATAGAGTCAAGTCACAGCAACTCCAATCTCATCCTCATGGGCAAATGTCTTGCTGTGGTCTGTGGCATGCGGCGTACTCAGGGACTCAGAAACCATCTCACTCTACCTGTGTCTGTCCTCAGAGCCGCATCTATGATCAGCCTTTCCTCTAAGCTAAAGCTGGGAACAGGGCTGAGTGATGGGATGATACCCATGTTTTCCAATTGTCTGAAGGCTCAGTGTTCGTGGAGAGCCGAGATGGGGAGGATGCAGTTGGCGAGATGACAGGCTGCAGGGATATTCCCATAGTTTATGTGTTTCCTCTTTCATGGGACACGTCCATGCTGATTCACTAGAAATACAAAGATAAAACATGGACCCTATGCTTGAGGGCTCAAGGAGGGAGGAGATTACAAGCCAATAATTCCAGTACCAGAAGGTGAGGGTAGCGTGGATGTAAGAAAACGAACAGTTAACATCCCTAATATGGAACAGACTTCTGAAAATTGATAAGAAAATCCAGACTTATTGTGCCAATTTCCTACTGCTACTCTAACAACTTATTACAACCTAGTGGCTTAACACAACACAAATTTGTCTGTAGTTCTGAAGGTCAGAATTCCAAAAGGGGTCCCACTGGGCTAGAAAATCAAGGTTTCTACAGGGCTGTGTTTTTCCTGGAAGCTCTGGGGGAATCCACTTCCTTGCCTTCTCCAGCTTCTAGAGACCACCTGTACTCCCTGGCTCTTGGCCTCTCCTTCTATCTTCAAAGCCAGCAAGGTCAGGTGAGGCCCACGCTGCCTTCTCTCTAGTTCTTTCTAGTTCCCTCTCTCCATTTATAAGGATGCTTGCAATCACATCGGGTCCACCCCAAGCATCCAGGATAAAAATCCCCATCTCAAGGTCACCTGATTAGCAACTTCACTTCCACCTGCTCCCTTACTTCCCCTTGGCCATGCAAGGTGACATAGTCACCACTTCCAGGGATTAGGATGTGGATGATTTAGGTGGGCCATTGTTCTGTCTGTCACACCATCCCAACAGAAAAAGAACAAAGATTATGGAAAAGGAATTCACAAGAAAGGTACAAATAGCACATAAATCTGTGAAAAGATGATCACCTTTCCCAATAGTCAGGAAAACAGAAGTTGGGAATAGCAATGCGGATCTCATGCTCAACCTCCTGGTGGCTAGAATTTAAAAGGTTAATTAACGCTGTCTGGGGCTGATAGGGATGTGGGAACGAGCATTCTCATGCCTGGTCAGAGTGCAACAGCAACATTTTGGGGAAAGGAATCTGATAATTTATCCAAAGTAAGATGCACTGACATTCTGACTTAGCAACCCCACTTATAGGAATCTATTTTCTTCAGAAATAACACATTGTCACTTCATTCAACAAGTGTCCTTGCATCAGGCACTGAAGGTGTGGCCATGGACAGATCAGACAAGGCCCTGCTCACACAGAGCTTACGGTCTCATGCGAGAGGCAGACCACAAGTCAACAATGAAAGAAAGAAACTAGAAATAGCTGCATTGGGATTAGGGCTGTGAATTCTGCTCCTAGGGCTGCTGTAATGAATGATCACAAACTGGGTGACTTAAAAGAACAGAAACGTGTTCCTTATAGCTCTGGAGGTTGGCAGTCTGGAACCAAGGTGTTGACAGTGTGCTTCCTGTTGGGAGCTCCAGGGCAGTCTGTTCCATGCCTCTCCTAGCTTCTGCAAGTTGCTGGCAATCCTTGGTGTCCTTTGGCTTGTAGACACGTCACTCCAATCTCTGTTGTCACATTACATTCTTTTCTCTGTGTGTCTTTTTGTCCAAATTTACCTCGTCTTATAAGGACACTAGTAATTTGACTAGGATTCATTCAAGTTCAGTATGACCTCATCTTAACTTGACTACATCTGTAAAGACCCTATCTCCAAATAACGCCACATTCACAGGGACCAGGGACTTCAATGTCTTTTTAGAGGACACAACTCAACCCACACCAGGCTGTGCAGATAACTTAGAGAACAGAAGAGAGCGAGGACGGTCACTTAAACTCAGATGGGCAAGAAGACCTCTCCCAAGAGGTGACATTTCAAACCTGAGCTCCAACTAAGGAGAAAGCAGTCTCTAAGAATCAGGGAAGAGCATTCTCATAGAGGGAACAGCCAGCCACGCAGCAGCCTCAAGGCAAGATTGGACTTGGTGAGTTTTGAGGACTTGCAAAACGGCCAGCGTAGCTGGTGCCTAATGAGCATAGAAAGGGTGTTACACAGTGAGCTCAGAGCAGGCAGCAGGCTCAGGTCACGCAGGCTTGAACACCAAGGACAAGGAGTTTGTGTTTTGTCTTAAGGGAGTCAGCGACATGAGCTGACCTGTGTTAAAAACTGTTGAATATAAGAACATATGTCCATGGGTGTTTATTACATCACTATTTGCAAAAAACTAAAGCAACTTGTATGTGCATTAATAGGTTGGAAATCTATGTTCTATCCATTCTACAGATTATGAGTTTCAGCTCTACGTATTCACCCAGAAAGATGTTCTTGACATACGAAGTCAAAAATAAGTTGTGCGGTAACCTGTCTGGTATACGTATGTACTAGCCCCCATTGCTCTCCAGGTGTGGACACTGGGTTTCAATGTCCAGACAGGTGTGGGCCAGGTGCTCCTTTAGACAGGGATAGAAGAGGTCCTGGTGCCTGCCTGGCCGGGGGAGACAAGGAAGCCAGGAGACTCAAGTGTTTGGAGGCACTTTCATAAAAAGGACTGAATTAAATAATTTCCAACTGACTCTGAACGAATCCTCCTCCTTAGCCCATCCCAAAGACTGGAAGCCCTCCATGACCCAGAGCCTGAGGCGCTATGCTCCTGTGGCCCTGCCTACTGGGCGTGCCGTTCTTTCAGACTTTCCAGATGCTCAAAAAGTCTTTGTTGATCTCTTGGCCCAGAAAGTTAAATGACCCTGAACCTCCATTCTCTGAGAGGCCCAGGAATGGTCCCCTCAGTAGGACTCCGACTTCTCTGGTTTCCCCATGTTCAAGTTGTTTATTGGATGGTAAAAATCAGACATCTTCTTGGAAACTGTGGTAGCACAGGAAGGGTTATTCATAATCATCACCACCTGGGAACAACCCAAAGGCACATTCACCATGGAATAGATGGAATGGAATGGAATGGACATGGCCATTGTAGTGTGGTCACACAATGGAGTCATCTACAGCACCAGAAGGAACCATCTCAGCCACACGCGAAACAGGATTTAACCTCGAAACTTACATTAAGTGAAAGCAGCTAAACTCAAAAAAACATGAAGTTATGATTCCATTTATGTAAAGCTAAAGGAGGTGGCAAGGCTGAACTGTGCTGTTTCCAGTTGCATGCCTTGTTGGCTGCATAAGAGTATAAAGAAAAGCCAGGACTTCCGGTCAGCCTGGGGAAGGGGAGCTGCCGAGGGGGCTTTGGGAGTGCCATCTCCCAGCTCTTGAGCTGGCCTGGAAATTGGCTTACTAAGTAATTTGTTAAGCTTTATGTTTATTTTTATGCAAGTTTCTCTCTATGTATTATATTTCAAAATATAAAAGCCTAAAAAAAGTCCATACAGTTTTAAAAAGAATGGGATTTAATGTAAGATTTGTGGGGACCAACACTGGGGCCCTGTGGAGGTTGTTTTGGGTGTGGATGGATCTCCCCGCTCCGCAACCTTGTCCTTTTCCTCTTCCCCTCCTTCCTTAGCACCCTTCCTCTTCCGCTGTCCTGTGTCTACCACAGAAAGTCCCTGTGTCCCCTCTCCTCATCACCATTTTGCTTAGCACCACTGCCCTCACACCCAGCTTTCATCTCCTGTGAGAGCTGGCAAAAGCTTTCCAAGTTCACATCCACGGAAAAGAGCACCCGGGGCACCAGCCACTCCTGAGTCTGCCACCCTCTGTCAGGCCCCTGCCATGGGCAGGGAAGGGGAAGGGGGGCAGGCTCTGGCCAAACCCTGGCAGCTTTGGGAGAGAGCTGAGGTGGCCATGTCTCTGAGAGGGCCGGGCCCCTCCCCACACAGCATAAGCACAGTGCAGTGTGGAGCCAGGCACATGGTGGCCAAGGGCAGTAAATCATTTCAGGCCCGAGCAGGAGCAAGAGGCCCATGAGGCCCAGAAGAACGCAGGACCCCTGGCTGCCCAGGCTCTCCCTGCCTGCTCCGAGCTGCTTGGGTGCAGAGTCCCCGAGGGTCCCTTGAAACCTGGCCTTGCTCCAGGCCTGTGTTCACAGCGAAGCCTGCTCCTCCCTCTGTTTGTGTTGGCGGCTGTCTCCAGGGGCCAAGTCCTACCCCCTTCCTGGGGGAGCACATCCACCAGTGGCAAATATTGGCATCTCCCCAAGAACTGTCATTTTTTGTGTTTCAAAAATATTTCTCTTCTTCTCACCTTGCCAATGTCTCCCCTCCTCCCCCTCCTTTTTCTGGATGTCAGCTGGGCAGGGGTGGGTTTTCCTTATGAACACTCCCGCCTCCTCCAAGGAGCGCTCCTTGACCTCCCCAGTCTCCCCGCTCCACCCCCGCTCTCCCTACCCCTGCGGCTTTCCAGAGAGCCTTTCCCCACCAGGCCTTCTCTGCAGCCCTGTGTACTGGCTGGAGCCATCTCTCCATGTGCAGCTCTGTGACACATGGTGAGCTCCGCAGCGACAGTGGCTGTTACCACCAAGCACCAGCAGCCACAGTGTGAGCTTCGGCACACGGAATCTCTTCATATTCACAGTGCCCTGCCAAGGAGCAACTTCCTCTCCTGATTTTGTAGTTTACGTTTAGGGGGGTTCAAGAAATGTCCTTAAGGTTCACTGGACCACATGTGGTAGAGCCAGGACCTCAGACCTCATCACTGCCTGAATTTAAGGCCCTTGGTCTATTCACACTGTAAACTTCTACAGGGCGTTCTCTTACACTCATCTGCTTACCCCTGCGAGGCAGGCCCTGTTATCGTCATCCTCTTCTTACACAGAGGAAAACTGAAAATCAAACAAATGGGGTGACGAAGGCTACACTCAGCCCTCTGGTTTCCAGGCCTGAATCTTTGCTCTTCAGTGCCTTCTCCCTTCCCCAGCTCCTCTGTGCTCCCCTAGGGACAAGAACTGCCTTGGATCCTGCCTTCCTTCCTTCCGTGTTAACTAAGCCCATTATGAACAAATTACTCTCTTAGTGTCAGAGGGATGGATCTATCCATCCGTGCATCTACCCATCCATCCACTCACCCACCCATCCATCATCTTTCTCTATCTGTCAATTCTCCCATCCGTCCCCCATCCATCCATCCATCCATCCATCCATCCATCATCTCCCATTCACCCATCCACCTACCCATCTATCCATCTCTCTATCTATCTACCTCATGGTCCATGTCAGTGCAATTAAGGAATTCACAATCAAGCGGATAAAAACAGACACATGTATACCTCATATACAAGCATGTATATATTCACGGACATACATATAAAAATAATTACTTATAGACATGTTTAAAATACTGCCCAGGAGAGGTGCATGTACTGTGCCATGGGATTTTGAACTTGCACCTAGTAATAAGAAGTCAGGAAAGCTTTGTTGTTTTAGCAACCCTGTCCTGGGCCCCTCACATCCCCAGCCAGATGTGGTGCTGGATACCAGGAAGACAGAGAAGTGAAGCAGACATGATCCCGGCTCTCAAAGAGAGTGCCTCAGACTGACGCTGTTGTGGGTTTTGTGGGGAGGGGCAGGAGGCAGCACCGGCATCAGGGCCCTTATTTATTTCCTAGGGAGAGGCTGAGAAGTGTCTGAGCAAGAGGTGGTCCCAGCTTGCCTGTCACTTGCTCTGGAAAGGGACATAGCATGTCTGGGCTCAGAGCTCTGGTTTCTGAGTCACTTTACCAATGTCAAGGAAACTGGGCTTAAAGGGAGGAAATGAATGAGAGAGGGGCTCCCCCACCCCGCCACCCTAGCTCAAGGCCTGGCTCCAACAAACCTAGGACCTCATTTCTGTTGTGTCCCCCTGTCACAGCAATCCTCAAGCCAGCCTGGACTCAAAGTTGGGGAACAGACCCCCTTGAGGAAGGTGCTGCAACATCCTTGACTACAGTCAGGGAGAAGTAAGGGATGTGGCCACTGTCTGCAGTCTCCCTTTGGTCACTACAGCAGGCTCCAGCCGACACCCACTATTCCACCCGCAAGCCCAGAAGGGCAGAAGCACGAGGTGCCACATGTGGGAAGAGGCTTGGGTGGGATTGCACCAGGGCCTGGTGACTCCAACTCAGAATGTCTCTGACTGGGTCAGCAGCTTCTCTCTGAGAATTTAAAAATGCTGTGTTTTCATTTTCATGTTCGTCTAAAAACACATTTAAACATGTTCTAGGCCATCTGCAGAGCCTTGAGCCCCAAGAGGAATTTCAATATACTTGGGTCTGCATTTCTTTCTAATCCGTGGTGCCAGGGCTAAGCAGTAAAGTTTTCATGGTCTTGGGAAATTGAAGAAAGAAGCAGCCAGATGCCATCAGGATGCAGGGAGTGAGCTTGGCTCCTTGAGAACTTCAGAAGAGCAGAGCAGGGGGAAACTTGCCCTAGCATGCAGAGCTGAACCGGAAGAACTTTCTGCCAGCAGCTAGGAGTATTTCCACTTCATTGTGGCAATTTCATACCCACCAGCTTCCTCTCCAGACATCTTGAAGGGGGGCTGTTCATGTCTGGCAGCAGCGAGGCTGGGAAGAAACACTGGGTGGGCAGTGAGGGGACACGTTTGGACAGCACTCATTTGTGAAGGAGACTGAGGGTGGTAGCGGGGTCTCTGGAATAGATGAGCACCCCCGCCACCCTCCCGCAACAGCTTGACCACATGAGGACTTTGAGGACTGGGTGCTAATCCTTCAACAACCTGGCAAGGGAAGTAGTGCTATTTCCACTTAGCAAACAAAGACAGGTTCAGAGAGGTTAAGTAAGCTGCTCAAAACCACACAGCATTGTAACCAGCTCTGTCCTAGACAGCCAGGCCTCTTCCCAGCCCCGGCTCAGTGTCCTCCCCAGAGACGCTTGTATCCTGGGTTGGGAGCCCACCTCCTGGGACTTCTCAGGGCCAGGCAAGAGGCTGAGGCATTTGCCCTACCTTACTTCTGCCAGCGTGTCGGGCAGCCCAGCTCATACTTAGGTAATTAAGTCTTCGAGTAAACACTGAAGAAGTCCAACCTGTTTTTATGTCATTTCAGGAAAACAAAGTCCTAGGAGCTTTCCAGAAAGTTCAGAGAGTAAACAGGGACAAGTAGCTTGAGCCCCGTCCCTCCCCACTCTGCCACCCCCTTCCCTGGCTCCTTAGCTCATCAGTTACCAAATCAGCGTGTCATTTGTTCTCCAAAGAGTGCTTGGCCTGAGACTGGGTTGGTGACAGCAGCCTGTTCCCTGGGGGCTTTGTTGCCGGGATTCCCCAGGTCAGGACTTAAGGATTTAGGGATATCAGTCTGGGCATTTGGAACACTTCAGGGCCAGCCTTGGGGGTCAGGCAAGGCCTCGGGCCTCAGCGTTTTCTGGACCCCCAATGTCCAGTGAGATGATGGACAAAGGGTCAGCGCTGGAGAAGGGTTCGTTGAGCAAAGCACCGTTGAAGATGCCTCACACAGAGCACTGCCTAGGGCTCAGAAACCCCCACTGTGGGGAGACCTCAAGCCAGCAGTGGAGAAGGAGGGGCCCTTTCAGAAACCCACCCCAGGCTCCTCGCTTATGCTTTCTTACTAAGAGACAAAGCCTTCATCACCAGAGGGGAGGCTCAGAGGCTGTTGTCTGGGCCCCGAGAGCAGACTGGGGAGCTCTCAACAGCCAGGAGCCCCTCCTGGAGGCTGTACGGACGGGATGGGGAGGGTGTGAGGAGACCAGGTCCTGCATCAGGAGAGGGAGCAGGACCCAGGACAGCAATGGGCACAGGAGGAGCATCTCCCACCCCCGGGACAGTCCAGGGCTGGCACTGCCAGGAGCTCTTGATCCATAGATTCATTTCTCCACCATGTTAGAGAAGGGCTCTTCTGGAGATGCCCCACAGCAGACCTCGCAGCCGCCTTGCCTGTCCCCCGACCCCTCTGATTTGCATGAAGGGCTAGCTTCTGGGCCCCACAGGCTCCTGTGCTGGCTGTCCCCCACCTGGGACACCTGCCACCCCATGTCCTAATTATCTGCAGACTTACCTGTCTCCCCACCAGCCCTGGGCAGCTGGAGGGCAGGATCCACATGTGACATGGCCCTAAATCTCCACCTCAAGCCCAGCACTTGGTAGGTACAGGGTCTCAGAAGCCCAGCACCTGGTAGGTAGGAGGGTCCCAGAATTCTTCTGTTGTGGAATGAGTGACTGCTGATGATGGAGATGTGTCCATGGAGACAGCACTGGACCAGGCATCAGGAGAGCTGGGTTCTGCTTCCTCCTTAGTCACTAGCTCACAGTGTGACCTCAAGAAAAGCATTCTACTTTTCTGTGCTTCAGTTTGCCCAGCTGTGAAAGAGGGGATCAGATGACAGGGAAGTTTTTCTACATTTCTGATAGTATGTGTATCAATCAGGGTTTCAACTACAGAACCATTGGAGCAAATCAGTACAATAAGGTGGAGATTTTAGATAGATTGGATAGGTAGGTGGATGGATGGATAGATAGATATATAGATAGATACATAGATAATAGTAGATGATAGATATATGATAAATGATAGATGATAGATAGTAGATGATAGATAAATAGATGAAAGGTAAATAGATAGTAGATAATAGTAGATGATAGATAACAGGTATATAAATAGATAGATAATAGATGTAGATAGGTAGGTAGATAGATAACAGGTATATAAATAGATAGATGATAGATAGATATAGACAGATAGATAGATTTATTACAGGGAATTGGCTTACACCCATTGTGGGGGCTGATTAAGTGTCTCCATGTCTGTTGCTAGATCTTGACGTCCCCAAGGCAGCAGTCAGGAAGGGAAGACCACGAGCAGGCTGGAACCCCAAGAGCATGATGGACTAGAACCCTACAGGATGGACTGAAACCTGGGTCCATTCTTGTTACCTCTGACCTTGGTGACAAGGGAACCTGGCAGAAGCTGGGGGCCTTCATCTAACACACGCTCATGTGACCCAGCTGCTGCTTCACACCAGTGAGGCAAGTCAGCAGATCAGCACTCTGTGTGCTACACAGCAGTGGCTGCCTTCCTTCCTCCCTCCAATTCTCCCCCAAGAGAACGTCCCTTATAGCCCACCCTAATCAGAAACATGCAAGAAAAAGAATTCTGGGAGACAAGAGTTCACAAAGCTATCACAGTGTGGTTATGATTCATTTCTTGTGTAAAAAAATCATTAAAAGAAAGTTTGGGGGAAAAAACTATCATTCTGAATTTCCTTAGCAAATGGAGATTATCACCAAAGAAATGACTGATTTTCTAATGTGCAGCTCCCAGGTCATTAATTCAGAATTAGATACAGCCATGGATTTTTAGCTCCCTTAGGATGGGCCTGGGTCTCCTTCTCCTGTAACCTCCATACACACAGGCTGTACAGGCTCTGGTCAAAGGAGGCCTATAAAGTGTGTTAAAGTAGACTTATTTATTCATCAGGGCTGGTGTGCAAGTTTGTCTCATTTCATCTCCATACCAACACTTTGAGAGAGACACTAGGTCCCCATTTTACATATGAGAAACTGAGGCACAGAGAGAGGCTAGCAACTTGCTCAAGATTACATAGCCAGTAGGTAGTATAGCCAAGATTTGAACCCAGGCAGTCTGCCTCCAGTGCCTGAAGCCAGACCACACCATACACTGCCTCTGAGACTGAGCATGTGATGCTTGTCGTTTTACAAGACTTGCCTTAAGGTGTACTGAGGGATTGTGAGCAGAAACTGTCAGGGCCAGAAATGTGGTTCATTTTCACATTTGTCCCTGGAAAACTGAAACAACTGACCCTGCTGACAAGGCAGTCAGTGAATGTCTATGGTCTCATCCCTTAGCCCAGTGTGCTGTGTGCTGGGGATTACCAATTGCCTCCTTAGTTAGGTAATATTCCTTACCTAATTCTTCAGTAATAGAACTCTCAGTTTTGAGTTGAGCATATGGTTGCCTATAAAATAGGCTATTTCCCAGCAGCCTTTCCCGATGGACATAGGTGAGGCCATGTGGTTGAGTTCTGACTAGTGGGATACTAGTGGAAGTGTGCAAATTCTGATGCATTCTTAGAAGGAGGAGGCATGCTCTTCTGCTATCAGGTCTTGCTTCTGGAGAAAGGAGCAGGCTGAAATGCAAACATAATGGCTGGAGCTCCAGCAGCCATTTTGGACCCCAGGAAGCACCTTGGTCCAATGGGAGTCACACATGGGAGCAACAAGTAGAAGGAATGTGGGTCCCTCACACTATGGAGCACCACACCAGCCCTGGACGGACTACTTCTGGACTTCAAGAGCATGAGGAAAAATAAACTATTTTGTGTACGTGCTTACTACTCAAAGTATGCTCCAAGGACCGACAGCAATGGCATCTCCTGGGAGCTTGTTAGAAATGTACAATCTTGGGTCACACTCACACCTACTAAATCAATATCTACAGTTTAATAAGCTCCCAGTGATTTGTATGAACATTAGAGTTTGAGAAACACTGATTTAAGCCACTGTTATTGGCTGAACCTAATTCTAACTGACTGTGGCCATGACGGCCCTGCTGATGCTGGCAACTTGAGTCTCTCCTGTTATTCTTACAGTCTACTGAGGCTGCGGCTTCTGAGGAAGCCACCCGTGACTCAGGGGAGTCATTCTTCTGACAGTCCTTTCCTCATCCTGATCTTGCTGTACAGGACTCTGCGTGAAGAATGGACCCATTGAAAGCATTGGGAGAAATCAGGAGTCCCGAGGCTGTGTGTGGGTGTCTGTGCACATGAGTGGCTCTGTGTGGGCCTGCATGTGTGTGTGGAGAGGCTGGAGAGAGGAAGGGCGTGTGTTTACCCACTAGTTGTGTATGCCAATCTGTAAGGAAATAAGAAGAAGACAAGATGGGGACATCCAGCCTATGAAGAAATATGATTTAAATCAGATTGGCTCTGTGGTGAGCGCCTAACTGCGAGAATTCTGTGAAGCTAGGCATCTGGGAAGGTGCCATCATAAGAAACAGAACTGGGGACCTAAGTGGGGTGGGACAGGGATGCTGGCCCCTTCTGAGGATAGAGGCCATGTGGGCTGAGAGGCTGATGCTCCCCATCCATGGGTGTGGGAAGGCTGCCCGCTGGCACAGATCACGGATGTTAACATGCGGCCAGAGGGTAGGTGCAGAGCATGGTTTATGTGTGCTGGCCAGTGTTTCCATTGTCACTGGTGTTTCTACATCTCTCTCACCCTCTTTTGTCCCTCTTAGAAGAATTCCTTAACGCCTGATAGCCAGAAGGGCCCCCAGTTCCGAGAAATGTGGGAGGTGGTGAGGCTGGTGCTGTTTGTTTTCTTGCTGCTGGTGGCTATGCCAGCCTCCCCTTCTCTCTAGGAAGGGAGGGTAGCAGCCAGGGACCCAAGAGGTGATGTCATGCGACTGGCAGGTGTGGCAGCTGACCAAGGGGTTCTGGGATGGGTGCTTGTTTTCATGGGCAGTGATTGTAGTCACTCTTTGCTGGACAAACACACTCCCTGGACTCTGGCCCAGAAAAGCAATGCATAGCCAGGTGGGAAGGGCCAGCCCGCACCTGGTGACCCACACCCTGGGCAGATTCACAATTATAAATAATTGCAAGGCATTTTTCTGCCACAGAGGAAGTTGCTGTGTGACTTTGGGCAACTTACTTAATCTCTCTGGGCCTCAGTGTCCTCACCTGTAAGATGAAGATGATAATGTCTCCTTCTGGAGTTGTGAGGAGAACCTGAGTTAATAGATGTGAAGCACCTAGAAAGGTGACTGGCAACAGTAATCTTGGCAGTTTCTCCCAGTTGTTATTGATCACGGCCATTACTACTATTATTGCTAATATTCTTATTACAGCTAGTTCAGGGTCCTAGAGAAGTTGGAGGAGGGGCCTTCCATGTAGAGGGGCAGAGGGAAGGTAACGCTTTCCAGGAGGGCTGAAGATAAGCAGAAGTTTGCCAGGCAGAGAGAGGGGAGAGCATTGAGGTCCAGGGGATGGATGACATCTGCCAAGGCACGGAGGAACAAAGTTGTGGATCGGGAGGAGATCAGGCATGGCGGGGATAGAAAGGTCAGGGGCAGGCCAGGAGTGTGGGTGGGGCCTCATCCAGAACCTCTCTCCTCTTTGGATTTTCCAGACGGCCCAGCCTGGAGCCCTCTGCCCTCCTCAGCTGCACATGCCCTTGGTGAGGACTCTCTCGTGGTCTGGCTGCCCCTTGCCCTGTGCCTGCCTGGACCGAGAGCTCCAGAGGGCTCAGTGCTGCCGACCCTTTGTGGTCTGATTCTCTGCTGCAGCACGGGGCCTTGACGCCGGATACCTCCCTGAGGTTTTGTTAAATAAATCAGTGACTCTCCCTCTTGGTTCTACCAATCCCCCAGTACCTCCCCACCACCCACCTGCAATGCTCTGTCTACTTCCTCAGTTGCCCCAAATTTTCTAATTCTTCGGGACTCAACTGTCCTTTGCACAACATCCTCTGAGACGGCTCCAGACTCTCTCTGACCTCCCGTCCTCTCCTGTTCCATAACTGCTCTGAGCCTGGGCCTGCCCCAGGCTGCCCATGAGCACTTCCTTCCTTGTGTGGGCCCTGCAGTGGGTGGAAGCCTGGGCGCCAGCATCGGGCAGAGGAAGAAGCCTGCAGCCCTGGGGCCCTGCCTATGCAGCTCTTGTGCCCCCACCAAAGACTAAGCTTAAAGACCAGAAGGGCTAGAAGCTGTGAGGACAAGGTATTACTTTCCTTACAGCCCAGCGTCACTGTGCTTCAACACTGAGGCCTTGTTTGCATCCTCAAGCATTGACTACAGGTGGCTGTGGTCACAGTCCTGTTGCTGACTGCTGGGGCCCATCTGGGGCATGTGGCCACGCAACCTGGGCTTGTGCCAAAAGGGAGCATGTAGAGTCCTCCCAACCCACCAATTTCTGACTTATTCCTGTGCTTCCTGGGTAAGGTGTTTTGTTTTGCTTTTCAAATCCATCTCTGCTGGACTAATAACCCATAAACAGGACAAGAACCTTGTCTCAACTAACAACCTGCTGGGCTGAAAACAGCAGCCTCTGCAGGGCTAATTTGCTTGCTTCTGATGGACAGGCAAGTTTGTGCCGTGAGGACTGGGTGGTCTCAGGACAGGGCTTTGCCATCTGGTTGCTGTCACCAAGAGTGGGAGTGCTGTCATTGAGCTATGAGTCGGTGAGTCAGTGTCCCCTTCTCTCCTCTCTGCACTGGCGGCAAGACCCAGAGTCACAGTGGATGCTCGCGGGGGAGCTGGGATCCCAGCACTCACTCCTCATAGTTTCCTCTTCTGTCCAGGGCCATGGGAAGCAGTATCCACCTGGGCAGGCTACATTCCTGATGAGCCAAGATGGAGTTTCCGCCAGGAGGTTCCATCTAGAGGGGCTGCACTCTGAAGCCCATCGTTGTGTGCAGGGCAACTTACTTGAATGTTGAATCCTTAACAACATGGCAAGTGGATCAAATAGCTTTTGGTTATCAAAAGACACCTGGCTGGTTGAAACCTTCCATCCCAAATGCAGCATCCCTTCCTTCACTCCTCCACTCAGATTTGACTCCATAGCGCGGAGGACCTGAAGTAAGATGGGAGGGTGTGGTCTCTTCTGAGACGTACGGTCCCTCCCACCCCACCCTGCCTTCTGGACATGGCTACTGTACAGATGGCACAGGAGAGAAAACACTATGTCCTGGGACCTGGGTCCATGCCGGTGATTGGAGGCCTCCCTACTGCAGTCTGTGGCTGGCGCAAGCCCATGTGCTCCCTTCATCCCCAGGGACAGGTGTTCTTCACCTCAGGACCCTCTCTCACTGACATCCTCCCCCAAAGGGACAATCATGTGTGGTCCCCATTCTGGCCTCCACCCTGGCCCTGTCTAGGCGGGATGCCTTCTCACCCGGGAAGCCCACAGCTCTAGCCGCTCTGATGTTGGCACTCCTGCAGGTGGAGTTGTGGAGCCCTTGGGATCTTCCTCCATGCCTGGCCAGAGATGTATGGGTCTGGGACAACACGGGGACTTCCCACACTCCCCTCAGCCCTCAGCCTGTAGGGGGTTCTCTGCTCAGCTACTGAGATTACACCCATGAAGCTTCCGGCTTCAGAAAACTCCAAAGGAGAAGAAGGCGCCGCGGTTATGCCCTTGGCCTCCTGAAATGCTGGGGCCGTGGCCAGCTCTCACAGGAAGCTCTTCACCCTGCTCCACGCTGATGAACAGCCGGCAGGGGCCTGCAAGTGAGGAGCAGAACGCCAATGACTCCCTTGGCAACCTGCATCATTTGGCCTGGCTCAATGCTATGGCCAGGGGCAGGGCAGGCGGGGAAGTGGCCCCCCTCTTCCCAGGGAAAGGAGGGGCAAGCTGTCACCACGAAACCTTTCCTTCCACAAGCCGCCCTCATTCCTGCTCCCTGCCCCATCTCCAGGTGCTGTCCTGAGTGATGGGGCTGAGCAGAGACGGATGACGATAGCAGACCACAGCTCTATTTCTGGCAGGAGGAGCCTGGCCTCCGTGTTCAGCCCCTCTCTTCACACTATGGGGTATTTAATGCCTCCTCGAGTTCACCTATAGACTCAGTTACCAATTCCTGAGCACCAGGAAAGGTGCCCCTGGATGCAGCATTCAGCAAGGTTTGCTGAGTCACCAGGCAGGACACTACAACAGGACATGCTGTAGACAAGTCATTTTGTATTATACCCAGCTAACTTTTCAATAACTTTCACCAACACTTTCTCTTTTGATCCTCTTCACCGCCCTGTGAGATAAAGTCTCAGTGCTGTCATCAGTCCTTGGGTAGGAGTACAGAGTTAACTAGCGTGCCTGAACTTCAGCTGCCTTGTCTGTAATACCGGGGCCAACAGAACCCATCACACACGGGTGTTGAGAGAATTCACTACAAAGAGGTACGCAAGGGCTTAGCATGGAAACCTCAAAATGACCATGGAGGCACAGCGACTGCATCTGGGATAGGGCAGGGCTGGGGAGGAGGCAGAGTGGGGAAGCAGGACAGCTGGAAGGGGTGAGGTGGCAGGAGCGTGGCTCGGGGACCAGGCACACATGGACTTCAACCACACTTTGTCACTTATTAGTTGTGTGATAAGAGGCTCGTCACTTAAATCCTTTAATCGTTAGTTTCCACTTCTGCAAAGTGGGCACACCCACCAGCATTTATCTCTCCACTGCTGCTCCTGGAGCTTTGCCCTTGTCACTAGGCAACATGCCATCAACTAGTGTGAAAATCTACCTTGTCACTAGATGACGTGCCATCTACCTAGTGTCACTCGACAAAACCGGGAGTCACTTTGGACATCTTCTTCTCCTCACACTCCACATCCATCAGCAGTCCTGTCAATTCTATTTCTAAGCACCTTCCAAACCAAACGGCTTGCGAGCAAGTAAAATTGACCATATTGGGGTCCTTTCCAGAGATTCAGGTTCACTGTGCAGCCTTGGCCAGCTGGGAGCATTTCTTGTCTTTCCCTCTGCTGGGTGATGGAAACCCGGACTCAGGCATGGCCTACACTGAAACGCCAGAAATTCTTTATAAAATTATAGCTCTGAAGTGAGATTATTATGCGTAAACCTCTCTCTAATTTTGTTCTCCAAGAGGACACAACCTTCACTAGAACTACAATGGTGAGGAGAGTGCTGGCCCCATTGGGAAGTAGGATAATGGCCTTTCTCCGAGGGCCGGAGATGCAGGTCGGAGAGAGTGTGGTGGAAACAGGCTCCTGATTTCAAGACGGAAGATCCTAGAAGGGCAGAGACAAGCAATGGTGTGTGACCACCAGAGACAGCAGCAGAGAACATCAGATGGAACCATCACAGAGAGTCGGGCTGGAGTGATAACGGTCTGACCCACGGGGATCTTGGTTATGGCTGTTTGGGTTTAGGAACCTAAAGACTGAAGTAGATAGGTAGTCTACTAAGGTTTCTTTGGATTTGACTGGAGTCATCGCGATAGAAAATCATGGCTTTTCAACTAATCCCTAGGTAGGCTTGATTCAATTCACAGATTCAGTCCCCCCAGGAATAAATCCATTGGCCTTAAGGCAGGACCTTGTAATAACATGAATCTTTCTCCAGGTCTATCACAGAGTGACCTGGGCCATTTGTCAGGTAATTCTGCACTGGAGAAAGAACTGTTGAACATTGGTTCTGAGCTAAGACTAATTCCTGGAAACTTATAACATCACTGTGGTCTACCAGTCAGAGGATTTTGAGGCTAAGGGGATAATTGGAGTTTTAACTCAATTCACCTGACTGAAGACAATGAGAATCCAAGCCCATCCCATGTTTATTTTCCATTTTCACATGAATAGTTGGAAATGCTTAGAAATTGACAGAATCTCTACACTGACTCTTTGATTTGTAGAATAATGGCTATCATAGGCCTAGTATAGTACTGGGATGGGCCAAATGGAAGCCCCTGGAATTCTGCTTCCCTACCAAGTTATTAGTCCATACAGTTCCATATCCTTTGGGGAATTTCACATATTAGTGCCAACATGAAATATTTGAAAAAAGTGCAAGAGTAGTGATTCTTATTTTATTTTCATATAACTTGCCTATTTAGTTGATAAAGAAGACAGGTGGATCTTGGAGAGTAACCACAGATTATTGTAAATGTATTCAAGTGGTGACCTCAATTACAGCTGTTATTTTAAGATGAGGAATCTTTACACATTTACACAGCCCATGGCATCACAGTTGGTCATTTAAAGAAAATTCCTATGAACGTAAAAAGCTTCAGGAATTCAGTAGTTTGTTTTCACCTGGAAAGGATAGCAGTACATCTTCATGATCTGCTCTGTGATTACATCAGCCTTCTGGCTTTGTGGCACAATTCACCCTAACTGTCTCACCATCTCCCATGATGCAATGTTCATCTCCTACATTGCAGATATCAAGCTAGGAAACCAGGGAAAGTAGAAAGTACATGTACTTACAAGCCTTTGTTAAGGCATATGTGTGATGTAAGATAGGTGATAAACTCCATACAAATACAGGGCCATCTCACTGAAGTTTCTGGGATTCTGGTGGTCTGAGACATATTGGGATATTTGCTCCAAAGTGAAGAAGTTGTTTCACTTTATCCCCTTGTACAAAAAGGAGGCATGGGGCTTTGTGAACCCCTTTACACTTTGTAAGGAGCACACCCTGTTTGGTTGTGTTGTGTTCTTACGACTCATTTATGAGTAAGCCATAAGACACCCCAGCTTGGGTGGGGCTCACAGCAAGAGAAAGCTCTTAAGCTGGCCAAGGCTATAAGTAGCTCTGCCCCTTGGGCCTTATAACCCAATAGATCCAATGGTGCTGTTTCTTCAGTAGGTCTGAGTGTTGAAAGCACTGATAGGAAATCGTAACTGAAACCCTAAGATTTCGAAGCAAAGCTCTGATCTGTTCAGTAAGCACCTATTCTTTTGTCAGTTAGCTCCTGGAAGAATACTGGGTCCAAAGAGAGAAACTGAATACCTGACCAAAAGATGACAGATGACAGAGAGGCCTTATGCTTCTCCTTATTCGCTGGGTGTTATCAGCTTTGCCAAACAGTAAGACTGAGCATGCCTGCAGCATTCCATCACTACCTAAGAGGGACCCAAACAGGACTGGGCCCTGTACCTGGCATATCAAGAACCAGAGTCAGAGGTGGACTGGTAAATATTTAACAACCAGCTCTCTGGGGGCTCCAGCACTCATCTGTGGTGTTTGCAGAGTTCCACGGTGTAAATACTCCCATTGTGGCTGATTTCAAGGTACGGACACAGAACTGGGAAGAGACCTCGCCATCAGTTGTCATGAGCTGCAGCAAGCTGGCTCTAGCACACCACTGCCCAGAGTGGCTCATGTTTTCATATCCCTTCCATTATATACAGGAGTCTCAGAAAGTCATCATGAAATGAAGTCGATAATAATAATGGCTAGCAAAGAGGTATAGACAGTGAAAGTTTTCTTTCATTGAACTTTCTATATGTAATATATATGTCATGCTGGTTAAACATTTTCTTAAAATAAGAAGTAAAATTAATATGCAGTACAAAAGACAGATCATGAATTAATACTTTTAAATCAAATTTTTTTTGAAAAAGGGAAGAATCTTTTTAAAAAAACATTGGTCTGTAACAGTAATCAAGAACATCACAGATTTTTATTTTGAGCTTTAACTTCTGCAAGTTTGCCAAAGACTTCATCAAAATTTATCTTCTTTGAATATTAATATTCAGTGAACTCTATAGCCAGATTTGGCATTCTATCTTTGTTCATAGTTGATTAACAAACATTTTTATTAATTTCAAAATCAAAAAAATTTTTACACATGAAGCAAGATACAAACAAATTGTTTTGTAAATAAGGTCTTATTGGACCATAGACGCATACAATCACTTATGTTTTGTTGCGGCTGCTTTTATGCTGCAATGGCAGAGTTGAGTGTTTGTAATAGAGACCATATTGCCTGCCTACCATATTTATTATCTAGCCCATTAAGAAAAAGTTTGCTAACGCCAGCTTATATGATGAAAAATAAAAGTTGATTGCATTTAATATGTACAAAATTTGAATTTATTTTTTATCAAAAACCCTAAATAATGGTAAATAGAATCAAAACATTTAAAAAATTTATGTTTTCAATAAAAATCTTCTTTAAAATATTTACAATTCTCTGTGACAATTGAAAGAAAATATAATTATAATTAATGGATATCAAAATCTTACAATTGTTTAAATAAAGCTGAAGTTTTTAATTTAATTTTTTGAAAATTTAGGAAAATCATATTAAATGATTTTACAAAACAAAGATTATCCACAATTCTGGCATTCTGCATGCATCTAGTCACTAACAGAAAGCACTAGTATTACACTTCATCATATTCTTCTTCTTCTTCTTTTTTTTTTTTTTTTTTTGAGACAAAGTCTCGCTTTTTTGCCTGGCTGGAGTACAGTGGCGATCTTGGCTCACTGTAACCTCCTCCTCCCGGGTTCAAGCGATTCTCCTGCCTCAGTCTCCTGAGTAGCTGAGACTACAGGCACCCGCCGCCACACCCAGCTAATTTTTGTATTTTTAGTAGAGACGGGGTTTTACCACATTGGCCAGGATGGTCTTGATCTCTTGACCTCGTGATCTGCCCGCCTCAGCCTCCCAAAGTACTGGGATTACAGGCGTGAGCCACTGCGCCCGGCCTCATCATGTTACTTCTAATGTAGACCTACATATATACTAATTGAAGAGTAAAACGAATTGTTTAATATTGCAATATATTTCTCAGCTGCTCATGCAAAATATCAACTCCACTATTGTGAAAGATATGCTAATTATCAGGTGCCTTCAGAATCATGAATTGGAACAGGAAGAGAAGGAAATAGATGCTCAACGTTACTAGGAAACAATATTTTGCTACTAAACATAAGTCATTAAAAATCTATTGCATTGGTGCTGAGAGGATTTAACAAGTGAAACAGTTTGTATTTTCTCTTAGGGAAGAGCTTCCACCATGCAAATTCTCCTTCCCTCTGGAAGCAGTGTCTGCCTGACATCTGCAGAGGTGTAACTCACAAATTTTCCAGCATTTAGATGCCTTTTGTGTTGAGGACATTAAACAAGAGATATAGAAATGGATTTCCCTGGGGCCTGAGCAGTGCCACTCATGAGAATGGATGTTTACCCTTGTTATCTACCAGCACCAAGGCCTGGATCCTGCGTGTTTTTAAGAAGTGTGTGGGGCTGGGCGTGTTGGCTCATGCCTGTAATCCCAGCACTTTGGGAGGCTGAGGAGGGCGGATCACCTGAGGTTGAGAGTTCGAGACCAGCCTGACCAACAAGGAGAAACCCCCATCTCTACTAAAAATACAAAATTAGCCAAACGTGGTGGCACCTGCCTGTAATCCCAGCTACTCGGGAGGCTGAGGCAGAAGAATCGCTTGAACCCAGGAGGCAGAGGTTGTAGTGAGCCGAGATCGTGCCATTGCACTCCAGCCTGGGCAACAAGAGTGAAACTCTGTATCAAAAAAGAAGAAGAAAAAAAAGGTGTGTGTGTGTGTGTGTGTGCGTGTGTGTGTGTGTTCATAATATGCAGGGCCCTCTGAAGCCTGGAGCCGGGGAAGCAGCCCCTCTTGCTGGGTCTAAGGGTGGCGTGTACATCCCCCACATGGTAACTGGCCATGATCACAGTGTTGGGCTGTGAGCAATCATGCTGCCACAGGGGACCTGGCCCCAGGAAACGATTCACTGAAGGAGACACTTGACCCAAGTTGCCCAACATGCAGAGTCTCTCTCTTAGGAATTTGGAACTGTAACAGAGGGACTAAAAGCCAAATGGAGCTCATGCCAGGGTTCTGGATGAAAGGCAATCCATTTCCACCTCTGAGATCCTCCGAACTGTCCTGGACAATCTTGGATTCTGTTCTTCTGGGATTTTGAGTTCCTTCAGGCCTCTCAGTATCTTTCTAATAAAGTTTTTTTCTTTTGCTGGTTTGGTCTCTATTACTTGAAATCAGAAGAACTGTAACTAACACATCATGGAAGGAATTATCTGCATGCCCAAATTGTAAGGTGGGGTTGAGCATAAGCCAGCCTGTGAAGAAAGCCTCTGTCCAACATCTGTAGAGGTGGCCACTTTATGGGGCCACTCTGTGGTCACAGTGTCCACACTCTGTAAGAAATGGAGTCCACACCCACATTCTATAAGGAGTAGAGTCTATCTGACTCCAGGAGGCCAGGGCTCAAGCCCAGCCTGAAATTCACTTGCCCAAGGTCCTGGCTCCACTACTCACCTGTGGTGTGACCTTGGTTGGGCAAGTGAACTTTTCTGAGCCTCAGTTTCTCCCTCTGAAAAATGGCACCATGCCTCACAGGGGTTAGGTATCTGGGAACTGCCAACCTATAGAGCATCTTTGCATGAATTAGAAAAAATTGATCCTCTGGGCACAGGGCTTGGGGAGTGGACTGCAGGCTGAGCTCAAGCCCTGGACCCCACCCCCAGCTCAGCTGTGTGCTGGGGTGCAGTGCCCGCCCTGCAGTGGTGACACCTGTTTTGCAGAACATCTGGGAGGTAAAGTACACAGAGCCCCTGTGAGCAATCACTGTGCTTCCCTTTTCCTGTCCTTTCCAGAGTCTCAGGCTAATGCCACAAATGATACAGAAAACCAACTCGCAAGCTGTGGATTTTAGGACAAAAGTAGTGAAACGATTATGGAGAGGAGTGCTGTGTGAAGGTCCCTAACAGCTGATCTGGGCTCCACACCACGCCGAGTCATCATCTGTCTTCTTGATTCCTTCAGTCGTTAGTTCATCATCTGGCCAGCTTCAGGGAACACCTGTGTCCAGGCTGGTTCTGCTGGCTGGAGGGAAACCCAGATGTGAAGCCTGATCCCGGCCCTCCTGAGAAGGGGACCCTGGAGGGGAAGGCAAGACCATTCATCATCATCGTAACAGTCGGTTTCTGCATGTGTGCACCCCTTGAGGGCAGGGAGCCTTTCCACTACTCTCTCCCAGCGTGTCCTCACCCCAACTCATGAGACCAGTGGGATGGCGCCATTGATGCTGCCATTTTATAGCTGAGAAAATGAAGGTTCCTAGGACTGCGGCGAATGCCTGCTTCATAACAATACTCTCTGAAGCTGGGCCTGGAACTTGGTTTTGGTGAGCCCTGGGCTCGCCCTGGGCTCCCTCCGTGCACCCATCATATCCAAGAGAGGTGAAGCTCCTGCTCTAGTCAGATGGCAAAGCCCACCAGTGGGCCACCTTTGCTGGTAGGCAGGGCCCTGTACATGCAAACCACCCGCTGTGAATAGGCTGCCTCCTTTGCTATCGTCTGTCTCTCTTGGCACGGGAAGAGGGTCCGGGTTTATTCTCAGACTTTGTTTTGTTCCTCTGCATGGAAAGTGTGTGGGTTTGGGCATGGCTGGCCAGAGAGATTTGGATTCATGTTTGTGGGGAGATAGGATGCCTCCCCACCGGGAAGGACCAAAGTGCTTTCTCTGTCTCAGCTTTCCTGGAACTCTGCACTGGGCAATACTGGACGAGAGGCCAGTTTTTAGTGAAGTGGTTATTAGTTTCCTGCTTGGTATGTCACAGGTGGGGTTCCCTGGAAAGCAGCTGAGATAGAGATTTGCATTGGAGGTGTGTCCCCAGCCTCTGTACCTCAGTGCCATCACTCAGCCATTGATGGGTCCCACTGAGGAAGGGTCGTGCTCTTGGGCAAGGGGGCTCTCTTCTGCCTGCAGGAAGAGGAGGGCAGGGGGCGCTGGAGACATCTTAGCAGCTGGGGAAATAAGTCCTCCATTCCTGAAGTGGGGTCCTGTGGCCACCTTGCTATTGGTCTTCTTCGCACACATCTCCTCAGGACCCCGGAGGAGCGGCGGCAATTCGCAAAGCAGGAATCTTGCGTTGCTGGGTCCTCCGGCTAAATGCAGCACATGTTATCAGAACCTCCCGCTGACTCTAGATGGCGGAGGGGTGAGCACTTTAGGCCTTGGGCTTCGTGGGGCATGGGGATTTCAGGGAGGCCTGGATGCTGGGATGAATTTGGGAGAGGCGATTGACCTGTGAGGTGGGCTGGGATGAGCGTAGGGAGGGGATGTACAGGGTCCTCCATCAGTCAGAAAGCCCTGCCTGGGCGGGACAGGCCTGCTGGATGGGTGCCGGGGCACCTTTCTGCCCTCCCTGTCCTCTCAGGGAGACACAGGTTGCCGTTGTGGGGATGGGGACGGGCAATAGGTCACAGCCCTGGGTGGCAGTGGGGAGAGCCAGGAGGGGCCAGATGCAGGAGAGGGGCCCAGTTATATCTGGGTGAGCTGGCCCTGCTGCAGCAGAACTTGGAGAGGCGTGGAGGGGCTGACCGT